>NC_000007.14:135631779-136256779 GCF_000001405.40 Homo sapiens
TGCTCTGTCGCCCAGGCTAGAGTGCAGTGGCGCGATCTCGGCTCACTGCAAGCTCCGCCTCCCCGATTCACGCCATTCTCCTGCCTCAGCCTCCCGAGCAGCTGGGACTACAGGCGCCCGCCACCACGCCTGGCTAATTTTTTGTATTTTTAGTAGAGACGGGGTTTCACCGTGTTAGCCAGGTCTTGATCTCCTGACCTTGTAATCTGCCCGCCTCGGCCTCCCAAAGTGCTGGGATTGCAGGCTTGAGCCACCGCGCCCGGCCTATCTCTTGGTATTTTTAATTTGTACTGAGGTTCCTTCCCTCAAGAAAAAGCATGCTGTCTCATATTCCTGAAATTCTCTAAGAATGTCTGAAGGTTGTCTTTGTTCTTTAATGACAGGACGGCCGATTATGATTTTCTTTTGCTTAGAATATGTAATATAAATGATAGTAGCTGGCATTTATTAAGCATGTATGTGCCAGGTACTGTTTTAAATACTTGACATGTTAATTGATTGGAAGACACAGCAGTCTTATGAGGTAGAACTGTCATTATCCACATTTTACAGCTGAGGAGGCTGAGGCACAGGGAGGTTAACTTGTCCAAAGTCACACAGATAACACTGCATAGTATAGAGTTTCCCAGGCAGTACGTCTTTTGAATCTATATATGTAACTACGAGGCTACACTACCTCCATTTTTATGTTGCTTTGGAGATGTCTGAGGCAACCTCTGAATCCACCCTATAATCCCCAATAATTTTTTTTGTCTGGGCTGTCTCGGTGGCTGAGCCCTCTGGGTTGAGAGACGTTGAGAGTTGGCCAGGGCTGAGTACAGTGCCAGCTGAGTTACTTGGAGCCTGTGCTTCTTCCAAGGAGATCCCAGGGTCTATTCCACCCAGCCTGTGGTGTGCTTCGTTCACCAGTTCATTCCAGTGTCCTAAGATGATACCAAGTCAGGCCACCCTTCTTGTCTCTACTAAGGTCCTGTAGTGTTGTGGGGTGGAACTCCTAATGGTTTTTCCTTTGATTTTTTCCAGGACTTAACTAATTACTCTCAATGTACTTCTGTAAATTGCAGGGTCTCCATGAGATTTTTTCTCATCAGCACATACAGCTCCTGCCCATCCTTTTTAATTGACTGCCTGGTTTTCCAGTTGTGAGATAGTTAACCAGACCCTTGTTTTATTTGTTTGTTTGTTTTTGTTTTTATTTTTGGGGGGACAGGGTCTCACTCTTGTCACCCAGGCTGGAGTGCAAAGCTGCAATCGTGGCTCACTGCAGCCTCGACCTACCTGGCTCAAGTGATCCTCCCACCTCAGCTTCTCAAGTAAGCAGGACTACAGGCACATGCTGTCACACCAAGCTAATTTTTTATTTTTTGTAGAGACAGGGTCTTGCTATGTTGCCCAGGTGTTCTCGAACTCCTGGCCTCAAGCATTCCTCCCACCTCAGTCTCCCAAAGTGCTGGGATTACAGGCAGGAGCCACCACGCCTGGCCTATTTGTTTGTTTTAGAGACTGGGTCTTACTCTGTCACCCAGGTTGGAGTGCAGTGGCATGATCATAGCTGGAACGCCTGAGCTCAAATGATCCTCCTGCCTCAGCCTCCCAAGTAGCTGAGAATACAGCACACACCACCATGCCTAGCTAGTACTTTGTTTTTTAATCAGATTCTATGACATGTTGACTGTTTCCAAGCTTCTTAAAATTTTAAACAGTGTGGCATTTAATAATTTTGTGTGTATATGTGTGTGTGTACTTATCTGTTTACCTCTAGCTATATATTTACATATGCATTCATGAACATTTTTTACATTTGTTTTTATTTTTATTACTTTTTTAATTTTTAATTTTTTGTTGTTGAGACAAGGTCTCACTATGTTGCCCAGGCTGGTCTCAAACTTCTGGCCTCAAGCAATCCTCCCACTTCAACTTTCCAAAGTGTTGGGATTACAGGCGTGAGCCACTGAACCCGGCCCCATTTTTGTCCATTTGAACTGATAAGACTTGATAAATTCCTGGCAGTACTTTATCAGAAATATATGTGCTTAACATTTTTGTTAAAAATAATACCAAATATCCTCCCAAGCTTTTGAAAACACTTTTAAACAAGTTATACTACTATCAACCCTGTTGTGTACAGTTCAGCCCTGTATTATCCTATAATTTGCTATAATTTATGCACATTTGTCTTAAACGCTCCCATTAGATTGCAGTTCTGTTTGTAACTTTGTATCCCCCATGCTGCCTAGCCCACTACCGTGTATGTTGTACCTCCACAAATCTTATCAGCAGATTTATTTTGTTTCTGTGACTCACAGATATATATATTTTTTAATTTCATTTTTTCAGATAAAGATGAGGCCTCACCATGTTGTCCATGCTGGTTTCAAACTCCTGGACTCAAGCAGTCCTCACACCTCAGCCTCCCAAAATGCAGATGTGAGCCACCATGCCCAGCTGGCTCACAGATATTCTGAAAAGTATTTTGGAGTTGAGAGTGATTGATATACATAGAATAGTTAGATGGCATTTAGCAGAAAGATCTTACGGAACCTGAGAACTGGAAGTCCTTTTAAATTGAGGCAGCAGTTGACATGCAGGGGAAAGTGAACTTTGGAACAGCAATACCTGGTGCAGAGTTCAGCAAGTTTGAGGACAAAGAGGAAAAAAAGTCTTAGTTTCATGATAGCGTTAGGTGCAAAATCAAGGTTTCAAGGAGTTCAGATGGGAAAGGAGGGCATAAGAATTATGAATACAAGCAGCAACTGAAGAAAAACTTTCCAAAAATTGATACTAACCAAGTTTTTGCTTGGTTTTGTTTTGGAGTACAAGAAAGACTTTAGCCTATTTTCAAATAGGAAAACTCTTCTGTGGCAGGGTAGATGTTAGTATGTTAGAAGAGAAAGCGATCCTGGGAGGAGACTCTCAGAGGAGTTGAAGGTGGGACAGGATAAGCTCTCGGGAAGCGGTGAGGCACGGATAGAGGTATAACGAGCCCACATGTACCAGATGATAGGATTTTCTGTCAGTTTGTGTTGAGGGCTGAGCTAATCTAAAAAGAGGAGGACTTGTCATTATGAGGAGAGAAGGATCAGGTTCTTGGTTATGTGCTATGGAGTCTATGCTTGGAAGTGAGTACGAAGTGAATTAAAGGAATCTGAAAATACATAGGAAATTTGAGTGGCTAGGATAGGTTTAGGTGGGTATTCCTCAGCATGATTAGTGATGGAACAAGGAAACAAACTGATGGGGAGAATGACATGTTATGGTCACTGGCAGGCTCATTAGAAATCAGGAGAGGCTATGGCACTATTAGAGGTGGGTCATTTCGATTTAGGAATTTTGTAACGGGTCCAAACTAAGAAGTTGAATGGAAATGTTTTTGTTTTCTTTGTAAATTGTACTTTGCCTAGGGGAAAAGCAAAAGCAAATTATGTATATTTAGAGGTGTTAAAAAGAAATGCATTTTATTCTTACTGTTTCATATTCTAAAAACTCCTTTATGAGAAAGTAATTTAGAAAATTACTTTTATCATTATAAAAAAATTAGATTTTTCTTGAAAACTAAAAATGCCTTTTAAGATCATTTCACTCTGCATTTTAGATTGGCTTTGAATGCGCATGTACCGGTGCTGTTATTAATATATAACAGGTACTTACAGTCTTTGTAAAATCATAGTTCTCAAAACTTTTTTATGGCAAGAATATCTGTTCATGCACATAAACAATATAAAATATTAGAACCTCTCTTCCTAGTTTTTAATGTTTTTGTTTATTATAATAATATGTTTTAAAGCATTCTACATTTTATAGGAATATTAAGTGAACTTGACGTTGATGTAAATGAAGGGTCTCTAATGGAGCTACAGGGACATATTGGAAGATTCCAGGTAACTGATTCTTATTTCTTTAAATAGCAGTTATAAGACATGTTACAAAATATACCATCCTCCCCATTGTGCCCCCTAGATTTGGGAAACCCCTTTCAACTGTTTTGGTTCTTTAGTTTTTCTAAATAATATGCTTATATTGCTGCTTCTTGATTTTCTAATTTTAGTAATCATCTGTTGACTTTCCATTGTTGGGGGATGGGGAGGAGATGAGAATTTAGATGTTTTTACTCCTTTTCTTCCATCATACAATGTATACATTTCCCATAACACCCCCTGAAACTCAATATAATTACATCATAGTTTTGGTTACATTAATATTTAGTGTTACATTATTATGACTGTGTAAATGTCATTTGTGAATAAGCCACGAGCAGACTGTTTGCCCTAGAGTTTTCTTTTTTATTTGCTTGGTTTTTATGTACTTATTACTAATTTATCCCCAGATTCTTTACAAGCTCTGTAATCTCCTCTCAATATGTTCTAACATATTAGTTTGTCAATTAGATATTTTATCAGTCTTTCTGGGAGCCTCTTGGCCTGGTTTGGTCTGAGCATCTTTACTTTGTATTGACTGCAGAGTAATTGTATTTATGTACTAGTGTTTATATCCCATTGTTTTTGATACAACAATTTTCTTAACTAGTCCTTTTTTCATGCGCTGTTTTTCAAGATTTCATAAGAAAAATGCTACTATTAGCATTTTTGTGTACATATTTTACTCTGGATTAAATAACACATGGTATCACTGGGACCGAGGGTATACACATAGTACATCATTTTGAAATCATAATTGTCAAACAGCATTCCAGAAAAGATTGTACTCTCACCCACAAAACCCAAATACTTTGGGTTTTTTAAGTCATCTTTTATTGGTATGGAGGAAGACACCTTTTTGATGGATCTTTCATAAGGTGAGCTTCGGAAATGTTTGAATGCATCTATTTTATCTGTAAGAAGCGGCAAACACACATTTATAAATGTTAAACATAGATAGAACTATTTTGGCAAAATAAGTTTATATTATAGTCTCATTAATATGTTTTGCCTTATCGAAACTTACAGTGGCCGGGTGGGATGGCTCGCTCTTGTAATCCTAGCATTTTGGGAGGCTGAGGTGGGTGGATCGCTTGAGGCCAGGAGTTTGAGACCAGCCTGGGGAACATGGCTAAACTCCATCTCTATTAAAAATACAAAAATTAGCCATGTGTGGTGGTGCACGCCTGTAGTCCCAGCTACCTGGGGGGCTGAGGCACAAGAATTACTTGAACCTAGGAGGCAGAGGTTGCAGTGAGCTGAGATCAGACCATTGCACTTTAGCCTGGGCAACAGAGTGAGAGACTGTCTCCAAAATAAATAAATAAAATAATAAGACAGTGTGTATTATGTACGTGTATACCTCTCTATGTATCTAAATCTGTATATTGTATTACCAATTTTTAAAATATATGTTTCATTTAAAATACACTTACTATGTGCAGAACATTGTGCTAAGCACTTTAAATATAATACCATGTCTCAGGGAATCCTGACAGCCATCTTATAAGATAGGAATTGTTATTACCACTTTAGAAATGTGAACATGCAGGCGTGAGAAATTCCAGGTCACAGAGCAAAAAGTTGTACCTGTTATTGGAACCCATGTCTCTAATTTGAAAGCCATCGGCTAACCTCTGGATATACTGCCAATATTGAAAAGCTTGTCCTTTCTCTTTGAGAACCATGGGAAATACTGTATTCTCAGGTGAGAAGTATTAACATTTGAAACTGGGGACATTTGCATTTATCTTCCAAGGTGATCTGTGTGTTTGTAACCCCTTTATGAAGTCCCTGGGAGCAACCACAGGAGTAACAGCTTTTAGATTTGTGCCTTGGTAGACAAAATTATCACAAACGTGTCCATCTTGTGACTGCCCTCTCATTTTGCTTCTCTTTTGTTTATAAACTTGTTTTTCATTTAATGAGTATCTTCCAAAGAATTAATACCTACTTTGATATAATGCAGAAAGTTATTTGGCAAACATTTAGATGATACTGGGATTTATTGCTTTAAAAAAAAAGGGTACTCTTTTCATCTGTTAGCTACCAATCAAATACCTTTGCAAAAAGTTGAATTTTAATAATGCTACTTTTAGTTGGCTCAGTTTTAAGTAAGATATTAGATGCCTTAAGGACTGATTCCATTCTCCACTGAGTTTTTCTTGTTTCTATCCCTCAAGAAAGAGAGGTTACTAATTTTAAATACATTTAACAAGATATCTTTTTCTTGTTAGCGCCAGTGCTTAGGACTACTAAGTCGCTTTGGTGGCTCTGACAGACTGCGTCAGTTTAAATTTCAAGACGATAATGTGGAGGGAGATAAAGTAAGCAAGAAAGATGAGATTGAACTGGCTATGCAGCAGGTAAGAACCATGTGACTTCTCTAAGGTTTTTATGTTTTTGGAAAATGTTGATAAAAATAACAGATGTGGACCTGGTGCGGTGGCTCACGCCTATAATCCCAGCACTTTGGGAGGCCAAGGCGGATGGATCACCTGAGGTCAAGAGTTGAAGACCATCCTAGCCAACATGGTGAAACCTTGTGTGTACTAAAAATACAAAAAAAATTTAGCTGGGCATGGTGGCACGTGCCTGTGTGCCCAGCTACTTGGGGTGGCTGAGGCAGGAGAATTGCTTGAACCCAAGAGGCAGAGGTTGTAGTGAGCCAAGATCACGCCACTGCATTCCAGCCTGGGCAACAGAGGGAGACTCCATCTGAAAAAAAAAAAAAAAAAAGAATACACAGATGTGAGTCATTTTACAAATTGATTGATAACCTTTTCTTCTTCAAATCTCGATTTTCATGCTAATTGAGACATTTCAGGGTCTTAACATTTTTGTTACTGTTTTTTGATTATAGATTTGTGCCAATGTAATGGAATATTGCCAGTCACTCATGTTACAGAGTTCCCCTACCTTCCAGCATGCTGTGTGTCTCTTCACTCCTAGCCTTTCAGAAACAGTTAATAGAGATGGACCGCGGCAAGGTGAGCTTAGTTTTTCATTCTGTATTGAAGGAACTAAGTTGCTATGGTTATGACATAGCTCTCCAGCTTGGCTCCAGTAAGATGCAGTATTTTCTTTTAAGTGTCATTAATGGGAAACATTTTAAATAAGTTTTAAAGTTGAGCGGGAGGTATTATTATTAGACCTATGTACAAGACTGGAGAGAATAGAGAAATTCAGGATTTACTGAGAGTAAATCTAGAGGAACCATGTTTTGAATAGCACTTGAGGGCTCAAAGGATCTAAATTGGGGAGTCAGGTGGCTGGGTGGAAAAGATGAAAATACAACAAACAGTTTTATATGTTAAATCATGTTAAGCTGAATTCAGTGTCTAAACTGGGTTTTTTATTATAGCTCCAAATTTCTATAACATAACGAAATACAATTTAGATACTAATTAGGCCAACTTACCCTATAATTCTTTAATGATTCAGTAGGGAATGTTTGAATATGGGGCAGGATAATGGGTAAAGCTGTTATCCTATGGAACACTCAGAAGAAAAAGCCCATTAGTATCTTGGTGGGGATAATGGAATTGACTGTTGGTGATTTCAGGAAGTCTTTGTTTGAGATCTGTGAGAAAAATTTTGTCACATTTTCATCTTCTTCAAGATCTTACTATCCCTGAAAATTACTTAATCACAAAAAATATGTGTTTAGTATAATAATAGTATAAAATGACATTATGAAAAGTATATTAGTGGCCGGGTGTGTGGTTGCTTACGCCTGTAATCCTAGCACTTTGAGAGGCCGAGGCAGGCAGATTAACTGAGGGCAGGAGTTCAAGACCAGCCTGGCCAACATGGTGAAACCCTGTCTCTTCTAAAAATACAACAAGTTAGCCGGGTGCAGTGGCGCGCGCCTGTAATCCCAGGTACTCTGGAGGCTGAGGCAGGAGAATTGCTTGAACCCAGGAGGCGGAGGTTGCGGTGAGCTGAGATCACACCACTGCACTACAGCCTGGGCTACAGAGTGAGACTTTGTCTCAAAAAAAAAAAAAAAAATTAGTTTAACCCAAAGGATTATAAATCATTCTACTATAAAAACACATGCACACATGTTTATTGCAGCACTATTTACAATAGCAAAGACTTGGAACCAACCCAAATGTCCATCAATGATAGACTGGATAAATAAATGGTGGCACATATACACCATGGAATACTATGCAGCCATAAACAAGAATGAGTTCATGTCCTTTGCAGGGACATGGATGAGGCTGGAAGCCATCATTCTCAGCAAACTAACACAGGAACAGAAAACCAAACACCACATGTTCTCACTCATAAGTGGAAGTTGAACAATGAGAACACATGGACACAGGGAGGGGAACATCACACACCAGTGCCTGTCAGGGGATAGGGGGCAAGGGGAGGGATAGCATTAGGACAAATATCTAATGCATGTTTGGCTTAAAACCTAGATGACAGGTTGATAGGTGCAGCAAACCACCATGGCACATGTATACCTATGTAACAAACGTACACATTCTGTACATGTATCCCAGAACTTCAAGTTAAAGAAAAAAAGAAAAATATATTAGTTTAGCAACATTCAACCTTATCCTATATAAATTATGCTAAGAACTTTGTTAGATAAATTCTATTATAAAAGGTCCTAGCTAGTAGTATTAAATTTGTTGTTGTTGTAATTTATGTACAACAAAATTCACCCATTTTAGGTATACAGTTTGAATGCTTTTTGGTAATTATATAAAGTTGGGTAACCATCACCACAGCCAAAATACAGAACAATTCCCTGTTCCTTAAAGATTTCTTCCTGCCTTTGATTGCATTTGATTGTTTCCTTCCACTCCGGCCCAGGCATCTACTATTCTGATTTTTGTCACAAAATCTCTGCCTTCTCCTACCAGTGTCTGCTTCTGTTTGTATTATGTCTAGGCTTTTTCGTTTTATGCCATGGATGGGGGAGAAGAGTACTGACTGGTAGAATCTTAGTTTGTCATATTAAGACAAACTAAGTCCTTAATAGCTAATAAAATAACCTTTATTTAAAGGTATCTTTCAGTGATTGAAAGGGAGTAGTCTTAGGTGACAGGATGTCTTAAAGAAACTGGGGAAGTAGCTACAAAGATTTGTAGTTCTATTTTATAGAGTAAAATAGTTAAATTAGACTGGACATGTAAAATAGTTCCTTTGGCTTAAACAAGTTAATTCTATATAGTTCTTGTTTTCTCCTGTATTCAGAAATTTGGAGCCGGGCATGATGGCTGAGCCTGTAATCCCAGTTACTCAGGAGACTATGGCAGGGGGATCACATGAGCCCAGAAGTTCAAGGCTGCAGTGAGCCAAGATCATGCCTCTAACAAAAAAAAAAGTTTGCTGCCAGGAAGATAGGATAAAAAGGGGCCACCATGGGGGGATTCCAATATCTGCATGTTGGAATCAGGCCAAGGCATGAGGGGAAAGGTTTATACAAACCTGATAGCCTCTGAATGCGCAAATATTTTCTAGACTTGGGCAAGTTAGTATGGTAAGAATTCCTGAAATGCTTTGGAGTCCTCCAAGCATTCAATCATCCTCTTTGTGGGTATCTTCCTACCAGGGTAGAGATTATACAAATGTTATCTGGGGACCAGGATACCTAATTTCAGTAGGAGAAGGCTCTCTATAACAATGTATTGTGAAAACTGTCACATCTTGCTGTAGACTAGAAGAGGATACCTGGCAAACTGAATTTGTCTAGGATGTCTTAGTTGGTGGCAGCATCCACAGACAAAGGACTCTTCTGTCTCTTCCCCTCTGTATAAAGATGTATGAGATTGGCCAGGTGTGGTGGCTCACGCCTGTAATCCCAGCACTTTGGGAGGCTAAGGCAGTACGTTGCTTGAGCCCAGAAGGTAGAGACCAGCCTGGGCAATATGGCAAAACCTCATCTCTACCAAAAAATACAAAAAAATTAGCTGGGTGTGGTGGCGTGCACCTTTAATCCTAGCTACTTGGGAGGCTGAGGTGGGAGGATCACCTGAGCCCAGGAGGTTGAGGTGGATCACCTGAGCCCAGGAGGTTGAGGTTGCAGTGATCCCTATTTGTGCCACTGCACTCCAGCCTGGGTGACAAAGTAAGAAACCTGTCTCAAAAAAAAACAAGAAAGAAAGAAAAAGATCTATGAGTCAGACTTTAGAGCAAAGTTAAGGGAGTTGATAGTGAAGAAAAAGCAAATGTAGATCTCTCCTTCAGTATTCATGGCAGTTTGGGTCATTAAACAAAGATTATCTCCAAATTGAACTTGAAATTGCCACAGTGTTGGGCCAGGTGTGGTGGCTCGTGCCTGTAATCCCAGCACTTTGGGAGGCCGAGGCGGGTGGATCACCTGAGGTAAGGAGTTTGAGACCAGCCTGGCCATCATGGTGAAACCCCATCTCTACTAAAAATGCAAAAAATAACTGGGTGTGGTGGCATGCGCCTGTAATCCCAGCTACTCGGGAGGCTGAGGCAGGAGAATCGCTTGAAACCAGGAGGTGGCGGTTGCAGTGAGCCGAGATCGAACCACTGTACTCCAGGCTGGATGACAGAGTAAGACTCCATCTCAAAAAAAAAAAAAAAGAAATTGCCACAATGTTTCCACGAAATCCCTTAGTCACTAGAGGAGATTGCTCTAATTGCACTACACAGACTATCTCTAGGATGATTTTTTTTTTCTTTTCTGTAGGGACGGGGTCTCTGTTGCCCAGGCTGGTCTTGAACTCCTGGCCTCAAGCCATTCTCTCTCCTCAGCCTTCCAAATTGTTGACAGGTGTGAGCCACCGTGCCTGTCCTAGGATAATATTGTTATTGCTTTCTAGTTTTCCCTCTGCAAACAACTTTTATGACATCCCACTGTTCCTTTGCATCTTCATTAGCCAGTAGCCAGGTAAAAGGCAGATCATTTTGTTTTACTACCGTAATGTAGCTGTTGTGGCAAAAGATTTTTTAAAGTTTAAATCCATTTATATTTTTTGAATATTTCAGTTACTATTCTTGTCTCTTTGAAAGAATGACTTTGAGCTGGCAATTTAGTAACCAGAAAGATGCAGACCAGAAATGAATCCATACAACTAGAGCCATCAGGCAAAGCAGGAATTAGTCACTTGGTGTTAAGAAACCCCACAATTGTGTATATTGTTTTTGATGTGGAGGGGTGTGTGTGTGTGTGTGTGTGTGTGTGTGTGTGTGTGTAAGGTTTATACTTTGATAGAGTTCTCAAAGGACTCTTTGCCTAATAAAGGGTAGGCTCTGCCAATGTGCATCAGTCAGATTTCTTTATTCTCGCAGGATTTCCAGCCTTATGTATGTACCTGATTACAGTGGCTCCTAACCATTTGTTCTTTAAATTATAAATGGCATTTAAAAGTAATCTTGGGTTGGTTTTAATGACAGGTTACATGTCCTTAAATTCTGGGGCATCCCTTGTTTTAAAACAGGTCATTTGAAATTCATATGAAATGCTTATAAGTGGAACATTGTTTTATGTCATCACCTCTATTAGATACCCAAGCTCCAGTGGTTCCATACTGGCGCCTGCCTGGTTTAGGCATTATCATCTACCTGCTGAAACAGAGTGCTAATGATTTCTTCAGCTATTATGACAGTCATCGACAGAGTGTCAGCAAGCTACAAAATGTAGAGCAGCTTCCCCCAGATGAGATAAAAGAGGTACGAATCTTATAATGAGCTGGGGGGACTTGAGAAATCATTGCTGTTACTAGGCCAGGGTACTCAGACTGAGTAAAGACAACGTATACAGTATGACTGAAGGAATTGGAATGATTCTTCTGTGTGATTTGAAGAAGACTCCTTCGCCGTAGCACCAGCCTTATAAGCATAGAAACTCTTGACTGAAAAACAGTGAAGTGTAGCACCTGTTCAAGAAAATAGAAAGGCAGCTGGCCTTTGAATGAAGAGTTTTGGGTCATTTATACTCTAAAATCTGTTCTGAGAAAGGCTTCTGTTACAGATTTTTTTTTTAATAGAACTTGGGTAAATGTCTCTGTGCCTTCAGCATCTTCAATATCTGTTTAGCAAATCTTTCAAACAAATGGGATAGCATATGAGACTTGACTGCCTTCCCTCAGTGACCCAGAAGCATTCCCTCTACTTACAGTATTAATAACTAAAGATGCTGCATTACCAGGATTGCTACT
This sequence comes from Homo sapiens, assembly GCF_000001405.40. Taxonomy (NCBI): domain Eukaryota; kingdom Metazoa; phylum Chordata; class Mammalia; order Primates; family Hominidae; genus Homo; species Homo sapiens. The sequence goes on from NC_000007.14 coordinate 135,643,847, forward strand.
AAGTAGCTTGCTGCCTTTTCCATTTGGCACAGCTGAATGTAAGGCATCTCTTGGCCAGTTCCTAAGGCAGTGCTGAAGCTTCCTGGTGTCCTGTCGCAGCCTGAATGTTGAGCCACTTTGTCATTCCTGGTTTGCACCAAGTTTTCTAAAAACTTCCATGTTACTCTTATGAGTAGTCCATGCCTACTCCCTCTTGCCACTTTTCTGGTAAACTCAGGGGACATTTATTGAGTGTCTACAACATGCCAGGCCCTGAACTACATGTTCTACCTAACACCCGGGCAGATATTGTTTCTATTCTCATTTCTCATGTGAGGAAACTGAGGCACAGAAGACTTGCATAACTTACCCAAAGGCATGTAGCTGGCAGGAACAGGGTGAGGCAGGAGTCAATGACTGGGTTTAGGTAACCCCTGAAATTTTGGGTTCATGCCTGGCAGTCCTTCCTCTAATGTGTAGCTAATCAGTGATGTTTGTACTTGTAAGAGGAATTGCATCATCATCATGAAGCGCGTGGCCTTCCATCAGCCTCACTTCAGTACGCCTTCTGTGGAACCCAGCATCAGAACATTAGCTGGAACAACTGTGCTTGTGTGTGTGCCACATTGAGAAGTGGTCATGGGAGCTTTGGTTGATGATCAGATTTTAGTTATGCTCTAGGTGTCTACCTTGTATTTTTTGCAGAAGATACCTGACAACTGTTAGAAATTCTCCATGGGATTGTTATAGCTACTGTTTGAAAAACCTATCATTTTGTCTTGGTTTGTTTTAATGTGACAGGAAATTCAGGGTTTCATCAGCAACCCTGACTGTGTTTCAGGGACAGACTTTTTCAAAAGGCAGCAGATAAATGTTCATTTGTGAATTTGCTTCTTTGGCTGTAATTTTTAAAAATTGCTAGCTTCTTAGATAAAAACTCTTATCTGCAAGGATGTTTAAATTTGAGTGTTTTTCATAGCATTTATCATGGTGACCTGCTGATAGTAGTTTTTCATTAAAAATTTCATTCCAGTTGATGTCATTCTAATACCACATTTGTTTCTTCTAGTTGTGTCAGTCTGTGATGCCTGCTGGTGTTGATAAAATCTCCACTGCTCAGAAATATGTTCTAGCAAGACGGCGCTTGGTGAAGGTGATCAACAATCGAGCTAAACTGCTTTCCCTTTGTTCTTGTATCCTTTATGAAATCATGCACTTGAATGATGACCTTGAAATATAGGAACTGTTCACTTATTCTCATATTATTTGGGCACCAAAACCAGGTGGAAGGAGATAAACTTAATTTTTTCCCAGTAAATGCCTAATGTATTTCCAAATCATAGTTTTTGTTCTTATCTTTTAGAGTAGCTGGTAATACTGATAAAATACATGGGCACTTTCTGTTAGGGAAGAAGGTAGGGACATGAGACTGCTGGCACAGGACCCCAAGGTCCCCACCTCTTTCCTCAGCACACCTTGCTGCTTCCTCTTGAGGAGCCTTCAGTGAGACCCTGTCTGTTAGACTGAGGCTGTGGGTACCTCATTAAGTGAGTGCAGTCTGTCCTTTTTTCTTCTCCTCCGAAACTGGTGTGTAAAACATATTTGATGAGATTATGTTCCTTTAATCTGAGCTCTGGTATAGTTATCATAGAGACCTGCCTATTTATTCTTTGGCGCCATCTGGAGTACTACTTGTTACATTGCATGCCCACGGATTCTCAAGATTCCTTATTTGCCTCGAGAACCTTGTTTAAAAGCAGAAGACTGCAAGGTAAACTTTCTGCTAAAAATTAATGAACCATAAATACCTATTTGTGCCTTGAAAAGCTAGTACCAGTTTTTTTTTATTTTTGTTTCCAGATTACTTAGAGTGAATTGGGTGAATCAAGAGCTGTTTAGTCACTAGACGTAGCTATTTCTTGCATTTTACTTTCTGTTCACGGGACATTGTGCTGAGCATAAGAATATTCTAGAGCCTGCTCATCAGCTGTTCCTTAGCTTCTTGCTGCAGTTAGGGGGCTGATCCAGCTCTAGAAGAATGGAGGAGGTCTGCTATTATGCTGATTCTTATTGCTGGAGTGGGCCTCTGTGACTGATGGCCATATATTGGATCCCTTAGGTGGAAGGAAATAGAGAAAAGCTGAGAACCCTGGTCTGGACCAGTGAAATGCTTTCTAGGGGCTTCCATTTGCTAAAAGTTGAAAATTGAGTTCCCAATCTTGAGCCGTGTTTTTCATGGTGCTATTGTTATTATTCATTGTCATCAGGTTCCTCCACTGTGTGGTAGATAGGTACTTGCACAGCCGGTATGACTCTGTTTTTTTATCTCTAGATTCCTTCGCCTCAGAAACCAATCTAGATTTTAGAAGTGGGCTGGCTATAGTGAGCCAACATGATTTAGACCAGGTAAGGTTCTATTCTCATATTCTTTTATTTTTCTTCATTAAAGTAAAAGGGCTGGGTGTGATGGTACACATCTGTAATCCCAGCATTTTGGGAGGCCGAGACGGGAGGATTGCTTGAGCCCAGGAGTTTGAGAGCAGTCTGGGCAACATAGTGAGACCCCGTCTCTTAAAAAAAAAAATTGGCATACTGTGGTGGCATGCACCTGTAGTCACAGCTACCTGGGAGGCTGAGGTGGGAGAATCACCTGAGCCTGGGAGACTGAGGCTGCAGTGAGCTGTGATTGCACCACTGCACTCCAGCCTGGGCAACAGAGCAAGACCTTGTCTCCAATAAATGAATGAAAGAGTGAAGCAAGACCTTGTCTCCAATAAATAAATAAATAAATGAATGAATGTAAGTAAGTAAGTAAAAAGGAAAGCCTGGTATGTTAATAAGATTATGATTTTCAGGGTTGCTTACAGACACCTGGTTTGAACTCTAGCTTGACCATTTTAACAGCTATATGACTTTGAACAACTTACTTAACTTCCGAGCCTCAATTGCTTCATCTAAGAAATAGGAGGATTCAACCTCAGAGGGTTTTGTCAGAATTAAGTGAGGTTTCATGTATGTGAGGCTGCTAGTGTTGTACCTAGAACATGGTAAGCATTCCGTGATTGGTAGGCATTATGATCTGGAAACTCCTGATGTCTTTTGATTAGCTTTGTAGAACTTTTTAGGTACAAAGTATCACTCAGCACTTATTTTTCAGGAAATAATTTAATGGTGAGATTGAGAGCAGCCAATACAAATCCCGCCGTCATAGACCATAGTACACAACACTGTGCTCTTACTAACCTGTTGATCAGTAGTGTTAGAATGAATGAAGAGTATGCCAAAAACAATTACAATGAAAACCTCATATTAAACTAATAGCAAAGTTATGTTTCTAACAAAGCAGGTATCAGGGTGTGTGATGTTAGGGAAAATGAATTACAGCTAGATCCTCTGCTAGCCATCTGAATGTCCTTAGCCATGATTTGATAAAGCCTCTGCTCCTCCCAAATCCCTCTTTTTGCTATTTTTCTTAAAACAAGGTTGGGAATGAAAGGTGCAGTTACAGCAGCCTCCAAAGCACAGCTTGCTGGATATCATGAATACCACGCTCCCATCCCAATCCAGACTACATTCGCCCCTTAGTGACTTTATAAAAGGAATTCGTTTTGTGGCTAGGCTTGTTTAGGAGAACTAGTGTTAATTGAGGCCATGTGCAAAATTAGCCAAAGAAGATTATTCAGAAGTTTGTTTGTTTGTTTGTTTTGTCTGAGAGACAAGGTCTCACTCCATTACCCAGGCTGGCATGCAGTGGTGTGACCACAGTTCACTGCAGCCTCAACCCCCTGGGCTCAAGTGATTCTCCCGCCTCAGCATCCTGAGTAGCTAGGACAACAAAAATAAATATATTTTGAAGTAATAACTGTTACTATTTCATTTAGACTGCTTTGTGAAAAAGCTAGAAAAAAATGCAGGATTAATAAATAATCTCACACTCTGTGTTGTGATTTTAATGCAAAACTGAAAACAGGTAGATTGATCTAATATTGTACTTAATTTTAGTCTTTTAGTATAACATCAAAAAGATCCATCTGAAACTACATATGCATTCTAGAATATATATGAATTCTAAAGCATATAACAGGTGTATCCCCACATTAATATTTTTTGAAAACAAAAGCATGCAAGTGGGTTTTTAAAAATTGCAAAATGAAGTAAAAAGTAAAAGCTTCTTTCCCACCTACCCTCCTGTCCTCCCTCCCTCCCTTCCTTCCCTGCATTCTCCTTCCCTCCCTCCCCCGCCAGTCTTACTGACTTCTTGTATGGCCCTTCAGGAAATGTTTTTGTGTGTATGTTAGTATATCAGCATCAGCATCAACATTCATTGCTATTTAAAGCAGGTTTTTAAATTTATACAAGAAAAGAAAGCAGGAAAAACATGAGAATTAAACCAAAAAATTCTAAGGTAGAAAATGTGAATGTTTAGTTAATTTAGTAACACATTACAAAAATTCAAAAGTATTTACATTGAAAGAACCACATTACAAAAATTCTAAAGTGTTTTAAATTGGAAGACTTAGAATAAAAGAAATATTTGAGACAACAATTTTAACAAAATGTCTTTTGTGTCACCGCTAGCTTCAGGCTGATGCAATCAACGCTTTTGGAGAATCACTACAAAAGAAACTTCTGGACATTGAAGGATTATATTCAAAAGTTCGATCTCGATATAGTTTCATACAGGCTCTTGTCAGACGTATCCGTGGCCTCTTGAGGATATCAAGGAACTGAGAGCCCGTGCTTATGCTCTTCTATGAGAGAGATGAATTGGGGAGAATTGTCTCCATTTTATAGATTAGTTTCTTTCTAAATTATGACCAAAAATATTTTGCTATTTCTTTCTTTGTATATGGACATCTTTTCTGTAAACTTCTTCCCCTAGTTCCATCCTCACTAGTAAAAAATAAATACTTTTTAAAAAAACAAAACAAATGTATGGTTAATCTTTTGATCTTTTATCTTTTGATCAGCATTATCAGGAATCTAACAAATAAACCTTCAACAGTGGTGATTTTCCCATAGAGATATTATTCTGAATGCCAGATTAAAGGCATAGTCTGAAAATTCTAATTTTTTCACCCTTTGTAGCTACATTACACTATTAACAATATTCAGGGTTACTAAAATATAGCCATGCTCTTATAGAATAGTGTACTCAATACTGTGAAAATGTCTGAAAAAGTCAAGCTTTTTCCTAAAATTATTTAGGTTTTCCTTTTTTTTGTTTTTTTCTTTTCTGCACGTAAGTTGACAATACAATTGTCCCTTGGTATCTGGTGATTACTGGTTCTAGGGCTCCCACGGATACCAAAACCTATGTTTTGGCATGCATGTTCCTTATATAAAATGGCATTGTGTTTGCATATAATATAGATACATCTTCTTGTATACTTTAAATCATTTCTAGATTACTTACAATACCTAATATAATATGAATTCTATATAAATAGTGGTTAATACTACGTTTTTAAATTTGTATTATTTTTTGCTGTTACACTGGTTTTTTCCCCCCCAAATATTTGTGATCTGTGGTTGGTTGAATCTGCAGATTTTGAACGTGGGGATATGGAGAGCTGACTCTACAGTAATTTGTGTTTGTTCCTTAGAAATGATTGTGAAATTTCTCAAATTAATCATCTGCCAATATTTCTCATATAATTAATATGATGGCTATCACTAGGACAAAACATTTACATGATCACCACTCTATTTCTTACCCAGTTGTTTTCATGTTCAAGTAACTACATCATCCGAAACTGCAAATTTCCTTTTCCAGACAGCAATTACTTCAGCCTAATACATAGGAGAGACTGCTGAGAGGAAGTCTTTGCTTTCATTTAGTAACAGAATAAACGCTATAACACTATAGAATAAAATTGATAATTATTCTATAGTGTCATAGTGTTTTTTTGTTTTGTTTTGTTTTTTGTTTTGTTTTTGAGAAAGAGTCTTGCTCTGTCACCAGGCTGGAGTACAGTGGCATGATCTCGATTCAGCACAACCTCTGCCTTCCAGGTTCAAGCGATTCTTCTGCCTCAGCCTCCCGAGTAGCTGGGACTCCAGGTGTGCGCCACCACACCCAGCTAATTTTTGTATTTTTAGTAGACACGGGGTTTCACCATGTTGGCCAGGATGGTCTCAATCTCCTGACCTTGTGATTCGCTCACCTTGGCCTCCCAAAGTGCTGGGATTACAGGCGTGAGTCTCCGCGCCCAGCCTAGTGTTGTTGTTGTTGTTTTTAAATGCTTACAATAAAACTTCTATGGCTTCCAAGCGTTGGTTTTTGGGTTTTGTGGTTTTTTTTTTTTTTTTTTTTTTGGTGATAGGGTCTTACTCTGTCACCCAGGCTGGAGTGCAGTGGCATGATCGTGGCTCACTGCAACCTCCACCTCCCGGACTCAAGTGACTTTCCTGCCTGCGCCTCCCGAGTAGCTAGATTACAGGCGTGTGCTACCATGCCCAGCTAATGTATTTTTAGTAGAGACGGGGTTTCACCATGTTGGCCAGGCTGGTCTCAAACTCCTGGCCTCAAGGGATCTGCCTGCCTCAGCCTCCCAAAGTGCTGGGATTACAGGCATGAGCCACTGCATCTGGCCTTCAAGCATCTTTAAAACATCTTTATCTTAGAGGAAGTTATGCTGTCAGGTTTAAAAAAAGAAAAATATAAAGGCTTTGTCAGTGTTATATTTTGTAATTAATTTACCGCCCACCAGATATAAACATTAGCTGGAAAACATTCTGTTAATAAATAAAAGTCCTGGATGTGAAAGAATAAATAAATGGATCCAAAATGTAGTTACAGTGCATAGTGCTCCACTGGTCAGGCATATGGTTATCTCTGTCATCTGGAGCACAGGTATGAACCTAGAAATGATTAGCAAAGAGCCTAGGCGTGAAATCAAAGCATTTTATAAACTTCTGAAGTATGAAGCCTTCTTAACAGACAAGACATATAGCTAAATTTTGAACTGGGATTTTAGGAGTGAGGAGGTGGTTCTTGCCTGTGTTTTATGTGAGTGAGAGCAAGTGAGTGTGTGTGTGTAGGCAGGGGAACTCTGCTTCTTGTCAGTGACTTCCTCAGATTCCTCTATCCCTCCGCCTCCCCGACTACTGCTGCTGCAGTGGCTGCTCCCTGGGTTGTAGGAAGTGAGTGATAATGATGACGTCGGGGTGGAGAGTGACAAGCAACAACAGAGATTTCAATCTGCGGCTGACGAATGGGCCCATCATAATGCACTGGAATGAAATCGTAGGGACCACATCAAAGGCAGCCTCCAGTTTGTGGGACGCAGTCCCAACACTCCAAGGAGAGAAGGCCATAGAGTATATCCAGCATATGCGAAGGGAAAAACCACACGCCACTGAGATATTGATGACCTCAGCGGCAGAATGCTCTTCTGAAGGAGGAAGTCCGTGCACCGAAGGGGAGGTCAAGTGCCCAGCCACAGGCCAACTATCCCTCCTCAGACAGCATCCTCTACACCAATGCCAAGGGCAGCACCACCTCTGCCTTTGATGGGGGCTCCGACTGCAGCTCAGAGTTGGAGCCTGAAGAGGCCTGAAGTAGGAAGAAACTCCAGATGGAGGCCAGCTGAGTTACTCAGGGCAGGCCAGCAATAAACACTGTCTCCATCATCCTCCTTTCCGTTTCCTCAGAACCATTTGAGAGACTATTTTTCTCTTTCTCCCTTAAAAATTGTTTTTTAAATTTTTATGTAAAAGCTCTTGGGGCCTGGCACAGTGGCTCACGCCTGTAATCCCAGCACTTTGGGAGGCTGAGGCGGGCAGATCAGTTGAAGTCAGGAGTTCGAGACCAGCCTGGCCAACATGGTGAAACCCTGTCTCTACTAAAATTACAAAAATTAGCCTGGCGTGGTGGTGCACGCCTGTAATCCTGGCTACTCCGGAGGCTGAGGCAGGATAATTGCTTGAGCCCAGGATATGGAGGTTGCGGTGAGCCTAGATGGCACCACTGCACTCCAGCCCCCTCCCTACCCCACCCCCCCAAAAAAGCTCTTGTCCTCCTTCCCCATTTCTACTATAACTTAAAAAAAAAAAAAAGTGTTCCCTTCAGGGATTCCCTGTCTCCACCAAGAATTTTTAGACCAAAACACCCTAGCTTGGCAGCTTTTTCTGTGGAGGACAGATGGCCAGCCTGACCTCTGAGCACAGTATCCTGCCCACTCCACCAGCTCCTGCAGCCCTGCCCAGGCACATGCCTGGAGGACACCTGCCCCACCCAGGCTGCCTCCAGGTCCATGCTCACCTCTGTTTAACAGACTTTGAGAATCTGTGAACTGCTCTTAAGAAGATGACTTTAAGAAGATGACTGGGCCGGGCATGGTGGCTCACGCCTGTAATCCCAGCACTTTGGGAGACAGAGGCGGGCGGATCACCTGAGGTCAGGAGTTCAAAACCAGCCTGGCCAACATGGCAAAACCCTGTCTCTACTGAAAAATGCAAAAGTTACCCGGGCGTGGTGGTACGTGCCTGTAGTCCCAACTACTCAGGAGGCTGAGGCAGGGGAATCGCCTGAACCCGGGAGGCGGAGGTTGCAGTGAGTTGAGATTGTGCCACTGCACTCCAGCCGGGGTGACAGAGCGAGACTCTATCTCAAAAAAAAAAAAAAAAAAAAAAAAGATGACTGGTTTGGAGTAATCAGATTTACACTTTCTCCTTTTTAAAGACTTTCTTCTCTTTTTCTAAAAAGCTATTTATCCCTCCAATTGAGTGACCAGATCCTTAAAGAAGTTTGTGGTGTAAAAAAAAGAGGGGTCGTGTTTGCAGCACAGAACCTTTGGCGTGTTTCTCTCCTGCTTCTCAGCCAATTGTTTAAGCCTACGGTGCCAGCCTTAAGGAGGGCTGCATGACACCTGTGGTATGTATTGGAGATGGCAGCAGTGAAGTCGCAGCCACCAGGGAGTGGTCCTTTGGGGTTGGGTAGGGAGGGCAATATTGGGTGATGTAGAGGTTTTGTACTGAGGGCCAATGATGGTGTTTCGATATTTATTTCCTGCTACTGAAATTTGAATCTGAGTGAGTTGTCCCTATTTCTTGATAATACCGGTATTGCAAAGTGACAGATTCATAAAGTAATGATCAAATCTTGCTTTCTGTGTGTATGTCTAAGAAATAGAGCCAACTGATTTTGTATATAAATACCAAGAGTGATTTACCTGGTGCTAAACCGGTATCCCAGTGTGGGCCTTTCCCTGCCCCAGCTACTTCCCTTCCTGCGGCCCTGGTACCTGCCTCCATTGTGTGATCCAGCCCTGGTTCTGGCTGCAGTCAACAGATCCCAGTGAAGGGTTTTGTGTGTTTAGGCCTCATTTGTCTTTTTCCTGCTCCGTTCCTGGCATTTGCTAATTTCTAGTATATATTCTGTAGTCTCTGTCTGGGTTTGATTCCATTCCATAGAAATAAAAAGTATGTTGTACATATCCTTGCAAGTTAAGGCTTCCTCCCTTTACTATCAGACTACAAGACTATAGTCTTAAAAAAATAAAGATTTTGGATTTACTGTGTTTCATATTGTTTTCTTATCATTTTGTCCCAAATTACCACTGACTGTGGATCAGAATCGGGGGCAGTGGAGAAGTGTGTGGGAGGGAGAGGCGGGCAGGCCTGCAGCTGCATCATACTGCTGACCAGAAATGTTTGTGTGACACAGCGGGGAGAGGCTGACATTCAGCCTGACCTCTGCATTCTGTTACCTGGGGCATGGAGAGAGGGCGCCAGGTGCAGCACGCACTCTTCACCGAAGCAAGCAGAGAGGATAAAACCAGTGTTGGATAGTTTGTTTTGAAAAGCTACATTTAAATTTTAAATAAATGCAGGATTTAAATATGGCATTTTTACTGAGTGAATCAGTTTGGTGGGTTAGAAAATCAAAAAGAGGTACATACTCTCTTCCTAGTCATTACTACTGTAGTTTTGGTCAGTTAGTAATATAGAAATTATGTCTGAACTTAATCTGGGCTGTAACAGCTGTTAATATACAACATAATCTTTTCTAAATATTTGTCTAGTGTTTTCTCAACTTTATTTATTTATTTATTTATTTATTTATTTATTTATTTTTTGAGACTAAGTCTTGCTCTGTCGCCCACGCTAGAGTGCAGTGGCACAGTCTGAGATCACTACAACCTCCGCCTCCCGGGTTCAAGTGATTCTCCTACCTCAGCCTTCCAAGTAGCAGAGATTACAGGTGCTCGCCACTATGATCGGCTAGTTTTTGTATTTTTAGTAGAGATGAGGTTTCACCTTCTTTGCCAGGCTGTTCTCCAACTCCTTGACCTCAGGTGATCTGCCTGCCTCCACCTCCTAAACTGCTGGGATCACAGCACCCGGCCTTCCCAATTATTTTGAACAATTTTAAATCTTCAAAAGAGTTGGAAGAAAGGTACCATGAACCCATACAGTTTTCACCTAGATTCGCCAGTTGTCAACAGTTTGCACATTTGCTTTTTTTGTGTGTGTGTATATATATATATGCTAGTTTTCTTCCCTAAATTGTAGACACTATGACACTTACTAAATATGATGACACTTACTTGCTAAATATTTTAACAAGTAAGAACAAGGATATTTTCCTTCCTAACCACAACACCATTATCATATCCAAGAAATTTGACAATAAAATACAATAAAAATATCTAATCTGTCCATTAAAATTTCCTCAATTGTCCCAAAAATGCACTTTATAACTTTTTTTTTTTTTTTTAACCCGGGATCCAATTAAGAATCACACATTGGCCGGGCGCGGTGGCTCACGCCTGTAATCCCAGCACTTTGGGAGGCCGAGGCGGGCGGTTCACGAGGTCAGGAGATCGAGACCATCCTGGCTAACACGGTGATAACCCCGTCTCTACTAAAAATACAAAAAATTAGCCCGGCGTGGTGGCAGGGGTCTGTGGTCCCAGCTACTCGGGAGGCTGAGGCAGGAGAATGGCGTGAACCCGGGAGGCGGAGCTTGCAGTGAGCCGAGATCGCGCCACTGCACTCCAGCCTGGGCGACAGAGCAAGACTCCGTCTCAAAAAAACAAACAAACAAACAAAAAAAAAAACCACATTATATTTAGTTATCCCTTTTTTTTATTTTTTGAGACAGAGTCTCACTCTGTTGTCCAGGCTGGAGTACAGTGGCTCGATCTTGGCTCACTGCCACCTTTGCTTTCCGTGTTCAAGTGATTCTCGTGCCTCAGCCTCCTGAGTAGCTGGGATTACAGGCGTGCACCACCATGCCCAGCCTATTTTTGTAATTTTTTTTTTTTTTTAGAGACAGGGTTTCACTGTGTTGGCCAGTCTGCTCTCGAACCCCTGGCCTCAAGTGATCTGCCCACCTCGGCTTCCCAAAGTGCTAGGATTACAGGTGTGAGCCACCACACCTGGCCCAATATTTAGTTATCTCTTTAGTCAATTTTTATTCTAAAACAGTTCCCTGGCTTTTCGGAGGATGGGAGGCTTTTATAACTGACATTTTTTAGCTGTTTTGGAAAAGGTCCTACAATTTGTTTTCTTTTAAACAGGTTAAACAGTTGTGGCCAGAATACCACACTTGTACAGCTGATATGTGCCTTCAGTGTATCACATCAGGAGGAGGTGCATATCAGTGTGTCCAATTATATTAAGCTTGACCACTTGGTTAAGGTGGTATTTGACACACATCTTTGTTGTAAAATATGTGTTTCCCATTATAACAAGTGATCCATGGAGGGATACTTCAAATATCTTGTTCTTAAAAAACCTTGCAACCGGGATGGGCCCCCGGCCTTTTTTTTTTTTTAAGATGCAGTCTCGCTCTGTTGCCCAGGCTGGAGTGCAGTGGCACGATATCGGCTCACTGCAACCTCCATCTCTCGGGTTCAAGCGATTCTCCCGCCTCAGCCTCCCGGGTAGCTGGGACTATAGGCACATGCCACCACGCCCAGCTAATTTTTGTATTTTTAGTAGAGACAGGGTTTCACCATGTTGGCCAGGATGGTCTTGATCTCTTGACCTCGGGAACCACCCACCTCGGTCTCCCAAAGTGCTGGGGTTACAGGCGTGAGCCACCGCGCCCGGCCCAGTTGTCATGCTTTTTAATTTTGCCAATCTAATGGGTATAAAATATTATCTCAATTGATTTGCATATTTTGTGTACCATTCTTTCCCCCCTTCAAAAGGCTTTACCCATTTTTTTTTCTATTGGGTTTTTTCTTTTTGATGTGTATGAGGTAATTACACATCCTGAATTTATATGTAATTGCTTAATTACACATGGCTGAATTGAAGCCATTCAGAATGGCTTCAATTTTTTTCAGTTTTCTCTTTTCAGACAACCAGTCTGTTGGATTATCTTTTCAACTTTTTTATGGTATACTTGTTTACATTTTAATGTGTCAAATCTTTTCCTTGATGGTATGTGCTCTTTATCTAAAAATTTTCTCCCACTTGAAATCATAAAGATACTCTTCTGTATTTTCTTTTGGCATTTAAAAATGTTGCCTCCTCCTTAGGTCATTAATTTCTCTGGCATTGATATTTGTGAATGGTATAATCTACGTTTACTTTTTTCCATATGGATAATTTTATGATTTATTGAATAGCACATTCCTTCCCACTGATATTTTTGTCAATGCCTCAAATGGTAGCATACCAACACCTTGCTTTTTTCACTTGAGGATATTTCCATATCAACACATAAAGCTCTTTTCTCGTGCACAAGTATTTCAATGTAGATATATAGCATGATTTTAATCGTTAATTTATTGGTTAACATTGTTTCCAACCTTTTTCTACAATGAATGTTTTTGAGCATAATTTCAGCAATTGCTAGGAAAAAGTTATGCTTATTTAAAATTATAGTTCTGGCCAAACTGCCTCCATGAAAGTTTTAACAAATCATTCTCCCCTCAATGTTGTGTAAACTGTGCCTGTTCCCCTACTTCTTCCAACACAGTATGTTATCAAGCTGTTTAAATTTTATTTTATTTTATTTTTTTTGAGACAGGGTCTCACTTTGTCACCCAGGCTGGCATGCAGTGGTGCAGTCACAGCTCACTGCAGCCTTGACCTTCCGGGTTCAAGCGATCCTCCTGCTTCAGCACCCCCAAGTAGCTGGACTACAGGCGCACATCATCACAGCCAGGTGATTTTCGTATTTTTTTGTAGAGATGGGGTTCCACCATGTTGCCTAGGCTGGTCTCACACTCCTGGACTCAAGTGATCTGCCCACCTCAGCCTCCCAAAGTGCTGGGATTACAGGTGTGAGCCACCGCTCCTGGCCAAGCTTTCTGATTTTTGCCAATCTGGAGAAAAATGGTACCTCATTATAGTATTAATCCACATTTCTCTTAGTATTAACATAAATGCCACCCACAGGATCTTTTCATATGTTTGAACCATTTGTATTTCCTTTTCTGTGAACTGTTCAAATCCTTTGGCCATATTTTATTGAGCCATTGGTCTCACTGATTTGTAGCAGATCTTTATATAAAGGAAGTTAGCACTGTCACTTATTTCACAAAAAGTGTTTACAGAATTTTTAAATTTTGATGTAGTTGATTTTCTCAATCTGTTATGGCTTCTGGGTTTTGTATCATGTTGGCGATGTGAAAAAGCTTCCACTCTCATTTGTAGATTATAAAATAACTTCTCTCTTTTACTCTTTTAATATTTTTTGTCTTGTTTAAGCTGTTACTTATGTGTGCAGTGCCATTTATGTTATCTGTAATTTATGTGCAAAGTGTAAAGTAGGAACCCAACATCATTATTTTTTCCACGTAATGATCCTGGTTAGATGAGTATCATTTGCTGAATGATCCATCTTTTCTCCATTTAGTGCTTAGAATCACTGGTATGGGACTGGAAAAGGTGGAGATCAAAAATTAGAATTTTAAAAGGCAAGTATCAGAGAAGACCACTGGATAAGAGAATTGAGAGTAACGGTCCTTAAAGTGCTGGTCTCTTGGGGTATAGACTAGACAGAAAAGGACTGAAGCCTTCCAGAAGGGGGCTCATAGCTCATGAGAATATGGAATAGCTGAGTGGAGATCTGGCTAAGGTCAAAGGGCTGATAGGAGAGGAGGTAGGATTTGGGAGTATACTTCACAGGTCTAGGATATGACAAAGTGTTAACGATCACGGTAGAGCACTGCTGAAGGGGAGTGAAGGTGAAGGTCACTGGAAGGAAGGAGATCTGGAAAGTACAAGTGCATATGGCCTTGAAGTCACCCAAAATTACGATAATGTGGCACTGAAAGGAAGGCTGTGGGTTAGATGCCAAAGCCTTCAGTGAATGAGGAGACTGCCTCAGAAATCAACAGATTAAGACATTAAGAAGGGCTAAAGGTAGGCTGGGTGCGGTGGCTCACGCTTGTAATCCCAGCACTTTGGGAGGCCAAGGCGGGTGGATCATGAGGTCAGGAGTTTGAGACCAGCCTGGCCAACACAATGAAACCCTGTCTCTACTAAAAATATAAAAATTAGCTGGGCATGGTGGCGGGCGCCTGTAATCCCAGCTACTCAGGGGGCCAAGGCAGGAGAATCGCTTGAACCCAGGAGGCGGAGGTTGCAGTGAGCCGAGATCACGGCATTGCACTCCAGCCTGGGTGACAGAGCTAGACCCCACTGCAAAAAAAAAAAAAAAAAAAAGGGAAGGGGGAGCTAATGGTAAACAGGAAAGTAAAGGAAGTGTTTTTATATAAGGATATTGAAGGGATAATCTGGAAGTAGCAGTGGGGAACAAAAGAGTCCTGCCTTGCTTCTCCATGCCCTGTGTTTATTTAGAGAAAACACCTTTGAAAAAGCCTTAGAGGAAAAGCTAGGCTTCATTTAAGCCTTATCTTAAGGAGAGGATAAGGTTCTACGAAATAAATTTTAATAACTATCCTTATATTGCGTTCAGAGGCTGTGCCAGACACTTGTTGGGCGCTGAGGATGGAGTCATGAGCTCAACAGGTGAAGTCCTCACCCTCAGTGTAGCTCACAGTCCGGCATCTTGCAACTCAAAGTCTGGTCCATAGACCAGCAACATCATTTGGGGTTGAAAGAAATGCAGAAAGTTAGGCCCTACCATAGACGTACTGAATCAGAACCTGTAGTTTAATAAGATGCCCAGGTGATGTGAATGAAGATTAAAGTTGAGAAGCACTGGTTAAGTCTTGAGTGAGTCAAGTTTTAACCTGGACAGACTGGAAAGTATGGTGTGTTGTAGCCATCTCCTAGTATCCCTTCCCTCTTCCCTCTTGGCAGCCACTTTAGTTCAGAGACCCTGCCCTTTCTAGTTGTAGTTGATTGTGGAGCATCTGACACCATCTTGACCCATCAGTTTTCCTTTCCCTGGCATTCGAGAATGGCAAAGAGAGAGAGATCCTATTAGGAGTAAACTCAACTTACTTGAGTTTACTTGTTAAATGGTGATATGGTTTGGCTCTGTGGCCCCTCCCAAATCTCATCTCCAATTGTAATCCCTGTAGCCCCGACGTGTCGAGGGAGGGACCTGGCGGGAGGTGATTGGATCACGGGGGCAGTTTCCCCCATGCTGTTGTTCTCTTGATAGTGAGTGAGTTCTCAAGAGATCTGATGGTTTAAAAGTGTTTGGCAGCTCCCCCCTCCCTTTTTCTCTCCTGCTACCATGTGAGATATTCCTTGCTTCCCTTTAGCTTTCCACCATGATTTTAAGTATGCCGAGGCCTCCCCAGCCATGCAGAATTGTCAGTTAAACGCCTATCCTCTACAAATTACCCAGTCTTAGGGAGTTCTTTATAGCAGTGCGAAAACAGACTAATACAAATGGCTAACCACAGAGTGTCTCTATTGGTTAGCCATTTAATAAATAAACCCAGGTCGGTTGCTGTGGCAATATGCTGGAAAGCAGAAAAACCAGGAAGTGGGTGGGGGAAGACAGAGAGAACAATGAGAGATGTTTGGAGAAAAGCAGAAATAGGAAATGTTGATTAGATTTCTATAGCTTTCCTATTCCCTAGGTAAACTAAACATCCTAAATTCCTTCCATTGATTGAACAGACCCTCTTTTTGGCCAAAGGGACTCCAGAAAGACCTTAAAACTGAGTTCCCAGACATGATGGTACGGGAGGTCAGACATGCCTCGTTATATCCCCTCTCCTTTGCAGTTTAAATGCAACAACTGATCAGCATTAATGTTAAAACACAGACCAGGGGGAGTAAGCTCTTTCCTTTCTGTCTGGCAGCAGCCATCAGGTAAGCCAAAATGGATGCATACAAGTACATCCAGGAGCAATGGAGGAAGAAGCAGTCTGATGTCATGCGCTTTCTTCTGAGGGTCTGCTGCTGGCAGTACTGCCAGCTATCTGCTGTCCACGGGGCTCCCTGCCCCACCTGGCCTGATAAAGCACGCCAGCTGGGCTACAAGGCCAAGCAAGGTTACATTATATATAGGATTCATGTTCACCATGGTGGTCAAAAATGCCCAATTCCTAAGGGTGCAACTTATGGCAAGCCTGTCCATCATGGTGTTAACCAGCTGAAGTTTGCTCGAAGCCTTCAGTCCATTGCAGAGGAGCGAGTTGGACACAACTGTGGGGCTCTAAGAGTCCTGAATTCTTACTGGGTTGGTGAAGATTCCACATACAGATTTTTTGAGGTTATCCTCATTGATCCATTCTATGAAGTTATCAGAAGAAATCCTGACACCCAGTCGATCACCAAACCAGTCCACAAGCAGAGGGAGATGTGTGGGCTGACATCTGCAGGCCAAAGGAGCTGTGGCCTTGGAAAGTGCCATAAGTTCCACCACACTATTGATGGTTCTTGCTGGGCAGCTTGGAGAAGGCGTGATACTCTCCAGCTCCACCGTTACCACTAATATAAGTAAAGTTTGGGCCAGGCGTGGTGGCTCACGCCTGTAATCCCAGCACTTTGGGAGGCCGAGGCGGGCGGATCACAAGGTCAGGAGATCGAGACCATCCTGGCTAACACGTTGAAACCTCGTCTCTACTAAAAATACAGAAAATTAGCCGGGCGTGGTGGCGGGCGCCTGTAGTCCCAGCTACTCGGGAGGCTGAGGCAGGAGAATGGCGTGAACCCGGGAGGCGGAGCTTGCAGTGAGCCGAGACTGCGCCACTGCACTCCAGCCTGGGTGACAGAGCGAGACTCCGTCTCAAAAAAAAAAAAAAGTTTGTAAAATTCGTACCTAATAATTTAGGACAGTCATGTCTGCTTACAGGTGTTATTTGTCTGTTAAAACTAGTCTGCAGATTGTTTCATGAATGCTTTGTCAAATTATGAAAATTAAAGTGCAATAATTTTTGAAGACAATAAGGGATGGTGTATCTTGTTTCTAATAAGATGAACTTTTTTTGTCTTTGCTTTATCTTATTAGGGAGTTATATATCTTATTAGGGAGTTAGTGTTTAAAACATACTGTGTGGTATAATAGGCTTAAAATAAATTCTTTAAAAGAGAAAGAGAGAAAAAAACACACACATACACAGACCGGAAGACTGACAGAACAGACTCTTTGTGGCGATGATACAAATTGTCAACAGGACCTATGGCCATCCCAGGCAAGAAACCCAGCTAGGCCAGTGAAACTGAGAGCCAACCTGATGAGGCCTGCCAAATGCAACTTCTCTCACTTGTTTTTAGTCACCTGCTTTTAGTGGATTAAAAAACCCACATAGCTAAAGTCACAGAGCTAAACAATATATATCTAAGCTCCCACTATCTTCCTTATGGATAACATCTCTGACATCTGGGTTGCTTGATAAAGGTTTCTTGTTTTTCAGGAAGTTGGGGTCAGTTCTTGTACAGTTTAAACCACCAACCTCTCAACTGGGCCTGCATGAAAGCCCGATGGGTGTCCTTCTGACATTAGAGGGCCAAAACCTCCACACTCAGATCATGCTAAGGATGTCATTTTGTGACCATGTATCCTATAAAGAGCCATGAAGCTTGACTACCTCGCGCAGATAACCCATTGCCAAACTTTTCCTTACCTTCAACCGCCTTTCCCCACACCTCAGACCACCCTGCTCCTCTATCCCATAAATATCCCTAAAACCCATCTTTGGGGAGGCAGATTTGAGATCTGTTCTCCCGTCTCCTCGGCTGGCTGCCTGGTGAATAAACCTTTTCTCTGCTACAAAACTCATCATCTCAGTGACTGGCGTGCGGCACACGGCAGCATGGGCCCCATACGGTACCCAGCCTCTACCTTGATTACACAACACCTGATTACACAACGCTGATTACACAGCACACCTGCGGAGCTTTGAGAGCTACAAGCCTCCTTTCCTCCCCGCAAAGTCCAGCTGGGCCCAAGTAGAGGATGCTGCAAAAGCCCCCACGATTCAGCTGCGAACCTAGGGATGGGACCCGCTGCTCATGCCGTCCTTCTAGGTTAGAGAGCCCTAAACTGGGCTGTGTATCAGAATAGTCCGCGTGCTGAGAATAATATAGATTCCTGGGCCTCGGCCCAGGTTTACAGAGGCGGGATGCTCAAGGATGCCCAGCCAGGCTCGGGACTTGCTCTTCGCAAGTCCTGTCGCGCGCTCGCTGCCCCGCCGGTTCAGGCGGTGAGGCCAACGCGCTCCGCCAGGGGGAACCTGGGCGCTGCGACACTGCAAGTCGTTTCCGGGCGCGGGCTGAGTGGGAGGAGCGGGGCGGGGCGTGGCGTGACCCGGAAGTCGACGAGGGGTTCCGCCCCCCCCGCGCATGGGGAGGTAGGCTCGGACCGGCCCGCGGAGCTGCTGCAGTCCTTCGCGCCCTCCTCGCCCTCCCCACCGACATCATGCTCCAGTTCCTGGTGAGTGGAGCTGCCGAAGAGCGGGGCCCGCTGCCTGGGGCGTGCCTCGGACCCCATTTCCCCCTTGAGGATTGCCGACCCCGCCGACCCGGCCTGGGCGTGGGTCCAGCGGTCCCTTCGTCCCCCGCGCCTGGTCGTCGCCTCGCAGGGCGGCCGTTTTCTTCCTGCCTCCCCAGAAAATCCCTTTGCCAATATTTTTCTGCAGCCATCCAAGTCCCTAAAACTTTGAGGTGTCAGAGAGTGTGCGTTTCCAGAGCTTCTTATTGTGTGCCGCGCCCCGCGCTCATTGTGCAATCTTTGTATTAAAGCTTGTGTGGTCCTTGATGACTTTTCGTAGTCCGCCCCCCTTTCTTTCTGCGCTCCTGTTCCATTACATGGTCGCCGGCCGGTCCCTGCTGTGGAGCCCTGCTAGTTGGCTTTTCTGAGGAGGTAGGAAGGCCAGGAATAAACCGTAAATTAGCCACCTCACGAAGTCCGAGAGGCTAAGTCCTCATCAGACCTTTCAGAGTTGGAGGAATGAGTCAGACACTGGTATACAAGTAATTTTTCCCAAAATGTGTAAGCATGAGTAAGCAGACTATTTCTCTTGGCTCCTTATTTGAGTTAAAAACGAGTTTTCTGGCAAAACTCGGTATATTTCAAAAATTGCTTGGTGAAGGTTCCAGGAGTTGCTCATCAAATTTTCAAGTGAAAGTTTTTCTGCCAAGCTATTGTGCATTCAAAACTTGATGCTTTCAACCTCTATTTTTTTTTATTTTTTATTTTTTTTGAGACGGAGTCTCGCTGTGTCGTCAGGCTGGAGTGCAGTGGCGCAATCTGGGCTCACTGGAACCTCCGCCTCCCGGGTTCAACCGATTCTCCCTCCTCGGCCTCCGGAGTAGCTGGGATTACAGGCGCGCACCAGGATGCTCAGCTAATTTTTGTATTTTTAGTAGAGACGGGTTTCACCAAGTTGGCCAGGCTGGTCTCGAACTCCTGACCTCAAGTGATCAACCCACCTCAGCCTACGAAAGTGCTGGGATTACAGGCGTGAGCCACTGCTCCCGGCTCAAATGCTGTATCTTTTTTTGTTGTTTGTTTTAACGGAGTCCCGCTCTGTCGCCAGGCTGGAGTGCAGTAGTGCGATCTCGGCTCACTGCAGCCTCCGCTTCCTGGGTTTAAGCGATTCTCCTGCCTCAGCCTCCCGAGTAGCTGGTGCGCGCCAGCAGGCCCAGTTAATTTTTGTATTTTTAGTAGAGACGGGGTTTCACCCCGTTGGCCGGGATGGTCTCGATCTCCTGACCTCGGGATCTGCCTGCCTCAGCCTCCCAAAGTGCTGGGATTACAGGCGTGAGCCTCCGCGCCCGGCCCCAAATGCTGTATCTTTATCAAAGAGATTAAAACACAAAATGCACCCCTTTTGTCCTTTTGAAAGATGGTAATGGATTGTTAAATCCAATTAGTCAAAAGAGTGTCCTTAATCTGCCCAGCTAAGACAGGGCTGCTCCTTTGCCTCTAGGAGTTTCTGTAGTGTCCTAACTAGATGTTAGTTTAGGAGTTCAGAATAATGACAGTCATTTTCTTGTAGTAAACACTAGATTAAAAGCGGTATCACTTAGCTCCAGAGTATAGAATGATGTAATTGAGCTGCTTACTATATCTGTTGCTCATTGATAAACTGAGAGGACATGATTCAATTACAGTTAACTTTCTAAGTGGTTTTGCAGAATGAGTCTATTTGGTTTTGCAATAAACTTTTACTGTGTGTTAATTTTTTTTTTTTTTTTTTTTTTTTGAGACAAGGTTTCTCTTTGTCACCTAGGCTAGAGTCCAGTGGCACAATCATGGCTCAGTGCAGTCTTTAATTCCTGGCCTCAAGCAGCCTTCCCACCTCAGCCTCTTTAGTAGTAGCTAGGACTACAGGCCCGCACTACCACCCGTGACTAATTTTAAAATTTTTTTTTTGTAGAGACAGGTCTTGCCTAGGCCTCCCACAGTGTTGGGATTACAGGCATGAGCCACCACTGTGCCTGGTCAGATTCTGATTTGAGAATTCAGAATTCTCAGTATTTAAGGAGAGATGCTAAAGCTGTCAATTATATTCCTAGCTCAGAAGTAACTGAACACTGATGTTCTCTCACCCTCTGGTCTTCCACCTCATTGCTTTTTTTTTTAAATAAGTGGATAGCATTACTTTTCACATTGATTCCACCTCTGTCAAATGAGCCACTGACTCTAAAGTTGAGCAAGTATTTCTCTTTGTGTGCAGTCATTTCATCTATTAAAAAATGACCATCATGTTCTAGTGTTTAAGAGATTAAACTTCAGAGTCAGACTTCTCAGTTTGAACTCTGCCTCCCATCATTTTCAAGCTGTGGTAGCGTGGGTGGGCTATTGAAATTTTCTGTGCTCCCATTTCCACATCTGAAAATGCAAACCCACCTCACAGTTTTGTTGTGAGGATTAAAAATGAGTTAACACATTAAAGAACTTAAAAACAGGAGCACTCAACAAGGATTCAGATAGTGTTCAGTTTTTCTTTTGCAGGGTTCATTTGAACCCTGATTGAGTTTCTTCTCAAGTGGGGATTAGCTTCTCTCAGAAGGGTAGGTGATAGGAAAGGTTTAGAAGTGATGAAACAGTCACAAGTTAAGCAGTGCGTTGTCATTACACATTTTGGAACCGTCTAAGATGTTTCTCCTACAGTTGTGATTTGTGGACAGTTTGAAAACCACTGCACTTGCTTGTGTTGGTGATAACGTCCTTCCATTATTCATATTCCTCCTCAGATTAAAATATTCTCCCTTTGTCCCTATCTTGAAGAGACCTTGTTCCTGTGATTTTCCCCTTTTCTTTTACTGCAGTTTTTCCCCTTTATTATTACTATTTTTAATAGTGGAGATAGGGTCTCACTATATTGCCCAGGCTGGTCTTGAACTCCCAGGCTGAAGCAATCCTCCCACCTCAGTCTCTCAAAGTGTTGGATTATGGGCTTGAGCCACTGCTCCTAGACTTTTTTTTTTTTTTTTAAATGCAGTGCTTCAGAAATTTGTGTGTCGTCTTTGCGCAGGGGCCATTCTGATCTCTGTATCATTCCAGTTTTAGTGTATGTGCTGCCAAAGTGAGCACCCCCCTTTCTTTTACTGCAGTAAAAGACACCTCTTTGCAGATAGTTACCAACACTACCTGAGGGAAGCTACTGCTTCCTTAATCGTAAGGTTTAGCTAGAGTTATTTTAAGGATGCTTTTGGCGGGAAGCTAACATGATGGCACTGCTGGGGGCTTTGTGCACACTGCCTATGATGTTGTTATTGTGTTATTGTAATCTGTTGCTTTTTTTTTTTTTGAGACAGAATCTCACTCTGTCACCCAGGCTGGAGTGCACTGGTGCCATCTTGGCTCACTGCACCCTCCGCCTCCTGGGTTCAAGCGATTCTCCTGCCTCAGCCTCCGGGTTCAAGCGATTCTCCTGCCTTAGCCTCCGAAGTAGCTGGGATTACAGGCATATGCCACCACACCTGGCTAATTTTATATTTTTTAGTAGAGATGGGGTTTCACCACGTTGGCCAGCCTGGTCTTGAACTCCTGACCTCAAGTGATTTACCCACCTCGGTCTCCCAAAGTGCTGGGATTACAGGCGTGAGCTCCTGCACCCGGCCGGTTTTCCCTTTATCCTTTTTGCCTTCCTAAATACTCTTCAAGGCCCCACTTTGATCTTTTTCCATGAGGCCCTCCTGATGACTTATGCTTCTGAAACCTTTACACTATTATGTCTTTGTTTTGTTTTGTTTTTGAGACAGCGTCTCACTCTGTCACCCAGGCTGGAATGCTGTGGTGCAATCTCGGCTCACTGCAACCTCTGCCTCCTTGGTTCGAGCGATTCTCGTGCCTTACCTTCCCAAGTAGCTGGGATTACAGACGTGTGCCACCATCCCCGGCTAATTTTTGTATTTTTAGTAGAAACAGCCATGTTGGCCAGGCTGGTCTCAAACTCCTGGCCTCATGTGATCTGCCCGCCTCTGCCTCCCAAAGTGCTGGGATTACAGGTGTGAGCCACTGTGCCTGGCCTTACACTATTACACTATTATGATCCATTTCCTCATTTATTTAGGTCTCATGTCTTTTCAGTAACTTCTGAATAATTATCTTGCACCTTGTTTGTTATGTTTATTTCTATTTTGTTAATTATTTCACCAGTTGATGGACATTCAAGATGTTTCCACTTTTGGCTATGATGAGTAATCCTGCTAGGAATATTTGTATACAGGCTTTTGTGTGGATATGTATTTCAGTTCTGTTGAGTATATACCCTAAAGTGGGATTGCTGCATTATGTGGTATCTTTATGCTCAACTTTTTGAGGAACTTTTGGACTGTTTTCCAGAGTAGCTGCACCGTTTTACATTCTCACTAGTAATGTATGACGGCTTCAATTTCTCCACATCCTCGCCAACATTTCGTGTAGCTCTTATTGTTTTTGTTAAAGTAATTCTAGTGGGTGTGATGTAGTTCCTCATTATGGTTTTGCTTTGCATTTCCTCAGTGACTAATGTTGAGCATCTTTTCATATGCTTGTTGACTGTTTGTAGCTTTGGAGAAATCCTTTCACATCATTTGTCCATTTTTATTTTTGTTTTATTTTATTTATTTATTTTTGAGACGGAGTCTCGCTTTGTCGCCCAGGCTGGAGTGCAGTGGTGCAGTCTCGGCTCACTGCAACCTCTGCTTCCTGGGTTCAAGTGATTTCTCCTGCCTCAGCCTCCCGAGTAGCTGGGACTACAGGCGTCCACCACCATGCCTGGCTAATTTTTGTATTTTTAGTAGAGGCGGGGTTTCACCAAGTTGGCCAGGCTGGTAATTGAACTCCTGACCTCAGGTGATCCCCCAACCTTGGCCTCCCAAACTGTGGGATTACAGGTGTGAACCACTGTGCCTGGCCAATTTGCCCATTTTTAAATTGAGTTTTTTTGTGTCACTCAGTTGTAAGAATTATTTATATATTCTGGATACACATCCCTTATCAGATATATATTTGAAAATATTTTATCTCATTCTGTGTGTTGTCTTTTGACTTTCTTGATGGTGTTCTCTGAAACACAGATATTTTTAATTTTGATGAGGTCCAATTTTTTTTTTTGGTTACTTGTACTTTTGGTGTCATATCTAAGAAAACTATTTGCCCAGCCCCACTCATGTGAAACACAGATATTTTTAATTTTGATGAAGTCCAATTTTTTTTTTTGGTTACTTGTACTTTTGGTGTCATATCTAAGAAAACTATTTGCCCAGCCCCACTCATGAAGGTTTACGCCTATGATTTCTTTGAAGAGTTTTATAGTTTTAGCTCTTACATTTAGGTCTTTAATCCATTTTGAGTTAATTTTTGTATATAGTGTGAGATAGGAGTCCACCTTTATTCTTTGCATGTGGATATCCCATTGTCCCAGCACCATTTCTTGAAAAGATTATTCCCAGCACCATTTCTTGGAAAGACTATTCTTTCTATATTGAGTTCCTTGGCACTCTTGTTGAAAATCACTTGACCATAAGCCTTTATGGTGTATTCCTGGGCTCTCCACTTTATTCCATTGATCTTTATTGATCAATAGAAACAATTCAGTCTTCTTTCCTTGCCACCACAGTAATCGGCTTTTCTCTAATGGGTACTTGGTTTTCTTAAAAAAAAAATTACCTTTTTAAATTCCTACATCTTTTCATCATCTAATAGGTCCTTGTTTCCTCAGCCTTTTCTGAGTATAGGTACCGGGAGAGTGCTTCTCAGGCAGTGCTTTCATCATGTTGCTGAGGGCAGAGTAGTCAGTGTCTCCCTACCATGATTGCATGTGAAGGAAACTCCCCTGCCTCTGATGCCCAGGCTGGAGTGCAGTGGCATGATCTCAGCTCACTGTAACCTCTACTTCCTGGGCTCAAGTGATCCTCCCACCTCAGCCTCCAGAGTAGCTGGGACTACAGATGTATGCCACCACATCCGGCTAGTTTTGCATTTTGTTGGTAGAGATGTAGTTTCACCATGATGCCCAGGCTGGTCTCAAACTCTTGGGCTCAGGCCATCCTCTCACCTTGTCTTCCCAAAGTACTGGGATTACAAGCGTAGCCATTGTACCTGGCTGCCCTACCTGCTTGTTGAAGCCCAACATCTAGACCTTTCCAGCTTTCCATACTTAATTCTCTCCATTCTTTAACTCAAATTCTCTTTTCCAGTCAGGCCTGTTTCTTTTATGCCAGTCATCACATGTCCATTCCCATCTCGTGCCTTGATTTTCCACATTCAGTTTTCTTCGCATTTCCTTTACCAGTTGTATTAGTCCATTTTCACACTGCTGATAAAGACATACCCGAGACTGGGTAATTTACATGGGAAAAAGGGTTTAATGGACTTACAGTTCCACATGGCTGGGGAGGCCTCAATCATGGCAGAAAGCAAGGAGGAGCAAGTAACGTCTTACATGGATGGCAGCAGACAAAGAGAGAGCTTGTGCAGGGGAACTCCTCTTTATAAAACCATCAGATCTCATGAGACATATTCACTATCACGAGAACAGCATGGGAAAGACCTGCCCTCATGATTCAGTTACCTCCCACTTGGTCCCTCCCACAACGTGGGAATTCAAGATGAGATTTGGGTGGGAACACAGCCAAACCGTATCACCAGTTTAAATGTGAACACTTAGCATATTTAGAGCCTTTAATATCAACCTGAGGTATATATTTTTCAAGTATGATTTCTTAAAAGAATCACTTTTGTGTCATTCATTTTGCCACTTAATGCATGGCCTAGTTCTGATGTTTGGAGCATCTGTTAACATTGAAAATCCTGTGCAGGGTCCTGCCTTCTGTTGTTATATAACTATTTTACCTAGCATTTCTTCCTATTCATCATATAAGTTCTCTAAGGGCAGAGATCATTTTTAATCCTTTCATGGGGCTAAATATGAGGTTGATTTTTAGTATAAGGTCTGCAGTCCCTTAATCAAAATCTTTAGGGGCCGTATGTATTTGGGAAATCAGATTTCTTTCAGATTTTAGAAAAGTAATAAGCTGCATCATGTACCTCGGTACTTAACACCCCCAGCAGCATCTGGGATAGCACTTTGTAATCTAAATGTATTAAAATTTTTGGTGTGAGACATATTCTCCAGCGAGGAGGTCTAAGGCAGGATCCTATATTTAAAGATTTCTATTTCTATAGCAAAAAATGATTATTCACACTAAAGTGTGATAATGACATAAATAGGCTCCTGTTAGTTCAGGTCAGATATGCTTTTGCTACCAAATGAGTTATGATGAAATGTAGTTTGGATTGAGTTGGGTTTCAGAATTGTGGATAATGGATTGTGGAGCTTCACTGATTCTTAGTGTACTCTCTATTTATAGAGCTGACAATGCGATTCTTCTGTTGTGTACTGCTCTGTGCCAGTCTAGACTTCTCTTTTGGGGCTCTTAGCTCCAGTATCTTCTTCCCATCTATTTTTCCTGTACACTACTTTCCTCATCTCAGTCCTCTGTTCTCAAACTTCCAGTGTTTTACCATTAATTGTCCCCAATGTTTCTGTGAAAAGAAGCTACTTTTTCATACCCCTAAAGTCTCAAAATTATTACAGAGAGGGTGTGATAGTAATGCACTTAGTGTTGAGCTTGGGAAGAAAGCATTGCATTCCTTATGCCACAGTCTTCTCTACAGGGAATACTAAGGGGTGACCATGTGATATGGGGGAAGCAGGGCATTGTGATGGCATTCAGCTGACAGAACTACTGATGAGGTTTCCAGGTCTTGGCCTGGAAGAAGTTAGGCATTCTTGGCCTGCAAGGAGGTTTCAGACTCATCCAAGACCTCCTATAATCTGACTCCAGTCTAACCTCTCAGACTGAGTCACTGTTCCTCAGATTTAGGTTTTACTTTTTTGTCTAAACTTGCCTACTGACCATCCCGTGAATGACATACTGTATATGCTTTTCTGGCTTCATGCATTTTTCCCAACATTTCTCTTAGTGATATTTTTCTTGTGTATTTAATCTTATGATACTCCTTTGGTAGATCCGGTAGTATTCTGAAACTGGAATTGATATGACTTGTTTAGAGGCTCATGGTTTTTGTTTTGTGTTGTGTTTTAAAATAATCATGAGTTTTTTATGTGCCCTGATACCTGGCAAAGTTGCCAAAATGAAGCCACGTTAGACATGCCACATTTATTTAGAGACACATTTGGTAAGAACTAGGAATCTTAGCATGTTGGAGCTGGACATTACATTGTGAGTATAATGTTTTATAAATCAGGAAGCTCAAATCAGCAAAGCTCCAGAGAGGTTAAGTGTCTTGCTTTAGGCACACCGCTTGATAGTGGTGGAACCAGAACTCGATTATTTTTTTTGAAAGTTTTTAAATCCCATGTTTTTTCTTTTTGGTGTTAGAGCTAATACTTTCATTTGACTTGTTTTCTCTTCTTTTAAGCAAATTTAATACTCCTTCTGGATTTGGAAAACCATTTCCTACCTGGTTTCAACCCATAGGAGAAAAAAATCATTCTCCTTCAAGGTGCAACACTGGTAAAAGTAGGATTTTGCAGGCCATATCTGATTAATCAAATGATCAGAACGGTCTATGATTAGAGATAAGATAGACTCTTCTATGATTTTTATTGCTAACAACAAACCAATTTAAATTATACTTTTGGTGTTTCAAGCTTAGTAAGTTTAAAGTGTACTAAGGACCCAGCTGCATTCTGTTCCCCTGTGTGCATCTCCAACTTGAAGAGAAGGTTCAGTCATGCCATGTGATTGATGGTGTTAAGTGCCACATTTTATTTTTTTAAACCTCTCTGCTGTGTATTGATTGAATAAAAGCAACAATGATTAAAGAAAATGATGAAAAAAATTGATGCTAGTTTGAATTTATAAAATGAGAAATTAAGCTCCAGATGGAGCCTCTTAGTTACCAGAGGAAAACAGGGAATTATTATCATTAAAACTCAAAGCTGAGGAGCCTTGGCCCTTTTGGATATATCTAAATTTTCATGAACCAGTTTTTGTTTAGGAAAATAGTCACCAAATGAGATAAATATTTAAAGTTTTCTAAAAATTGCACC
Organism: Homo sapiens; assembly: GCF_000001405.40. Classification (NCBI taxonomy): domain Eukaryota; kingdom Metazoa; phylum Chordata; class Mammalia; order Primates; family Hominidae; genus Homo; species Homo sapiens. The sequence continues at coordinate 135,671,677 of NC_000007.14, forward strand.
CGTCTCTTGTCACTGTGTTTCCCACCGGCCTTAAATGTCCTGCCTGTTAGACTGTACCTGTGGCAGAGTGCTAAGCCATATGTGCTCTCAGTGGTGTGTCAGAGTTTTCTCTTCTTTTCTGTAATCACATATTTTAGTTTTTGAGTGTGAAGCTAATGTAGATTGTCCTGTCCTCCTTGTTGTGAATGTCCTTGGAGAAGTCCCTTCCCATCCTGGGCCTCAAGTTCCTCTTTTGAACTATGAAGAGATTGTAAACTGTGAAGAGTCCCTTCATTCTCTGAGATCCTATGATTTGACTGAATATTTATTTATTTTTATTTTGAGACAGTGTCTTGCTCTGTCTCCCAGGCTGGAGTGCAGTGGCACAATCTCAGCTCACTGTAACCTCTGCCTCCCGGTTTCAAGTGATTCTCCTGCCTCAGCCTCCCGAATAGCTGGGATTACAGATGTGAGCCACCACGCCTGGCTAATTTTTGTATTTTTAGTAGAGACGAGGTTTCACCATGTTGGCCAGGCTGGTCTGAAACTCCTGACCTCAAGTGATCTACCACTTTGGCCTCCCAAAGTGCTGGGATATAGGCGTGAGCCTCTGTGCCCGGCCTTGACTGAATACTTTAAAAACTGAATAATTTTTATTTGATTTAAAAAGGAATAACAATATCCATAACCAAAAAAAGACAAAAAAATTGCAGCATGCAACAAGAAAAATCTGAACTTTGGCTTGAGTTTCCAGGACTTGTAGTCAAGTATTTATGTGGGTTGTGAGGGGATAAGAGAATTTAGGGTAGCTTTATACAGTGTTACCATTTATTCTTTTTTGTTGTTTTATTTTTTTCTTATGTTTGGTTGGTGTCACCATTTATTCTTTTGTATGCTGTTTAGCCTCTGGAGAGGGCATCTCTGTGTTTATAGAAGAAAAATGTGACTCTCATGTTGTACACAGCCCTAGACTGGACATCAAGGTCTTCTAACTGTCCTAAGCTTCTTAGGAAGATATTGTCTATGTATTTTAGTTTGGAATCAGACTGGCACAGGACTCGGCATGCACTATAACTCTTACTGTTCTATTTTTTCAGCTTGGATTTACACTGGGCAACGTGGTTGGAATGTATCTGGCTCAGAACTATGATGTAAGTGGCCATATCCATGACTTCCTTGATTCCATGTAACTGTTTTAGAGTGACTTTTCTTTGTTTGAGGTAAGGTGTGACTTCCAGCATAAATGTAGTCCATATGGCTGAGGCAAAACTCCTGAATATTGTAGAATGGTTTGCCATTGTTTGAAAAAGTAATCCAACTCATGAAACAGCTGTCCTCCATATCACCACAAGAGGGCAAAATCCCTTCAGTTTAGCTGGGCTCATGATCATCCTCAGCTGTGGCTTGTTAGCCGAGAGTAATATTAAGTTGGGCTCTTAAAATTCTTTGGGAAATCATGTGATAAGTGAGAATTTAAAAATTAATTGGATAATATTTTCAGCCCCACTATCCAGTAGTAGAGATGACTTAGAATTTTGGAGATGCATCTGGGTAGGGGGACTGAAAAATATAGATCTATATTCCATCTCCAAAATTCTAAGTGTAGCACATTTGGGGACAGAGTTTTGTGAAGTTGTATTAACCTCACTTTATAGGTGGTGATGTTGAAAACCAGGTGGTGCAGCAGCCTATGAATGGGGATTCTGGACAGGAGTTTGAAAAAGACAAGCAAGGGAAACATGATACTAACTTGATTTGTTATAAAGCTTTTCATATGACAAAGGGAATTCCTTTGTCAACCTTCGTTTGAGTCATACAGTTTTCTAGGCAAAGGCTACATTATGTCACATTTATTGTTTATATGTACAACCTTTACTTGGCACCAGATCGAGCGGAAGTGGGTATACAAAAGTAGAAGTGGGTTTCAGAGAAGGAGCATACTTATCTGACAACTTCTGATATCTTTCACATGCAGTTATAAGGCTAAGAAATACCACTATTGGCCGGGTGCAGTGGCTCACGCCTGTAATCCTAGCACTTTGGGAGGCCGAGGTGGGCAGATTGCTCAAGCTCAGGAGTTCGAGACCAGCCTGGGCAGTGTGACGAAAGCCCATCTTTACAAAAAATACAAAAATTAGCCAGGGGTGGTGGCATGTCCGTGGTCCCAACTACTTGCGGGATTGTGGCGGGAAGGATCACTTGAGCTCTGGAGGTCAAGGCTGCAGTGAGCTGTGTTTGCACCATTGCCCTCCAGCCTGAGTGACAGAGTGAAACCCTATCTTAAAAAAGAAAGCAAAAAGAAATAACCACTATTTAGCAGATCTCTTTTGGAGGAAGATAAAAGCTTGTAAAACCATTTATCTTTGGAGGAAGAGAAGTACAAGAATATTGATTAGGTAGATGCAAAATTATAATAACCTTTTTTCTCTTCAAAGATACCAAACCTGGCTAAAAAACTTGAAGAAATTAAAAAGGACTTGGATGCCAAGAAGAAACCCCCTAGTGCATGAGACTGCCTCCAGCACTGCCTTCAGGATATACTGATTCTACTGCTCTTGAGGGCCTCGTTTACTATCTGAACCAAAAGCTTTTGTTTTCGTCTCCAGCCTCAGCACTTCTCTTCTTTGCTAGACCCTGTGTTTTTTGCTTTAAAGCAAGCAAAATGGGGCCCCAATTTGAGAACTACCCGACATTTCCAACATACTCACCTCTTCCCATAATCCCTTTCCAACTGCATGGGAGGTTCTAAGACTGGAATTATGGTGCTAGATTAGTAAACATGACTTTTAATGAGTAGTGTCTTCTTTATCGTTTGCGATTTTTACTACCTTTTTTCAAAAGAAAAATTGATGAGTTTTGTATAGCTGGTCAGATACAAATAATAGTGACTTCACAGTTTAGTAATTATAATGGGTACTTGTTAAACATTTGGTACTAAATTATGTTGCTGCAAAGTAATTAAAATTAGTATCTAGAGCTAGTTTCTGGTGAATTATTCATTTATTTTGTACTGTTGTTAGGCAGCTCTGTAGTTGCTAATTTAACCAATAAGTCAATTTGCTATTCATGAAGAAACGATTCTGAGAATCCTGTCAGGAATTGGGGAATGAAAAAATACACAAAATAATGGTCTTTGTCCCAGTAGAGTTCATAGTCTATTTAGTGTGCATGTTTTTCCTTAATGATGTATTTGATCTGACTTTTTTCCTTCTCAAAAGAATCATACTTGGGATTACAGGTACATTTGATGTTATATGATGGATAAGTGAAAAGTTTTTAAAGGAGATTTTATACCTTTTCACATTAAAAAAGGTATTTATATTATTACTTTGTAGTGATTGTCTTAAGAAAAAATATAGCCCAAATGTATAGTAAAATCAGCAGCTCAAGAAGAATTTCTGCTTCTCTTTGTAGTTGATGCTTTGTTTTTTCCTGCAGTCAGAAATTCCTTGTATTTGTCAAATGTATAATCAGCTTGTATTGTTTTTAAATTAAAAAAAAATTTGAATAATTAACTTTTGCCATGGGACAAGATACAAAAGTAATTTCATATAAAGGGCCTCTCCCACCCCTGTTCTCTGGCTCCTGGCTCCTGTTTGACAAGTTACTGTTACCACTTCGCCTTATACTTTTGAGAAAGAGTCTGTGCCTAAACAAACACGTGTAACACAAATAGTAACTATACATGGAGGTCTAGCCCTCGCCTTTTTTTTTTCTTTTTTTCTTTTTTAATGGAGATCATTCTATACCAGCATGTAAGTAGCAAGGAACCTCATTCTTTTTTTGGCTGCCTAAAATTTTTTTGAATAGATATAACATAATTGATTTAATCTGCTACTGGTGAATGCTTAGGTTGTTCTTTTGCTATTACAGTGATAACTTCAATCCTAATGTTATTAAGCATATCGATTCAGGGTATAGCTATAAGATGAAGTCCTAAAAGTATAATTTAGACTAAATACAAATACCCATTTCGCTAGCTGTTTTGTTTCAGAGGACTTGTTGAGCAGCTTCACTAATAATGCCATTTTTGAAGACATGGCAGGTTCAGAATCAATAAACTGGAAGAATTGTTCAGAGCATCTTTTTTCAGACAGTGATGACATTGATTCTGTATATGATAAAGTGATTCTGCTTCTCTTTGACAACTTGCATCTCTCCTACATGGAAGTAAGTTTTATTCCTGTCAATGTTGTCTTTGTGTGTGACAGATTAGGATTAAATTATGGTTTGACTTTTCCTAGCAGCGTGATCATGGGCAAGTGGCTTTTTTTTTTTTTTTTTTTTGAGACAGAGTCTCACTCTGCTGCCCAGGCTGGAGTGCAGTGGCACAGTCTTGGCTCACTGCAACTCCTGCCTCCCGGTCCAAGTGATTCTCGTGCTGCAGCTTCTCAAGTAGCTGGCATCACCACCACACCTGGCTAATTTTTGTATTTTTAGTAACGACGAGGTTTCACCATGTTGGCAAAGCTGGTCTCAAATTCCTGGCCTCAAGTGATCTGCCCACTTCAGCCTCCCAAAGTGTTGGGATTACAGGCGTGAGCCACTGCGCCCAGCTTTTTTAAACTTTTAGATTCATTTAATAGGTAAATTGCATGTCACGGGTTTGTAGCTTATTCTTTCAGAAACTCTTGCATTATCTGTAGACGTGGACGTAAATATCCACCTCATAGGGTTTTCATAAAAAATAATTGAGATAATGTATGTAATGTTTCACAGTGCTTTGCAGACTATCTAATAAATAGTAGCTATTAGTACAAACTTGTTGCTTTTTGGCTAGTTCTGCAGTCACTTTTGGAATCAGTTTATGAACCACACAAAAAGTTTGTCATTATTCTGTAGTCGCTGTTTTTGATACTGATGAAAATTTACAGTATCCACCTGGATTGTACCATCTGGCTCACAAGATTTGATCTTGAATTGTTAGCACAATGAACTACAGCCTCAAAGGATGAAAGTTTACCTTGCGGGTATTAAAAATGCTAGAAGCTTAGAAAGCTGTTTCCAAAGAGGGATTCCTTGTTACCAACCATGATAGCATTGCTGTGGTGTGTGTGGTCTCCCAGAGTGGCTGCTTTGGGATTGGAGGTCACTTAGCTATTAGAAGGATAGGTCTCTTTATATTATACCTTGTAAACAAGGCTCATTTGGACTTAGGGCTTCCTTTAGAGGTGACACTTAACCTTGGCAAGGGGATCATTTCTACCAGTGGGATCCATCTAGCAGATCAGTTCTTAAATTCGGCTTCATCATGTAAACTGCTACACAGTGCAGGCTGACTTTGCATTCACCATTCAGATACCCTCTCCTAGTTTTATGTTCTTGGCAGCAGTGAAAAGGACCTCAGAGTTCTCAGGCAAGATGATCTTCACTGAGCTATATGTTGGAGGAGCCCAGAACCATCATAGTTTTAGGGTGTAGTTGAAAATCCTTACTGTGAATGGGGTTTATGGCACTGAAAGTTACCCCTTCCCTGGGAATTTTGTAGGAACCCTTGCCACACAGATCAATGGAGTGGTGGGAAGAAGCACCACAAGACAGGCCTTTTTTTTTTCCTTTAAAAAATGTTTGAAAGCTCCTACTAATATGGTTAGGAAAACTTCTGCCACATCTGACCATAAAATGAGAGTTGCTCAAAATACTAGTGCAGATTACTCTGACATGTGAAATACAAGACTTCAGGATTGATGCTAGAAAAATACAGTGAACTTGAAAAGCTTATCCCTAAACTGTAATCCTCCCAAACAAAACAAAAACAAAGCAAGAAAAAAAGCCTTATTTAAAATTGTCAAAAGAGGCTGAATTTTATGAAGTTACCAAAAGTATATCTTTAGACTTTTCTTCTGATTTGGTATTTTATGTATTTAAGCAGTTACCTGATTCTGATTTAAAGGAGCAATTTTATTTCTCTTTTTCTAACTCATTTACCCAATGAGTTTGTGTGACTATAGAGAAAAGTAGGCTGTGTGGTTTTTCTAGTTGTCTATACACATTGCCTCATAGAGCATATGTACCCATGGTACACATGTGTAATGTTTTCATTTCCACTAACCCGTTCACTCCCTAGATACTATGCTGGTGTTTTTCTGCTGAGGTCTCCCACATTTTTAATGCCTTTTCTGAGTTATTCCTCCTGAAGGAACGTTATATACTGTACTGGAGCAAATGAGGCTTTTCTTAAACTTCCAGTCTTGGGTTTTGCATGTAGCATTTCCATTCCTTACAGATGAATGAGTTCTTTTTTCCCTATTGACTATTAGGGCTTCGCCTTGCGGAAAGGAATAGGGTGGTGAAGGGAAAATATTTTGAGATCTTGCCTGCTCTTAATAGGGAGTTTGTGACACTTAGATTTTCAAGTGTTCATTTTATACCTTTCCCAAATCTGGTTGCAGTGTATTTAGTCAAGCATTGAAGACCTAACATATGGCATGTTTTGCAAGGCACAGGGAAAGAAAAATGAACTGAGAACAGTGAGACCTTGTGGAAGTTCCCAGGGTGGGACGTTGAAACCCTGGGTCCTGGGCCTTCCTGAATCACAGCCTCGGTGGGAGGATTTTATGAAAGGTACAGTGCAGTTGCATCATCTTACACAGTTGTACAGGACTGGGACCAAAAAAGGTGCCATGTAAATAGTGCATGCAATTGTGTTCAGTGTTCGTTCAGTGAGGACAGCCCCACTGAGCTACCTGTGTACTCAGGTGGTCTCGGTTCCCTTTGCGTTCTAATGGTTTGAGTTTCTTGCTGTATTGAGAGTGATTCTAGTGTTTAGAGACTTTTTCAAACATCACGGTCTCCAGATGTGAAGCCAACTACCTCATTTATTGTATGGTTGAACAAACAGATTTGTTCTGATGTTGGAAGGAAAACTAGCTGCTTTTGATTTGTTAAAAGATGGTACATGAGTGTTTGTGATATGTAAATACTAATGTGAAAGATTGTATACCATGTACTTAATGTCTGACTTAGTGGAATTTCAAAGGCAACTTTGACTAAGCAAATTTGATAAAGAATTGGTTTAAGAATAAGATGCAACTATACTTAGTGACTTTGGCTCACAGTTTCATCATCCATAAAATATTAGAAGATAAAATTAAATTATATTTGCAAGAGACACAAGACTATTAAGGAGGGCTAGAAGTTATCCAACAGTGGAGTGATTTAGATGACAAGGAGTTATTAATCATATTTGCCATTTCCTGTCACTGGAATGGGTAACCTTGCTTGGCTTGAATCTCCAGTTCTGGGAAAGAACAGTGCTGTGCTTGAGAGCAGTTTAGTAGACCAGACTGAAATAAACGCTCTTTCTAAATTGGCTAGTTGAATGCATTCACTACTCGGAACACCTGGCAGCAGTTGCTGGCACAGCTTTCCCTTCAGGAGTGAGTCAGGTTCTCACATAGTTGAATACTGGCCAGTAATTCTAAGTCCACTTAATTCTAAATCAACTTTTCTTTCTCTTTTTACTTATACTCCCAGAATCTTACAGATTGCACCTTTGTCCTATTGTCTGACTTAGGGGCAAAGGATCTGTGTTCTGTGATGGTTCATAAATGTGATGTTTGGCTGCTCTGATAATAAGAGTAATACCCTGACTCTTGAAAATTTAAAGCAAATGACTTTAGAGATGTTGGCTGGATCAAATCAGCTGTAGCGTACCTAACATTGGTATTTCATTTGGGCTTGTGAGGTCTTAACTATTATATTGGACAAATAATTTTGGTCTAACTCACAGGGCAGAAGCACTGATGTTCCCATTAACCATGGTCAGTCACATTCTGTGGTTGAAGCACATGTTTGTGGTGGTTTCTTTTGCTCCAAAAGAAATTTTACAACTCACAGATGCTTGATCAATTAAGGGAGTGATTTTATAGATAAATTATTGTGGGAAAACAGCACGTGCTATCAGTAGTAACTTAAAATCACTTAAAACAGTGCAGTAATTGTAGGGGACTCCCTTTCCCCTAAGATATATTTAGCAAACAACTGATGGGAGAAATAAAAAATATGTAACACTAACAAACTAGAGGGATTGAGAGCTATCTCCAGTCATGTAGCAAGGATATCTATCATGGAGAAAACGGCATGGTCTTCAGGAGGAGAAAGAAGCCTTGATTTCCAGACAGTTGTTTTCTCATGGGACACGTTTATTGAGCATTTACAGCTTACCACATTGTAGAAGTTGCTGGGGGATTTCAAGAGCCATAGACAGCTCTTCTCCCTCAAGGGGCTCATGTAGGGATGTGTAGGAAGTGACAGATGTGTTTGGACCTTTGGCTACTACCTAATACTTTGTTTTCTCAGGAACAAACTACTTATTAAATCCAGAAGCAAGCCAGTCTAATATAATAATAATGCTGTGGTCTTAATTATAGTTTTGGTTTCCCTTATAAGACACATAGGAAAGTTTTCCCTCCCTCCCAAAACTTAACCAAGGCAATAGTATTTCTGGTTAGTGACAGGTGGAGAGAGAGATGTTAATCTCAATGTATCTTCTTTCTTGACTTCCCTTTCCTTTTGAGACGGAGCCTCGCTCTGTCGCCCAGGCTGGAGTGCAGTGGTGCGATCTCAGCTCACTGCAACCTCTGCCTCCTGGGTTCAAGCGATTCTTCTGCCTCAGCCTCCTGAGTAGCTGGGATTACAGGCGTGCACCACCACGCCCGGCTAATTTTTGTATTTTTAGTAGAGTCGGGGTTTCACTCTACTAAAACCCTGTTGGTCAGGCTGGCCTCGAACTCCTGACCTCATGGTCCGCTTGCCTCAGCCTCCCAAAGTGCTGGGATTATAGGCGTGAGCCACCGCGCCCGGCCGACTTCCCTTTCCTTTGACTAATAGAACAACACCAGCCTCTTTCTGAAAGGGAACACTATATGGGAATTTGGTGCCAAGGTAAAGGGGAGCCATTGAGGAGAGATGCTTAAAAGGGAATGAAAGTGGTGATGAAAGAGTACTAATTGCCATGAGGAAGACCTACTAAGAATGCCTTCTTGTGGAGAGAACTTAGGATAGAAGCACTTAAGAGAAAGGAGCTGATGGCCGGGCGTGGTGGCTCACACCTGTAATCCCAGCACTTTGGGAGGCTGAGGCAGGTGGATCACCTGAGGTCAGGAGTTGGAGACCAGCCTGGCCAACATGGTGAAACCCCATCTCTACTAAAAATACAGAAAACCAGCTGGGCGTTGTGGCACATGCCTGTAGTCCCAGCTACTCAGGAGGTTGAGACAGTAGAATCGCTTGAACCTGGGAGTGGAGGTTGCAGTGAGCTGAGATCGTGTCACTGCACTCCAGCCTGGGCAACAGAACGAGACTCCATCTCAAAAAAAAAAAAAAAAAAAAAGAGAGAGAGAGAAAGGAGCTGACATTAGGTTTCGAGGTCTGGGTGAGGTTTCCCACAAAAAAGATGTCACTGGTTTCACTCTGCCTTGGTAGGATGACTTGGGTATCTTTCTACTCCTAAGAAGGTATTAAGAATAACATAAAACCTAGTGAGTTTGCAAGGCTTAGCCTCCGAAGGGTGACTAAGACAGGCTTTCTTTTCCTGTCTTCAGAATGAATGGATTACAAAGACTAGATACAACTTTAGGTTTTCTTTGTCTTCTTTTTTTTTAATTTAATTTTTATTTTCTTTTTCTTTTTCTGTGAGCCTATGGCTTGTATTGAAACTTTAGGTTTTCTTGAGCTGTGGTGCTGAGGGCAGGAAGAAGACACTAACAGCGAAGCATGTGTTTGTGGTTGTTGGAGGATTCCTGCAGTTCACTTGAGGTGGCGGAATCTTCTGGTGGAGGGATGCCCTCCGGCGTGGGTCTGGGGTTGTGTGCTCCTGGTGGTCCTAGTGGTTTTCTTTGCCTGTGGTCCAGATACTGCTGGATACTGGCAGCTCCTGTGGTTGGGCCAGTTTGTACACTTGGCGTTAGGCTTGATCAGTGATGTTGCTGACCCTCGCCCATGCTGGGTAAGTGTCCAGGTGGAAGAGGCTAACTCCCCAGGTGTTGATGGCCACCATTACTATCACCAGTCCAATAACGTTGACTCCCAGGCCAGCTTTCACCTGCAGGACACAAACCAGCACACCCTAGTCACTCTGACCAGCAGCAGCACAGATCCCCAAGTCCCCCTTCTGTTCCTGCAGCCTATGCCTTGTGGCCCAGATTAGTTCCCAGTTGCTGCCTGGGGTGCTCTAGCATTGCCTTGTAGGGTGCACAGGACTGTGGAAAGGCGGGAAAGGGACAATTAGAGTCATCTCCACTTCATGCTTACAGCACTCTCACTAGATTTCAAGTGGAAGCCTAGAAGGTATGTTAGTTACTTGGAACACCCACTCTGTGGAACGTGAAGAGGTATTTCTGCAGCTCACTGATAGGGAAATGTGCTAAACAAAACTAACCAGATCTCTGTAAAGCAGGAACTTCTCAGAGCCCCGATGCGTTAATACAGGGAACTTGTACGAGGGGCTATATTACATGAAGCCTTTGCTACTGTTACCTTTTTTTAAGGAACAGCTCATGGAAATAGTGTACCTTGAGTTCACTTGGGGAAACGGTTTAGCTGCCTCTGCTCAGCTCTTCCTCAAGAAGGGGACACAGGCATGCTAGCTGGAATGGAGCCTTTGCTTCTTTCCTCTGAGGGAATTACACCTCAGTGACTGACCCTTTTCACTTCTGCCTTGACATTGACACCCACAGGCTGAAGTGGGGGATGTGAGAGATGGTGGGCTGGCAGAGCCAGATGGAAAAATGTGTCCTGTAAGGATAGCTGGCATCTTCCCAAGGAGTAACCAGGCATATAGCATGTAGCCAAGACAAGTCACTAGCTGGCATTAAGTTGGGAAAATTGCAAGGGGAAAGTGGATGCTGGGAAATTGTTTCAAGCAAATGGCTAGACGTGTCCTCTCTCTCCTGCCGTCTGGTCGGGGCCCCCTGGGCATTTTGGCATGGAGGACAGCCCATGTTTCCCCACAGGTGAGAGGGCAGGTTCTAGCAGGGCTAAATTAAGGAGTGTTAGAGTTGAAAGGGACCCCATGGAGCATCCAGCTGGAACCTCATCATTTAGCAGATGAGGAAATTGAAGTCAAGGTAGTGCCCAAGCTGGGAATAGTGCCCAAGACTGGCTCACTTCTTGTCACCTGGTACCTTTGAAAATTACTGCCTCTGATCATTTGATTCCAGTGTAGAAAGCTAGGGGTCAGTGGTGGGGGCACACAGCAGAGGAAGCGGGAGACAGGAGAGCTGGGGTAGAGCTCAGCGTGAGCAGACTGAGGGTTACGCAGTAAGATGGGAGGGGAGAGGGATGGCTGGGACACTCCATTCAAGGAAGTATCACGGATGACTTAGATGAGCAGTTCGAACAGTCGAAAGGACCTGAATAGGCTGAGAGCAGTGACTCACACCTGTAATGCCAGCACTTTGGGAGGCCAAGGCAGGCAGATCATCTGAAGCCAGTAGTTCAAGACCAGCCTGACCAACATGGTGAAACCCCATCTCTACTAAAAATACAAAAATTAGCTGGGCATGGAGGCGCACACCTGTAGTCCAAGGTACTCTGGAGGTTGAGGCATGAGAATCACTTGAACCTGGGAGGCAGAGGTTGCAGTGAGCCGAGATCGCACCACTGAACTCCAGCCTGGGTGAGAGTGAGATTCTGTCTCAAAAAAAAAAAAAAAAAAAAAAAAAAAAGGATAAAAAAGGACCTGAATATCTGCCACCAGCCTGAAACTTTTTCTTCCTTTCCTCTATTTGTTACTTTACAGGGCTGCCCGAGAACAAATTTGGCTCCCATGAAAAAAAATTGTCAGACCATCAGTAATTCGTATCAGTGTTTTCCATCCTCTCCCCCCCCGCTCAGCCCTGGATACTAAGTATAGCAGCAGGTGTATAGGTAGAGGAGTAGAAGGTAGATAGGCCCAGTGCTAAAGTCAGCAGCAAAATATCTCAAAGCCATCTTTTGTGAGCCCAGCTGAAAATGAAAATGAATGGTGGACGCTTCATTTTCCATTGTTGCTTCAGGGGTTTCTTGCCTGGGCCGGGGTGGAGGGTGAGTTGAGCAGAAGAATCCTGTTTTCTCAAAATACCTTTCACCCTAGGTTCATACACTTCCTCATTCTCATCTTCTGTGAATAAACCAGTAGCTTTCTCAATGAATGTCTCCACTGGCCTAATGAAGAAACGAAGGCAAAACTTGTTTGCACAGGCTCATGCCTTCTGGAACTGGGCCACAGCCTGTCTGTTCCAGCTTTCTCTACCTAGGTACCCACTTCCTTCCAGGGAAGGGTTGGGGAGAGCACATTCTTGCTATCCTTGGTGCTTATAGACCAACAAAAACCTTTTTATAGGTGCTATTCTTGCTACCACACTGGGTTTAGCATTGACAGGCCAGGGACACTGCTACAAAATAAGCTTTGAAAGAAGGCTGCAGAGCTGTCATCCCTGTCCTCATGGCAGCTGGGCCTGGCAGGGAGAGGGCACCCCAACTCACCATATCTTTGATCTGGCAGTGCCCATAGCTGAAGACGATGGCATTAGGGGGATTGCCCACAGGCAGCATCACTGCAAAGGAGATGCACATGGTGACTGGGATCAGGGTGTAGAGGGGGTTAATGTGCAGCGTTTCAGACTAGAAGAGAGAATTCACAGAAACATTCACGAGATTAGGCTTGCATTTCCTGTGCTTAATGTCAGGAGCATGCTTTAATGATGACTTGGTGCTGGCTAACCTTAGCAGGACACTATGTGGAGGGGTAGTTAGGTCTCTGCCCTCTGGGGCATGCAGTCCCTTGACAACCTGAATAGGCTGATGCTGCTTACTTGCTCCACATGGAAATATGGCTTTGAGTTACTCCCTAGAAGGGATGTTTGATTTTTTTGGTGTTATTCTAAGGAATTGGTTCCTAAACTTTATTCTTTAGCTGAGACTTCCTTTCCTTAAACTCAAATCTCATGAATAGGTTGCTTTGATTGAAGTGGGGATTCCTCAGTCTTAGGGTACAGAACTAAGGTGGTTTTTTTTTTTTTTTTTTCCTAGGGAAGATAATTGTTTTATATGGGATTTGAATCCATGGTCCTGCTCTCAATGTTGCCAAGTTTTAACTGCACTCTGTTGCTCGCAGGAGCAAGATGACGGAAGGGAGAAGTTGGGGTCATCTGAGCAATGAGCAGAGAGTATGGCTCTGGGGTTAGAAAGAGCAGTAGGAGACTATGTTGCTGGGGTCAGGAGGGGCCTTCATTTCCTGGATTCTGCCTCCCAGAATGGGACAGATGAAGCATTGGGTCAGATGCATCACCTTTCCGGCTGCTTGGCCAGGCTAAGATCTGGCCGTTGCTCCCCTCCCTTATTCTATTCACAACAAATTGGTCTGAGGTTGTGGAGCAAAGCTGACCTTGCTCCCAATCCTCAGAACTTCCCGGAGGACAGTGAAACTCAGTGGAGGCTGTGATGATTGTCTGAGTTGTGAGCTCAGTCTTTTCAGCTGTGTGTGTTTTACCTCCATTTTCTGTGGCTACCTCTTTGGCCCTACTCAGGTTTTATCTCAGGAGAGAAAGGTTGATAATGATTGCGGGGAATTGAAATGATAGGGTTTGAATATTATTTTGTATGTTCTTTGGTTTCCACTCAGGGCTGCCCCTAAACTAATCCTACTCTTTTGGACAAAGGTTTCTAGAACTCTTGCTATGATTTATTAGTGTATCTTTTTATTTACTAGTTGCTATTTGAAAAACTTCATTTTTCAAAATAGGAATTGAACACCAATTAGTGAAGGCTGTGGGCAGTAACCAGAGGAGAGCCTACAGCTACGGAAGCTGCCCTGAGCCAGGCCTGCCACTCCAGGCCCCTGGGACAGCCTGTCTGGATGTCTGGGAGCTCCGCATTACTCACCAGGCTGCACAGGATGGGCAGGAAGATGGTGATGGTTGCTGGGTTGCTCACAAACTCAGTGACAATGGACACGAGGATGCATGCCAGCAGGGTGACAGCCCACGGTGGGAGGCTGCTCAGGGACAACATCTGGTTCCCAATCCATGTAGAGAGGCCAGAGCTCTGTAGGAAGAGGTGTTACAGTAAGAAGAAAGGAGAAGAAGCACATCCCAGCTAGAGATCTTAGACTTCAGAAGGTCAGGGATGTTGGAAGGCTGGACGACCAGGGATCCTCTGATCTTTAGTCTGACTGGAACCAGAGGTGTTCCTGATTTTTATGGTTCGATCATTTTTGTAGTTCAGAAAATTGGTTTTTATGATTGCACAACATTCAGTGTTTGGGTTTCGTCATGGGACATGGAGAGCCACCCTAATTGCCATGATCCTTCTTAGGACTTTGCCATGACAACTTGTCAGAGGTTGGAGATCTTTGCTCCTCAACTTCAGTCTCGTTACCCTTTCTCTAGCCTCTGACATCCTTACCCTGTGCATTGATTCGACAATGCCCTTCACAGAGTGCCAAGTATAGCCATTTAATCTGCTTTTGAAACCAGTTTATTTTGTTACCTAAAAAAGGGAAAAATTTATCAACATCTGTGGATAGTAGCCTTTCCTGTGTTTTTAAGGAGATGAACAGGCAGGGCTGAGCACTGGAGGTTTTACAGGAGTAATAAAGTAGAGGGGGATAAAAGTCTATTTCCACTTAGTGGAGAAGGTGCCTCTTAAGTGCCATAGAGGCTGGTCATTCAGCCCCAACCTGTTTTAGGTTCAAATCTCATCATGGCTGACATTAGTTCTACTATCTGTCAGGAATTTTTTTTTAATTAAGAGGAGGGTCTTGCTCTATTGCCCAGGGTCCAGGATGAGTGCAGCAGCATGATCACAGCTCACTGCAGTCTCAACCTCCTGGGTTCAAGCAATCCTCCCACCTCAGCCTTCCAAGTAGCTGGGACCACAGGCACATACCATCACGCCCTGCTCTTTTTATTTGTAGAGACAGAGTCTTTCCATGTTGCCCAGGCCTGTCTCAAACAGACCTGGGCTTAAGCGATTCTCCCACGTTGGTCTCCCAAAGTGCTGGGATTATAGGTGTGAGCCACCGCACCTGGCCTGCCAGTGCTTTTTGAAGACACAGATATGAAGGCATATTGACCGTCCTGAATTTATTCCACTAGCAACAGTTACACACATCCACTTAAATAAATGAACATTCTGGCTGGGTGAGGTAGCTCACACCTGTAATACCAGCACTTTAGGAGGCTGAGGAAGGTAGGTCACTTGAAGTCAGGAGTTTGAGACCAGCCTGGCCAATGTGGTGAAAGCCCACCTTTACTAAAAATACAAAAATTAGCTAGGTGTGGTGGCACGCGCCTGTAATCCCAGCTATTCAGGAGGCAGAGGCAGGAGAATTGCTTGAACCCGGGAGGCAGAGGTTGCAGTGAACCGAGATTGTGCCATTGCACTCCAGCCTGGGTGACAGAGTGAGACTCTGTCTCAAAAAAATAAAAAATAAATGAATAAATATTCCCACTTGGAATGATTCATTTGGTTGGAAGATGTTCACCTGCAAATAGGGAGGGCTACCTCCCTCTCCTAAAAAATGAAAGGTATCATTGAGTTTTGTATTAAAAACTCCAGGTTGCCATATGCATCCTGCCTCCCTTCCTCTCTCTCTTCTATGGTGACAGGCTCTGCCTTTTCCCATGGTACCCTAGAAACTGCGAATGCAATGACAATATGGAGAGCAGGGACAGAAAGGAAGGTGAGACATTTATGATTCCTCAAGCTCTTAAGTCCTGCTACACATGTTTTACTATTAAATACCGCCTTCCCTACACTGCCAGCATGTTACTTTTTCTCCTCTCTTCCAAATTCATCAAAAGCTCATTTCATCTCTACAGTACCCTGGCCACCTCCTGGCAAGCTCATAGACAACTGAGGACCAAAGGCCTTCAGAATTCTCTCTGTTGTAGCCACTTCACCTTGTAGAACTTTTCTTCCTTTTTTTCCTCTCAACTCACTGAGAGCTTACAAACCCAATATGTGCAGACTGCATCAATTAATGCTTGTTTCAGAGCCCCAAGGCCTCCAGGAACTCTTTAATTGTTCCCTCTGGTAACACATTAAACCTTGCTCATTGGACAGAGGCAGGGGAGGAACAGCAGTTAGTTGAATGGAAATGGTACATTATATAAAGAGATGGAGTTTTACTTAACGTTATCCAAATAGTACTGGTAAGTAAAGTGAAATAATTTTTTTTTTCTTTTTGAGACAGAGTTGTGCTCTGTCACCCAAGCTGGAGTGCAGTGGCACCATCTCAGCTCACTGCAACCTCTGCCTCCCGGGTCCAAATGATTCTCATGCCTCAGCCTCTTGGGTAGCTGGGATTACAGGCATGTGCCACCATCCCCGGCTAAATTTTTTTTTTTTTTTGAGAGGAAGTCTCACTCTGTCGCCCAGGCTGGAGTGCAGTGGTGCGATCTCGGCTCACCACAACCTCTGCCTCCCAGGTTCAAGCAATTCTCTGGCCTCAGCCTCCCAAGTAGCTGGGATTACAGGCGCGTGCCACCACACCCGGCTAATTTTTGTATTTTTAGTAGAGACGAGGTTTCACCATGTTGGCCAGGCTGGTCTCAAACTCCTGATCTCAGGTGATCCACCCACCTTGGCCTCCCCAAGTGCTGGGATTACAGGCATGATCCACTGTGCCCAGTCCCTGGAGTTTTGCTTTTGTCACCCAGGCTGGAATGCAGTGGCACGATCTCGGCTCACTGCAACCTCCTCCTCCTGGGTTCAAGTGATTCTCCTGCCTCAGCCTCCCAAGTAGCTGGGATTAAAAGTGTCCGCCACCACGCCTAACTAATTTTTGTATTTTTAGTAGAGACAACGTTTCACCATGTTGGCCAGGCTAGCCTCAAACTCCTGGCCTCAAGTGATCCTCCTGCCTCACCCTCCTTAAGTGCTGGGATTACAGGCGTGAGTCACCATGCCCGGCCTAGTAAAGTGAAATAATTTATTGGCAATTATTTTTCCAGCAGAACTATTTTATACTATGATTTGAAATAAATTAGACTTCAAAGTTAGACAAAAACACAATCAAAGGAAGTCTTAATTCTTTAAACTCTTGGTATGAAAACATTTTACAATGGATTTTCTTCACTAATGTCAAAACTGAAATTATTTCAAACTCTGTAGGAATCACATATATGCTACCTAAATTATTATTAAAATTAGTAGAGGCAGTAGGCTTTACAGAAATAACTGTACTATCTCTAATATGTGCACAATTTTGTTTTTATTGTTTTTTTTTTGTTTTTGTTCTTGTTTTTTGTTTTGGTGGCAGGGGATAGGGTCTCCCTCTGTCTCCCAGGCTGGAGTGCAATGGTGGGATCTTGGCTCACTGCAGCTTTGAACTCCTGGGCTCAAGCGATCCTCTCACTTCAACCTCCTGAGTAGCTGGGACTACAGGTACGCACCACCACACTGGGCTAACTTTTGTTTTTGTAGAGATAGGATCTTACTATGTTGCCCAGGCTAGTCTCAAACTCCTGGACTCAAGCAATCCTCCCGCCATGGCCTCCCAAAGTGCTGGGATTACAGACATGAGCCACTGTGCCCAGCCCAATTTTGGTTAAAAAAAAAAATAAAATCTTGCCAGGCCAATCTTGTCAGAGGCCAAAACTAACAACTGAAATTCAATAAAGATAAATATAAATATCCCGAACTTGGAATGAGAAATATTGATGGCATATATATAGGATGGGGTGAAGGTCCAGTAATGATGAACAGTTAAAAAGAATGAAGGGTTCTAATTGACTGCAGTTTTAATATAATTGTTGACATGAGTGCCAAGGATGCTTTATAAAAGCTTCCATAAAAATGCAGGGTGCTGCTTGAATCAGAGGTGAGAGATGGGGCTTGGGTAATATAACTACTCTACTTGGCAGTAGACTGACCACCCCATAGACTATGTTTGAATAAGGCCAAGTGTAGTGAGTCCTGAGGAGAGAGACCAGATGGTATGGGTCACTACTACTTGATTTTTTCATGTTAATAATTATTATCTAGGAGAGGGTCCCAGAGAACAGAGCTAGAGCCAACAGTGGACAGACAACATGCAGAAGACCTGAGCTGAAAATAAGGAACAATTATTCTTTGTTCCCTGCCCAGGGAGTACCTTGTCACTGGAAGTGTCCAAGCCAGAAGTGCCATGGAGGGGAATCTCACCATGGGCAGGAGATAGGACTCATTGTTTTCTAAGGTTCTCCTTAGTGGAGTATTCTGTGACCTTATTATTAATAATGCAGATAGTATTTTGGGCCATGAAAAGTGAACCAAGCCGGGCACAGTGGCTCATGCCTGTAATCCCAGTACTTTGGGAGGCCAAGGTGGGTGGATCACTTGAGGCCAGGAGTTCAAGACCAGCCTGGCCAACATGGTGAAACTCCATCTCTACTAAAAATACAAAAATTAAGCTGGGTGTGGTGGCGTGTGCTTGTGATCCCAGCTATTTGGGAGGCTGAGGCATGAGAATTGCTTGAACCTGGGAGGCAGGGGTTGCAGTGAGCAGAGATGGCGCCACTGCACTCCAGCCTAGGTGACAGAGTGAGACTCTGTCTCAAAAAAAAAAAAAAAAAAAAAAAAAAAGAGAACCAAGTTTAGCATGGGATAATGCATGTAGATGAGATGGAGGGAGAAATAGTCTGAACCTTAACCTAATTCATTCTTAAGATTGTTTTCTATTTTATGGAGGGCTAACACTTTAGGAAATTCAATCATCCCCTCACATCCCCACCCCACTTAAAAGATCTCATCCAAAATCCTCCCAGTCAGAAAATCAAGAAGCATTTACATCAGCTTTAGCCTAGATTTTCCAAAGGGGCTCAGTCTATGTATTGTGGACAGACAGTTCACCATGTGTCACTTGGAGCATCTCTGGTCCCTTACAGAGATCGCCTATTACCACTCCTATTACCTATTACCTATGTCTATCTCCTGTTACCATCTCCTATTGCCACTGTCAAATCCCAGAAGGAGATGGCTGCAAACTCCAATAAACCTTTTGCTTGTAGCAGCATGGGCCCCATAGATGAACTATCAATGCCCATGTGTCATGACTGTGTGGCACAGCCCATCTGTTCCTCTGTTCCTAGTAGCGCTGAGAAGCTTAGGGCAGCAGAGGACATCCATCCTGCTCTATTGTTTCCCTTCCCAGGGACTCTGTGAACATTCTCAGCTGCTTTGAGTCTTTCCTCCCATGCCCATAATGACTCATTAGGTAAAGATGCTGGAAAAGTATTTGACCCATAAGAACAGAATTCAAGCCGGGTGCAGTGGCTCATGCCTGTCATCCCAGCATTTTGGGAGGCCGAGGCAGGTGGATCACTTGAGGTCAGGAGTTTGAGACTAGCCTGGCCAACATGGTGAAACCGCGTCTCTACTAAAAATACAAAAACTAGCTGGCATCATGGTGCACGCCTGTAATCCCAGCTACTTGGGAGGCTGAGGCAAGAGAATCGCTTGAACCCAGGAGGCGGAGGTTGCAGTGAGCTGAGATTGTGCCACTGCACTCCAGCCTGGGTGACAGAGCAAGACTGTCTCAAAAAAAAAAACCCCAAAAAAACAGAATTCAAGAATTACCTTGCTACCAGAAGCCAGAGCATAGCCTCCCCCAACCAGAATGACAATCTCCCAGGGCATGGTCTTCTGGAAGTCCTTCCACGTGATGATGGGCTCGGTCCCCAGTGAGTGCTCCTGGTTCTCTCCTGGATTAGAGAGAGATGTAAAGCCAGATAAACCCTGATGGACGTGATTTGTGGAGACAGGAGCCTAATTGGTGAAGTGGATGATTTGGGATACTGCTATTTGGGGCGGGGGCCGGGAGGGGGGTGGGAATCTGAAGGACCTTGGTAAATCTCTTTGGGAGTATTAGTCTGATTTGGGTATTCTTCAACTAGAGCTACCCCCAGTTTCTTCCCTTCTCTCACCATCATTCTTTTTCCCAAAGCAGGGCTTCTTCGCTGGAATGAGGAAGAGGAGGAAGCCAAGGAAGACAGAGACTGTGGCATCAGTACGGTAGCCTTTCCTAGTAAAGAGACAAGCATAGCTGAGGAGAAGGGTCAGGAATTTTCAGGAGTAACATGATGTCTCGGAGCAGTCTGTCCGAACACAGTGCCTCTTTTTAGGACTTATCTAGAGGTAACATTAAGCTTAGTTCTTGCCAGTTGCTGCCACGCTATCCACTTTGGATTTAATGGGCAATGGCGAATGTCTGGAGGCAGGGCCTGGCTAGAGTAGATGTCTTAATGTGAATTTGTGAGCCCGTTAATTGGGGCAAGTCCTAGATGGAGTGATCAGGAGTGGAGTTGGTTAGATAAAGGAGAATAGAAGAGGATGAGACCTCTTTCCTATGAAGGCCACACCTCCATGTGCCTCCCTTCTCAAGTGAGAAGTTGATTTCTTCTTTACAGTTGGTACTTTATAGATGTTTCCTCCTTTAACTTTCATAACCACCTATGAGGTAACCAAGCTTCCAAGAGCTTATGTAATGAGACTACATGCAGCACTGGATTCCAACCCCAGACCGGGACTCCAAAGAGTGTTTTTCCTTCCTGATTTCACACTGCAGCCTCCCTAAAAAGAGTGGATTTCCTGGGGAATGAAATCTTCCTGGCTTCATATCTGCCCCTGAGAGTCTATGAAGTCTTGCCTGAAGAATTGGGGTGAGGGGGTTGTTCTTAAGGAGGAAATGATATCACTTACTTTTCAAAGAAAGAATCCCAGCCAGGGACAAAGCCAGGCTCCCGGGTAAACCACAGTACGGTCATCAGGATGAAGAAAAATCCAGTCACCATTTCTGGGTAGCTATAAAATAAAACAGAAAGACCCACTCAGGAACTGAGAAATTTCTCCTAGCTTTTTCACTTTGCTTCTGGAAGCTTCTGTATTTAGAGTTTCAATACCCTAGACATAAAACACACTCACTGCCTAACCACTATGAATGGCTGACAGTGAGATGAGGAGAAGACTGAGTGGCCCCAGAAAACATGACATTAACCATGTTCCTGGAGAAACTTCAGTAGAAAGGGCAAGAGAACACAGCACTGTACATTTGTAAAATAATTTCAAATACAGCCTACAAGGAGAGTGCAGTGAAATAGGCAGCCCCAAACACTGTGCTGGTGGGAGGAGGAATTGCTACAACCTTTTTGAGGCCATTTGATGATACACATTAGAAGCCTTAAAGTTGGTCATTCCCTGGCTGGGTGTGGTGGCCCACGCCCGTAATCCCAGCACTTTGGGAGGCCGAGGTGGGCGGATCATGAGGTCAGGAGATGGAGACCATCCTGGCTAACACAGTGAAACCCCATCTCTACTAAAAATGCAAAAAATTAGCTGGGCGTGGTGTCACGTGCCTGTAGTCCCAGTTACTCGGGAGGCTGAGGCAGGAGAATCGCTTGAACCCAGGAGGTGGAGGTTTCAGCGAGCCAAGATTGTGCCACTGCACTCCAGACTGGGCAAAAGGGTGAGACTCCATCCCAAAAAAAAAAAAAAAAAAAAAAAAATAGTTGGTCATTCCCATCATCTAACCAGAAATGCATACTGAGACATTAATTACCTATTAAAAAATGGAAGCATCCTCTATATCCAATGGTATTTCATGACACTGAATACATTTTGATACAACTCTGTGTTAAAATGAGATGCATCCATTGATAATCCCATTTCCACAGCAGAGTTAAGGATGTGGAACATACTGTACTGAGAGTACAAAGTTGAGTTGAGAAAGGCAAGGTATACAACAGTTTCAGTGTGGACTGAATTTTACCAAAAATACATAAGAGTTTTGCACAAAAAAGCATGGAAAGAAGTGTTAACATGGGGTGCTAAGAATCCAGTCAATTTTGATTTTTTTTCTTATACTGTCTTGTATTTTTGAAATGTTCTACAATGAACATGTATTCCTTTTATAACTTAAAGCTTTAAATAAGACAGTGTCTACCTGGATTGTTTTATGCAAAGTTGTATGTGCCAATTGCCATAAAAGGAGAAATAGCACTAAATAGGAAGCTGGGTCCCTGTGGAAAAGCTGATGGAAGTGGCTGAGGGTTGGTTAGTGATTTCTTGGACGCTCTCTCTCCAAGTCTGTCTTTGATACTGCCTTATACCCTAAATATAGCACAGAGTCTCCCATCTCCCTGGGAGTGATAACCGCACCACTGTGGTGGCGCGTCTGAGCAATGAGAGGTGGCCTGGCTTTGGAAGGAATTCACATTTTCCAAGAGGGTGGCTGTGCTGTCTTTCCCTTCTTCTGCCTCTGTCTGCTCCATGGTCAGCACTCCACCCCATGCCATGGCTATACCCTGGACTCTGAATAGAGCAAAGGGGAAGGGTGGCCACCTGAAATCTGGGCCAGCTTGGCTTTGGCACTAAATAGCATCTTCTAAAGGCCTGATTCAGAGTTGTGGAAAATTCTCCCAGTGTCAGGGATTGTCAGGAACAGGGCTGCTCCTGTGCTCACTTTACCTGCTGTGTTTCTGCTGGAGAAGGAGGGAAGAGGAATGGCTGATTT
The DNA here is from genome assembly GCF_000001405.40 of Homo sapiens. Classification (NCBI taxonomy): domain Eukaryota; kingdom Metazoa; phylum Chordata; class Mammalia; order Primates; family Hominidae; genus Homo; species Homo sapiens. The sequence goes on from NC_000007.14 coordinate 135,694,133, forward strand.
TTACCTAATGTCTCCCAGTTTTTCATATTCTTCTTGGATCCTCTTCTCTGACAACTGTTCCCTTTTGGTCTTCTTCTTCTTGCTCAGAGAGCAGGTCTCTTTAAAACTGAGAAGGGAGAATGAGCAAATGATTAAAGAAAACACACTTCTGAGGCCCAGAGATCAAATATTAGGTAAATACTAAACCGCTTGCCTGCTGTGGTCACTTTTCTCCTCTTTCACATGCTCTATCCCTCTATCCCCCACCTATTCATATGGCTTTTATCTGCCAAGTTATCCGGCCTCTCATCAACCTTCTCCCCTAGCCTACTGGGGATATCCATCTGGGTCTGTCTCTGGTGTATTGGTGTGAAGTGATGTCTCAGGGACTTGTGCAAGTGTATTCGTGTGGGGTCATTTCTACCTACTTGTCTTTTACGTAAGTAAAATAATCAGTGTAATGTGGTATATGTGTCTAGATGTATAAACTAAAACTTTTATTCCACTATGTGTCTAGATGTATAACTAACATTTTTACTCCAGAGAAGCTTTGTCTCTAGCCAAACAAACACACAAACATCTGCGTATATGGAACACACAGTGTTAGTTTTATGTTAGCAATACTGGAGTTAAGAAGTATATAGTTATCATTGGTTTGACAACAGTCTGAGTAAAAAGAAAAGTCAGAGAACATTTCTTGACCAATGGGAGCATTGGGTTACATGGACTAATAGCAAAACATTATATTATCTTCCCTTATGTGTTTGAAACTGATCAAATTTGGAGTAGACTGACTTGTTATTTTGAGGCATATGAGCATATTTTATTCAGGCTACTAAGTATAAATCACCCATGCCTATAAAGTTAAACCTAATGCAAATTCTACTTAGAGTCATATTTTTTATTTCCTATTTCTTGGAGTAATTGGAAGTGCTCTGTATGCTTTGAGAGCAATAAAACGACATTAAATACTCTTCACCTCAGACTTTGTATAAACTGGACAGGCTCTCTAACCATTTAGTTGGAATTAAGAACATTTCGTTGTAGAGCTGAGAGTGAAGTGCAGAGTTCACAAATGTTTAGAATGTCTAGAAGAGACAGCACCTGACTCTCAGACCAGACCACTGCATTCTCCTTGGGCATCCTCTGTGGTTACTTGGCAGTCCCCCTTGCACAGAGCCATCCAGGGCCCATGCCATGGCCTTTGGATCAACAGGGGGGCTTCAGTGCTTTGCTGAAAGGGCCCTGGAACTCACTTGCAGCCCAGGAACAGCCAGTGCATCCAGAACCAGCTGACCACCAGCATGATGAGGGATATGGGGAAGCTGAAGAGGAACCAGGTGCCAAAGTTCACCACCTCTGCGGCTGGATACTGGCTGGAGGGTAAAGAACCAGGTCAGCAATTAGAAAGGGAGGGTTTCCATATGGTATTTTGGGGTAGTATGCCAAATGCTCCCTAAAACATACAGCTGGGCTAAGTGGGGAGATAATGATAACGATATGGTAAAACGTTGCCTAGGACTCATTTAGTTGACAGTTGCAATTGTACAGAGCCCAGACAAGAATCATGAAACTAGCTAAAAAAAGGAATCAAAACAACTAAAATTAATATCATTAAAGTGTATATACTTTGCACTCAAGAGAATGACTCAGGACGTGTTTGCCCTTAAAGATTCTGCTAAGTTTATTCATCTGGTTTTCAAGGCAACAGAAAATGGAACAGCTTGGTATACTTTGTTTCTAAAATCACCAAAGGAATGTAAGTTTTGATTGGGGGACACAATTCTGGAGAATCTGGAGCTTTAGGGCTTAATGAAGTTTTTAGATATTAACGGTGCCCATAAGAGAACCAGGACTTGGAATCTCCAAATCTTTATCAACATCCACTGGTCTCAGGGTAGAGGGGATTTGTATGGGGAACTGCTCATTCATCAGCAGGCAGAGCTGTGGCCCCTCAGCCCAAGTGCTGTTTCCTGGGGAGCCTGGATGGACCACGCGAGAGCTGTGGCTTTTGCCTAGACGAGGCTCAGGCCTAAATGACCTATGCTGTGTTTTCCTTGGGTCTCTGTTTTTGGGGCTGGGCGTAAAACTCCTCAAGTTGTGAGACATCCCTCTATCAGTGATCCCTTCTCCCAGATCTTTAACTTCCCTCTCATCTGGATCATCCCTACCAGCATCTAAATGTCTCCCATCTTGAAAACTCCGTCTTGACCCTGCTCTACTTTCCTTTTATTTTTTTATTTTTATTTTTTTTTGAGACGGAGTCTTGCTCTGTCGCTTAGGCTGGAGTGCAGTGGTATGATCTCAGCTCACTGCAACTTCCGCCTTCTGGGTTCAAGCAATTCTGCTGCCTCAGCCTCCCAAGTAGCTGGGATTACATACAGGAGCACACTACCATGCCCAGCTAATTTTTGTATTTTTAGTAGAGACGGGGTTTCGCCATGTTGGCCAGGCTGGTTTTGAACTCCTGACCTCAGATGATCTGCCTGCCTTCGCCTCCCAAAATGCTGGGATTACGGGCATGAGCCACAGTGCCCGTCCCCTACTTTCCTTTTATTATCACCCCACATCTCTCCTTCCCTTCACAGCCAGCTCTCCATTTTCTCACCTCTACCTTAGTCCTCAACTCACCAGAATCTGGCTGCTTCTCCCACCTCTTGACCAAGGTCCTCTTGCCTACATCACCAGTAACCTCCACATCACCAAATCTAATGGATACGTTTTCATCCTTACTTTGCATCATCATTCATTGACATTAAATATTGTAGGCACTTCCTTTTTCTTGAAATACTTTCCTCCCTTGGGTAGAGTGGCACCAGATTTCCCTTCCCTCTCTGCTGTCTGATATTGTTTCCTTCTGTCCGTTAAATATGTGAGCTTAATATTTATGTCCTCTGTTCTCCTTACCCTGTATATTCTAGGTAATTTCCTCCACTCCCGTAGCTTCCCTTACCAGGAGGCAAAATGAATATGTGGCCCCTTTACCCAAAGGTTATTATGAATATCCAGGCAGGGACAGCAGAGCATTAAACCAAGCGTGACGCCTGTCTGGGCATGGTGGCCCTGTGTCCCTGTACAGGCGGCACGCCCATGACCCCAGCGCTGCAGGCCGCTCTCTTCAAATCTATGCCTTCAGCCTAAGCATTAATATTTGCCTTGACATTCACAGGTCTGTTTTCACCTGGACATCTCAGCCTCTATGCCACTTTTTCCAACACCCCATACTTCCTCTTTCCCCTCTATTCCTTCACATGCTGAGGGCAGGAGCCTGAGAGGCAGACACGGCCTTTCCCTCTCTCAGGCCCTTTCTAACCTTCCTGAGACCCAGCAAGTGACCTCTGAGTTTCCCTTAAACCTGACTGTTCCTCCTCCCCACTGCACTGTCAGCCAAGCCACCGGCTGCCCTGGACAACTTTGCAGCAGTGTCCTGAATTGCCTTCCTGCTGTCTGGTTTCTCCTTTCCAATCTGTTCTCCTTTTTTTTTTTTTTTTCTTTTTCATCCAGAATGAGTTTTCAAAACTATAAATCTGACCATCTCACTCCCTGCTTAAAATTCTTTAAAAGCATCTCAGAGCCTTTCAGATGCAGTCCAAGTTCCTCAGTGGGTCTTGCCAAGCCCTGAAGATCTGCCCATCCAGCTCCCTGGCCTCCTCTTACCCTCTGTCGTTTTCTTTTATGTGCTCCGCTGTCCTGCCTCGGAGCCCTCCTACATACTGCTTTCTTTGTCTGGCTAATCTCTCTTAATCTAGCTTACTCCCGTCCTTCAGGTTTCCACATGGTCGCCTCTTCAGGGAGGCATTTCCTCCCTGCAAATGGGCGAGCTCTCCCAGCAGGGCTCTCCCTGCAGAGTCCTGGACTTCTCCAGTCTCACTTAGCTATAATGACTTGATTTCCCCCTTTTTTTCCTTTTTTAAATTTTTATTTATCTATTTATTTTTTGAGATGGAGTCTTGCTTTGTCACCCAGGCTGGAGTGCTGTGGTGCGATCTCAGCTCACTGCAACCTCTGCCTCCTAGGCTCAAGCGATTCTCCTGCCTCAGCCTCCTAAGTAGCTGGGATTACAGGCACCTGCTACCATGCCTGGTTAACTTTTGTATGTTTAGTAGAGATGGGGTTTCACCATGTTGGCCAGGCTGGTCTCGAACTCCTGACCTCAAGTGATCCGCCTGCCTTGGCCTCCCAGAGTGCTGGGATTACAGGTGTGAGCCACCGTGCTGGGACTCTTTTTTTTTTTTTTTTTTGAAGCGGAGTCTTGCTCTGTTGCCCAGGCTGGAGTGCAGTGTCACGATCTTGGCTCACTGCAACCTCTGTCTCCTGGGGTCAAGTGATTCTCCTGCCTCAGCCTCCTAAGTAGCGGGGATTACAGGCGCCTGCCACCATGGCTGGTTAACTTTTGTATTTTTAGTAGAGATGGGGTTTCACCATGTTGGCCAGGCTGGTCTTGAACTCCTGACCTCAAGTGATCTGCCCACCTTGGCCTCCCAGAGTGCTGGGATTACAGGTGTGAGCCACCGTGCTGGGACTTTTTTTTTTTTTTTTTTGAGATGGAGTCTTGCCCTGTTGCCCAGGCTGGAGTGCAGTGGCATGATCTTGGCTCACTGCAACCTCTGCTTCCCAGGTTCAAGTGATTCTCCTACCTCAGCCTCCTGAGTAGCTGGGATTACAGGTGTGCACCACCACACCCAGCTCATTTTTGTATTTTTAGTAGAGACGGAGTTTCACCATGTTGGTCAGGCTGGTCTAGGGATCCTGACCTCGTGATGCGCCTGCCTTGGCCTCCCAAAGCGCTGGGATTACAGGCATGAGCCACTGCGCCCGGCCTTTTTTTTGTTTTTGTTTTTTAAATAGAGACACTGTCTTGCTCTATCGCTCAGGCTCGGGTTCAGTGGCAGGATCATGGCTCACCGTAACCTCAAATTCCTGGGCTCCACAATTCTGTCTCAACCTCCTGAGTAGCTGGGACTGTATACAGGTGCGTGTCACCATGCTCAGCTAATTTTTAAATGTTTTCTAGAGACAGGGTCTCACTATGTTGCCCAGGCTGTTTTTGAACTCCTAGGCTCAAGCAATCCCCCCGCTTTGCCCTCCCAATGTGCCTTATTACAGATATGAGCCACTGTGCTCAGCCTGTTTTTCCCTCTTTCTACGGAAACTCTTCTATTCTCATTTTCTACCATATCTCTAGCACCTAGTCCAGTTCCTGACACACAGTGGTGGTTAGTAAATATTTGTTGACCAAGTGAATCACTTACTTGTTGAAGTGTTCCAGGAAGATGAGGCTGGTGGAGGTGCCGATGATGGTGGTCAGGCCGCCAATGGTAGCGGAGTAGGATATGCTCAGGGAGAGGCACTTGCAGATCATCTGGTCATGGTGGGACCTGTACTTTCTGTTCAGCTTCTGCTTCCTGGGGCTGGGGGTCAGGACTTGTGGCTTTTCCTAACGAAGGAAAATCAGCAAATCTGTCCAACCCAGCTTGGGCTGTCTGGCCGAAGCATGAGAGGCAGGAGGCACCATGGTACAGCGGAAAGGGTTTGAGCTTGGGTGTCAGAAAGACAAATCACAGTTTCTACCATTTGTCAACTTGGGCATGCATCTGAGCTGCAGTTTCTTCTTTGTAAAATGGTGGAAACCATATTTTCTCTGCTGAATTGTTGTGAAGAGTAAATGAAGTAATATATGTAAAGCGCTTAGAACACTTCCTGGCATTTAATGAATGGTAGGCTATTATTATTTTTGTGATTAATGTTATTATTGACAGCATGGGTTTTTATTTGAACTCCTGTAAAACTGGTGTCACTCTACATTGTGTTTGAATAACAAACAGATGTTATTCCTGTAGAGTTAGAATGACAGGATTTGGCCTTCCCCTCAGGCCCTTTCTAATCCTACCAAGACCCATCAAGCTACCTCTGAATATCTCTCAAATCTGGCCATTCAAGTCCATCAAACCCTGATGGAGAGATGACTAAAAAATACACCTGGATTACATAAAAACCCTAGTCTTCATTGGGAAGAGGGTTGAAGTGTGATTATTTCCTCCTTCCCTTCCTCATTCTTTTCTCCTTGCCTGACTTTTCCTCTCTACTTTTTTCTTCCCCCTTGCAGATAAACTTCAGTTTAGTTGTGGTCCTCTCTGAGCCTGCTTGGTCCAGATGACGGCCTTTCAGGGTCAGAGAGGTTGCTGAACTCTGGTCTCAAGTGTTTCCTGAAGAAGCAAGTCCCTCCTGTTCCCTTCACACCTGGCCACCTTCACTGATTCTTCATGAGACTAGGAAAGTCCTGGTGCAATTGTCAGCAAGTCAGGTCATGAAAGAACCAATGGGGAAGCGCCACCTTGCCACATCTCTCAAAGCCCTTTCCCACTGCCCCATCTTCCTAGTGGGGCCGAAGTATGGCTGACCCTCCAGACCTCTAAAAGATCCATTGATTAACAGAGCTGGAAGAGACCTCAAAGATTCTTTGGTCCAGTGGTTTTCCACAATCCTTTCTTCTACTGAAATTTTACACAGAATAGTTTAAGTGTAGCAATTGGATACATCCTTATTTTTTTGAGGCAGGGTTTCACTCTGTTGCCCAGGCTAGAGTGCAGTGGTGCCATCATAGCTCACTGCAGCCCTGACCTCCTGGGCTCAAGTGATCCTCCTACCTCAGCCTCCTGAGTAGCTGGGACTACAGGCATGCACCACCATGCCAGCTAATGATTTTACTTTTATTTTTAGTAGAGACGAGATCTGGCTGTGTTTCCCAGGCTGGTCTTGAATTCCTGAGCTCAAGTATCCTCCTGTCTTGGTCTCCCAAAGTGCTGAACCACCGCACCTGGCTGGCATGCATCCAATTTTGTAATTGGAAGTATATTGATGGGTTAATTGCATGTGGTCAAGGAGACTTGGATTTGAATCAGAATGCTCCCCTATCTAGTTCCTTGGTCTTGGGTTATGATTTCATCTCTGCCTTGTTTGCAAAAATGGAGCTCAAAATCGCTACCTCATTGAGCCAAGACCATAGAAAAAATGCTGAGTGCAATGATTGATACATAATAAGCATTTAATAAATGGTGGCAGTTATTTATGATGATGGATATTAAACAAGTGAGACTGTTTTGATGAACACAGACATTTGAAATCAACGGTCGTAAGTGACAGTTGCTATTTTATACAAGCCTCAACATTCATTCGACTTCTGCATTTTGTTTCAGAGGAATCGTGCCAGGAAGACAATTATTAGTTCAGAAAAGCAGGTGCCTTACAATCTTAGGATACTCAAATAAAATATTTGCAGTGTCCCTGAAGCACCTTTGAAGACTAGTTTGAGGACCTCTGATCTACACCAAACCCCAGCTTTTATCGTTGAAGACACTGGGGCTCAGGCAGTGGACTGTCTTGCTACAGTCAAGTGAGCTTGATGTCTCACCTCCATGGCGCACACAGGCCAGACATGTATGAGAGTAATGAGTGCCTGGTGACAGCTCACTAGCCTGATTCCCTTACGACTTCAAGACCAGTGCCCTTGGGAAGCAGTTCACAGCGTTTCATGTAGGAAACAGAGCTAGAAGGGGCCGTTCTATTACCTGGGATGGGTGTTGCTTCTTGCCCTGGTGTTGGTTTGCAGTTTTGATGGGGTTGGTGATCGAGGGCACACCATTCAGGTTCTGTTGGGACAAAGGCCATCTCACTATTAGGAAGAGGAAGTGGTGAGCCAGGTGCCTCGAGAAGGACCACCTAGTCATCCCAGGGCCACCCCATGCCTCAGCACTGTGGGAACCAGAGGCCAGAAGCCAGGGGGAGCATATACACCAGGGCACCTCAGCCAGGCCTGCCCCGCCCAGCCTGGTGTCAAGTTCTCCACTTGAAGAGGCTTTGAAACTAGGCAGAACATGGCTCTGCCCTTAGAGGAGAGCCAGCCTTTCTGGGACTTTATTAGCTAATGAAGAACCCTTTATATATAAGATGAAAAAAAAGAAAATAAAAAAAAAATAATCACAAGCAAGTCCACAGTTTTTTGTTTGTTTTAGAGACAGGGTCTCACTGTGTTGTCCAGGCTGGGGTCAAACTCCTGGGCCACAGCGATCCTCCTGCCTCAGCCTCCCCAGTAGCTGGAAGTACAGGTGCACATCATTGTACCCAGCTGAAGTCCAATGTTTAATTGGCCTTTTATACTTCTCATGAAAAGATGTATAACCAGATTTGGGGGAGGTGAAATAAGTTCGAGTAACTGTGTGCAGGTAAACTCTGCTTTCCCCTGTAAATGTGTTCTTTTTATTTTTATTTATTTTTATTTTTTGAGATGGGGGTCTCGCTCTGTTGCCCAGGCTGAAGTGCAGTGGCACGATCTGGGCTCACTGCAACCTCTGCCTCCCAGGTTCAAGTGATTCTCCAGCCTCAGCCTCCCAAGTAGTGGGGATTACCGGTGCCCATCACCACTCCCAGCTAATTTTTGTATTTTTAGTACAGGCGGGGTTTCACCATGTTGGCCAGGCTGGTCTTGAACTCCTGGCCTCAAGTGGTCCTCCTGCTGTGGCCTCCCAAAGTGCTGGGAGTACAGGCATGAGCCACCACGCCCAGCCAATGTGTCCTTTTTAATAATAACATTTTGTCAATGGAATCCTCACTGAAAGGAACTCTAAGGTGGATCTGTAGCTGTTGAAAATCTGGTTCTGAATCTTGGGTTTCCATGAAGAAGTGCTGAGGGATTTTCAAGTGATTCCAAAGCACAGAAAAACCCCAAGGCCATACCTCGTTGTGCATCAGAGTGGTGAGGTCTGCGTTGGACCTGCTGGAACCAAGCAGAGGACACAGGAGCCACGTCAGTGAGGCCGACTCTTGGGAGGGGAGGTCCCCCTGCATCAGGCGTTTGGTGTAAGGGACTTAAACTCTCTGGATTCCAGTTTTCTAGTCTCCAGAGAAGACTAATCTCTCCCTTGTCTTCCTTGCCTTCTGAGATGCTGTAAGGATTAGTGGGGCCAGGGGCCTGCTTCCTTCTGAGGGCAGGGGCAGCACTTTCCTTTGATATTAACAATCGTCCTAACAGCAGATGTGGAGTGGATATTAGATACAGAGTGCACATATATGGGCTTTAACCCCCAGACATTGTTAATCCTCATCACAGATCTATGGTCCTGGCATTCATACCTCCATTTACACCAGTACTTAGCACGGGGATGCTAAGTGGCAGAGGAGGGTAGGAGTCCAGGAGTCTGTCTCTCTGGAAAGCCTATGCCCCCTGACCATGTTCTCACTGGCTGACTCTCATGTTCTCACTGGCTGACTCTCATGTTCTCACTGACTGACTCTGGGAAGACCACTATCTAGAAAGGGGAACTTGTGATATGCGTATCGGAGGTGACAGGAGCAGGGAGGGCCTGGATTGTACTCAGGGAAAGTCAAGGGAGAGGGAGAGGGTGGCGGAGGGGGAGGACTTCTGATCAGCAAGTACACCTCAGGGGGTGAGTCTCTCCCACCCCTGCTGGTCCCCAACCTTTGCCTTGAGGACAGAAGAAGATGAGAACTTAGCCATCAGTGTAACTGACACACTGAGTGATCAGTGAATGTTTCCAGTTTGTCTTAGTTGCGAGGACAGTGGGAGCCACCAGCTCAGCCACTGTGAAGACAGAGAGCGTATTGGGCACACACATGCGGGATGTGGGTCCTGCGGCCATGGTCCCTCTTCAGGCTCTGTCAGGGAAGGATAAGAAGCTGACAGGCGTGCAGAGGGAAGTGTTCTTTGGAGTGAGTTCTTAGCCTGGGAGGAGAATGTGCTGTGATGTTTCCCTTCCCTTCTTCCCAAACTGGGTGAGGAGGGTAGGCGAGGATCCTCAGGTAGCATGGGAGGTGGTGGCCGCAAGAGTGCTGTCTGCACACCCAGCAAATGACCCAGTTCCCACCAGCACAAAAGATGCTTAGAGTTCTAGGGACAACTCAGGCTTTTCTTTTGGAGTTTGGGGATACATTTTTGTGTGGAAAAGAGCAAAGGCAAGAAGCCAGTAGGGTGATGCCAGAGAGGCCACAGGGAGGAGAAAAGGCCACAGTGAGGATGGCCTTTTCCTGGGTCACCTGGGACAGGCCTGCCCAGAGGCAGAGGCAGCCCCAATACAGGGGTTGTGGGGGAGTTAACCACCAGAGCACAGGCCCTGGAGGGTGGCGTGAGTGTTAATCCCAGAGCAAGGCCCTGCCATCAGGCCTGAGGCCCTGCAGAGGGCGCCATAATGGGATGCTCCAAAGACCCTGAAGGCAGTTGCCCCACAGATGAAAGAGCCAGGGACTGAAATCTCAGAGAGGGCACCAACCCCAGACCTCAATAGCCCCCATCCAGACCCTTCTCACCCATTTATCTTTCCTGTACCCTAGAGCTGCTGTCCTAAGCCCAGAAAAGTCAGAAGCAGCAGAGTGAGGGTGCGGTTAGGGGAGGAGGAGAAGAGGGAGGTGGAGGAAGACAGAAAGAAGCTCAACTCCCTCCCCCGACTTACTTTCACCTTCTTTCTTCTGCAGGCCTAGGGTGAGGGGTGGGTGGGTATGGGAGAAGCTTTGGCTGAGAAGTTGAAGTTTTGATTTGAATTTGGACTAGTCTCCCAAATGTCTGAACATGAGATTGTTATAATACCTGAAAGGAACCAGGAGAGCTACGGGATTTGCCTGGGATATCATCAAGGGTGATGTCATCAAGAAATCCAATATGCTATGATTGAAGATAGTGGTGGAGAAAAATAAAGCGATTTCCTGATGGCACCCTTCCACGTCTGTCCCACTGTGAACGCTGATTTCACCCAATGTGCGTTCTCCTTTTTTACAACAAGGGCAAATGACAGAGCTGAGCTGTATTACAAATCCAGCTTTTAAATGTGGACTATTCATTGTGGCATGCCTGTGGGCCACATTTTGAAATAGAATCTCCAAATGGAATCAGCTGTTAATAGAGCTTCCTCCAGGAATGTCTGAGGCTGCTTCTCCTTTTCCAGCTCTGCTTCCCATCATCACAAGGCCCTCTCACCTCCTGTCCCCTCATCCCCTACCTGTCACCTAAGTTTTCTTTGCCATATCTAACAAGACCAAATCTACCAAGACCTTATCTAATATCTAGAAAATATTTCATGATTCTCCAAGAATCTGCAGTGGCATCGAGATGTGAACGGTTTTCCGTTAACAAATTAAACATACTATTTTCCTAAAAGGGACATGAATTTAGAAGAGATTCTGCATGGTGGCTGTGTGGACAGTTCATATATCCACTGAGATTCAGTGTGGCCTTTTTATTTCTTCCTCATCACTGCAACACTGTGGTTAAGGGAGTGACTCTCCAGGTCCTGACAGGTCACTCCTAGGTATGGAGAGGAAATGGGGGAGGTTGGGCGGGGTGGGGGGGTGGTGTGGCAAGGTGGTGAGCTTGGGTGGTACATCTCAAAGAGCTGTTTATGGGTCTAGGTCCCCTCTTTTCTGACCTCCCCTATGGACTCTGAGAGGCGCTGTCTGGGAGAGGGCAGTCATACTCACTCTTCATTGACAAAGATGAGTTCCAGAGAAGGTTGGCTGTTCTTTACATCCAGACCTATGAGTAGCAAAGAAAAGCAGTATGTGAGAGGTGGAGGCTGGGGCTGACCCTGTGGGTTGGAGCATAGCTCAAGGGCTTAGGGCGGAGGTGGGCCATATGGAGTGGGTGACATTTCTCCTTCCCTTTGCTCTGTAAATAGAATGGGGCTCATGGATGCAGACTGGCCCCAGGGTTTTGCAGTGATCCTTGAGCATTTGGGGGCAAAGAGCAGTGTGTACCCTTGAGCATTTGGGGGAAAAGAGCCCAGAAGTGAAGGAGGAAGGAAGAGCCAGAACAGGGAGTTCAGGGAAGCTTCAGAGTCCAAGAGCTGGGATGGGAAAGAGGAGAGAGGGAAGAGGAAGGGGAATGTGGGGGCATGGCTGAGGGGGTCCTGGGGTGGGCACAAAGTTGGGCAGTCTCCCTAGAGGAGCCAGGCAGGAGGACCCCAGGGGAGGTTGGAGGAGCAAAGGAGAGATGAACTCCAGCAAACTGTACTGATGGGTTCGGCCTCTTCGGTGTTGGAGTTGCCCGCCACGAGCTGCTCGTCCTCAGCACTGACCAGCTCCTGCAGCACGGCCTCCACGATGGGCATCACCATGGCGGTGGTGGAGGTGTTGGACAGCCACATGGACAGCAACGTGGTACAGCACATGAAGCAGAGCAGCAGCCTGGAAGGCAGGGAGGGTTGGGGCAGAGCGTCCACGGAACACACATCCCTGCGGCTCCACAGTGGGCCTCCTACCAACCTGCTGGGGCTGGTCTAGACAGCTGTGGCTGGAAAGGCAGGCATTTGTCCTGCAGGGTGCCATTCAGCTCTGTACTCCCAATGCTTGGCACAGCGTAAGTATTAAAGCAATACTTCTTGAATGAATGAATCACACTTCATGGACTAGCGGCCTTAGCCAGAAAAAAGTCCTTAGTGAAGCAAAGAATAGCTCTGGTAGTAGGGCCACAGGGTGTAGACTTACCATTGTTTTTCTGTCTCCACGGACATTGGCTGGAGCTTGGCGGTGATGTGTGTTTGTGTGTGGAAGGCAATACTTTGTTTGCCCTCGCAGCCAGCAATTCTGTGAGCGCCACGGCACTCCTTGCTTTGCCGCCAAGTCACCATAGATATCAGTGACCCAATAGAGATGAATGTTTGGAGCTCACAGTTCCACCCACTACCTGTCAACATGCTGAAGGCATAGCCCCCAAAGTCACAGAAGTGTCCCGTGTCACTGTGTGCACTTTTCCAGCTGACATCTTAAAGCGTCAACACTTGGAGAAAAACACTAACAAGGTTAACCCTCTAATTATTTCTCTTTGGCTTTGAGAACGTTGTGCAATGTGTGCCTGTACAGACATGTCCTAGTTTCCATAAGATAAGCCAACATAAAGACTACTGTGTTTATTATTTTAGGTGGAATCACTGACTTTGCACAACTTGGGGACAGTACGTTTATCATGTGGACTCCATTGGCTGACAGCGACTTGACTTTGCCAATTCTGTACCTACACGGGTAACTGCCTCTGGGGGTGGCAACTTGCTGACTGATGTAAATAGGGAGGAGTGGAAATGTGAGAGGATAAAAATTCTTGCAGATAGTACACAGAGATTTTAAAGAGCCACAGAGTCTCCATATGATGTGACGAAATGCCACTGTGTGCCTGGGAGGTTGAGTGTAGGGGCAAGATTATTACTGAGTTAGGGGGTGGATTAAGCTGTAGTTATCAGACCTGTTTGACAATCTGGGAGACAGGAACATGCTTTTAAGCATAACCTATAGTCATCTAAATGACTCATACTGAGAACCAATACTATATTATTTATTTATACTCGTGTTGACTCCCATAGGAGTCAGGGCAGCTTACATAAAATACAGCAAGAAAGTTGTAAACTAGAAGGAGGTGAGCAGGATATTCCAAAAGGGAAGGTACAGGCAGGGGAATCCAAATGGAACATTGCTGAAGCTAACACAAAACTCAACCTTGACACCGTAACACATTCCCCGAGGGTGGGACTCCCTCCCGCATCACAGTCAAATGCAGTGTCTCTAACTGGGTCTGTGGTCTGAACTGATGACAAAAACTCAGGGTGGATGGGAGGAAACATTCCCGTCTCCTTCAGTGACAAAGGAGAAGACAGCCACTTCCGGTCCAGCCTGTTCCCTGATACACAGGAAACAGGTTGGGAAACAATTTCTCTTGGTCCATCCTGTTTTACCTGATGGGCCCCTATATGTTGTAAGCTGCTGCCCTTGCAGCCTAGGTCAATGGGTAAATTCTTTGGATAATGATAGCAAGGTCACAGGTTTAAATCTCTACTCCATGATCACAGGCCCTCTCCCTGGACGGGTCCTATGGCTCTGGTGTCAGCCCGACCCTTTGGTAAAAAAACAGCTGAAGTGGACATCCCGCAGTGACCTGAGACCACTGTCCTGGTGGCACACTGGGAGCTAGAAGGATGCCCTATGTCCTGGCATCCCAAATAAGACTTACATGCCCGGCTTGGCTCCGGCCATCAAGACCATGCGCAGAGCAATGCGCTTATGCAGGTTCCACTTCTCCACGGCAGCCGCCACGCAGATGACCCCCACCAGCAGCAGCGTGGTGTTCTTGAAGTACTCCGCCGCCACCTGTAGGGAGGCCAGGCATGTCAGTCACCCTCCCGGACCAAAGACCCAGGGCCCAGCACCAGCTGGGAGAATGGGCCATACCCAATAAAACCTGTTCTCAATCAAAGAGGCTGGCGAAGGGGAGGCAGGGGGGTGAGGATTATTGAAATAGCCGCCCATCCTAGAGTCACATCTACTGAGCGTTCATTGTGGGCAGGCACTGTGCTAAGTACTTGACAGATTATTTCATTCAATCTGGCCCATAACTCTATAGGATAGATGTTCTTCTCCACTTTGGAAAACATAAAACCACTGTATTTAAATATGATGTGAATATGATTTTAAAGAATAAACACATATAATTTTATATTGATCTTTTAAAATAACCCTAGGTTTCTCCCCAAACCTAATTTTTAATGTTTTTAGAAAATATTAGAAAATTATTTTCATTTCATTTCTATTAGAAAATTAATACATACTCAGTATGGAAAACTTCAAAATATAAAAAAAGTTAAAGACAAAATTACCCTTAATCATGCTACTGTAAATACTTATAGTTTCTTCCATTTTTCCTATACCTATATAGATAAATGCATTTATACAGTATGTATACTTTTATATCTTGCCTTTTTTTCATTTAACATCATATCCTCATTATTGTTTTTCTTTGAGACAGAGTCTTGCTCAATTTTTTTTTTTTTTTTTTTTTTTTTTTTGTGAGATGGAGTCTCGCTCTGTCGCCCAGGCTGGAGTGCAGTGGTGCGATCTCGGCTCACTGCAAACTCCGCTTCCTGGGTTCACGCCATTCTCCTGCCTCAGCCTCCCGAGTAGCTGGGACCACAGGTGCCTGCCACCATGCCTGGCTAATTTTTTTTGTATTTTTAGTAGAGATGGGGTTTCACTGTGTTAGCCAGGATGGTCTCAATCTCCTGACCTCGTGATCCTCCTACCTCGGCCTCCCAAATTGCGGGGATCAGAAGCATGAGCCAGCGCACCCGGCCTTAATTTTAAAAATTTAAATAATTCCCAATAATTCTCAAGTTCCAATGAATTCCAAAAATGAAAATAGTACAAGGAATACCTATACACTCTTTTTTTTTTTCCCTGAACCATTTGAGGGTAAGTTACACACATTTTGGCTGGTCCTTTACCCCTAAATACTTCAGTGTATATTTTCCTTTCTTTCTTTTTTTTTTAAAAAAAAATTTGAGACAGGGTCTCACTCTGTCACCCAGGCTGGAGTGCAGTGGCATGATCACAGCTCACTGCAGCCTCAACCTCCCAGGCTCAGGGTATATTTTCTACGAGTAGGGATTTTCTCTTCCTTAGTGGCCACAGTACCAGTTATAAACTCCTTTCTACTTTTTAATTTAATGATGGGGAAGTTGAGACATAGGGCAGTTAAAAAGATGTTTCGCATGTTTGAGGTTCATGGACCAAATCTTTGTTGATTCTCTCACTTGGAACATTCTCTCTTTCCATCTCTGCCTGTACATTCCAATCAGACTTTGAAGCCCAGTTCAGGCCTGGCATCCTCTAGAAAAAACCTTTCTTGTGGCCCTAGCCTCTGATTCCAGAATATTCCTCCTGGGCACCATTAATTCCGCACACCACAGAGCACTTGGAGCAATGCTTGAATGATTGCTTCCTGATTGTACTGTTGTTTGTTTATTTTTGTATGTGTACTTCTCTTGTCTCTCAACTAAATTTTTCGGCTGTGAATGGTTCCCTTCTATATATCTTAACACCTAGTAGAATAATATGCAAAAGTAGATGCTCAATAAATATTTGTCACATACATGAGAATTGCTTCCAACTGGAGGAACCATACAGAAATTGAGAGGAAAAGCTATAGAAAAGTCTAACTTCTAATTGAAAAACCCTCTTAAAGTGAGAAAACAAGAACATTTTTAACTGCAGCAAAAATAAAAATTCAACAGGAAAGGAAATACATAGTAAAATACATAGCATTTGAAATAATATGTACATGATCATACTAATTTTGATTATTGAATTAACAAAAATTGTGATTGAGCATATTGGGAGGATGGTAGAAGGCGAAGTGGGGGATGTAAAAGAAAAAATCTTCCCGGGAGGCAGAGCTTGCAGTAAGCCGAGATCGCGCCACTGCACTCCAGCCTGGGCGACAGAGCGAGACTACGTCTCAAAAAAGAAAACAAAAAACAAAAAGAAAAAATCTTCATCTGCTATAACAAGAAGTCAACTGATAGCCGCTTAAAGTGAGAACTCAAGGACTAATATAAGAATATCATATGGGAATGGAGCTTAATGACAGAAGAAGCTGTTAACAAAGTTACAAGTTATTGACTCTGAGGGTGGGGTGGGACTTGGTAGGGGGGGAAGTGGGAGGGATGAGGAAAGAGACTGCTGACTTTTCATTATAAGCGTTCAGTATTAAAGTATTTGATTTTTAAACTTTGTGCACGAAACACTTTGATAACATCAAAACCAAAATAAAGGCAGGCTGCTCCATCTCTCCTTTCTCTCTTTTGCCCTATGGACATTTCATTGCATCTGGTTGATGAGGGTTGTGTAGGAGAAGGGACATCTGCCCTCACTGTGACCATTTCCTGGGGGGAAAAGCCCCTGCTTCTGGTTAACCCAGTGTTTGTCTCTAAGCCCATTCCTCAGCGGACTACTGTCACGAATGCCCCCTGGGGGCAGGGAAGGCCCCCTGCTCTGGACAGCTTGTGACTCCGTGGCAGAGTCCACTCTGAGAGGGCGGTGATCATGGTGGTGGGGGCGGGGGTGGGGTTGGGGGAGCGGCCCCCTAGCGGGAGCAGGAGGCACTGCAGGATTGTCCTAGGGAAGTGGTTGAACTTGGAGGTTCAAGGGCCTTTCTCACTGCCTGGTTACTTTCCCAGGCTTTGTGGAGGCGGCTTTGTGGCACAACTGGAGCTTTATTTTCTTGTCTACCGAGGAGAGAAACCCACAGAAGATGCGGGACCGTTGTGGGAGATGGTCTTTCCACCAGCCCCATGACACAGCCCTGCGAAGCTTTTCAAGTCAGTGCGACTGGGGTGTCTTTCCCCAGGGACTGACTGACAAGAGCTACGTTTTCTGCCTCTATCATATCCCATTCTAGAACACCGGTTTGGCTGTGATGGCCTTTTAGGATGCTCAGTGCCTAAATGACAGGTAGGCCACTTTCTCTGGGTTCCACTTGGAGGCAGAGGAAAGCAACCAGGAATATGGAGAGCCTTCTAGTGCCGGCATTTTGCATGTTGCATTCACTTTCTCATTTGAGCTCCACAGCAGTGCTATGAAGCAGCACTATCCGTATCTCAGTTTACTGATGAGGAAACTGGGGGTTTAGGGAGCATCTCCCAGGTCACAGTGTAAGGGCAGAGGCAGGATACCACTTCAGGGCCATCTGAATCCGAAGCCTCCTAGACAGCCTGCCACACGGTGAGCCGACTGGAAACCCCCATCTGATTCAACTCTAGGGGGATTTTCTGGGTCTCCCAGACAGCATGAGCTGGCACACATTTCTTGTCGTGTTTTTGTTTTTGTTTTTGTTTTTTTGAGACAGAGAGTTGTTCTGTGGCCCAGACTGGAGTGCAGTGGCGCAATCTCGGCTCACTACAACCTCTGCCTCCTGAGTTTAAGCAATTCTCCTGCCTCAGCCTCCCAAGTAGCTGGAGCTACAGGTGCTTAGAAAAACTAAGGAAACCTCCTTAGTGAAACCACTACACCTGGCTAATGTTTTTGGATTTTTTTTTTTTTTTTTTTTTTTTTTTTTTTTTTTTTAGTAGGTACGAGCTTTAACCAGCTTGTTGGCCAGGCTGGTCTTAAACTCCTGACCTCAAGTGATCTGCTCATCTCAGTCTCCCAAAGTGCTGGGATTACAGGCATGAACCATTGCACCCAGCCCACTGGTACACATTTTTTATCTTCATTTATAATCGCAGTCCTGACACTGGCCTTAAATGCCCAGGGCAGGGCCAGTCTGAACTCCAGGCCCAGCTTCAGTGGGATATTGGCTCTGTGCTGGGTGTTTGGTGGGCTCAGCTCTATTCTCATGTCTTTCCTGCTCCCTTGTAAGTGATACTATGTGCTCGGGAGACACGGCCTGGGGCTCAGGATATAGTTTGTGATTACAGAGGTAACATCACTGAGTGGGGAAGAGGGAGGACTCTGGAGTCAGCCGGGACTCCACTGTGTGACCCTAGACAAGGTATTCAGCCTCTCTGGGCTTCATTTTCTCATCTAAAAAAAAAAAAAAAAAAGGAAGGAAGGTTATGTGAGTCCCTACCTCATAAGGTTATTACAGAGATTAAATGACACGTGCAAACCAGCTGGCATGGCCTGCCACATTGATGGCCAGGATCCCTGGTGACTCTTCCTGTTGTGAAGTGCTCCATCTAAAGGCTGAGCTGGTTTGAGGCCATTAGCACACAGAGTGGGCTCATCCATGCACAGAGCAAAGCCACAGGGCTGCTTTTTCATTTTTAGAAATTAAAATTCTGTTCAGTGGTGTTGTTTATTAGTTTTCTAGCCCATTGATTTTTCTTTCACAATAACACCTGGGTTATTCAGAGCCTCCCAGGGAACACCAGACTTCCAAGATTCTCGAGGATGATTGTTATTGTTTTCTAGAGTGTGTTGCAGATTTCCTGCCTTTATCAACAGAGCCTGTGCATTCTCCCCGGCTTCTTGTGAGACATGTGCCAACTCTCCCCATCATAGCCTCTGCCCAGGGAGCCTCTTATCGCTCTTGCCCTTGGCTAGCTGTCCAGGCTGCTGGTCCTTCTCTGGTCCCTGGGTCTGCATTTTGCTGGTTTCCCGTCTCATTCTTAGGCGGCTGCATTTTCCCGATGTGAGGATGCTTGCCATTAGCATTCCTTTCCCCATTTTATAATTTCCCAGACTCACATCCTGTGAGCTGGGAAGCCAGATAACGAAGATTGTTAGAGTTTTTTGTAAAGAGAAATTAGATTCTAAATGGCTGTTCCTCCCCAGGAGTAAAGTGCATGGATTTTAGGACATTTGCATGGTGGTTTGATTGCTTTTTCTGCTTTTCTGCTCTGTGGTTTTTCTCAGTATGCCACATCACTGAACTTGGAGAGCAGAGGTGTTTCTGGACTGTGTTTTAGGAAAGATGGGCTCAAGGAGGTCCCCTTGACAAGGAATAGCTATAGCAATCTTGGGCTCTGAAGTTCAGATGAGTTACCTGCTATTGGACAAGCTAATGAACCTCTGTACCTCTGTCACCAATTTTTTAAGGGCCACAGTGATGCTACATAGCTAATTTAATCTGCTGTGACATGGGCTTTACACATAAGATAATGCAGGTGGGCTCTTATTTTTTTTTAATTATGTGTTTTTTATTTTATATATTTTTTGAGACAGAGTCTCACTCTGTTGCCCAGGCTGGAGTGTAGTAGCCTGATCTCGGCTCACTGCAACCTTGGCCTTACAGGTTTAAATGATTCTCCTGCCTCAGCCTTCCCGGTAGCTATGACTACAGGCACCCACCATTGTGTCCGGCTAATTTTGTATTTTCAGTAGAGACGGGGTTTCGCCATGTTGGCCAGGCTGGTCTTCAACGCCTGACCTTGTGATCCTCCCACCTTGGCCTCCCAAAGTGCTGGGATTACAGGTGTGAGCCACTGTGCCCAGCCTCATCTGAACAATTTTGCAGTGAAATTCTCTGAACCCTGGGAGCAGATACCTGGCCTGGCTCCCGCTCAGTGCTAAGCTAAGCCCTGCCAGGGCTGAAGCCCCACAGGACTCCATTCCAGTTAGTGTCCAAGCAGCACAGCCAAGCCAGCAGTGTCTCCTTTCCACCTTCCCTGGGGGCAGGAATGCTGTTTCTGCCGGGTAAGCCCCTAGCAGGGGCTCAGACACCCTTCTCATCACCTGATTTGCATTCCTGGTTCCATCTGTTTTATATATTGAGTCTTCTAAGATTTGGTTTAAAGAAAAGGTTTCATTGCTTAAAAAAACATTCTTTGCAAATCCTGCCCTAGAGAAGTCTAAAGTAGAGAGACCCAGATGGGTGCTGGCATGACCCAGAAGCTGGCCCAACTCCTGCATGACTGGAGACACTGATTCATAACCGCCACCACCCCTGCCCAGTTTCTTCTTTGGGACTGTATGAACTACCCAGATGGGGAAGCTGAGGCAAGGGTCTGGGCTCTGAGCCACGAGCCAAGGGGCTGCTGGTCAGGTGGTGGTTCACAGGGAGCTGCTCTTCCCCCCAGAAACATTAGCTTGGTCTCGAAAGGCTGCAAGGTCTGTAGGCTCCCACTGAAGGCCCAGTGTGGAGCTCAGCCCTGGGGCTGCGTCTGGGTGGCTGAGGGTGAGGGCAGCCTGGGGTTCAGGCAGGTGGCCAGCTGGATGTCCAGCCCACATGCCCACGGGCCCGCATGCAGAGGACCGGTCAGCCTCCATGGCGAGGAGAGATGGGAAAGGCAGAGCTGAGAGTGCTTTATGAAATGCCCCCAGGCTTACTCAAACAGAGAAAGTCAGGGTAACGAGTCAGAGGGCAGGAATCTGGCGGGTCAGAAAGATCAGGAGCCAGCAGGGAAGCGGATTGATGACAGCCGACTCCGGCGGCACCAGGCGGCAGCGGCTGCGGGTTATCCCAGCGGGCGCAGCCTGTACTCCTCTCCTGCCCCTGCGGGAGCTGGAAGCTGAGTGACACCAGCCCGAGGCCTGCAGCGCAGGGCCAGAGACCGCTGGCTGGGCCCAGGTGAGAGTGTGTGTGAGTGTGTATGTGAAAGTGTGTGTATGTGTGTGTATATGTGAGTGTGTATTTGTGTATATGTGAGTGTGAATGTGTGTGAGGGTATGAGTGTGTATGTGAATGTGTGTGTGTATGATGTGTGTGTATAAGTGTATGTGTGTGAGCGTGTATGAGTTTATGTGTGTATGCGTGTGTGAGAATGTGTGTATGAGTGTGTGAGAGTATATATGTGTATATGGGTATATAAGTGTGTATGAGTGTATGTGTGCATGAGTGTGTATATGTGAGTGTATGTGTGTATGTGTATGTGTATGAGTGTGGGCATGTGTATGAGTGTATGAGTGTGTGTGAGTGTACGTATATCTAAGCATGTGTATGTGTGTGAGTAAGTGTATGTATATGTGAGCGTGTGTATGAGTGTATGTGTATGAGTGTGTGAGTGTGTATGTGTGAACATGTGTGTATGAGTGTGTGTATGAGTGTGTGAGCGTGTGTATGAGTGTGTGAATGTGCATTAGTGCATATGAGTGTGTGTATGTGTATGTATGAGTGGGTGTGTAGGAGTGTGTATGTGAGTGTGTGAGTGTGTGCCAGTGTGTGTGCTGGGGAAAGGATAGAGACAAAGAGCACATGCAATTACTTCCTGAAGTACACCCTAACCCTGGGCCTCCTGGAGAGCTGTTTGTTCCCAATCCCCAATATCCAACCCATGCTTTCTACTTCACCGGAGAGCCCTGTGGTGCCCACCTCTATGCCATTCTCCTATAGACAGTAAATCTTAGTTAACTTGATTGACACAGGTATCATGCCCAGGCTATAAACTTTTGGAGCAACACATTAGAAGGGGCTTAGAGGACTTCAGAGGCAGATATAATGACGGTAAGTGAGAGTCACAATGGAGCCAAAATAAAAACAAACACACACAAACCTAAAATACAGGACTAATCAGCAGAGGAAGTAGCAGCTGGATGCTCACAAGATCATAGAGGGACCTTAGAGTCCAACCCATCTCCCAAGGCACAAAGTCTATGTCTAGTGTATCTGGCATGGTCATTTGGCTCAGACATCTAGGGACAGGAACACAAGGACCACACATGGCAACTCATGTCAGAGTTTTCCTTTATACAGAACGGGAAATTCCTTTATGGCACTCTGACTCTGGTTCTGGTGTGACGCTTTGGGCCTGGAGTGTGGAGCCATGGAAGCCTGGACTTATGGAAGCCTGGACTTATGTCCCCTTAAGTCTTCTCTTCATTCCTCATGTGACTCAGGCTCCAGCTTTTTAACATCCTGGCCACCCACCTCTGGATGAGCTCCTTATCCAGAATTTGATGTACTGGACACATCATTTATTAATTTTTAAAATTAAAAAAAATTTTTTTAGATGGAGCCTAGCTCTGTCATCCAGGCTGGAGTGCAGTGGCATGATCTTGGCTCACTGTAACCTCTGCCTCCTGGGTTCAAGAGATTCTCTTGCCTCATCCTCCTGAGTAGCTGGGACTACAGGCATGCACCACCATACCCTGCTAATTTTTTATTCTATTTTATTTTTAGTAGAGATGGGTTTCACCATGCTGGCCAGGCTGGTCTCAAACCCCTGACCTCAGGTGATCCGCCTGCCTTGGCCTCCCAAAGTGCTGGGATTACAGGCGTGAGCCACAGTGCCCAGCCCATAATTTATTAATTCAACGGAGGATTTTGGTCACATTGCCTGGGGGGTTAAGAGCTCAAGTTCTGGAATCATACAATCTTGGATTCAAGTCCCAGCTCCACCACTTAGTAGCTGCATAACCGCGGGTAAGTAAGTTACTTAACCTCTCTGAACTTCAGTTTCCTTCTCTTTAAAATGAAGATAAAAATAATAGCACCTTCACGGAGGATTAAGTTATATAGTGTGTGTAAATGACCTCCCACAGTGCCTGGCATATGGTAAACACTTGGAATTTGGCAGCCACGTTGGACTGATGGTGACTCATGCTGAGCCTGTACTTAGCTAAAAGCCAAGGGTCTTTTTCGCATGAACTGCTGGCATTTATCCTTATTAGACTTCATTTTGTCAGTTTCAGTCCATTGTCTCTTCCTGTCCGCATGTCTCATTCTGCCACCGTACATTAGCACCGTACATTAGCCAGCTAGCGCATCCAACTTAGCCATCTGCAAATCTGATAATAAGCCTTTTATATTTTCAACTGCAATCTCACCCTAATCTGATGCCAACATGCTATTCAAGATTCTTTAGGTTCAGCTGTTCACCCAGCCCTCAAGTTACTCAACTGTGCTTTCTCATGGAGCCCACTCTGACTCCTCTGAGTGAGAAATTCTTTTTTTCCCCCCTGGAAATTTTGAAGGCTCCAAGGAAAAAGTTAAATTA
This sequence comes from Homo sapiens, assembly GCF_000001405.40. Lineage (NCBI taxonomy): Eukaryota > Metazoa > Chordata > Mammalia > Primates > Hominidae > Homo > Homo sapiens. The sequence goes on from NC_000007.14 coordinate 135,717,313, forward strand.
TATTTAATAACTTCTGTTTCAAAGACCAAGGAAATTATAAAACCCATTAGAAAGACTGTAATCAAAAATTAGTCAACATGAAGTTTGGGCAGTTGGCAGTGTAAATTTTATTTATCTAGAACATCCCCTCTTGAGGAGTTGTATAAATCCTCCACAATGCCAGAAAACGAGGCATCACTTCATAGGGCATTCTGTATTTTTCCACATGGTTTATACTTTCTCTCTACTAAAATAGAAACTTCTCCGGGTCAGGAGCCCTTCTGTCATTTTGTATCTCTTATCAGCACCTGAGTCTGAGCTTTGCACACAACTCCTAATACCCACTGGCTGACAGATCACCACTGTAAAAATGAACCATTTATATGTACTTGTGATGGTTAACTTTGCATGTCAACTTGGGTGGACCATGGGGTGCCCAGATTAAGCATTGCTTCTGGGTGTTTCTGGATGAGATTGGCATTTGAATCAGTGGATTGCCCTCTGCCATCTGGACAGACATCATCCAATCTGTCGAGGGCCTGACTAGAACAAAAGGCAGAGGAAGCAGGAATTTGCCTCCTTTTTCCAGTCTCACCACCTGGGCTGGGACATCTGTCATCTCCTGCCCTGGGACTGGGATCTACACCATTGGCTTCCCTGGTTCTTAGGCCTTTGGACTCACACAGAGTGACATCAGCAGCTCTCCTGGGTCTCCAGCTTGCAAGTGGCAGCTCATGGGATGTCTTAGCCTCCATAATTAATCAAGTGAGCCAATTCCTACACACACACACACACACGCGCGCGCGCGCACGCGTGCGCGCTAGTCTCCTCTTCGTTCTGTTTCTCTGGAGAAACTGCAGAACATATCCAGCTTCAGACAGTGAGAGCTCAGATACGAGATTCAAGAGGGGAGAGATGACATTTTGTTTATTTTTGTCACCCTCAGGGTACCCATATCATCCCATGTTGCACCTGGTAGATGTAGAACTGAGAAAATACTGTCTCTAAATGTTGAATGAATAACATGAGGGAACCCAGCCACAGTCCCAGAGTCACACTGATCCTATTCACGTGCCTTCCTTCCCTCACTGAAGATGACATTACTGACACATTGTCAAGAAACACTGCAATCAAGAGCTGTGAATGAGGGCTGATGCAAACATGGTGCTGGGCTACAGACAGGCCATAGACATAGACATTGTACATCCCAGAGAGCATGAATCTCGGTGGGGAGAGCACATGTCTATGAAAAGTTTATATCTGGTGTATCTGATGCACCATTTAAAAGATAAAGACATGAAATAGGCTCATTGAGAAGGGATCAACACTTTCAGCCTTTGGTCATTGGAAGGGCTTCACCAAAGAGAGTAATTGAGTAGGACTTTAAAGGTCAAAGAACGGGAGAGAACTTTCCAAAGTGGAAGAATAACCCAAGTCGCAGTAAGAGGATGGTCAAGAAGTAGATGGGTTTGGGAAATGACAAGGATTTGGGGGCTCCTAAAGAGCACCAGCCTAGCTTCCCCCTGTGAGCCATGGCACATTCTGGTGTCATAGTGGTGCATAGGTGGTTGTGGAATAGGTGTTTTCTCTGCAAAGTTAACTGGCTTACAAAGGGCTATAACCCATGTGCTCTGCCTTACTGGCATTTCCCTCTAATCTGAGCTAAGAAGGTCAGCTAAACAGACTATATTTGGACTAAGCTGCTCCCTGTAGCCCAACTACTAAATATCATCATCAGCCAAAGCCACGTCATCAGGCAGGTGGATTCGGATTTTTCACCTCAAATGATAAGACGTGCTTTCTGGCTCCTCCAGCCCCTAGCAATAGTGACACACAGTCCCTCCCTGGACAGTCTTCCTTTATTTCTCACAGAGTCCTGTTACCCTCCCAAGCGACTGCCTCTGCAGACTCTCCTTACGGGTTTGGCCTTCCTCTCTGGACAAAGGGGCGTCCCTCGGATAACTGTTGCCTGGCAACATCTCTACTGTGCCCTTGGAGAAACAGAGACACTGTCTGCTTGAAAGCTAAGGCATGCTGTTGGCTTTTGGGCTGCCTATAGTGAAATACAAAGATTAGGTTTCTTAATTAATAGTTTTCTCACTTTAAAAGGTTATTTAGGATTCAGTTCTTTCTAAACATCATTTTTTTTCCTCTACCCTCCACTTTCAAGCCCTGCCCTTGCTGGTTTTAATTTCACAATTTTAAAGAGAAGCCTGGAGAACAAGCTTGTATAGCTCTCTTAAGAAAAGTCACATTTAGGTTGCTTTTTTCTTTAGGCAGACACAAAACCCCATATTACCTATTCTTTTTTCACGAAAGAAGAGGGGGCAATTAGAACAACTGCCTGGTGATTCTGGTCACAGATTAGCTTTTACATGGGTCCCCACGATATTGGGGTTGTACCCATCTCCAGGAATGAAAGCACTGCTGAGAGCTTTGGGGATTCTCTTCTTTTTGGTGAGCCTGAGGCTATGGCTACTCAATGCCACATGTGTGTGTGTGTGTGTGTGTATGTGTGTGTGTGTGTGTGTGTGTGTATAGCCACACACACGCATATATATATGTGTGTACAGATAGATAGATAGAAAGAGGAAGGAAAGAGAGAGAGAGAGGAGAGAGAGAGAGACGGGCCCAGGGGGAGAGAGACAGGGGAGGGAGTTGGGGGGAGAGAGAGAGAGAGAGAGAAAGAGAGAGAAAGAAAGAAAAGGAACCTAAAAGCAAACAAAAAACTAGTCAGTTAAATCTATCCAGTAGAAAGACAAAGTGTTCATTTGCAGTGAAGTACAACTATTAGAGGATTGCCTAATTCTATTTTTGGAAAGTTCTGTTGTCCATTAAAGCATCCATAGGCCCCGCTCCATTCTTCCTCATATCACAGAAGTGAAGAGACTCACAGTTCTAAGTAATAACTCCATGTGTACATAGTGCCATGAAGCCACATACCACTTTATGGAGTCTTTTTCTTATGGTGTAGTGATCAAGTGTATACACTTTGAATTCTAATAGTTACGGGTTTGAATCTAATTCTGCTACTTTCAGCTTTGTGATTTGGGCTGAGTCTCTTAATTCTCTGAGCCTATCTGTAAAATGGAAATACTAGCATGCGCCTTGTACAGCCCTTGGGAGTATTACATAACAAATGCAGCACTTCTGATAGAGTGCCTGGCGCTTAGTAGGCATTCAAATATGAGCTTCCTTTCCTCTTCTTTCTGTGCCTCTGCCCATAACCTTACCCCCATCTCAGTGATTCAGGCTTTTTCATTAAAAAAAAAAAAAAAAAAAACCAAAAACAAAACAAAAACCCTAAGCAGAGACCAGGTGTTAATAATGAGACAGTTGAATGGAACCAGGTGTTACTGAATGAGATCGTCATTCATTTGGTCCCAGGTTCTGGCTGTTTTGTTTTGTTTTGTTTTTTCTTTTTCCCTACTCATGGCAGGCTTAAACTTTGCTCTGAAATTTTGCCACAACCTGGGCTTCCCACTGACAATTTCTGTTTGAGCTTTTGAGAAGGCCACAGACAGTGAATGGAGAGGGCTCACTCTAGGGAGGGCGCAAAGAAAGAAAGTAACCTTAAGTCGGGCGAGAAGAAAAAGAAATGTTGTTTTTTGGAGGCGTGGATGAAAACATTGTCAGGGTTCAGGGAAATAGGGTAAGTCTCTCTGTAACAAACATTCATTGAGCACCTACTGTGTACAGGCTCAGCTTTCTAATGGGAGGTCTGATTCCTGCCTTTGTGTGCTTATCGTCTAAATAGACATCCAGAGTCTGAAAAAGGTCAACAGCAGCTGAGTTTTAGGCATCAATCACACAGCTCCTAAAAGGCTTCAGACCGAGGGAGCAACTGGATGTGTTTAATCAAGTAAGGCTTCCTGAAAGAGGCAAATTTTGAGCCAGTTTGAAGGAGATGAGGATCATGGGTGGAAGGAGAGGAATTCAGGGTCTAGAACTGCAGGTGCCAAAGCTTAGTGTTAAGGGGTCATTCCAGTGGGTGACAAGGCCCCCTCATCGTCAAGTGCTGGGTGAATCTCCCTTCATTGGAGGCTCTCTTTCAGGGGCCCTGCAGGGACCCAGGCAGGGGGTGGGGCTACAAGTAGTCTAACCTCATTGGACCGGAGGACTCCGAAGAACGGGTAAAGGAAGGCCGGCACCAGGGCTGCAGCTCCCAGAGGCACTGCCTCCGACACCCAGTACACAGCAGTCACGATCAGCACGTAAGCACACGAGGCCTCCTGCAAGGCAAGGAAAGGGGCCGTCATTCACAGGAATAGTCACTGCCACTGAGCGTCCGGATGCAACCCTGGCATCTGAGGCAGCAGACTCAGACTGTAACGCGGGTACTAGGATACAGCCCAGGGACCGAAACCGAACTGGCAGGCGAGCATGGTGAATACATGGTGAGTCCATCCTTTGGTGGGTGACATTATGGCTGCTCCTTCGGGGACCGATGCCTGGCGTGTGGTTTGCACTGGTGTGTAGCCAGGCAGCTCGGAGGGTTCTGGAAACTGCCAAGGTGGGGACTGAACTTAACTGCAGTGACCAGACCCATGATCACAAAACCATACAAGTGGAGTTCAAAGCTTTAACTTGGACTGGGATGTAATTGGTGTTAAGTTGACTGGATATTAGAAGTTCTTGGGGTAGTTGGAGATAGGAATCACTATGTGTGGTGGGGGCTGGGGCTTGCACTTGTAATCCCAGGACTTTGGGAGGCCAAGGTGGGAGGATCACTTGAGCCCAGGAGTTTGAGACCAGCCTGGGCAATATATAGCAAGACCCCATCTCTAAAAAATAAAATATAAATTAGCCAGGTGTGGTGGCACAGGCCTGTAGTCCCAGCTACTTGGGAGGCTGATGCCAGAGGATCACTTGAGCCCAGGGGCTTCAGGCTGCAGTGAGCTATGATCATATGCCATTGCACTCCAGCTTGGACTACAGGACTATAGAGTACAATGCTGTCTCAAAAAAACAAGCAAACAAACAAAAAAAACAGTTCGTTCACATGTGAGCTCTGAGATCAGTCATCCTGAGTTTGACACATGTGCCTAAGATATGAAGATATGTGGCATTGGTGTGTGCCTGACTGAAGAGAAGTGGATCAGTAAGAAGTGAGATTTATAAACAATCCAAAAGGTGGCTTCTGGACTGTGCTCTTACAGCCCTGGGCATCTGGGGTGTGTCTCAAGAATATACCAGGGGGATCAGCAAGGCCTGGAATCTGGACCCCCTCTCCAGCCTCATCCCAAATGGAGTAGCTTTGTTCTCATTTGATTCATATACGAACATTACATGTGAGATTTGAAAAAAAAAAAGCTTTATTGCTTTAAAAATGAATAAACAAAGTTAAATCCCCCTGTTTTAGACTATTTGCTGAAACAACTTGATTCAGTAGTAAATTTTAATCAAATAAATTATTAGGCAACTTGAAGAACTGGTTGACCATTTCCCCCTTCAATTTTGGATCTGAGGTCCTACCATGTTTTGCATCTAGAGACTGAATCCTTCTCCCAAAGGCCCCTGTAAGAGTTAATAAGGAGCTCCCTTCCCTGGGAGAGGGAAGGGAAGACTGAAGAGGAAGGCAGCGATCCTGAGCATGGAACTCTCATTTTGGATGAAGAAGCATCAGCTCCTAACTCAGTGTTTGTCAACCTTCGTACTACTGACATTTAGGGCCACATAGTTTCTTCTTGCAGGGGGGCTGTCCTGTGCACTGTAAAAGAGCAGCATCCCTGGTCTCTACCCACTAAATGCCGGTAGCACTTCCTCCACTGTGACAAGCAAAAAACCATCTCTAGACATTGCCAAATGTCCCTTGGGGAGGTAAAATGATTCCTGGTTGAGAGCCACTGCCCTAACCAGGGTCTGGTTCTCGTTGCTCTTGGACTCCATTCTATCCGCTTGACACCATGGAAACATCCATCTACAAAGACTGAAGACAGCCATCTATCTGGAAGGGGAGGCCTGGACATTCACCAGCATTTTCCATAGCCCACTCACTTTGCTGGCTGGACAACCTAGGGGTGCACAGGGTAATTAAGTACAACATTCTTATCAGAAGCCAGCCCTCCATCAGCTTGCCCTCTAGTTGTGTTGATTGCCCTGAATTATGCTGATGAACGCTGTTAAGACAGGTTACCGCCTTACTCTAGGGAGAGGCTGCAGTTCATGGGCCTTGTTAATGGTAACATCACCAAGCTCCGTGACTCAGAAGAGCATTTATAGAAAATCCAAGTTGGCTGTGGGATCCTCAATTTTTACATAGTTGTAAACCATCAGGACTCGTGTCTGATTTGCCCTGAGGCTGGCTGCTGATCAAGGAACCTGACAAATCTTGCTGTTTATGGCCCCTTGAGTTCAGAACACGCGTCCTCAAACTCTTGCATAAAAGTTACAAAAGGTCGCTGTATCAGTAAGGGGCAGCAGGAGTGATTAAATCAGCTGGGCTGGCAAGGACCTTGTGCCCTCCTGACATTCGTGGATTATGGGATTGGGGTTTGAGAAATGGGAACTGGGCCCAAAAGTTGACTGTAGCTCCCCACTGAGATGTTCTCTGGGGCCAAAAGATCAGAGGGAAGATAAAACTTTTGGAAGTGCTGATAAGACAACAGAACCAATGGTGGAAAAAAAAAGAGGCTCCACTTGGAAACAAATTCAATTTAGAGAAATACCCTGTTTGCTATAGAAATAAAACTACCTAAAGGAGTTCAAACCCACGTGTTCTCATCTCTCTTCTGGGAAAGAGACAGAGTGGCAGATCTTAACTCCAGTTGAAGAGAAAGAGTTGAGAGACAAAATGTCTGCCCCTCACTGGGGACCCTTATTTCTTCCTGGAACCCTTAGTCTTTCTTGATCTGGTCATTACAGGGCTACAAGTTACAAGTTAAGGGGAAGGAGGTGGGGAGAGAAGGTGCAGAGAAAGGGAAAGGAGAAAGAGGAAAAGAGCCTGTAATCCCAGCACTATGGGAGGCCGAGGTGGGTGGATCAGTTGAGGTCAGGAGTTCGAGACCAGCCTGGCCAACATGGCGAAACCCTGTCTCTATTAAAAATACAAAAAATTCATCCAGGTGTGGTGGCACATGCCTGTAATCCTAGCTGCTCTGGAGGCTGAGGCAGGAGAATCCCTTGAACCCGGGAGGCAGAGGTTGCAGTGAGCCAAGGTTGTGCCACTGCACTCCAGAGCCTGAGTGACAGAGTGAGACTCTGTCTCAGAAAAAAAAAAAAAAAAAAAAAAGAAGAAAGGAGAGAGAGAGAAAGAAAGAGGACTTTCCCTCTGCCAGGTGCCTTTAGTTTTCAATTAGGAGAATGTGGGTAAAATAAAGCAAACATTTTGGTTGTAAATATTGTTAGACATGCGACTAGGTTACTGGAAGAAGTAAGTCATCAGGCCACCTTCACCCAGCTGTATTAAGGACAGGATTAATTACTATCATTTTTTACCTGGATTTTCCTTAGAGTAGAAGAATGGACAAGAGACACCTTTAGAGAGTCTTTCCATACAGTTTCCACTTATTTCACCCATGGAATCTCCATAAACTTCATTTTTCCCCTTCTAAAGCTTCCCAAAATTCAGGAGGTAAGCTTGTATTCAGACAACCAAAAATACTGCAAAGTTTGCTTACAAGGAGTCCGATGTCCCCAACGCCTATCCCATGTCTAGCAGGTGGTTCAATTCACGTGGGCTGAACTGCACTGGACTTCTCTGCTGGCTGTCAGGTCTCGCTCATCTTCTGGAGAGAATATTCTGCAACCCCCAGGCTCTTTAACAACACCACTGGTTCCTTATAATAGCAGGTATGTGGGGGTTGGGCATTGGTGAGTGTTCAGACAATATCTTCAAGGGACATGCTATCTACTATTTTTTGGCTCCCGTTTACAAGTAAAGGAAAGAGTTCGAAAGTGGCATTTCCCCATGTAGGACGTTTCCTAGTCAGCTACTCACTTAGGCGTGGAACTGCTCGTTTTCCACGCAGTTTGACCACCCCAGTGATATCCCACTCCAACTTCACGGGAAGGAGGTTGAAGTCTGTTATCTGTTATCATCAATGACTGGGGGCGCCTTTTAAAAAATTTAGCTTGGGCAGTTGAGATGCAACTTTTATCCCACTGGGGGCACTGAGGAAGGGCTTAGTTATGGATGCTGTCTCTTGTACCCTCTTCTTCTATAACATGATAAACAGTGTCTGGACCTCTAGTTTTAGAGAGTTGGGCAAGAAAAAGGGGGAAGGTCATTTTGACTCCTCCTAAAATGTAGCTGAGGCTTGTCGCTTAGAACCATCAAAACTGCAGGCCAGGAGCTCCTGCCCAGGTACTCCATCACTGCTCTCAACTCCAGTCCAGAGCAAGAAAATCCATTTGGAATTTTAAGGGTTAAATATCAGACTCTAAAAGTTTGATGCAGGCCAGGCACGGTGGCTCACACCTGTAATCTCAACACTTTGGGAGGATCACGTCAGACCATGAGTTTGAGACCAGCCTGGGCAACATAGTGAAACCCCCATTTCTACAAAAAAAATTTTTTTAAAAATTAGCTGCATGTGGTGGTACTTGCTTGCCTGTAGTCCCAGCTACTCCAGAGGCTGAGGCACGAGGATTGCTTAACCCCAGGAGCTCAAGGCTGCAGTGAGCTACGATTGTGCCACCGCACTCCGGACTGGGTGACAGAGTGAGACTCTGCGTCTACAAAAAAAAGTTTGATGAAAGGGGTGACGGATGGATGAAACTCTACCTGCTGGGCACCTAGTCTGTGCCTTCTGTGGGCAGTGGCCAAGGTCCCCAAAGATGGGGCTGCCTCAACCAGGAGATATGAGAGGTTCCTGATACTGCTTGGGAGAGGAGGCTAGTATGTCTCTCGGTAACAGTCCCTTATAGCAACCTACATGGAGAAAAAACAAAAACAAGAAAAGCCACAAAAAGAAAAAAAATCAGGCCCATTTGGACAAAGCAGAAAATTGACTAGGGTACAGTCCAGGAAGAATGTCAGCAGCAATCACTGTCTGCTAATCCCAGCCCAGTTTTAATCAGCGTCTCCCTGGCACTCTGGAGTATTTATTCTATGAAAGATTTAAGCCAGTTTGTTTTTAAGAAGAACCATCCTAATCCCCTCTGTTTAACTGTTTAACTTAATCTTGGTTACCAAGTTACTTAAGGAGCAGAGTGGAAGAATTGCTCCCCCTCCTACAAACGTGATTAACCTGTTTTAGCTTATTTTTCCTAAAGTCTCCAGGGCAGTGCCAGCTGGGGGAAGGGGACAAGCCACAGACAGGAGGAAGAGAACAGCGGAGGGAAGGGAAGGGAAGCAGGTGACCACCAGGAGGGTGTGACAGGCAAGCTGGATGCTGAGCCAGAGCTGAGGTTCCTCTGTTCTCACAAACCAGGTGAAGAATGAGGTCACGGGCTAGAGTTTGGGGGCTCTTATCTCTTTTTTATCGTGTCACTTTTTGTCTGTCCTTCAAGAGGACAGAGAAGAAAACACAGAAGACACAAATAATTCAAGGCCACGTGCATGGGAGCAGGGCAGCCTGCTAAGTTCTGCTTTCATTCCTTCCCTAAACATTCATTCCCTGAAGTTGATAGGCGCCTTCGGGATTAGAGCTTCAACTGTGGTCATCGAAGCCCACCAGGACACGACCACAGACCACGGATTGGCTCCACGGTTCTCTTCCTCCCCCAACCTTCTCCTCAGTGCCACTATTGGGAGCTCTTTCTGTGTCTCCAGGGGCTCTCAGATAACCAGGGTCCCAGGTGAACTCCCGACAAACACAGGTGCACCATGTCGTTTGCATGGGTGTCGCTGGCCCCCGCTGCTGGGGCAGGCTGGCCTGCTGCTTGGTGCAACACCCATCAGTCACTTCTGCCAAGGCCCCTACTCTGTCCTGACCCCGGTGGGGGCCATGGGGTTGGGGGAATGGGACTGGGATAGGAGATGAACATGACAGCTTTTAGGAAGAAGATATCTTGGTTTCCTCTGGAAAAATCCTTCCATTTCTTTAAACCCACCACAAGCCACTTTGAGGGACTGCCTGAGCGCCCCATGTTCCCCTACCGACCTCCCCTCTTTGCCCTCCCACTGACTCCCAGACCCCCGGTGGGCGCAGGTCGGTACTCACGCTGCTGGGGTGGAGGACGGGCAGAGGCAGCAGCAGGAGCGGGACGCAGACGACCAGCAGCAGCTTCCGGACTCGGAGCAGGCCCTGCAGCAGGCCCATCGCGCCTCTGTCCTCTCCAGCTCGTCCTTGGACCCCGCTCTGCCGGCGAAAGGCTTCCTGCCTGGGCACTGCTCTCTATCCAGAAAGACTTCTTAAACCTTTCTTGGCTTCCGAGAGTCCTCCTTCGTCTTGGGGGCAGAACGGGAGGGCAGTTATACCCTCGCTGTTTCTACAAGAGGCTGGGCTCCTGGCCTCCTGCTTTAGGTGGGATTGATGAGCATCGTTTTGTGACCAGCAAAAAGGAACTGGGAAAGGATGATAAACGGGGGCATAGTGGGCCTCCTCTCGGCTTGATTAGTAATAGAGTAACTTCATTCTAGGTGTCAGCAGAAACCCCCTTAATCCTTTAAGCCACACCTTTGCTGCTGCTGCTCGGCCTTGAAGAAATCATTTAAAAGCTTAAAAACATTAAAAACGCTCAGAGCACATTGTGCTCTCCATCAGTTTTCCTCCCTCGGATGACCTATTTTGGGGAGTACCTGTTTCATCTCCCACCTGGGCTCGCTGTTGGTAAGACTCTAGTAGCCCCTTTCCTTAAAACAAGCACCTGAGCTTGTCAGAGTTGCATGCGGACTTCAGGTGGGGCTGCTGGTCGCTCCCAGGACGTGGTACCTTAACTCTGTTCACATGTCTTTCCCTCAAATTGGTTCCCTACTTATAATTTGCCTTGAGCCTGGGCCTGCAAAGCAGAAAAGAAAAGTCCCCAAGACATTCCTTTTTATCAAAGGACAAAACTTGCTGGAGGCCCACCTTTAACTTTCATCCACCAATGGGAAGCCGGGACAGAGACAGTAGCTCCGCCCACTTCTCAAAGCCAATCAGCAAATTGAAAAGAATGAGTCAATTTCTCTCCCCGCGGCCGCTCTTGATTGGTCACAGCGGGGGCCTGCTGATTCCGCAGAACCTAGGCAGCCTGCTAAGCTTATTTTTCAGTTTCTCAAACTTCCTAGGGCTGGAGTGATGACCATCATCGTAAACATAATCTCACGTACCCAAGCACAGCTTTATTGTTTCGGATCATAGGACACAGAGCTTTCGCTGGGAGGGCCACCTGCTGATCTAGACCTTGGGAAGGGAATGTGCCTGGTGGCAGGGAGAAAATGCAACATTACTTCTGGAGAATTTGCCTCAGAGTGTACAAAGTTAAGCCTTTCAGACCTCCCTGCTGGCAAAGATCGTTTGCCTCAGCACCGAGGGGGGAATATAAAGGGTCTAGGCCAGCAGAGGGTATGAGCTCGTGAGAAAGACCCCAGATCTTTTGGGAAGTATAGCTGCCTCCCTGGCAAAGTCTAGATGCCAGTCTCATGCCCAGATGTCAGTGGTCTCTCTGGCTAAAGTAGGTGCTCAAATGCTTCTCTCTGGGGCTCTCCAAAAAGGAAACCGAAGACCTTCTTTGGCTGGTACGAAAGGAGGAGGTGGGAGGGCAGGGAAGAAGTTGACAAGTTCAGGGACAAGGTCTTAGCTGCAGTTGAACTCTGGAATTTCTCCTGTTTACAGATTGGAAGAAGTTGTTAGCTTCTTTTCTCAGAACGGACATGTGGATTTGGGGCAAGGAAGAAAAGCAAAAGCAAAAGCCCAAACATTCTGTAAGTAGTGGTTCTTGGCAACATTACCTTACCTTGATCTGGGAGATGCTGAGCAGAGTCAAAGGGTTATAAAACCCATGTTGTCTTGAATTCACAGAACACAGGAATGGCGTTCGAAGATCTGCAACTATACTACTTGGAAATGATCCCCAGGCTAAAGTGACCAGGGAAGTGACCCAAAAAACAAATTCTTCTTGACTTTTAAGGCAGGTGCAACTGTGGACAGCTGAGGTCCCCTTTGAAATTATCTTGCCATCGTAGGATGGGCTAGGATGACTCAACTCTTTAAATGCATGTTAAAGACTGGCTACTGTATTTACTACATTCTGGCCTCATTTTTTTTTGGTTATGATTTTGAAACTCAGAATGAACAATACCACGTGTGTGATGTTTTGGTCGCAAACATTAAAGACAGCGAATAATTATAAGCAGCTGTGGAAGTCAACATCCACTGTTAAACCCATGAACCATTCCAAATTCCTCGGTGAGATACTCTGAGATAACAAAGATTCCAGTGAGCAACTCAATCATGACATCTTTATTATACCATAGATGAATATTTGTTAAATAAAAATAGGTACAGCAAGTGTACAATAAGACCAGTAGTTCTCCTTCAGAACTCTACCCATTTTTCAGAGGAAGGAAACACTTTTCCAGAATACAATGCTCAAGAAATGTAAGCCAGATCCCGCTTGTATGAGGTATCTTAAGTAGTCAGACTCTCAAAAACAGAAAGCAGAATAATGGTGCCAAGAGCTGGGGCAGGCAGGGGGAAGGGGAAAAGAGGAGTTGTTCGGTGGGTATAGAACTTCAGAATTACAAGATGAGAAAGTTCCGGGGGTCTGTTTCACAACATGCATGGAGTTAACACTGCTGTACCATATGCTTAAAAATGGTTAAGATGGTACATTTTACCTGATGTGTTTTTTACCACAATAAAAAAAATAAGATTGAAATGGATTAGGAAAGTAAGGGGTGTTGTAAAAAGTCATTTAACAAGCATTTGATTTTAGACCATTGGACCTGCAGAAATACTTTGATTTGTTAGATTCAAGGTGAGGTGACAGAGCAATGAAGTCTGCAGCAGTTAAATGTCTGTTGATGTCTCTTGAGTGACATTGGAGATAGCTGTGAGGATGCCAACGATGGAGGAAACTTAGAAAGTTTTTAGATCCTGGGCCAGGCACGGTGGCTCACGCCTGTAATCCTAGCATTTTGGGAGGCTGAGGCAGGTGGACCACTTGAGGTCAGGAGTTTGAGACCAGCCTGGCCAACATGGTGAAACCCCATCTCTGCTAAAAATACAAAAAAATTAGCAGGGCATGGTGACGTGTGCCTGTGGTCCCAGCTACTTGGGAGGCTGAGGTGGGAGAATCGTTTGAACACTGTAGGCGGAGGTGCCACTGCACTCCAGCCTGGGTGACAGAGCGAGACTGTCCCAAAAACAAACAAACAAAAACAAAACAAAAAAACCCACAAAGTTTTTAGATCCTAAAATTTGTCAGCAGAAATGGTTACATAAGTCATGGGCAAGTTTCCACCACAAACATCACACTCCCATATTATTCTAATAGTAATTATAACCAAATGTGACCCCTTCGTGACTGTAGTTGTATAGAGTGTGGCACTAATGAGGCAAAATAGGAGACCCTGTTTGTCTGTCTAGTCTACATTTCTACTACTCCTTGGGCAAAGAATAGGGTTTTTTGGCTGCTGGTGGTGATCATAATATTTGATTCTGCATGTCAGTGAAATCATTGTCATAAAACTCTCTGTGGGTAAACAATGATCTGCATTCAGATTAAAATAGTTTTTAAGACTCTAGTTACTGAAAATGAGTCTTCATTTGTCTTTAAAAAGGTCATGTCCTTCTTTTTTCTATTTTTTTTTCAGTCATTGATTGCCACAAAAATTCAAGCCCCAATTTGTGTTTAATTTTTTTGTTGCTGGGTGAATGTTCCTGGGAACCATCTTCCCATTCATGGATTTCTTACTACTGGGAGCAGCCATCTACATAACATGGTGGTCAGGGACTACAAGGGTGGGCCTTTCCATCTGATGATTCTGAGTACAAGAAAGCTTTCAGATCCATTGTCAAGGGAGTGGAGCCTCGGGGCGGGATACAAGACTGACTATCAGGGTATTGCACAGTGTCTAGGGACTGAGGCCATTGCTAATCCACTCCCCATCTGACATCTAGGAAAAGTACAAACTGTGAAGATAGGCTACCATGTTTATCTGCCTCTGGCCGATCCCAACGCTGTCTGTACACTGACTTGTGTTTTACTTAGACAATGATACCCAGAGAAGACTGACAGACAGTGAGTGTTAGAGTGTGGGTCAGCAGAGATAGAGCAAAAGTCAAGCAGAAGAGTCTTGGAGATGCATCAAAAAACAGATACAGAGATATTTGGAATTGGGCCCAAATATACAGCAGCAGAGATACCAACTAAAATAAAAGAAAGAAAGACAGAGACAAGCAGAGTGACCATGTCAGAGAGAATATGTACATTTAGAAAAAGAAAGATTGAACAAAAAAAGCATATATCAGAATCTGCATTTGGAGGAGGTAAAAGAGCAGAATGGTCAGGGAATGAGAAAGAGAAACTGAGACTTACTAATCTTCTGAGCCTGAGAATATCAGGATGCAAAGCTGTGTTTTTCTCTGATGATGAATACCTTCTTCCAGTGTCCTAGTATTTCTCCAAAAAGATCATGCGGCTAGCACTGCTATGCAAAGCTTATTTGCTCAAAGATTTTGAAGGAGTCCAGACCTCATCATTATCAAATGACAACTGTTAAATACCCATTTCAGAATCAAATTTAGCCCAATAAATCCTCACTCATTCAAAGATCAGACTTGTTGCAGCTTTTGCTTGCTGAGCTCAGCTGTAAACTTAGGAGAAGACAGAAAGATCTCTGAGCTAATGAGGAATCCTTATTAGGACCCAGACGCTCGACCCCTAGCAGAGGACTTCATCTATTAACTCTTATTTAACATAGAATTATAACAAACCTGGCTATCGTAGTTTGTAGGCAATGGCCAGCTAAGAAAGAACAGACTGTGAAGGGCAAGTTACATTGGTAACAAAGAAAAATATGCTCTAATAGCCTGACAGTGAGGGAGGCAGCAGGGAAACTCAGAACTGAACACAGAATGAGCAGTCTGGGACCTCTCAGGGTTGGTACAAACAGTTGAGCTGACTTCTTAGATCCAGGTGCTCTCCTTGTGGCATCTCACAGTTAAAGGATTGTAGGAACTTCATAGGTAGAAGTCTTAGAGATTATCTTATCCAACTCCTTCATTAGAATGTTTAAATGATGACATGGTCGGGCGCAATGGCTCTCGCCTATAATCCCAACACTTTGGGAGCCTGAGGCGGGTGGATCACTTGAGGCCAGAAGTTTGAGACCAGCCTGGCCAACATGGCGAAAAACTGTCTCTACTAAAAATACAAAAATTAGCCAGGTGTGGTGGTGCGCGCCTATAGTCCCAGCTACTCGGGAGGCTGAAGCAGGAGAATCGCTTGAACCCGGGAGGCAGACACTGCAGCGAGCCGAGATAGTGCCACTGCACTCCAGCCAGGATGGCAGAGCGAGACTCCATCACACACACACACACACACACACACACACACACACACACACACACACACACAAGAATGTTTGAATGATGATCTTACACTAAACAAAAGCTTAAGGTGATTTGTATATATAGTTTAAAAAGATATCGAGTCAATATCTATAAAAGGAAAGTTTTGGCATTTGAAAGGGTAGAATTCTGTCATCTGAAAATCATTTTTATTTGGAGCATTTAGTTGTCTGATGATGCTAAATTATTTTTGCATGAAGACAGACAGGCACGGGCCTACATGCCACCTTGTTCGTTGGGAGACTCTTTGTGCATTAGCTTGGTTTTTCTATTCAAAGACAAGGAATGGCTGGACTGGGCTGTGGGCCCCTTCCTGTTTCTCTTCTGTGTTATGCCAGCTTTCAGAAAAGAAGAGTTCAGACATAAAGGTCATAAAATTACTGATTTTCTAATGGATTATTCTTGGCAACTTTTGGAAAAGTCAAGAAGTATATCCTTGGCAAATAATATATTTATTTGGGTATAGCTCTAATTTCTTTATATTTACTGTAGAACCTCTGGAAAAATGTTCATTCAACCCAGCACCCTAGTCCCTTAGGACCGAAGGAATCTGTCCCCCATCTTCCTGCCATGATGTCTCTTCTAGCTCATTCCTCACTCTTTTTTAAATTTATTTTTATTTTTATTTTTGAGACAGAATCTCGCTCTGTTCCCCAGGCTGGAGTGCAGTGGCACAATCTCAGCTCACTGCAACCTCTACCTCCTGGGTTCAGCTGGTTCTCCTGCCTCAGCCTACTGAGTAGCCAGGATTACAGGTGTGCGCCACCACGTCCGGCTGATTTTTGTGATTTTAGTAGAGATGGGTTTTCACTGTGTTGCCCAGGCTGGTCTTGAACTCCTGACCTCAAATAATCCTCCTGTCTCAGCCTCCTAAAGTGCTGGGATTACAGGCGTGAGCCTCTGTGCCCGGCCTGTTCTCACTCTTGAGTGTGTGGCCACTGCTCTGGGTTGAAGCATATCAGAATTCTGCCTGCCATAGGCAAACCATTCTGCCCATGGAGGCGTCTTGAATGACCATTCCAGCCCTTTCTTCCAGCCCAGGTCACATGATGGCATGAATCAGATGTGTCTTCCAGGAAACTACAAGGAGAAAAGAGCATCGGGGTTACTGTTTGATCTCTGCTGCTCTGTGTCAGCGGTAAGAGTTTTGTTGCTGGTCTCTGTAAATGGAGTAGAGAATGAAGACTTTCTGGATTACTGTGCTGGTCCCTGCTCTGAGGTCCTGGTGTGGGCCAGTCTCTCAGGGAGGTACTCCCGGCTGTGAGGAGCGCATCAAGTCGTGCCTCAGGGCCTGGAAGAGGCTAACGAGGGACTGCGCCCAGATGTCCTTCTGATGGCCGTGGGACAGGGCTGTGCGGTAGGCTGTGTAGGCCAGGGTCAGCACTGTCCTTTCAAAGTCTTCTTTCTTGAGGATGCCAGGGTGGCTGGAGAGGCTGGCGCTGAGCCGGCGGATGTCTGGGATGCTCTTGGGGATGACGTTGTTGCAGACGGTGCGGAAGTCTGAGGCCTTCCGCAAGGAGGCCAGCTCCTCGTCCTTGATGGAGATCTGCAGGTCAGGGCTGATCTCAAGTTCGGCCAGCAGGAACTGGTGAGAAATGTGGATGTGCAAAAATATGAAGTGAGGCATTGCTGAGGACACAGTTGTTCATTATCACGCACCTTCCCTTAGGGAGGCAGCTGCCAGAAGAGCTTTGGAACTCAAGAGAGTTCCAGTTCTGACTTTCTCACTTGCTGTGTGAACTTGGACAAGTTACTTAACTTCTCTGAGCCTCACTTTCCTTCTCTGTGTAAATAATTAGTAACACCATCTACTTCACTGGGATATTGTGAGAGGTAAATAAGACAAATATGGACAAAACTAATACAGTGTCTGGTTCAAAACCAGTATTTAAGGGACTAATTATAGTTTCTAGTGTCCTGGATAAATTCCTTCTTCCCTTTCTTTTTTCCACCCAACAAAGATCATCTAAAGCATCAACTATTTCGATAATTTTAAGGCAGAAGCTGGGAGACTCTTTCTGCATTAGCTTGGTTTTTCTATTCAAAGACAAGGTGAGACTGGATTGGGCTGTGGGCCCCTTGCTGTTTCTTTTCTGTGTTAAACCAGCTTTCAAAAAGAAGGAGTTCAGACATAAAGGTCATAAAATTACTGATTTTCTGTTTTTTGTTTTTTGTTTTCTTTTTTGAGATGGAGTCTCACTCTGTCACTCAGGCTAGAATGCAGTGGTGTGATCTCAGCTCACTGCAACCTCCACCTCCTGGGTTCAAGCGATTCTCCTGTCTCAGCTTCCCAAGTAGCTGGGAATACAGGCACCTGCCACCATGCCTGGCTAGTCTTTTGTATTTTTATTAGAGATGGGGTTTCACCATGTTGGTCCGGCTGGTCTCGAACTCCTGACCTCAGATGATCCACCAGCCTCGACCTCCCAAAAGTGCTGGGATTACAGGCATGAGCCACTACCCCGAGCCAAATGACTGATTTTCTAACTGATTCTTCTTGGCAGCTCTTGGAAAAGTCAAGAAGTACATCCTTGGCAAACAATATATTTATTTGGGTATAGCTCTAGTTTCTTTATATTTACTATAGGACCTCTGGAAAAATGTTCAGAGTTTGAAGGATGCAGAGGATTGTGCTAGGAATCAAGTGGGACACAGATATTTGTCCTCGTCTCTGACCTGCCCACTAAGCGTGGGAGCTGGGTCTGCCATGCACATCCCTGGGTAGTGCCAGGCTCACAGTAGGGATGGAATGACTCTAAATCCTCTCTCTTCTCTCTGTCTCTGTCCTCCCCTGCCCGAATTCATCCTCCATGGCACTGTCTATGATCTTTCTAAAATATAGATCTCTTCGTATGACTCCCATGTTCAAGACTAGGCAAAGACTCTGCATTTCCCAGTCTGGTTCCCAAGGCAGGATTTGAAATCTCTCCCCCTGGCTTAACTGCATGGCTACAGCAAGTTCTCTCTTTTTTTATTTTATTTTTTTGAGATGGAGTCTCGCTCTGTCACCCAGGCTGGAGTACGGTGGTGCGATCTGAGATCACTGCAACCTCCACCTCCCGGGTTCAAGTGATTCTCCTGCCTCAGCCTCCCAAGTAGCTGGGATTACAGGTGCATGCCAGCATGGCCAGCTAATTTTTGTATTTTTGGTAGAGATGAGGTTTCACCATGTTGGCCAGGCTGGTCTTGAACTCCTGACCTCAGGTGATCCACCTGCCTCGGCCTCCCAAAGTGCTGGGATTACAAGCATGAGCCGCCGCACCTGGCCTGGCTGTCTCTTTCTTTTCTTTTTTTTTTTTTCTTTTTGAGATGGAGTCTTGCTCTATTGTCCAGGCTGGAGTGCAGTGGCGTGATCTCGGCTCACTGCAACCTCCACCTCCCGGGTTCCAGTGATTCTCCTGCCTCAGCCTCCTGAGTGGCTGGGATTACAGGCACGTGCCACCATGCCCAGCTAATTTTTGTATTTTTAGTAGAGATGGGGTTTCACCGTGTTGGCCAGGCTGGTCTTGAACACCTGACCTTGTGATCCGCCCGCCTTGGCCTTCCAAAGTGCTGGGATTACAGGCGTAAGCCACCGCGCCCAGCCCCCAACCAGCTGTCTCTTTCTTAACCAGACAGTCCTAGTGCATGGAGTCAGAGGATGTCAAAGCTGGAGGGGAATTTTGGACAGCCTAGTTGAATTCTCTCATTTAACAGTTGAGGAGAGTCAGGCCCAGAGAGAAACAGTGGCTTATGCAAGGTGGCACAGCGGACGGGAGATAGAGCCAGGACTAAAGCTCAGATCTTGAGCCTGGGATCATAACACTGAACCAATCTGGGCAGCCTCGGGAAATTGACCCTGTGGTTTGGAGGAGGAGTGGGGTCTCAGTGATGCAAGATGAGAGGTAGTGAAAGACAGCCTGCAGGGTGGTCTGTGGCTTCCAGAAACCCAGCTAGGCTGGCAGCTCAGCCAGACAGCATTGCCATCTTAGCATGCAGGGCCTTGGAGACACGGCTGCACCCAGACAATGGCTTGGCATTTCCTGGCAAGTCCTGCCTCAAGGCCTTTGCTTGGGAATATTGCCATACTCTGGTGCCTGGGTGCCAGGAGTGATGCCTATAGGCCAAACCTAATCTTTAGTTTAAACTGAACTGAACTCCTAATGCCATCATTGTCTGTTATAGCATGTGGGAAAGACAGGAGGCATGAGGAATACTTTATGAATGAGTAGGTTCTATGACCTCTACAAATTAGGCTATTCCCTACCACAGCAGGGGTCACTCATGGTCAGGGGCTGAGGGGTCACTTCTCCTTTTCCAAAAAAGATAGAGAAAGTGCAGAGTCTTTTGGGTGACTTGGATTGAGCATGTTCCCCTCTGCCTACCTCGTAGAGCAGCTCCACCTCCTCCAGGGAGGTCTGCAGGACTGGGTTCAATGGCAGTGATGAGGACCTCTTTGGCCGGTGGGCGGCAGGGAAGAGCACAGCTGAAAGAAAGAAAACAGTGAGTTCCTGGCTGCTGTGTGCGCCCAGACCTTCTCCCTCTGATCCACCTTGAAGGTAGTCAAGGAGTCTTAAAAACGGACTGACTTGGCCAGGCACGGTGGCTCATGCCTCTAATTCCAGCCCTTTGGGAGGCCGAGGCGGGCGGATCACCTGAAGTCAGGAGTTCGAAACCAGCCTGGCCAACATGGTGCAACCCCATCTCTACTAAAATTACAAAAAACAGCCGGGCATGGTGGCGGGTGCCTGTAATTGCAGCTACATGGAAGGCTGAGGCAGGAGAATAGTTTTAACTCAGGAGGTGGAGGTTGCAGTGAGCCGAGACTGCGCCATTGCACTCCAGCCTGGGCAACAGAGCGAGACTCCATGTCAAAAAAAAAAAAAAAAAAAAAAGAAAGAAAAAAAAAAGGACTGACTGGAAAGTGGTGGTGGACACAGAGTGAGGAGAGAGGTGACATACTCCCCTGGTGTGGCCCAGAAAGCTCTCAGTCATATCAGACCAGTGGCTTAAAAACTGGCTGCTCATCAGAACCATCTGAGAAAACGAGAAAAGAAAAGAAAAAGAAAAAGAAAAAGGAAGAACCATCTGAGAAAGTTTTGCAAAATCTATATGCCTGGGGATATGCATGCCTTAGGAAATTTATATTAAACCAAAGCAAAATAAAGCAAAGTAGAAATGAGTGAAAACAAAAAGCCCCAAAGTCAGTAAGTGAGTTCCCTGAAAACACTGTTCCCTAATAGCACTGCACGCATCTTAGCGCGTTATCAGTATGAAGTGCTGGTTTATGTTGATTCACTGCCTGTTTTAATCAGAAGATCAGGATTCTGGCTGCCTCATGCATCCAAAATATAGCTGCCAAGAATCTGAACACACATGACAAAATAAAGGAAGAGAGATGCACAAGACCCAGGCCCTTGGATCTAGGGCATCATTGTGGGGTCAAACTCAGAGCTTTCCCCAAGGGCTGCCTGATTTTTGTTTGTTTGTTTGTTTGAGATGGAGTCTTGCTCTGTTGCCCAGGCTGGAGTGCAGTGGCACGATCTTGGCTCACTGCAACCTCTGCCCACTGTGGGTTCAAGTGATTCTCCTGCCTCAGCCTCTCAAGTAGCTGGGATTACAGATGTGTGCCACCACGCTCGGCTAATTGTTGCATTTTTAGTAGAGACAGGATTTCACCATGTTGGCCAGGCTGGTCTTGAACTCCTGACCTCAAGTGATCTGCCTGCCTCAGCCTCCCAAAGTGCTGGGACTATAAGCATGAGCTACCGAGCCCAGCCAAGCCTGGCTGATTTAGGAATGTATTTAGTATAAAGTCAGTGACTTGACAATGCTGTTCCAGTGGTTGCATGTAGAAATGGTAACTGGAGGAAGATGAATTGCTATTAGAGGTACACAGGACAGCAAGAATTAGGCACTAACTGGGGACAAGTGAAGGAGAAGACAGAACATCAGAGGGTATAGGAATGATCATTATAAATTGCAGTTCTCCAGGACCACGTCAGGCTAGGAGCAAATAGCTCTGGTCACCTCCACAGCCCCTCTGGGGAGCAGGCACTGTGCAGAAATGATCGGCAAGCCCTCTGCCAGCTGATAGAAAAAGGTACAGCTTCTTTAAGACACTTAATTATGATCTACCAGAAAACTGTGGAAATAATGGTAAAAATTGGAGACTACAAGGTGTTGGCACCCCCTGAAGTTGTACAGGCATATTTTGCTTAATCATAAATGGCAGCTCTGCTAGTTGATAATAGTGCCCTTGAGCCATTGAGAAAAGGTCAAATTATGTTCAGTGTACGCAGTTAAAGAAGGCAGGCTGGGCGCTGTGGCTCATGCCTAAAATCCCAGCACTTTGGGAGGCTGAGGTGGGCAGATCACATGAGGCCAGGAGTTTGAGACCAGCCTGGTCAACATGGTGAAACCCCATCTCTACTAAAAATACAAAAGTTAGCTGGGCATGATGGTGCGTGCCTGTAATCCCAGCTACTTGGGAGGCTGAGGCAGGAGAATTGCTTGAACCCGGGAGGTGGAGCTTGCAGTGAACCGAGATCGTGCCACACTGCACTCCAGCCTGGCGACAGAGTGAGACTGCATCTCAAAAAAAAAAAAAAAAAATGCTGGGCGCGGTGGCTCACACCTGTAATCCCAGCACTTTGGGAGGCTGAGGTGGGTGGATCACGAGGTCAGGAGATCGAGACCATCCTGGGTAACATGGTGAAACCCCATCTCTACTAAAAAAATACAAAAAATTAGCCGGGTGTGGTGGCAGGCGCCCGTAGTCCCAGCTACTTGGGAGGCTGAGGCAGGAGAATGGCGTGAACCTGGGAGGCGGAGCTTGCAGTGAGCCAAGATCGCGCCACTGCACTACAGCCTGGGTGACAGGGTGAGACTCTGTCTCAAAAACAAAAACAAAAAAAGGCAGGGAAGGATGGAAATCATTTTAGAAGGATTGCCATCAGAAGTGATTAAAAAAAAAAAAAAAGGAAACATCTTTAACTTAGAGGAACTTTCCTGAAAAGCTCACTGGTAGGAATCTCCCATGTCCCAGAAAATCCTGATGGGCTTATTATAGTATTGCTGTAAACTGCTTTCTCAGTAACTTATTTATGATCGATACCACAAGTTCCTCAAGGGCTTTGATACATACAGTTTTATATTCTGTACCCGTGGCAGAGCCTGGCAGGCTTCCGGGGTGTGCGCTGGGCATAGCTGTTGATGACCAAATCCCTGCACTAATGGTCGCCTCGGCCAGCAGAGTGACGAGCTCTGTTTCGCCAGACCATGCTCAGGGAAGGAGCCATGAGCTCCATGGCAGTATTCCCTAGCCAGGTATTTCAGCAGAGTTTATACTCTTTGCCAAAAAAGAGCCAGTTTCCCCCAGAATCATAGATTTTAGGGCTTGAGGAAGCCTTTGCCCCTGTTTGTCCATTGCCAATGCCTGTAGTGTCAGGTGGAACACAGGAGAGTGAGGTGTCTGTGACTCCACTAGTTAACACTGTTAGAGTCACCAAAGCGGTTTCTTGGACCTGGCTCCAGAGTTCTGATTTAATTGAACCAGAGGGCAATGAACACATTACGATTTTGTAAAGCTTCCTAAGTGCTTCTAATGACAGCCGAGGTTGAGAACCACTGTCCTAGTCAGAGTAAGCTTGACCTGAAATTGTGTGGAAGACGCTGACCCTAGGCTGTGTGGCCGCTCTTTGTTTAGACCGGTGGTTCCCAGCCTTGACTAGACATTCGATTCATCCGGGCACTTTTAGAAACCCAAATGCCCAAGACCACACTCCAGGCCAATTTGTGGGCATCTCTGGGAGTGAAATGTAGGCACTGGGACTTTTTCCAGCTCCCAGGCTCCAGTTGGCAGCCAGATCTGTGTTATCCATATCACAGACAGGCCGATGGTGTCCTTCTACCATAAAACAATTCAGAGCTCTTGCCTATCTGATGGGGCCTTACAAGGTCATCTGAAGAGACCAAGGTCATCATGTTCTTGGAGGTAAGGAGTGCAGGCACAAAGAGGGCATGGACTTTGTCTCTGTTTTCTCCTTGGTATGAGATGAGTTGGTCCTAGGTCAAGGTGTGGCCTGTTTCTTTCTTTGTGCTCTTCTTTTCTTCCCACCAGGAAGAAAGGAGGTGGATGAAACCCCCTTCTTAGGATAGGATCTAAGAGCGACTCTACTTCTTTAATTCTGCTAGAATTTATCTCTTATTGCCAAATTAAAGGTATTATTCCCTTAAAAAAAAACAAAACAAAACAAAACAAAAAAAAAAACCTCAGTCCCAGCAGAGGAAGGCAATAGGGAGGGAATGTCAGGGCGTGGAGCCCTTTCTGCTCCCTGTAATCACAGCCGCTGCCTGCCTGGAAGTTATTTATGATCTTAGACCTGGACTTTCTTCGCTCAGTTGTTGCCCTGTGAACAGCAACATGTCTTTAACATGCTCACCCCAGAGGTACCCCTAGTTCTCAAAGAGCCAAGAAGAAAATACTTCCTGATTCAAAGCTGAGCTTGATAATGGAAACTTTGTCATTTCCAATAGCTCTTGGTCTCCTACTGAATAGTAATATAGTTTGATGGAGACTTAGAAATAGCTTCAGACAATGGGAATGGCTATTGCTTTAAAATGTAAGTGTGTACCAAAAATTAACTGGGTGTGGTGGCAGGCACCTACAGGGCACCTGTAGTCCCAGCTACTCAGGAGGCTGAGGCAGGAGAATGGCGTGAACCCGGGAGGCGGAGGTTGCAGTGAGCCGAGATCATGCCACTTCACTCCAGCCTGGGTGACAGACTGAGACTCTGTCTCAAAAAAAAAAAAAAAATGTAAGTGTGTACCAGGTGTGGCAGCTCACACTTATAATCTCAGGACTTTGGGAAGCTGAGGCGGGTGGATAACTTGAACCCAGGAATTTGAGACCAGTCTGGGCAACATAGTGAGACCCATCTCTACTAAAAATAAAAAAATTTAGCTGGGCATGGTGGCACACGCTTGTGGTCCCAGCTACTTGGGAGGCTGAGGCAGGAGGATCAACTGGGCCTGGGAGGTCAAGGCTGTAGTGAGCTGTGATCAGCCACTGTACTCTAGCCTGGGCGATAGAGTGAGACCCTGTCTCAAAAAAAAAAAAAGAAAAGCCAAGCAAATGGGAGAAAGCATTTCCAATGAATGTCACTGATAAGGATCAATATCTAGAAGCTAAAAAAGAGGTCCTACCAATCCATTTAAAAAGTAAAAAATTAGAATGTATGTGTGGGAAGCACAGGAATCTTAAAGATGGGTCTCTCTTCCTCCCTTCCTCACCCCCACCCCTGCACTGGTCCACCAGGCCCAGCAGTGCTGCCCCTCACATTTCTGTGGCTGCTTTGACCTTGTGCATTGGGCAGGGGTAGGGACGGCTGCTGGAGTGCAGCCAGCTCTAGGGCAGACATCTCAGTGGCTCGGCAGCCACCCAGATCTGACTCCCTGTGTGAGGCAAGATCTAGAGAGAATAAACTTATCTCCACTGGAGAGGCTGGAGGTGGTGGGTGAGAAATAGCTCTATCTGATCAATGTCAAAATACAGAGGTACAATTTCACAATGTACAGTCACTCCAAGATGTTCTTGTCCATAATGATGAAGGCTGGACCCCACCGGAAATGCTGATGGCTGAAACAAGGGCTGGCAAACTCCAAGATGTATATGTGCAAAGCTGGAAACTAGACTTGCTCCTACATTTTAGAAAATCTTGTTTCCCCAGGAAGCCTTTCCTGAGACTCAATGGTCAGCTTGCATGGAAGTTGGCTGCCCAGGCTGGCCGTGGGGTGGGGAAACCAAGCACTGCTCAGCTCCTCCTCGATTCCCTGGACAAATGAGCATCTAGGACACATGGGACCGACCAGCATAGAACAAGTGACTCACTTGCTAAAGGTCATGCCACATGGACTAAGTTAGTCCAGGAGCTGGATCCAGAGTTCATGATTCATGTGTTATAGCGTGTTCTGTCCATGTCTTCTGCTGAGAGATACCTCTGGAGCTCAGGCTAAAGCTCTTAACATGTGGAGCTCAGATATAATAATGTAAGAGCTCGGGGCACCCACTGTGTGCCTTGTGCTGTCCATAAGTACCTTGTGAGGTAAATATGAACTTTCCATTTTATAGATGAAGAAACTTGGAGGTTAAGAAAATTGCCCTAGGCCATCCAATTTATTTGAGGTAGGGCTGGGATTAAAATCCAGATCTCCAAGGCTCCAAAACCCAATCTCACTGATAAGTGAACAATGCTCCTTTTTGTAGGTACCTCTGCCCAGAGAGTGGGCATTCTTCAGTTCTGAATAACTACAGAAAGGATAAATGGTAGTTAGTTATGAATGAATGAATGCCTATGCATTTGATAGAAAACGTATTCTTAAGTGGATCACACATACTTTTCAAAACTCTGACTTTGACTTATAATAATGTGATATGCAAGGTCAAAGGACTACTTTTAGGATCACTCTCCTGCATCGATTCTCCTTTTCTCCCTCATTGTTCCTTTTTTTTTTTTTTTTTTTTGAGACAAGAGTCTTGCTCTGTCGCCCACGCTGGAGGGCAGTGGTGCAATCTGGGTTCCCAGGTTCAAGCGATTCTTGTGCCTCAGCCTCCTGAGTAGTTGAAACTACAGGCGCCACCATGCCTGGCTAATTTTTGTATTTTATTTTATTTTTTTTAACTGGAGATGGGGTTGTTTACCATGTTGGCCAGGCTGGTCTCGAACTCCTGGCCTTAAGTGATCCTCCTGCCTCAGCCTCTGAAAGTGCTGGGATTACAGGTGTGAGTCACTGCGCCCAGCCCCTTATTGTTCCTTTGCAATCGCTTGGCAAAAGCACAGTCCAGCTCTGCCTATTGCACACCTGCCCCTCTGCACCTGAAGGTGGCTGGAGAGAAATGCTCTTTGTGATGACTCTATTTAAAATTACAACCCTCTGGACTCTGTAGCCTCTGTCCTTACTTTATTATCATCCAACAAATCACCCATTTTAAAATATAAATATATTTGTTGCCTGTTTCCCCTCACTAGAGGGTATGGGATTTTGTCTATTTTGTTCACTGTTGTATTCTCAGTGCCTAGTATCATGCCCCTTCCTGTTTGTCAAATGAATAAATAATCCCACAGGAACACATTACCTGCCCTGGTCACTAAGCTCTATTCTTTTCAAATAGAGTGCCTACAAAATCCTTCCTTTTCTAATAGGGTGAATCTAGAGTTTATTTGTGGTTCTCGGTCTTGGCTAATGATCAGAAAGTAGATGTTGACTTCTGTCTCCACCACACCCTCCCCTTATCCCTGAGGAGTCCCTGTTTGGGCCTGGACGAAGCTAGTTTTTAATTGATCTCAGCGAGTGCTGTCCCCTACCTCCCCCACACCTTAGCCCTTCAAAGCTTTCTTGCCTAGACAAACAGCCAGAGGCACTCCAATGGAGTAGCCTGCCTTTGTTTGGCAGCCCGACCTTCTCTTTGACTTTCTGTAATCTGGGTTAAAAGTCTCTTTCTTCTTCTTTCCTCCCATCCCTCCGATATGTTCAGTAGTATGGTATTCAGGCTAATCATGCTTTCCCCAGAACTGTGCATAGCATTTGTGGCAAAGAGCTTGTTGGAAAGGATTCAAGCTGCAGACCATCTCAAGCCAAACTCCAACTGTATTTTTAATGAATCAGTTGAAGCAACTCGATGGAAAGGACGGTGGGTGTGGAAAGGAAAAGCTCTCGTTTGTAAAAGATCTTTTGCCAGATCTGACTGATGTCATTTACTTTTTGACTCCTGGGCCAGCCCTCTGGAAACAGAGTGCTATTCTGAGCGAGCCAGGGTCTCGGCCCTGTGCGTGGGGGTCCTCTGGGAGAGCTCCTGAAAGGGCTCTGGCAGCCAGCTCCTCTTGGCTGGAAAGCTCCACCATGTAGGGGGGAGCTTGGGGCTGCCGGGAGCAGGTGAGTGGCCCATGGGGGATGGAGAAATATGCAGAGCGGATGAATGAGGACGGGGCACTCTGCCAGCAGATGGACCTGGGGGATCAAATTCAACTCTGCCCTTGCAGCTGGGGGAGCTGGGTCACTTCACTTCTTGCCTCACTCTCCAATTTTCTAACCTGTAAATGGTTAGGATAGCACCTGCCTCACAGAGTTACTATGGAGAGAGGAGATGGCTCTGTATGGGGCACTTGGGCAGTGAATACTTAAAACAATTTTCTTTTTGGATACAGGGTCTTGCTCCATCATCCAGGCTGGAGTGAAGTGGCGCAATCATAGCTCTCTGCATCGTTGACCTCCTGGGCCTAAGTGATCCTACCACCTTGATCTCCTTGCCTTAAGTGATCCTACCACCTTAACCTTCTGAGTAGCTGGGACTACAGGCATGTGCTGCTACACCCAGCTAATTTTTTTTTTAACTTTCCCCTGAGTCACTGGAATTATAGGCGTGCACCACCGTGCCCGGCAGTCAGTGAGTACTTACTGAGTACTGACCACAGGCCTTTCCCTCATGGAACATTCATGACTGAGGACACACACAACCCTTAAATGGACACCTGAAAATGACATAAGGTCCACCAAAAAATGGAAGGGCTGCTCTATTAAACTACTTAAAAAATAACTTGTATGTATTCAACAAAAGCATAGCTATTCATATCCTTAATAGGTGCATATTTCATTCATATCCTTAATAGGTGCATAATTCTTTCTCAAGTCTGGCTAGTCCTCCCCCTTCCAGTGGTGCCCTGGCAGGACCTGGTATGTGCTGGGACGTGGGCCACCTGTGTGTGTGTGTGTGTGTTTCTGTGTGTGTGTATGTGTGTGTGTGTGTAGATGTGGCTTTCCTGGCTTGGCCACAGGTGAGTCATTTGGTCTTCATCAAACTGGTGGGGCTGGAATGGGTGATCCTGGATCCTGGCATGGAAAGCTGCCTCCCAGGGTGGAATCCTAGAGAGCGCTTAGGGAAAGGCTGGGAGGATGGTAGGAAAAAGACAGTGCTAACAACAAGGCGCATATTGCCTGTGGGTTTACATCTACATTTACATTTTGGAGCAGGAGGGTGGGAGGATGGACACGGGGTAGTGGTGGGGCTGGGGGCCAAAGGGCAGGGGGTGGAAGAGGAAAAGCTCTGGAAGAGATTGCCCTAAGACTGTTTCCAAAGGGAGTACTTTGAATTGAGGCTGGAGGTAGGGTGGGGGTAAGGATGAAGGTGAAATGAATAATACATTTGGAAAAACTTACTCATTTGGGTGTGACTCCTATTCAGTCTTGAAAAAAAAGATGGCAAGAATTGTGTATTTCTTTTATAATTAGAAAAAAATGTTAAAAATGAAAAAAAAATCAACTACGCGGAAGACATTTGATGATGGTTGGAGGGACTCTGTATCATTTGTTGACTCAGCGCTGACTTGAGCCATTAATCTAGCACGTCACATCCGCTGCCTCATAGTGACCTCGGTTTGGCTGGCTTTGAGTCAGTGGATTGTGAACTCACTGTGGAAAGACCTTCCCCAATGCGGAAGGACATGGCCCGGAGAAGTTGCTCCCAGAATGTTGCTGTAGATTCCCCTGTTAAGAGCCTTAAACTTCCTTTAATGAAAAATTTTTATTTTTCAAAAACTGGTAGGCAATAGCTAATATTTATATTGTGCTTTGTCATTTACAAAGTATTTTCATCTATATTTTTGAATATGACCCTCACAGTAATAGCATGAGGGTTTTATTGATGTGATGGATGTTAATGTCACCCGTTAGTGAACTAAAGCTCAGAGAGGTTAAGAGACTTGTCTGAGATCACATTGCCAAATAGAGATGGAACTTAAACCAGGACCCTTGCAGAGTAGCTCATGATGTGGCTATCGTGTTTACAAACCATATTGCAAGTCAAATAATCCCTTTTGGCTTTGTAATAGCCTGTGCCTTAGGAAGAGTGGGCACTGTTACCCTGTTTAATAAGCAAATCCCCAGTGTGACAAAGAGGGGAGTGACAGAACCCAACTCCAAGATCTCTTTGCTTTTTACTTCCAAGTGCTACCTCAAAGTTTGTGCACACAATGAAAAGGGAGGTGTGAAAACAGGGTGACTACAGTCAATAACAATTTAATTGTACATTTAAAAAGAACTAAAAGAGGGCCAGGCACTATGGCTCATGCCTATAATCCCAGAACTTTGGGAGGCTGAGGTGGGCAGATCACTTGAGGTCAGGAGTTTGAGAGCAGCCTGGCCAACATGGTGAAACCCCATCTCTACTAAAAATACAAAAATTAGCCAGGCGTGGTGGTGCGCACCTGTAACTCCAGCTACTCAGGAGACTGAGGCACGAGAATCGCTTGAACCTGGGAGGCGGAGGTTGCAGTGAACCAAGATTGCACCCCTGCATTCCAGCCTGGGCAACAGAGTGAGACTCCGTCTCAAAAATAAATAAATAAGTAAATAAATAACAAATAAAAGTAACTAAAAGGGTATCACTGGATTGTTTGTAACACAAAGGCTAAATGCTTGAGGGGATGGATACCCCATCTTCCATGATGTGACGTGCCTGTATCAAAACATCTCATAGGCCCCATAAATATGTATACCTACTATGTGCCCACAGAAATTAAAAATTAAAAATTAAAAAAAGAAAAGGGAGGGGTGTACGTGTGTATGTGCATGTGTATGCAAGGTTGTTATGAGAAAAATGAAGAATGCTGTATTATTTGTTTCTGGGCAACGATCACTTCACAGCTCAGCTCAAAAGACTTATATCCCTGTTAGAGATGTAAGTCCCTAATGTCACGTTTAACCATGAGGAAATAAAACCCAGCATAAGTACAGTAGCTTTTGCCTCCCTCCCATTTCAGATCCTTCTCTCGCGCTGCTCTATCCCCACTCCGGCCACTCCTTCCTTCCCTGACACTGTCCTTGAGAAGCAAGCAGGAGGCGCATCCATGCCACCATGCCAGTTGCCTTCCAATTTTGCATCTCTAGAAACACCTACTGGCCTGACTTGAAGGAGCCTGTTCTTCTTGCGGTTCTTTCTAGGAGAGTGAACTCAGTTGACTTTAGGCAGTGGAAAGATTTCCGTTCATATTGGTGAAGAGTGGGCAGTGCCGTGGGTCCCTCCTTTCCTAACAGTGATAAACTCTGGCTCGAGGTGCTCCCAGTGTCTACCAAGCAGAGCCACTCCCAGGGAAATGGAGAAAAGATGCCATCCAGCTAGGAGGAACTACATCCTGAGGGGGAGGAAGTCAGTGATAAGAGAACAGCCTTTGCTGGGGCCCCTTCCTTTGTGAGGAGGTGGCGGAGCTGGTGGGTGCAGTGGAGGTTGAAGGGTTGCTCTCCTCACCTGCCCACCTCTGGCTGCAGAGATGCATCCCCTCCCGGTGAGGAGGCAACGTTCTGCAGAGCTTCTGCTCTGGTTCCCCCAGGGAGCAGGCCTTTGGCATCCCAGTGCCCATCACTCCATCATTTTAGCAGCAGGTCTCAGCACCTGCTCTCCAGACGGTCTGGCCCAACTGCTGCAGGTGGTGGGGGCAGTCGAAGAAATGAGTTCTACTTTCTATGAAGCAGAAATGAGTTCTCTCTGGGATGCCAGAAAGGGGTACTCTCTGGGTTCTCCACCTCAACCTAATTCCCTCAGGAGCTTTGATTTTTTCCAGTGTCATTTCCCCATCACCCTCTAAGAAGGGGGAACACGTCAAGAAGCATCAAGGAATTGACAGAGATTAGACAAAAGGAGAGTGCGGGGCTTCTAATGTCCTTCCCTCCAAATTTTGAATTGCATTGAAGAAAGTATAATGAGCATCAAACAAACAAATGAATAAAAAGCAACTCACCCCTGCTCCACCTGTGGCACATAGAAGCCTCAGCATTGTAATACAACAGCAGAAGCAGCAACATCTTCCAATGCATCTTGTCCTTCAAAAGGTGAAAAATCGACCCTCAAGCCCAGTGGAACCCCAGTAGCTGCAGGTATGCCCGTGCCGTTCTTCCCAGTGAGATGATGGAGTGCTTCCCTCCCTTCCTTTTGCAGACGTGCAGAAATGCCTACTCTGCCTCAGAAGGCTGGAGGCTGAAGGCTGCGTCCTGGGTGGGACAGGAGTCGGTACCTCTCTTCATTTGACGCTCTCTGGGATTGGGGAACTGGCCTTCCACAGAGAGACTCTGTTTTTGAGCACATCTGGAGTGACTCACGGGGCATGTGATCTCCTTGGCAGTGGGGCGGATAAATATAATTTCTGTACTTGAGTTCCATGTGTTGGATGCACCCACTGGAATTTTTCTTTAACAAACAGACCCGCGGAACTTGTTAGAGAGCCCGGCGAAGAGTTGGCTGCTCTCCCCGTCCACACATACGATACCAGAGCCAGGGGCGAGGGCTGGAGGCAGAGTTGGGAGCCTGCCTGGCAGACACCAGGGCTGGTTGAGCCTAAGTTGCCTTCAGGACAGCAAAATCATTGTGGTGCCTGGGCTGAGTGTCACTGTTGCCTGGCCCTGGAGCTAGACTAGGACATTGGCGCCTAGAGCCTGTGTCTGGTCTGCCCAGGTTCTGGGTGGGTGGGGAGTTGGCAGGTTGTGACCGAGCCGAAGTGGAGAGGTGACATGGTGCATCGGTATTGTCTGTGTGAACGTGCGTAGGTAATGATCCAGGAGCCCACGGGGACCCCCAACTCACATTGGTGATGCTCCCATTTCTGGGCTGTGCCTAGACCTGGGGCCAAGCCCCACAACTCACATTGGTGATGCTCCCATTTCTGGGCTGTGCCTAGACCTGGGGCCAAGCCACTTTGATTTTCCCAAGCAAAATGGGAGTGTTTTTCCATAGTCGTTGTAATATACTGCCATAGACACCTTAATTCTTTCCCAATCACTTCCTCAACTTCTCTGAAATGATAGGGAATGCTAAAGCTTGAAGGACACTTAAAGATTATGTCATCCTGTGGGTTTTCCAGTTTGTGGAGGTGGTGCCCAGGGTGAATGGGCTCCCCAAGAGGGCTCCTCAAAGCTCTACTCTACTGCAAAAGCTCCTCTTTTATCTGCTATAAGAAGTTGTTTGGGAGCCGGGCATGGTGGTTCACGCCTGTAATCCCAACACTTTGGGAGGCCGAAGTGGGGGAATTGCTTGAGGCCAGAAGTTCAAGACCAACCTAGAGAAAATAGACCCTGTCTCTACAAAAAATTAAAAAATTAGCTGGGCGTGGTGGCATGTGCCTGTAGTCCTAGTCACTCAGGTGGCTGAGGCAGAAGGATTGTTTAGGCCCAGGAGTTCAAGGCTGCAGTGAGCTATGATCACAACACTCTACTCCAGCCTGGGTGACAGAGTAAGAACTTTCCTCTTAAAAAAATTAAAAAAAAAACAACCAGTTTTTTTGGGGGAAAAAATACTAGACTACAACATTTGAAAACCAGTACGCTCACTAATATTAATAATAGCTATTAGGTGCTTAATTTGCTTCAGACAGCGTGCTAGGTGCCCTCCTTGCATTAACTGATTTAATGCATCC
Organism: Homo sapiens; assembly: GCF_000001405.40. Taxonomy (NCBI): domain Eukaryota; kingdom Metazoa; phylum Chordata; class Mammalia; order Primates; family Hominidae; genus Homo; species Homo sapiens. The sequence goes on from NC_000007.14 coordinate 135,750,173, forward strand.
ACCGAACTAGGAGGTTAGGGCACTAGCCAGCAGCACTCTCCAACAGAAATGTAACGTGAATCACAAACGTCACTTAACATTTTCTACAACTCATACTAAAAAAAAGTAAAAAGAGGCTGGGTGCAGTGGCTCACGCCTGTAATCCTAGCACTTTGGGAGGCCGAGGCAGGCGGATCACCTGAGGTCAGGAGTTCGTGACCAGCCTGGCCAACATGGCAAAACCTCGTCTCTCCTAAAAATACAAAAATTAGCCGGGCATGGTGGTGCACACCTGTAATCCCAGCTACTCGAGAGGCTGAGGCAGGAGAGTCTCTTGAGCCTGCGAGGTGAAGGTTGTGGTGAGGCGAGATGGTGCCACTGCACTCTAGCCTGGGCAACACGAGTGAAACTCCATCTCAAAAAAATAAAAAATAGAAAAAGTAAAAAGAAACAAGTGCAATGAATAGTAATAATATCTTTCATTTAATTCAATATATCCAAGATATTATCATTTCTACAAGTAAGTGATATAGTATTAGCAAGATATTTTATATATATATATATAATATTTACATGAGGTCTTTGAAATCTAATGTGTATTTCACACTTATAGCACTTCTCAAGTCACACCAGCCCTGTTTCAAGTACCTGATAGCTCCATGCAGCCAGTGGCTCCTGTATCGGGCAGTGCAGAGCTAGAAGGTGAGAGGGCAGGCTCTGGGGCAAGATGCCTGTCTTTGTATCCCAGCTGTGCCACTGACTAGCTGTGTGATATTGGTGGAGTTCCCTCATCTCTCTTGGGCTTGATTTTCTTCATCTATAGAATGGGGACAATAATAATTTCCTCTCATAGGGTTGTTTCAAGGAATCAATGCATTTTTTTTTAAGATAAAACATTTTGCTTTATTTTTCATTTGCCACATGCATATCTTGACTGTTTACACAGTTATCATTCAATGTAGATACACAATTAATTGCTAAGAGAGAAATTAAATGCATTGCTGATGAATTTATTTTATTTACTTCATTCCAATAAGAAAAGCCACCATTCTTGAGGGGCTCACGGTTCTTTTCCATTTTCCTAACCCTTGAGTATACAGGGAGTAATCATACCTACACTGTCTCTGTTTCAAAAGGTGGTCGTAGATCTCAGCCAGGTAAAAATTTGAGATTTGACAATATTCCAAGTGTAAAGGGTTTTGATTTGGAAATAGGTTCTGTATTAAAAATGGCATAAATGATTATTTTTCTTCTTTATGCTGCAGCACTTTAACTTGTAATTTCTTTTTTTTTTAATTATTATACTTTAAGTTTTAGGGTACACGTTCACAATGTGCAGGTTAGTTACATATGTATACATGTGCCATGCTGGTGCGCTGCACCCACTAACTCGTATCAATGCATTAATACGTATAAATGTTGAGAATAATATCCGGTACATAGTAAGCATTGAATATATGTGAGCTCTATACACATGAAGAAACAGGCTCAGAGAAATCTATGTGATTTCAGAGCCCGCATGCAAAACCACTCCCCTCGCTTGCCTTAAAGCCTTATATTTTAGGAACTCCTTATTGGAGTGCTGGTAAACCAGTTCTAGAGGGGTGGGGAGAAACTTTCATTTGTAGTGCCTGCCAATTCCCCTGGTGAAAATACTCATGGCTGATTTCAAGCTACTGATACTTTAACAAGTGGCTTGCAAAGTTTCTGAAATATTAACAATCGGCTCTCAGGAAGTCCGTAAGAGCTGGCTCCAACACACAATGGCCTCTACTCATCAGATTAGTCTTACTGGCTCTAACTATCTTTGCTTCTGGTGTAATGTTTTCTTTTTGTACTTTGTAAATCTGCAAGGATTGCCCAAAGGACCTAGCACGGGGTAGCAAGCACCCTGCAGTTGCCCATTGAATACTTGTTGATTGATGCTGAAGCCAAGAAGACTCAGGCCTCCCTGCTGTCCTGCCGACACTCTTGTGAGTGAGGACGATGGACGTGGCTTGCCAGGCCATGGGGAATCCAGGACCAGAAATCACCATTTTGGCCTCCAGTCCCAGACTTTTCGAATCTGTAGGCTCAAATCTCCAAATTGTCACCTGCTAATTACTAAACTGGGGTGAGGATTAGCTTTTGGACTTGGGCTGGGAATGAATGTGTTTGTAACTAATTTCATTTCCTAAGATGATGAGTCAGGCCTTCTCTCTCACCACTACACCTTGGCACCAGGAGGCGAACATCTACAGCTTCTCAAGGGGCCTGATTGAAGTCTCGGGAAGGCCTGGCCTAGTATACAGTACTGATTTTTTTCTCTCCCCATGTTTTCCTTGTTCCCGCTACGATCCTGAGTGCACTGGTTGAGACTGGTAAGGAAATGAATAACACTGCCTTTTGTAGCAGAGCACAGTAAAATCATGACAGTGGAGCTTCTGAGAGCTATTGATTATGTAAGGAATACTTTAGGGGGAGGTGTTCTACTGAAGGCAATAGTTGTCCAATACATCTTCACTCTGAACTCCCACTACGCCTACCTGTATTTCTGTTTTTTTTGAGACAGAGTCTCACTCTGTCATCCAGGCTGGAGTGCAGTGGTGCGATCTCTGCTCACTGCAAGCTCTGCCTCCTGGGTTCACGCCATTCTCCTGCCTCAGCCTCCTAAGTAGCTGGGACTACAGGCACCCGCCACCCCGCCTGGCTAATTTTTTTTGGTATTTTTTAGTAGAGACGGGGTTTCACCTTGTTAGCCAGGATGGTCTCGATCTCCTGACCTCGTGATCCACCCGCCCCAGCCTCCCAAAGTGCTGGGATTACAGGCATGAGCCACCATGCCCGGCCCGCCTACCTGTATTTCTTAGTCAATTTTCCAGCTTAGTTACATCTACCATTTACTGAGTTCTGACTACACATCTCATTTTATGTCATTCAGTTTTCCCAGGAGTTCTATTCGGTAGATACTAAAATAGGGTCCATTTAACATATGGCAACCTGAAGCTTAGAAAGGATAAGTAACGAGGGTCACACAACTACTGTATGGTAGACACTTCCATATGCTGCCTAGCAGGGGCTGAGATGAAAATGAGAAAACCAGGCCGGGCACAGTGACTCACACCTGTAATCCCAGCAATTTGGGAGGCCAGGGCGGGAGTTCAAGACTCCTGAGGTCGGGAGTTCAAGACCAGCCTGGCCAACATGGTGCAACCCCGTCTCTACCAAAAATACAAAAAATTAGCCAGGCATGGTGGCGGGCACCTGTAACCCCAGCTACTTGAGAGGCTGAGGCAGGGGAATCGCGTGAACCCGGGGGCGCAGATTGTAGTGAGCCAAGATCGCGTCAGCGCACTCCAGCCTGGGCAACAAGAGCAAAACTCCATCTCAAAAACAAACAAACAAACAAAAAACCACCACCACAACAAAGAACAAACAAACAAAAAAAACAAGAAAACCAATAAAGTGGCTGTGGCTTCTAGACATGGGAAGTGCAATGCATTGGAGGGAATTCTGGTCTGGGCCCTTCTCATGGTAATGCGGGGGAAGATTCTGCTCTCTCTGAGGCAGAATCACAAAAGTGGCTCAGTCAATACCCTTTTGTTTGTCCTTCACTCATTCATTCATGCATTCATTCATCTAGGTTTTGAAAATCTCCTCTGTCCCAGCAGCAGGTATACACCACATCAAATAAGACAGATCCCCTGCTGTCAAGAATCTTCATAACAATGGCGGCAATAGACTCCGCTGCAGATATCCAGAGCACATGATGTTACATTTAACGCTGGAGGATTCTCATGTAGAAAGTGAGAGGGAGAGAGGTGTCGGGGAAGGCTTCTTGGAGGGGTTGAAATCTGAATTAAGTGTTTAGAGATGCATTGGATTTAACTAGGTTGTGGGAGAAGGAATGGTGAGGGAGCGGACAACCTGAAAAACAGCATGAGGGGAGAGACAACTTGATGTAGGTGCAGAACCTCATGCCATTTAGCCTTACTGGAAGATCAAGTAGGAGCAGGAAGCAGTGGGAGGCTGTCTGGTGGGACAGGAAGGCCTGGTGGAGAGTCATGGGCTACAATGTGCACTGCACTCTACTGGTCACTGGGAGTCCTGGAGGGTCCCAGCAGGTGGGTGGGGTGCTTGGCTTTATGGTTGGCTGTGCCGTGGAGGGTGGATTTGACAGGGTTGGAGACCAGTCAAGAAGCTGCCAAGCTCTAGGGACAGATAATAAAGACCTGAATCAGGGCAGGAGCCAGTGGTAAGGAGAGGAGGCACGGATTTAAGAAAGATTGAGGACATAAAATCAGAAATGTGCAGATGTCTGAGAGCAGGAGATGGGGTAGGAGAGAGGGAGCAGACAAGAAGGTCTGGCCAGGGGCGGTGGCTCATGCCTACAATCCTAGCACTTTGGGAGGCCAAGGCGGGAGGATTGCTTGAGCCCAGGAGTTTGAGACCAGCTTGGGCAACATGGTGAGACCTCTTCTCTACAAAACATAAAAAAATTTAGCAGGGTGTGGTGGCATAGGCCTGTGGTTCCAGCAACTTGGAAGGCTGAATGGGGAGGATCACTTAAGCCTGGGAGATCAAGGCTGCAGTGAGCTCTGTTCCCACCACTGCATTCAAGCCTGAGAGACAGAGTGAGACTGTCTCAAAAAATAAATAAATAAATTTTAGGGGTATCCCCAGCCTAGTTGGAGAGCTCAGGAGCAGGGCCTTATGGTTTCTGTGGAGAAAGCTTGAGAGCGAGGCGAGTGCTGGGCATTGCTACGACTTGGTTTCTACAGAGGTTTGCTTCCTCTTTGCCCTCGGATATAAGCTGCTGTTCTCTCCCTACCTGCCTGGGGAATGGCTCTTGCTCTGTAATTGGAGGGATCTCTTCTGCATTGGGTTCTCTGCTGTGGCCTGCAGCTGTGGGGATGGCAGATGGCAGAAATTCTTTTTGGAGAGAAGAGTCACTTGTGGATTGGGGTATTCCCATCATTGGAGGGACATACGGACACAGTGACAGAACTCTTCTGGGTTTTCTCCCTTAGCTAACAAGACACCTAAGATCCCCTCTTTGGTTGACTTCATTCATGGGTAAATGAATGTTTCCAAACTAGAAACAAGATTGACTTGGAGTTCTGTCTCCATCATGCTCCTATTCATTCATTTACAGTCTTGCGGCACTGTTCTGTTTCCCTCATGAGGAGAGGGAAAGGAGTCCTGGGTTTTTAAGCGTTAGGACGTTTGTGTCCAGCTTCAAGCCCTCCCCTCTGGCTCAGTCCCCAGGTTCTGAGTCCTGTGAAGCCTCCCTTTTTGTCTGTGCAGCCAGCACCTTTGGCTGGATTCTATTTTAAGGCTGTAAGTGAGGTAATTGGGTATGACAACACAAACACAGCTGTAATTATGAAGTGCCAGCCTCCAAAGCAGAGAAGTCATCTGGCCCTCAAGGGTTGCCAGCATACGACTCGGTGATACGTGCGCGCCTCTGCCAGGCCGGGCCAGAACATCCACCTGCAACGTGGAGTCCACTGTGTATAGCATGTTCTGCGCCAGATCAAATAATCATTGGGGCAATTCAGTTCCTGTGTCTACGTGAGGCTTGAATATTGAGTTGTTGTTGCCAGCCCCGCTAGCCAGAGCAGTGATTCAGGAAAGTAAATGCTGGACCACCAATGGATGGGCCAATTGAACAAAGTGGGCCAGGTCTTTTCTCTGATGGAAACACCAACTGCCCTGGTGGAGCCTCTTAAGCCGTGTTTAGGTGTCCCTAAAGCATCTGCAATGCAATCAGTTCAGCTTCTGGGCTTTGCACAGACCGAATGCCTGCGTAATCTCCACTCCAGATGCAAGTGCTTTGTCTAGGGGAGGACAGGGAGATAAAAATTGCAGTTTTATTTGACTTGTCCCAAAGCCTTGGATCTTTGTATTTTCAGTTTAAAAATAACCGAGTTACACCCTTTGCTTATAGGTGCTTCTTTGTTTTTTTTGGCGGGGAGGGGTTTGAGGGAGGTTGCTAAAACAGGGACATGGTGTGAGTAGAAATTTAGATGGAACACATTCTAGATGGTCCCACCTACCTCTCAGGCTTTTAAATTTTACTAATGATGCTACCAATTTCTTCCTCAAAATTATCCCCGTTCTCTTCAGACAACAAACATCCACTGGTGTCTACCATGCACAAACCACAGTAGGGCAAACGTAGGTGGTGGCAGTGCCCTCAGAGATTACAGTTTTTTCCTTCGTTAGCAAAAGGAACTGCCAATCAGTTTCCGTAGAGGCCAAACTAGAAGGGCGTGCCAGGGCAGATGTTGTGACTTCCTTATTTGCTAAAGAAGGCAGGCAACAGACCTGGAGAAAAGATGCAAAATGATTTCTTTGAGAAGCCTCTTTGGGTATGAAAAGCTCTGGGGAGAAGGTGGTGTAATGTACACAGGGACTCCCAGAGCATTCTGGGAAGGGAGGGCAGGGCATTCACTTCATCAGTCAGGATCTACAAGCTTCCACCATTTTAACAAATGACCCCGAAGTTCCAAGGGCTTACAACAAGAATCAGTAGAGGTTTATTTTTCATGCATGCAATGTATTCATCCTGGGTTGGCTATGGCTTTCCTCCATGTTGTCCTCATTCTGGGACCTGGGCTAATGCAGCAGCTTCTATATGAAGCACTGCTTGGTCATCATGGCAGAGGGAAAAAGGGTCAAGTAAACCATGCTCTGGCTCTCATAATTTCTGCTCAGAAGTGACACACATTCCACATTTCCATCCCCCCTGCCCCCAACCCATTTTAATGGCTAAAGTAAGTCACAGGGCAGTTTCTGAGTCCAGCAGGGCAGGGATGTATACTTCTGCCACAGCATGGAAAGCTGGCATCATTGGTGAACAGGAATACAATCTACTATAGGCATTTACACCCTCCCCTGTGATTCAGAACTAGGGAGATCTGTTGTGAATGGGCATCTGATTGGCTCCAACTGTGGCCAGTGGCAGAGACAGGCAACTGGATCCCCAGAATGAAGTTACTAGGAGGTTTGAGGTGGTTAGACTGATGGATACTTAGACAGGGAGAGCTGATAAATCCACCTGACTGAGGCAGGAGAGAAGGGAGAAATGGTTCTGGATCTGTGAGGTACTTGCTGAACCCCATCCCGATCCAGGTCTCTTGGGGTCTGCTCACCCAGGGAAGTAGCTGAAAGAGTCCTTGTGGGAAGGGGCTTAGATCTTTAGCGTAGTTTTCTTGACTGAGCATAGCCCTGGAGGGTCACTACTGTGGCTTCCAGGGAGTATGTTGTCTATCTTGACTACATACCCAGCTACCAGCCTGCTGCTGTTGTTGGCAGAGCTGGATAGGGATGAATAAGTTTTGATCCCTCTCTGACTTCTCATTTCCTTTGCATTTTTTCCTCCCATTTCCTATCTATCTTACCTACTGGTAAGAATGCAGGTACTTTTGGATATATAAAAGCAAAGGAGTTGGAATTTTGTAAAATACAGAATTAAATAAAAATATAGGATTTCCGGCTGCTACCAGCTTTTGAAGGCTCAAACCTTGCATCTGGGACCTGCTTGAAGTATGCTGTTTACGCTGCAAACTATAAAGAGGGACATCTCTGTTACATAAACATGGATAAGTCACAGTTCCTCAAAAAATTAAGACCTCGAGGGCTAGAAGTATAATTTGGAAAAAACCTCAAAATCATAGCAATATTTGCTCAGATGTTAAGTATGAGAGACAAACAAACCCTCTGTACTAATTGACTGAGATGTTGGGGATGTTTGTTGCAGCACCTAGCCTGCCCTGACTAATACACTGTGTCTGTGTGTGGTGGGAGTTGGGTCAGAGAGGTGGAGTTGGTGGGGCAACAGAAAGGAGTGATTCCAGAAGGAATTTTCCAGAATGGAACGTTCCCTGAGGTAAGCATCTTGGCTGCTGTCTGGCTGGATTACATAGAAGGAGAGGACTTCGTGCAGCCTGTAGTGAGGGAGTGGTTGGTGTCTTGGCAAGTTAATCCCACCTTCTTGCCTGAACTCTTGCCAAATGGGATTCGATGAATGGATGTGAACATATGCTGTGATTTGCAATAAGAGGCTGGCGGGCTTGTGCCCAGAGCCAGTGGGTGCCTGGACTGGGGACTCAGGAGAAATAGTCAGGGAGGAGTTGGAAACTCCTGTTCCTGCTCCCGGCAGGCTTCGGGAAGACGGGCTAGTTATGCAGAGAATTTCCTGCCTTTGCAGTTCTTCTTGCCAATAACCACAGCTTAGCAAATTCACCTCCTGGCCACTTTTGGTGAATTTTTAAAAAATATCTCAGAAACTCTTTTTAGGTTTGCCTTTAAAATTTAAATCCAGTCTAGGACTGGGTCATTTCCGAATCAGATTTTGGGTAAATAACTGACAACTGGCTTATTTTCATCCACGACGAAAATGGAAGAAACTCCTTTTCTTTTCCTCTTAATTTAGAAATGCCGGGGAAAGAATTTGTTCTTGAAAGAACAAGAGGTGGGTGGAGGGCGGGGAGAGGTTAGAAAAAAATACCCTGGTTTTCAGATGACGCCTCCAGAGCCCTGGCTGGCCGGGGCTGATTGGGGTGGGTGAGGCTGTCAGGAGCTGATTCTACACAGTGTTGTCATTTTAAGAAAAGGGCGAGACCAGCTTAGGGAAAGGAAGGGAAAGGAGTCAAGCATAATGACAGACAAGCACCACCCCTGCCTGTTGTGAGGATGAGAGATTGGCAGCTCAGGGACTACCACTGCTCATTAGGATCCCAGGGAGGAATTTCATTCCCTACCTTGGTAAAGCCAAGTGGGTGGGGTGAGGGAGGTTCGGGTCTTGATGTGAAGGATCTGGAGAAAATAATGGTGCATTAGGCCAGCTGGAGAGCAGATAAGGTCTTCCTGGGCTATATGTGGGGTAAGGTGAGGAACCAATAGTACCTAAAGGTGGGATACAGGAATCTGAATGGCTTGAGTATAAAGGCTGTTTAGTTGTAACAGCTACATCTGTGTGTCCTCTCCCCATTCCCCCATCCCCTTTTCTTTTTTCTGTGAACTCATAAAGAGCCTTGGAGATCGGCAGACAGGAGACCAAGTAGGAAAAGGGATAGAAGAGGAGGGGAGAGGAGAAGAGAGATCAGGGCTGAGCCAAGAGGGATGAGAGAAGACAGAGAGGGGATGGGATGGAATCTGTGTGCCTCACCGCCCTGTCCATAGTATTTTTGGTTGCAGTCTTAGGTGTGATGAGGGTAGGACTTCAGTGTTTGGATGGTATACACCATTGGCTGAAAAGTGAAATAACAGGCACTAGAACTTAGAGAAATCATGCTTAGATTTATTCTGAGCCACACTTGAAGACGGAAGCCCAGGAACACAGACTCAGTATAGACTAAGAATGTGTCTCTAAGTGGGTTACAGGAGGCACAGTATAGATACATTTCCTAATGAGGGATAGGCGTGGCACAGAAGGTGGGAGAAAGGAGGAGGGAAGCAGTAGTTGAATTTTTGTGATTCTGATTGGTGCTCGGTGACACTGTCCATAAGATAAGGTAAATATATGGTGGAGCGGGTAGGAGAAAGGTTAGGTGCCTTAGGGTCTGGTGGAGGGCAACTCTTTGCATCCTGTCTTTGTTCTACAGCTGATAAACAGGTTTATAACCAGTACCTGTCAGTGAAGTATGTAACAAACTCCAGTTACACAGGCAAGAAGTCAGCTTTAGTTTACAGGCCTAGGTTTTATTACCTACATGTCTGACTACAGCCATCGTGGGCCATTGTGCAAATTTTCTTTTGAATTTTCCTTTTTTTAGACATCATACAAGATGTTAGGTGCCACAATAATGGTGACTCCAACCTTTGGCTTTGGGAGTTCAGTCCTTGTGGCTGAATGAATATTTGTTGAACAAATCTTAAGGCAAAGTTTTTTTTTAAATAAATATATCATTAAAATGATTGTTTCCAATCTTTTATTTTCATGTCCAGGAAGAGTATAAAAGACCCTTTGTCTGGGTTAAATAGAAGACTGACGGTGTGATGGAGTGTGTACTGCAGTTCGGCTCACCAGGTATGGTATAGACTCATTAGAGTTAGCATTAGACGAAATGAAAATCTGAATACAATGGGTGGTAGGAATTCACTGCAGGATCTGAAAATTCTGAGAAATGCTTTGGAGGCCTGGTAAATAGTCCATTGTGGGCTTCATTCTTTCCCACCTATCTCAAGAAAGAAACCACCGTTGCTTTCCATGGAAGAAAAAAGGATTGAAATGAAGTAGTTATATTTATTTACATTCCACCATTTCTTCTGGTCACTCCCAAGTTGCTTCCAGTGCGCAGAACAGGAGAGCATCTTTCATTTGGAAATAGGTGCCATCTTGTGAAGAGATATGAGTATGTTTTTTGTGCTTGAATAAGTTCTCTAGTCTTTGTCGGTGAATTTATAGAGGCAGGGGTTGTTTCTACATGGAAACAACCACTCTCTGTATTACAGTTCAGAGAAAATTTTAGAATTCATGCAAGCAGGTGCTTAACAGCAGCTCTTAGAGAAGACATTGAATTAGAGGATTTCATGTCTGAAAAGATCTTTGAGGTAATTTAATAAATACTTCTTTCTATCTCAACTTCTGGGAGCTTTGGAGAATGACTTTTATTAGAGTTTGTTTGAAGGGGAATTAAAATAGGCACATGTTTTGAGACAAATTAACAAAAAATTATCCCTATCCAATTCATATCTTTAGGATAAATATATTACAATAACCAAAAACTGAAAATAATCAAAATATCCATCAACAGAACAATGGATAAACAGAATGTGATATATTTATACAGTGAAATACTACACAGCAATCAAAAAGGACAAATTACTGACACAATGTGGATGAACCCCAAATACATTATATTGAAGAAAACAATATGAGGTTGATAATAAGAAGTTCAAGAACAGGCAAAACTAATTTATGGTGACAGAAGTAGAAAAAAACCTGGTTATTTCTTGAAGTGGCTATCAACTGAAATAGGGTTCGAGGACACTTTCTAGAACAATGGGAACGTTTTATATCTTCATCTGGGAACATGATTCTTGGGTATATACATATATAAAAGTCATTAAGCGGTGTACTTAAGATTTGCACATTTTACTTAATGTAAATCATACCAACCCTGCCGCCTCCAGAAAAACCCCCAACATCCCAAGCAATGAAAACATACAGAGTGGGAAATATTTGTCTGATTTGGAACTTTTATTGTTGATAAGTTCAGTGAAGCACATTTGATAGAAGTTCCCCTTGACTAGCAGTTTAAATAACTTGGGCATATTACTTAATGTCTCTGGGTTGTTTTTCTTTCTTTCTTTCTTTCTTTCTTTCTTTCTTTCTTTCTTTCTTTCTTTCTTTCTTTCTTTCTTTCTCTCTCTCTCTCTCTCTCTCTCTCTCTCTTTCTTTCTTTCTTTCTTTCTTTCTTTCTTTCTTTCTCTCTTTCTTTCACAGCAGTTCATTTGTTCATCACACACAGGATCTGCTACCTAAGGTGGCACTGGTGTAGCAGGGGAGAGGACACGAAGATACTCCAGTTGCCATCCTTGATGCATTTCTGCCAAGACAGAGAGCCCAATAACACCAAACTCAGTGTCACTGCCAAGACCAGCCCTGCCCTCATCTCCAGCCCTGCCCTAGTCTCCCTTTTTCTGCCTTTCTGGTTACAGCAGCACCACAGCAGCATTGAAGAGGCCTCTGTTCAGGCCCAGGCAGGAGCGCGTCTTGTGGGGACCTGGCTTCCCCTGGTCTCTGTAGCTGCTCTTGTCCTCCAGCCGGCTGGCTCAGAAAAGCTCTTTCTGTTTGGTGACTAAGCCTGAAGCCACGGCGGGGGAGAGAGAGAGAGTGTGAGAATTTGAGGGCACCAGATCCCTACCCAGTCCCCAGAGCCTAAAATATGTGGCCAAGAATTGAAGTTTTTTGTCCTCAGGGAGAAAAATGACGAAGGTCCTCCCTGAGGCAGCCCCACAGACAGATAAAGAGACACTACTCCTCCCCGGCCCAGCCCACCAGCCTACACCACAGGGACAGCACAGTGTCTCCCCACCCTGTCCTTGCCACAGGCCCCCCAAAGGGAGAAAAGTGGCATTTGTGGTTTGGACCTAGTCACAGGAACAGCATCCGGGTAATTTTCCATCTCTTCATTGACTCAAAGGCTTCCTCCGGACACAGGGAGGCAGAGCAGTTAAGTAGTTCCTGTTTGCTGATGAGAAAACTCCAAAGATGGAAGTGTCCTAACTCAGGGTCCTCGGGCAGAGGTCATGCTTGCCCTTCCTGAGTGAGACTCCAGATCAACACAGGAAACTAGTTTATCTCCTTGACCTGGAGTGGAGTAAACAGTCTTTGGCCAAGGCATTCTCCTCTCGGAAGCAGGGTTCAGTGAAAGCATAAATATTGGCCCAAGAAGACCATAGCTTCTTAGGCTAGAATGGATTTAGAGATCAGAGACTCTACATCTATTTTATAGATGAGGAAACTTAAGCCAAGTGAGGCGAAGTAACTTGCTTAGGAGCAAAAGCCAATCAATGACACAACTATGAAAAGAACAAAAGTGATCAAGTCGGCTCAAATTCCAGAGATGACCAGACAGAGCTGACTACATCATATTTTATCCCACTAGATGAGGGTTCTCAACCTCAGCACTGTTGACTTTTGGGGCTAGATAATTCCTTGTTGTGGGACCGTCCTATGCACTGTGGGATGTTTAACAGCATCCCTCGCTTCTACCCACTAGAAGCCAGTAGCATCCCTCACCCCAGCTGTGTCAATCAAAAATGTCTGCAGACACTGCTAAACGTCCCAGGGTGGGGGTGGGGGGCACAAAATTGGCCCTGGTTGAGAGTTGCTGTGACAGAGAGCCCACTCTTTTAGTTCAACACTGAGAGATACATTGGGATGCATTATTATTTGTGGACCTGTCTCATGCATCAGTCTGCAGTTCTTTGAGGGTCCAGACAGGGTTTTATTGACCTTTATGTTTCCTGTGTCTTGCATAGTACCTGACATGTGAGAGATGCAATTAATGGGTTTGCGTGAATGAATGAATGGACAAACTCACTGGGAGACCCTGGGATGTAAACTTTCATTCACTATTATCCAGTATTATATAAGCACATTGGCCAGGTGTAGCCTGGCAGGAGATGCGGGAGGATGACTCGACTCATATGACTTTCTATCTGGGGGACAGGAGGGATTCCTGTTTATCTACTTTGTCATCCACTATCATGGCACCACAGAAGGCATTTTTTGAGCTCCCTTCCCTGGGCTCCAGGCTTAATTATGTGGCTTATTTTCATTCTTATAAAACAATAGAAATAGCTACTACATGGTAGAAATTTTTTTTTCCCACTGGGGATGTAGCCAGCACTTTGGAATGTTAAGCCTCAAGACTCTTACAGTTAGAAGAGAAAGTCCCCCAAACATAGCCATTAGCAGCCATGAGAGCCATGGGAGAATATTGATCATAGAGTCATAGAATTTTGGCATTGGGAAAAGTCACAAGTAAAATATAAAAGGCAGCCTCTCTACCACAAAATCCTATCATATTGTTTTTCTTAATCCCAGAAATTTTCACCAATGTTGACTTTGGGGAAATGATTAAATAATTTTGTGTCTGTTTTCCTGAAGATGAAATGCTTCAGAGGGTAGAGTCTTCATTTGTTTAAAAGAAAAAAAAAGTGTCTTCAGAGGACCTTGTATGCTAGATTATAAAATACAAATTCCAGTGCATCTTGAAAGGGTGGGTGTACTTTGAGCAGAACAAAAATGGAAGAGACTGAGTGAGAGAAAAAAAATACAGGCTATCAGTTAGATAGATATTACCAGAGAATCAGTTTAAGAATAAAAGGATGGGCTGACTTTTCATGAACTTTACTGGTCGATTAATTCAAATGGACAAATTGTTTGGAAAGAGAACACAGTTAAAACAGCAATCAGCACAAAAAAAGGAGTAAAGACTTGCCAGTGAGAGGGAAGAATAATTGTGTTAGAAGCACGACTGGGGCCGGGCGCGGTGGCTCACACCTGTAATCCCAGCACTTTGGGAGGCCAAGGCGGGCGGATCATGAGGTCAGGAGTTCGAGACCAACCTGGCCAATATGGTGAAACCCCTTCTCTACTAAAAATACAAAAATTAGCTGGGTGTGGTGGCGCTTGCCAGTAGTCCCGGCTACTCACGAGGCTGAGGCAGAAGAATTGCTTGAATCCGGAGGCAGAGGTTGCAGTCAGCTGAGATCGTGCCACTGTACTCCAGCCTAGGCAACACAGTAAGACTCCATCTCAAAAAAAAAAAAAAAAGAAAAAAAAAAAAAAGAAGCACAACTGGGTGGTATTGGGTTCATGTTACTTTAAAAGTGAATTTTACCAAGTGCATGAAGGACTCAGCATAAAGCCCACATGTTGGTCTTCACTGCGTCAGAATTAGTATGATTGCTTTTCAGCCTATTGGGGAGGGATGGAGATTGGGCAGAAATATGATGTGATGGTGTTGCCAGATTTAGCACATAAAAATACAGGATACCCAGTTAAATGAGAATTTAAAATGAACAATGAATGACTGCTTAGTATAAGCATATCCCAAATATTGCATGGGATATACTTATATACTGAAAAATTATTTACTGTTCATCTGAAATTCAGATTTAACTGGGCATCCTGTGTTTTATCTGGCAATTCCTTCTTGAGACTCTCAAAGAAGCCAACATGCTGAAACCCCATCTCTACTAAAAATACAAAAATTAGCTGGGCATGGTGGCACATGCCTATAGTCCTAGCTACTTGGGAGGCTGAGGCAGGAGAAACGCTTGAACCTGGGAGGCTGAGGTTGCAATGAGCTGAGATGGCACCACTGCACTCCAGCCTGATGACACAGTGAGACTCTGTCTCAAAAAAAAAAAAAAAAAAAATAGTAGTGAGGTTGATGGTGTTGGGCTGCCGTATTTCTCTTTTCTTCTTTTTTCTTTTCTCTTCTCCTCTCCTCTTCTCTCCTTTTCCTTCCTTCCTTCCTTCCTTCCTCCTTCCTTCCTTCCTTCTTTCCTTCCTTCCTTTCTCTCTCTCTCTTTCTTTCTTTCTCTTTCTCTCTTTCTTTCTGTTTTTTTTTTGATAGCATCTTGTTCTGTTGCCCAGGATGAAGTGCAGTGGTGCAATCATGGGTCAGTGAGGCCTCTACCTCCTGAGCTCAAGTGATCCTCCCACCTCAGCCTCCTGAGTAGCTGAAATTATACGCGTGCGCCACCACACCTGGCATTATTTTTGTAGAGACGAGGACTCACCATATTGCCTAGGCTGGTCTCAGGCTCCTGGGCTCAAGTGATCCTCCTGCCTCAGCCTCCCAAAGTGCTGGTATTATAGGTGTGAGCCACCATGCCCAGCCTTCTGCCTTATTTCAAATGGAAGATGCCTGCCCAAGCCTGCTTCTCTCATACCTTTTCTTATCTGTCTGTAGTTTCTCAAAGAGTCAGGAAATCCAATTGCCTTTGAGAAGCCTAGGCAGCCAAGGAAGGAGAGAGAAGTTTCATAGGTCATTGCTGTAAGAAATTTCTTTCTCCTGTTCCCTTTTGTCTTGCTCCAGCAAGAGGAACAGCACCCTCTTTAAGGATTTAAGGACGGAAGGAAATTTGGGTAGATAAAGCCGGCACACACCGTAGCTCGTGTCCTGGGGAGATAATGGCTCTGAACCTGCTAAAATAAATGGTCTGCTTTGTTCTTGAATAATAATCAGTTGGCAGCTTTGTTCTGTCTTCCCAGCAGCTGGATGAGATTTTGATTTCAGAGGAAAAAGAGCGACCTAGGGCTGACCATATTGGACAGAGGGAGAAAGGAAATTTACAACAGCCTCCCGTGTGTGGTGAGAGAGCCCCTTGCTGTAAGGTACTGCCTGCCCCACCCACCACCTGTCATAATGCCTAAAGTTCTGCCATTAAGTCTTAAGGTTAATGACCTTCTTCTTTATTTATTTATTTATTTATATTTATTTTTGAGATGGAGTCTTGCTGTTGCCCAGGCTGGAGTGCAGTGGCACGATCTCAGCTCACTGCAACCTCTGCCTCCTGGGTTCAAGCGATTCTCCTGCCTCAGCTTCCCGAGTAGATGGGATTACAAGCACGTGCCACCACGCTCGACTAATTTTTTTGTATTTTTAGTAGAGACGGGATTTCAACGTGTTAGCCAGGATGGTCTTGATCTCCTGACCTCGTGATCCGCCCACCTTGGCCTCCCATAATGCTGGGATTACAGGCATGAGCCACCATGCCCGGCCCCTGACCTTCTCTTAAAAAATAAAACAAAACAAAACAAAAAACAAATATTCTGGAGAAACACAACATATTAAGTTATTACCCCTTTAGAATAAAATTGTTCGTTGGAGTTTTTCTAACCCCACATTTGGCTGAAAGCAGTCTTGAAGTTATTGGATCCTAGGACAGGTGATTTTTATAGGTGCTGAGTGACCGAGAGGTTGATCACATAGAGAGATAATATAAAGGAAGCCCAGAAATAGAAGGATCTGGATAGTTCAGGAAAATGGAAGAAGTGGGAGACTAGCTGGAGCTACCCATGCAATTTTCCACTGAGAATGAATCATGTTGCCTCTGTCCTCCTAGAAGTTCTCTGAGTCCCAACGTTTTCCCTCTGCTTCATTTGTCCAGCTGACTGAATGTTTCTAATTCAGGTAACAGCACAATTTGGGGCATGATGAAACTAGTTGCAAAATTCTCTAGATCATGGCGTGAATAAAGGTTAGAGGTTCCAGGACCATAGCCTATTGCCAACTGTCCTTGAAATGTGTCCTCTAGGTTTTAAAGGGCAAAGGATGTGTAGCTTTCCCCCTCCATGTGACAAAAGTACCTGATTCAGTGACAATATGGACTTTAGAATCAGAAAACCAGGGGGCAAGCCCTAGTTTCTTTCCTTGTCAAGTGGAATGGCATCAAACAAGCATGATTGTTTCCTGCTCTGCAAGACAGGAGTAAAAATCCTGGTTTGTCTCTTTCATAGGGAGGTCAGGCTGGGCTTTACCCAGTTGTCAATAAGTAGAGTTTGCTGATTGTGACCACAGCTGTGGATGGAGAGCGTCAATTTCCTAATCAAAGGGAAGCCCATTCGGTGGCTCTGCCTCTATCGTCCCTGGTGAGGGCAGTGGTCTCTAAAGCAGCACCTTGAATGTAAGAGCTGCTAATCAAAGAACAAGTGACATAAATTAGTCCAAATGAACAAATGGTGAAGGCCTTCTTATCTCTACTTCAGCTCATCCCAGGACGTGGGATGCTGTGGTCCAGCCAGGATGTTCACAGGGATTATCCATTCTGGGACATCACATTATCACTAAGTGTACCCAAGGGCGTGGGATGGGTACCAGTTAGTCAAAGTTTCATTAAATAAGCCCTTTCTGTGGGAAAGGACATGAGAACTTGGACACCATTGTTTGTCTCTAGCACTGATCTTCCTAGAAACTCTTCTTTGCTACTAGAAAGTATCTTTTCATTTTCTGGTTAAAAAACAACAACAACAACAACAAAAAAAACTACCAGTGTAAAATATCATTGGCTATCTCCAAAATGATCAAATGAAGGTGACTATCTAGATGATTCAGGTAAATTTGGTGGATTTGGGTATCCTATGCATTGATATGGGGGATGTAAATGGACAGAAAAAACGACGGGTAATATTCATTGAAAGCCTCTGTGTGCCAGACCCTGCACGGAGTGGCTACACATATTACTGCATTTAATTCTCATAACAACCCCCTGGGGTAAGTACTATTACACCCACTTTACAGATGAGGAAAGTGAGGTTCAGGGAAGTCAAGGAACATTCCTATGCAGTTAGGAAGTAGCAGGGCTGAGACTGAAAACCAGCAATATTTGATTCCGAAGCTCATCCTCTTAACCCCCACGCAATTATTTACCTCTTTACCTTGTCTTCCTATCTTGTAATTTCCAATCAATCTATCAGGAAACGTATCCCTCTTGCCCTTGAATTACCCGTGTTTTCTTTCTGCTCTTGGGCAACCCTGTGTTAAACTCCAGAGCGAGCCTCTGCCACACTGGAAGGAGATTGGCATTTGGTGTTGAGCTGTGGCCCATGCAGGCTTGTGAGCAGACTGGGCACCCTCTCTGGCAATGACTAAGGGTGCTGCAGATGCCCCTGCAATCCTTAGGGTGGGGACATGGAAGGCAGAGCTTAAAGGGCCAGGGATGAGATGCCCTGTCACCATGAGGCTCTTCCTGAAGCTGGCAGGGGTCCTGCCCCCACAATGTCAGAGCTGTCCCCTGAGCCCCAACTCCACAGGTCATCCAGGGGCAGAGCTGAAGTTTCTCTTCTCACTTTCCCCTTCTTCAAAGTGGGCAAACTGATGTGATACCAAGGGACAAAAGGATGAGGAAATGTATTTTGCCAGTTGTTTCGAAAACCTCAGAATCCAGCCCGTGCCTCCTCAGTGCAAGCCCTCTTGTAGAGGCACTCCTGGCTGCCACTCCTCGTCTTTCTCAAATCAGCACCACATCTCTGGGAGGCCATCCCTGAAGAACCAGGCTGGCTTAAAGTGCCCTCCCTCTGTGCATTCTGCTGTTTGCATGCATTATGAGTGCAAGAATGCCATTAGTGCATTTAGACCAATTTACTTGTCATTCTCTCTCTGCCTAGACTGGATGCTCTCCCGGGGTTGGGAATACCTCAATATTAGCCCTTAACAAATACTTTGTGCATTTTGATGATCTGAGCTAATAAGGTGAACTGAAGAAAAAAATCATTATCCACTTCTAAGGGTGGCGGTGGCTATTGTATTTTGGCTGTTTGTTTTAAATACCCAACTCTTCCACCTTTTAAGCAGAACTGTTCTTCGGAATTTTTAGATGTCTTAGGAAGTTTCCTTGCCTCATTCAGATTACTGGGTCATGATTTAGTGTTCCAGGGAATTCCAGGGGAAAAAAAATCATTTTCCTTCTGTAAACCCTAATGTCCACTGCTCTGATAAAGGATCCCAGCTGTGACAAGGAGATTATTTACTTGAAACTAATGAGCAGAGCTAATTACTGCAGTGGACTTGGGCAGGGACAGAGTGGGACAGAGTGTACCAGAGCAGGCTGCTGGCAACCGTTCCAACCCTCCAGCTGGCAGCTGAGCCAGGAGCCCCCAGACATGTCAGCGCCTTTTGGTCTTCCAATTGCCTGTTCAATAGCAAACAGATTTTAAGATCATGGTTTGGGGCTCAATTGTCTGACAGGAGCCAAGAATGAATTTCTGTGGCTTGTTCTTTTCCTCACTGGTTCCAATTTTTGTAAAATATATAAGAATTAAAGTCTGACTTTTTTGAGGGTGTGGGATTTGGGATCCACCCCTCCCTTCCACAGCTTTATTTCTCACAACTCCTACATGATTCCTCTCCTCGAGAGCAGGAAACCTCTTTCTCACCCCTCACTCACAAATGCCTGGTTCCTAGGGCTGAGGCTTCTCTAGGCGAGAATATTCTCTCTGCCTGGAGTCTGAGCCACGTAAGCTCAAGCTCTCCTGCCAACAAGTTGTGCCACTGACGCTACCTCATGATATTCATGCCTTTATTTGGCATTCTGAGCTGTGTTTGTACCAGATTCCAAATCGCATTATAACCCAGGTAACAAACCTGCCCATGTACCCCCTGAATCTAAAAATAAAAGTTAAAAAAATCTAATTATAATTAACTACATGGGACATCCAAATTCTTTCCTATTGTGGGATTTTGTTAAACTGGGACCTGAGAGGAGGCCATAGTGGTATGAGGTGAAAATGAAGAGTTCATGTTCTATAAAGGGCTGAATTCAGCACCTGGCACCAGTTATGTACCTTTTTTAGACATTTCATTTCAGTACGCCTCTTTAGAGCATAGACTGTGAAGCCCAGTCCTGTTTTCTATGCTGTATGAGACAAACACACACACATGCATTAACCACGATCTGTGCTCTCAAAAGCTCTGCACTACAGTGGGGAGTGGCAAGACACACAGGCATAGAAGGTAGGAGAGTTCTAAGGTGATGCAGGGGCTGCAGGAGAGAGACGGCGTGGAGAGCGGGCCAAGGAGTGCCAGGATTCAGTGAGCAAAGGCCAGCTATGGGTGACGTGAGCTGGAAAAGGCTTAATGAGGAAGAATGGTTGAAAAATATAGGCTCTGTTTTGCCAGAGACTATTGGAGAAGGGACTCTGGGCATGAGAAAGGGTGTGTGGAAGCCCAGAGATGGTTACTATGGCAACAAAGGATGCCAGGACCACTGAGGTGCAGGTTCTGATGGGCATTGGTAAGGTCTGTAGGAGATGAGGGGATGATGGCACCTGGGGATGCATCATTAGGGAAACTCTCAGGGGCCTGAGCAAGGATAACTTCATGAGAAGGGTTAGCAGATGGCCAGCATTTCGACATCTGCGTAAGGAAAACACTGGTTTTCCTTGAAAGTATGGTGTAAGAAGCATCTCCCAGCTTAAGCTAGAAGCAGGCAGAGGAAGGGAGCCTCTGTGTTGGAGAAACATGTGACCAAAGTGTGCCCTGGAAAATGGCAGGCAGCTAAGGTGACAGTGGAAGAAAGAGGTGAAAATGGCCCACAACAAAGGCAAGTTAGCACCAAGAATTGGAGCTTCACAGGACAAACCACAGGGGTTGTTGTGGGAAGCTCTGGCACGAACGAAAGTGGGCACCTAGTTTTTGTTTGTTTGTTTGTATTGAATTAGTAAACACACTCTGCGCTTTGAATCCTTAAGGACAAATAAGGTATTGTCATGGATCTAAGTTCTTGAATTTTTTCAAAAAAACTTAGAGATTCTTATTCCATACAACTGAGTCAAGTGATAGGTCAAAATAAAGGGGAAAAAAGTTGAGGAATCAGTACAAAAATAGGACCCCTATATTTTAAATATTTTAACTTAAGACATCAAATGTACATTTATCTCCTAATATTTTAATATTGAGTCTAGGCTTTTTCTTTGACCACAGGTATGCTGATTTGAGCTCCTTCTCTTCTTTCTTGTATGAGCCACATTCATAATGGATCCAATAATGGCCACAAATAAATCCTTTGCAACTCCTCACAATGAGAGGTGGAGTCCAATTTTTCTTTGCTTGAATCTGGGCTGGCTTTTTTCTTGACCAGTAAAATGCAGTGGGAGTGACATTCTGAAATTTCCGTGGCTGGGGTTGAAACTCTTCTCTGGGTTCCTTGGAATCCTTGCTGAGAACCCTGAATTACCATGCAGGAAGTTTACTACTTGGAGTTCACATGCTTAAAAGGTTACATATTGGTGCCAGCTGATCTCAGCCTCCCAGCCATCCCCATCAAGGCATCAAGGTGCAAGACATGAGTGAGGCCATCCTGGGCCCTCATCCTGGAAGCAGCCTAGCCCATCCACTATCAAATGACCTTTGCTGATACCATATGGAGCAGAAAAATTGAATGGCTGAGCCCTGTGTGAATTCCTAATTCACAAAATGGTGAGATATAATAAAATGGTGGTTTTATTATATTCATATATATTTATTCTTAACATTGGTTTTAAGCTACCAATGTTTAGAATAGTCTGCTATGTTACAGATGCCTGGAACTTTGTTGTAGAGAAGGCTGGGCACATGTTAACAGAGCTGAGAGAGACCTAGAGGTCAGTTATTTCAACTCCCTGATTTGCACATAAGAATTCTGAATATTGTCAGAGGCCTCCAGAAACTGAGCACAAAATGCAGCAATCACATAGAAGGTGCTGGAGCTTCCTTACTTCAGCTTTACCTCCCCTGCCCTTGATGGTGAAGCGTCTCTTGTGTTTACCTTTCCTGGATAACCCCACTGGAAATGTGCCCTAAGCAGAGTAAGATGTATGGATGGTCAACCATGTCATCTTGTCCATGTGAAGTTGTTCCAAAAATCTATTTTTTAGGGACAGTGTCTGTCTGCCTCCCAGGGCCACAGAAGCTCTCTTAGGTCTAGGACTGCATTTTCTGTTTGTCTGGCTTCACTCCTCTTTCCATTCCTTCTAGAGAGCCTACTACAGAGAGGGTCCCTCTACCCCACTGGGGGCAGCATCCCAGCCTAAACAAGGAGATTCTTAGTCTATACACTCGTAGACAATCCTATGACAGGCCCGGTTCCATAAGCCTGTGACCAGTGAAGTCACACAGGGCCCCATACACAAAAGAACCCTGTGCTCAATTTAGTGTTCTGCTGTTGCCGTCTCAAAATTCTTAATACATTTTGAACAAGGAGCCCTGGCTTTTCATTTTGTACTGGGCCCTGAACATTAAGTAGTTGGTCCTGCTGGTGACTCATACTCGTGTGGTGGGACCAGGAGCCTCAGCTATTTCATTAGTTCAGCCTGTACTATCTCACTGGGGACCAGGTGGAGAAGTTGCATCAGCAAGGAAGGACAAACCACATGAAAACTGAATACTGTATTCATGTTTCCCTCTGTCTGACAGATCCCCTCAAAGATCTTAAGAACAGATACTCCCAACCCCTGTATGTAATTAACAATGTGCCCTAATCCTCTGGTAGAATTAACCGGGTGTGAGGGATGCTAGGCTGGGAACGCGGCTGGAGACAGTGTCCTGTAGCTCAGGCCTAAAACAACAGAACCTAGAATGTGCTGAATCCCAGCTCTTCTTCCCTAGGAACCAAGCTGAGGAAGCTCCTTCTCCACCAGCTGGGTTTTTTCTACTCGGGGAGATAGCAGGGGACAGGGAGGAGCAGGGGTGTCAGGCACGCAGAGCTTCTATAATAGGCCAGGGAGGAAATGAAGAGCTAGGACCCCACCTAGAGTCTTGATAGTTTAGGAAGCTCGGCTGGACTGAAGGAGGCCCACAGCCCCTCCTGCAGCAAATGTGAATCCCACTCCTCATAACAAATCATTGCACATGTGCTAATCATTTTTAGCGCCATCCTCCGCCTGCCATTGGCTTGTCCTTTTGCATATCTGCCCCCGTTCAAACACAGCTGTCTCTTTTTTGTCTACCAGCTGTCTCTCAAAAAATCAAAAAGTCTGGGTTGGAGGCCTAGCTAATGTTTCTTTGCTTTTTCTCTATCTCTTTATTGTCTGAGAACCATGATACTCAAAGTGTGGTCCCTGAACCAGCAGCACCAGCATCACCTGGGAAATTGTCAGAAATGCTGATTCTCGAACCTCTTGAATCAGAAACTCTAGGGTGTGGCTGGTAATCTGAATGTCTAACAAGCCCACCAGGTGAGTCTAATGATCACTCCAGTTGGAAAACCACTCTCTTTGAGACATATGACAGCAATAAGGCCCCCTACCAGCCCCCAAAATTTCAGAGTTGACACCTGTGTGATGGATGAGGTCTTATTTTTGAAAAGGAAAGAAATAGTAACTTTTAGGTACAACACCCCTCATCCACGCACACACAAAAGTACACACAAAGTGGAAGAATGCCTGGCTCCTCCCTCCTCCTCTGTTTACCATCTGTTAGCCATGCTTTGAGTTGTTTGAACAAGAGAATCAGTGTCAGAATAAACTTGCTTGTAGGGTGTCTGGAAGGCAGGTGCGGCCTGCCACTTCTAATGCAAGCTGAGAACAAACACGGCATACTGAGCCCAAATCGGCCTTCTGCTGCTAGAGACAGAGGTAGAATTTATGTTTTGCTGGGATGATACCCCCTAATGTGCTGCCTTACCTTGGGGCCTTAATTAGAAGCAGCAGTGGCCCTCGGGCCTGCTGAGCTTCTATTTGATGTGATTGCACAAAAGAGCTGAGATGGAAAACTAGAACTTTTGTTTTTTCACACATTCTAAAAAGCTTTTTCATAAAAGCCCCTTTCTTGTTTCTTGTTTGCTGTCACATGCACCAAGATAATTTAAAAAAGATTTATACAGGGTAAACAATTGGTAAAATCTGTCTTTCCCTTGTTTGTTCTAGTATTATCAGGTTCAATTTATTTTTTCTCTGCCCCACCTCCTCTTCCTCGCAAGGACCCTCCCATCTGCAGCCACCTCCCATTTATTTACCACTGCCTCCCTGTGGGTCCCTTTTCCTTTTCCTTGGGTCTTTCTAGAGCTATCCTAGTGTTTAGTGTTGAAAGCTTGAACGTTTAAAAAAATATTCAATACAAAAGTGAAAAATATCCACCTAAAATGTGGGTGTTTTAATTTCATAATTGCGCCCCTCTGAATTGACCTGATAAATGAAGCTAAAAAGCTGTGGAGATGTAATTGGCTTGCTTTATACCCATAGAAGCAATGGAGGACACACCACAGGCTGTTAGACACCAGCAGTAACCTGTATGAAATGCATAATAAGGAGCAGGAAAGAGATGTGACTATGTTCCTGGATCTACCACGTGTGTTGTGTAAATAAATTCATGATCTCAGCCCAGTGGCGTTCTTGGCTCAAAGCAAGTCCTAATTAACTGTCTACTGTGTGGCACTTCCTGCATAGCAGAGTAGCCTTACCCTTGGTTAACAGGAACCTCATAAGAACTGATGTTTTCTGACATATCAAGGGGGTCTTGCACCTGGACTTGTGGAGCTGTGTTAATCAGAAAGATAACTCTCGTTGTTCTCTGTCTTGACGTC
This sequence comes from Homo sapiens, assembly GCF_000001405.40. Classification (NCBI taxonomy): domain Eukaryota; kingdom Metazoa; phylum Chordata; class Mammalia; order Primates; family Hominidae; genus Homo; species Homo sapiens. Next base: position 135,774,662 of record NC_000007.14, read on the forward strand.
TCTGGGCTTTCAAATTGTGGCTTATTCTTGTTTGTTTTTGAGGCAGAGTCTCACTCTATCCCCAAGGCTGGAGTGCAGTGGCACAATCTCGGCTCACTGCAACCTCTGCCTTCCGGGTACAAGTGATTCTTGTGCTTCAGCCTCCCGAGTAGCTGGGATTACAGGTGCGTGCTACCACGCCCGGCTAATTTTTTTGATTTTTAGTAGAGACAGGGTTTTGCCATGTTGGCCAGGCTGGTCTCGAACTCCTGGCCTCAAGTGATCTGCCCTCCTTGGCCTCCCAAAGTGCTGGGATTACAGGCATGAGCCACTGTACCCAGACTTGTTAGTTTTCAAAATTCACTTAACTTCCTTTAAGCATAAAAGGGAATTTATTGGAAGAGTCCTGGAGTATCACACAAAACCCAAGGCCAAGAACTACAGCCAGAGCTACGTGAAGGCCTGGAACCACGAAGTGAGTGCAAAACCTTCAAAAACCTATTCAAGAGGTTATTTCATCCTCACTTTTCTCTCTCTGACTCTCTCTCGCTTGGTCATCTGGACTCTGCTTCTTTTTCCATATTTGATCCCTGCTGCTTTTTCTCTGTAGATCAGCTTTCGCTTCCTTGGCATGAGCAGCGACAAACATGGTGGCCACAAAATGGTAGACTTTGCTGCCTAGTTTGATGGGGAGACTTGAGGATGTTCCAACACCCAATAGTTGGTGGATAAGCTGAGAAGACTGGGTTAGGAAAGTTGTGACATAGGCTGTGGCCAGGCCAGAGTCATGTGGTACCATTCCTGCTGTGGTTCATTTTAGCAGACAGGGATTTGGCTGTTAAGAAAAATTATCTCAGATTTGGACATAAGGCAAAAGGAGGGCCTTGTTTCTTTCAATGTCATGTTGGAGTGGTGTTTAATCCCTTCAGGGCTCTTTTTTATTTTATTTATTTTTTATTTTTTTGAGACTGCTGTTGCCCAGGCTGGAGTGCAGTGACGTGATCTCGGCTTACTGTAGCCTCCACCTCCTGGGTTCAAGTGATTCTCCTGCCTCAGCCTCCCGAGTAGCTGGGATTACAGGCGCCCACCATCACACCCAGCTAATTTTTTGTATTTTTAGTAGAGATGGGGTTTCTCCATGTTGGGCAGGCTAGTCTCGAACTCCTGACCTCAAGTGATCCGTCTGCCTTGGCCTCCTAAAGTGCTGGGATTACAGGCATGAGTTACCGCCCCCAGTCCCCCTCAGTGTTCTTTAAGTATCCAGGGGAATGTACCTTTATTTGACTCACTTTCAGTCACTTATTAAAGGCCCTGACTCTGTGAAATTACATGCTAACTTGTCGACCTTTGCAGTAGAGATGCAAATAATTTCTTTCTGGTAGGAAAGATAACCAGACATTATGGTTTTAGTTTCTAGCAGCACACAGCACATGAGCCAGTTTTGTATCTGATTTAACAATCTTATTCCAGGCGGGGCACAGTGACTCATGCCTATAATCCCAGCACTTTGGGAGGCCGAGGCAGGCAGATCACTTGCGGTCTGGAGTTCGAGACCAGCCTGGCCAACATGGAGAAACCCCATCTCTACTAAAAATACAAAAATTGGCCAGGCGTGGTGGCATGTGCCTGTAATCCCAGCTACTCGGGAGGCCGAGGCAGGAGAATGGCTGGAACCCGGGAGGCAGAGGTTGCAGTGAGCTGAGATGGCGCCACTGCACTCCAGCGTGGGTAACAGAGGGAGACTCCATCTCAAAAACAGAAAGTGAAAAACGAAAAACAAAAATCAAAAACCTATTAAAAAAAAGGAAAAGATAATCATTAAATTCAGGATAATGGTTAGCTTTGTGGAGGGTGGGAGGGTATAGTGAATGAGAAGGAACACTCAGGGATTTTCTAGGGTACAGGCAATATTCTGTTTCTTGAAATAGTTGATAGTTACTTGAAAGCTCTTTTTTTTTTTTTTTGAGATGGGGTCTCTCACTCTGTTGCCCAGGCTAGAGTGCAGTGACATGATCACAGTTCACTGCAGCCTTGACCTCCCTGGGCTCATGTAATCGTCCCACCTCAGCCTCCTGAGTAACTGGAACTACCAGTGCATACCACCATGCCCGGCTAATTTTTGTATTTTTTGTAGAGACAGGGTTTCGCCATGTTGCTCAGGCTGGTCTTGAACTCATGGGTTCAAGAGATCCACCTTCTTTGGCCTCCCAAAGTGCTAGGATTGAAAGCTCATTTTAAAATAAATCATGGACTATATGTTGTTTTGCATAAAATAAAATACTTTTATTTGTAAAATAATAAAATACTACGTATCTAAATTTGTGAGATGCAACTAGAATGGCATTTGGGGGGAAATTTATAGCCTTAAATGCTTATATTATAAAATAAGAATGGCTAAAAGTCAAGGAACTGAGCATCTAAGATGTTAGTAAGAGAACATTAAAATAACCCAAAGAAAATAGAATAAGGAAAACAATAAAGACTTGAGGAGAAACTAATGAAATAGTAAACAAATATAGGCTAAAATATAAAATAAAAATGATTAATACAAAGAATTAGTTCTTTGATATGAGTAATAACATTAATAAACTTCTGTCAATATTGATAAAGATCTAAAGAGAGAAGACAGAAAGTCAATATTAGGAATAAAAAAAGGAGCAGGTAGCAGATGCAGCAGAGAGTATAACAATCATAAAAGACTACTGTAAACAAATTTATGCCAATAAAGCAGAAACAGGAGAAATAGAAAAATTAACAGGAAAATATTAAAGCTGATTTATTTATTAAAGCTGTTTTAAAATTAAAAGAGAATTTGAATAGTTCCATAATCATTAAATACGTGACTAGTATAACTAATCTTTCCATTAAGAAATTGCCAGCCTAAATAGTTTTAGAAGAAGGTTTTATCAGACTTGAAGAAACAGGTTACTAATATATTACACAAGCCCATGCAGAGAATAGAGTAGAGGAAATGCTTCCCAACTGTGTTGATGAAGCTAGTAAAAAAATTTCCATACCAAAAGCAAATAGGTACAATATGAGAAAGGAAAATTATAGGCTGATCGTACTCAAGAACCTAGATGTGAACATCCTAAACAAAATATTAGCAAACTGAACAAATAATATTTACATATAAAAGACAACCAATCATGACTACACTGGAAAGAGGCTTATCCTAGAAATGGAAGACTGATTCACCACTTGAAATCTGATATACTTGACCATATTCACAAGTCAAATGAAAAAATCCACATGGCCTTCTCTCAAAAAAAGCAGAAAACTGTTCAATAAAATATCAATTTATGAAAAGGACTTTTAGAAAACCAGGAATTAAAAAAACTGAACGTGGTAAAGGACATCTATATACATACAATAACTTATAACAAACACTATACTTAATGATGAAATAGAAAAAACAGGAATAAGACAAGAGTTCCTACAAAAGACCCCAAATAGCCAAAACAATCCTGAGCAAAAAGAGCAAAGCTGGAGGTATCACGCTACCTGACTTCAAAATATACTACAAAGCTCTAGTAATCAAAACAGTGTGGCACTGGCATAAAAACAGACACATAGGCTAATGGAACAGAAAAGAGAATCCAAATATAAATCCATGCATTTACAGCCAACTCATTTTCAACAAAGGCACCAAGAACATGCAGTGGTGAAAGGACAGTCTTTTCAATAAATGTGGCTGGGAAACTGCATGACTATATGCAGAAGAATGACACTAGACCCCTGTCTCTTACCATACCCAAAAATCAAAATGGATTTAAGACTTTAAGACCTGAACCATGGAACCACTAGAAGAATACATTGGAGAAACGCTCCAGGACATTGATCTGGGGAAAGATTTTTGTGTGTGTAAGACATCAAAAGCACAGGCAACCAAAATAAAAAGAGACACTTAGGACTACATCAAGCTACAGTGCTTCTGCACAGAAAAGTAAACAATCAACAAAGTAAAGAGACAACCCAGAGAACATGGGAAAATATTTGCAAACTGTCCATCTGACAAGGGGTTCATAACGAGAACATATGAGGAGCTCAAACAACCCAATTGCCAAAAAAAAAAAAACCCAAATAATCGGATTTTAAAATGGGCAAAAGATCTGAACAGACATTTCTCTAAAGAAGACATACCAATGACCAAACAGGTATGTGAAAAAATGCTCAACATCACTAATCATTGGAGAAATGAAATAAAAACCACGAAGAGATATCATCTCACCCCAGTTAAAATGGCTTTTAGAAAAAAGATGGAATAACAGATACTGGTGAGGATGTGGAGAAAGAGGAACACTGTTGGTAAATATGTAAATTAGTACAGCCACTATGGAAAACTGAATAGAGGTTTCTCAAAAAGCCAAAATTAGAACAACCATCAAATCCACTACTGGGTATATATCCAAAAGAAAGGAAATCAATATATTGAAGAGATATCGGCACTCCCATGTTTATAGCAGCACTATTCATAATAGCCAAGATATGGAATCAACCTAAGTGCCCATTAATGGATGAGTGGATAAAGAAAATGTGGAGATACAAATATATATATACACACACAATGGAATATTATTCAGCCATAACCAAGCATGAAATCCTCTCATTTGCATCAATATGGATGGAACTGGAGGACATTATATTAAGTGAAATAAATCAAGCACAGAAAGACAAATATTGCATGTTCTCACTCATATGCAGGAGCTAAAAAAGTGGATCTCATGAAGATAAAGTATAGATTGGTGGTTACCAGAGGCTGGGAAGAGGAGGGCAGGGAGATAAAATGGGGGGGGAAAAAGAATATTTATTTATTTATTTATTTATTTATAGATGGAGTCTTGCTCTGTTGCCCCAGGCTGGAGTGTAGTGGTGCAATCTTGGCTCACTGCAACCTCCACCTCCCGAGTTCATGAGATTCTTCTGCCTCAGCCTCCCGAGTAGCTGGGATTACAGGCACGTGCCACCACAGCCATCTAATTTTTATATTTTTAGTAGAGACAGGGTTTCACCATGTTGGTCAGGCTGGTCTGGAACTCCTGACCTCAAGTGATCCACCTGCCTCAGACTCTCAAAGTGCTGGGATTACAGGCATGAGCCACCTTGCTCAGCTGAGAATATAAATTTATTACCACTGAACTGTACACTTAAAAATGATAAAGATGATAAATTTCACATGCACATTTTACCTCAATAAAAAAATAAGATTAGAAAGAAGTTAAAAATTTAAAAAAGAAAGTCAAGGGCTTCTGCTTTCACCCTTCTTAATCTATAATAAAGCAAAAAAAAAAAAAAGGTTTACAAGGTACAAGCATTAGAAAAGAAGACACAAAACTTGTTATTCATAGATGATATGATTTTTGCATAGAAATATAGATAATTTGTTAGAGTTAATGAGAGTTTGGCAAGTTTGTCAACTATAAGCCCAATATAAACAAGTCAATTGCATTTTTATACACCAGTAACATTTGGAAAATGTAATTAGACAAACCTATCATTTACAACAGCAATAAAAATGTAAGGTACCTAGGAATCAATCTAATAAAAATGTGTAAAATCTACACCGGTAAACTTGTCCAACTTTATTGAAAGTCTGTAAAGAGGACATAAATAAATGGAGAGTTCACAGTCTTGGAAATTGTGTCCATTTTTCCAACTTTGTGCTCCAGATTTAAAGTATTTCCAATAAAAATACCAACATGGGTTTCATGGTAGTTGGCACGCTGATTCTAACATTTATGTGGAAGAGCAAAGGTCCAAGAATAGCCAACACAGTCTAGAAGAAAAAAGGACACAATGCAGGGATTTGCCTACAAGCTATTAAGTCTCATTATAAAGCAATAGTATTTACGACAGTAGGGTATTAGTGCGAGGATAGACAAAAAGACCATTGGAACAAAATAGAGAGGGAGGTACAGACCTAAGCATATTTGGAAACTGGATAGATGACAAAAAAAGCATTAAGAAAAGTGGGGAAGTGCTAGACTATGTGATAATTATCCACATGGGAAAGAAATGAAACTGCAGTCCTATAGCACTCCAAGCGCAAAAATTAATTCTAGACTGATTAAGGACTCAAAAGGCAAAGGCAAAATACACTTTAAGCCTTTTGGAAAAAACAGACCATCTTTAAGACCTCAAGGTAAGGAAGGATTTCTTAAACATGACACAAGCATACAAGCCATCCAGGAAAAGACTGATAAATGTTGCTACTTTAATTAAGAACTACCACAAGACCCTATAAAAAGAGTGAAAATTTAAAGCTCCAAAGAGGGAGAAGATATTTGTATCACAGATGAACAAAAAAGATCATTACCCAGAATATAAAAATTGTTAAGAAAAAGAGCACATGATATGCAAATAGAGAAGACAGTTATGAATAGGAACATTATAGAAGAGGAAACACAAATGAATAAAGGCATATGAAGAAATGTTCAACTTTATTATTAATTGGGAGAATGCAAATTAAAACAAAGCAGAGATGCTATTTTATACCACCTAACTGGCAAAAATCAATAATTCAGACAATACCAAAGGTGAGGAGCAAAGTACTACTAGTGGAAGTGTAAATTTGTAAAATTACTTTTGGGAAAAAATGGGCATTATCTAGAAAAGTGAAAGCTGCAAAATAACTGCATGACCCAGACATTTCACTATTATACCCCAGAGAAACTCTCCAAATGAGCACCAGGAGAGATGCACGAGAATTTTCATAGCAGAATTGTTGCTAATAACAGAAAAACTGGGAACAACACAAATGTCCACCCAGGAGAAAATGAACACATACATTGTGCTACATACAGTGAAAAATAAATGAATTACAGTTCATGCATTAACCTGGAAAAAAAAAATCTCAGCAACAATGTTGAGTAGAAGAAGCAATTTGCAAACTAATGTAAACCCAGTGACTCTGTTTATATAAAGTTTGCAAATGTGCAAAACCAAATAGGGTTTTATTCAGGGATACATAAATAGATGCTAAGATACTTGGGGGAAGCCTCCTAAGAGACACATTATATAAGGTAGGCTGCTGGATGCACTTTGGGCAAGAGGACCCTTAGCTGCCTTTTTCGGAGATGATTGGACCTGGATCAGGACCCCAGGCATCCTCAGGGAGGCTCAGTTCCACCCATGTTCCTTGTTTCACCTGGGAAGTTACCAAAAATAACTCCACAAAGACCAGCCTGGCTGTCTGAACTCTCCCATCCCAACAGTCGGGGCCGGCTCATAGTCTCTATCTTCATTCTCAGTCCAATGCTGGGCTCCAGGATTGAGCTGGGCCATATTTTAGGCAGAGAAAATGTATGGACCCCTAACTCGCAAATTTGGTGGCTTCACATGAATTTAGTCTCGTGTAAACCAATCACCCTGATTCCAGGGTTCTTTTTTCTTTTTCTTTCTTTCTTTCTTTCTTTTTTTTTTTTTGAGTCAGTGTCGCTCTGTCACTCAGGCTGGAGGGCAGTGGAGCCATCTCGGCTCACTGCAACCTCTGCCTCTGGGGTTCAAGTGATTCTCCCACCTCAGCCGCCCAAGTTGCTGGGATTACAGGCACCCGCCACCACACCTGGCTAATTTTTTGTATTTTTAGTAGATATGGGGTTTCACCATGTTGGCCAGGCCAGTCTTGAACTCCTGACCTCAGGTGATCCACCCGCCTTGGCCTCCCAAAGTGCTGGGATTACAGGCATGAGCCTCCGCGCCTGGGCCCCAGGGTTCTTTTATCTTGCATCTACATTATACTGACATGATACGATTTTTAAATTTCAAAATCTAGGACGTGATGTGAGAGGTGTACCAGGGAACATTTGGGTACAATCAGAGCGAATGTTAGGAAACCTGGTCCCGTCCGTTCCGTAGCCACGGGAAGATTGGCAGGGATCATGTGTCATGTGGGCTGCAGCTGCTTCTGCTCCCCATTGAGTGGAGTCACATGGAGCTCTGGTGGCTGTCCCCCTTCCTTCCTTGCCAAGGCTGTCTTCCCTGGCAGGTCTGCCTGGTCTCTTCCGCCTCACCATCCCCCACTTCCCTCCTTTCCCATCCCCTGTTCTGGTGGAATATTGAAGGGTAGGAGCGAGGATGACTTCTCCATGTTGACTTGGTTTGGGACAGGGAGTGTATTTCTGGAAGAATATTTCTAGCCTGAGCTGCTTTTTCCTTCCGAGTAAGGCAATTTGAAAGCACTGGTCTTCCATGAAAAGTTGACTAAGAAAAGATGTAATTTCTATGAAGTTTGGGCACCTGATTGAAACCGTATTCAATCAAAGGTCAAGGTCCTAACAGTGGTATGATGTGAGATGTACAAACAAATACACACATAATTATGGGAGGGCCAAAATGCAAACACGGACCTGCTTGCAAATTGGTGAGTAGGGAACTGCCTGAGAGAGGCTCATTCGGAGCTTGTGAGTCAGGGATGTTAATAACGCCCGGTGATGCTGTGAGTCCAAAAATAGTGAGCACTAAAGTAGCAGTGAACTTTCAAACTTTTTCTGAGTTTATATGCAATGGTCTTAAAAATCACATAATATAGGCTGGGCACAGTGGCTCACGCCTGTAATCCTAGCACTTTGGGTGGCTGAGGTGGGCGGATCACCTGAGGTCAGGAGATCGAGACCAGCCTGGCCAACATGGTGAAACCCTGTCTCTACTAAAAATATAAAAATTAGCCGAGCATGGTGACACGTGCCTATAATCCCAGCTACTTGGGAGGCTGAGGCAGGAGAATTGCTTGAACCTGGGAGGTAGAGGTTGCAGTGAGCCAAGATCGCGGCACTGCCCTCCAGCCTGGGCGACAGAGCGAGACTCCATCTCAAAAAAAAAAAAATCACATAATATAAAAGTCATCATTGAGTTAAAATATGACAGCATGCTGTACTCATGTTGTCAGGGAGTCCGGTATGGTTGATGTTAAAGACAGTCATGTGAGGTTCCTTCCTCCAAGTAAAGAACCACATGAGGGTGTTTCCTGTAGATGATTCTGCCTTCGCCTTAATGTGCTTCTCCCTACAGTCTCACTAATCTCATTAATTAAGCTCCTTAATTATCTTCCCATCCCAAATCCCAGCTTTCTTCCTCTATTACCCAGTTCCCACCAAGGGAACTTCTGGTTTTTCAGTCAAGTCACAGAAACTTTGGAATCCTCTATGATAACTCTTCCTTACACGTCACACCTTATATCTAATCTGTCCTCCAGGCAGTAATGATTTCTTCCTTAAAAATGAAACACTTGCTTTAACTCTTATTCTAACCCCCACCACTGTAACAGCTTTCGTGGAGAATCCTTGATCAGTCTATCAGCCTCCTAAGAGGCTTTGCTCTAACCACCCTGCATCTCTCTGTCAAGTTGTTCTTATCAAAACACTGCTTTTGTTATGTCCTTACTTAAGAACACAAAATACCTCCCCATTGCCACCTCTGTTCTCCCCTCGATGGCTCTCTACCCATTCAACCCTATTGTTTTGCGGTTACTCATGGTCTGTACTTTCTGTTCTAGTCCGGAGAGGATCTGAATTCTCCACCTCTGCTCACGCAATTCCTCCCTCCCTGACTCAGGTCTGCTTGGTCTTCCTCCTTCTCCTGCTGTATTCTCACTACCATTATCATAATTTGGGCTTTATTGCACAATCTTTCGCCTCTAGCTTACAGCCTCGTAGTCTCAGGATAGTGGTAGCGGGGAAGGAGAAGAAAGGTGGTAGGGGAAGAGAGAGGCTCATTTCTACCCCTGTAATGGGCTGGTCCTAGCCACCTTGCCGTTAGTCCTGTCCCCTCTTCCCACTACTTCTGTAACAAACCAGCTCTTGAACTTCCTTTCTTTGAGACTCAGCTTTCCAGAGAGGCCCCCCAAGAGTCACATTGCACTCGCTTGCCTCCGAGCTCCTTCAGCCCCTGTGGGCACAGGTTCTATGTCTCAGGTGCTTTATGGGAAAACAGGGCGTGCGATTGTTCTCCTCCTGGTCATGCCTAACTGTCCGTGGACCGGATGGTTAAGATGATCCACTTAAAGATTTGCTAGCAGAACTCACATCTCATGGACAGTCCAAGCACTTCCTAGGCTTCCCTAATTAGCCTCCTGCGTTGGCTGATGGCAGAAGGAAACATTTGCACCCTGTTGCCTCCTAAGCATTGGTTGGTCAGATTTCCTCTCTCCCACCTCATCCTTTATGTGTTGAATGTTTGCTGAGCACCTACTTTGTGCCAGGTGATACATTCTAGTCTTTAAGGATTCACATGAATGAAGTGCACCCCTAGCCTTCAAGAGCTTACAGTTTAGGAGAAAGTGGACACGCAGAAGACAATGATAGTACAGGGTGATTAATGCTTTGATAACAGGCACAGGAAATTATGAAGGAACATAATGACAGGCACTCAATGCTGTAGAGAGGAGTCAGAGAAGGCTTCTTGAAAGAGGTGACAACTTTCTTGAATCTTAAGAATGAATAGGGCTTAGGCAGGTGAGGAAGGCAAAATAGTGCTATGGAGTGGGGAGGAAGGTGGAAGAAGACTCCAGCCTTCCCAGCCCCTCCTTTGCTCTCTCCTTTGTCTCTGGTACCTTAGGAAACCTGGCTGGGAATATAGAAAAAACCACAGCAGTAGCTTAGCTAGAAGGAAGGAGGAGGAGGAGAAAAAGAAGAGGAGGAGGAAGAAGAAGAGAGGATGGAGGAAGAGGAGGAAGAGAAAGAAAAGAAGAAGAAAGAAGGAGTAGGAGTAGGAGAAGGAAGAAGTGGCACACAAGTCTATAGAGTAGGGTAGATCAACAGTAGGCATCCGTGAAGGACTAGACAGATGCCTCAACTTCTTCATTTTAACCCAGAGAGTGACAGCCCAGGTCAAGATGTTTTGTTGCTTCAATGGCTTAAATAGCCACGGTTGTCATAGATATTCATTCCTACATTTGCCTATGTTTGCGGTATCTCAGACATAAGAACTAACCATACCATGTCCAATAGTAAGCTCACAAGTAGTGGAGCACCCACGAAGTTAAAATGTTGCTTCTAAGAGACTGTAGTACACCAGCATCACATTTAAAAGTACAAATTATGGAGAACCCAGTGAGAGATGTCAGGTGCATTTGTCATTTGTGTTCTTTTTCCAAAAGGACTTTTTTAAAATCTTAAAATATAGTTGCAAATTATATAGTTGTATCTTCATAATATTGAGTTTGCACAAACTTATTCAAAGTTTACTATGCAGTTTGGGAAACTAGCTTTAGTTTCCCAAAGAAAGACTTTCTTGGGCCTGGCTAATTTTGCTTTTTTTTTTTTTTTTTTCCCAGTTCATGGCTGGTTGGTGTGGGGCTGCAAAGCAGGGACTGTGAGCTGACAGTTCCTTGTTTCTCTCCTAGGAGTAGGGGCCTCATGGGTTGAGAGGGTAGAATGCCAGACAGTGGCCCCTACATGACGTGCTTAGAGCAGCCTAGTTCATGTTATGATGTTTTCTACGAGTGGCTTTAACAGCTTGTGTTAAGCAAGGGAAACATCATTTAATCTCTCTCTCTCTCTTTTTTTTTTTTTTTTTTTTTTACCATATTCTTTTAAAAAATTACCATTTGCTTTTAAAAATAGGTAATACTTGCACAATTCAAAAGTGAAAACTATACATGGATATAGTAAAATGGCTGCTTCATAAACCTGTTTCCAGTTTTTCCAGTTTCTATTCGTATAGCAGAAACACAGTATTATGTAGTGTTTTGGGGGTATACTTCAAGAGGTATTTATTTTATTTATTTATTTTTTTGAGACAGAGTCTCACCCTGTCACCCAGGTTGGAGTGCAGTGGCGCGATCTCGGCTCACTGCACCCTCCGCCTCCCAGGTCCAAGTGATTCTCCTGCCCCAGCCTCCTGAGTAGCTGGGATTATAGGCAGGTGCCACCACGCCCAGCTAATTCTTTGTATCTTTTGTAGAGATGGCATTTCACCATGTTGGCCAGGCTGGTCTTGAACTCCTGGCCTCATGATCCACCCACCTCGGCCTCCCAATCAAGAGGTATTTTTAAAGTGGGTACAAACAAATATGAATCTATATTCTTTCCTCTTCCAACTTTTAAAAAACAACTAGCAGTGTTCTCTACACACTCTCTTGTACCTTACTTTTTTCTCTTGACATCGTATCTTGAAGACATTTCTACATTAGTTCTTGATAAGTTTGTTCATTCCTTTTTAGAGCTGCATAGCATTCTATTTTGTGGCTGTGCCACAGTTTTTAAAATCGGTGTCTTCTTGATGTACACCTAAGCTGATTACAGTCTTTCGCTCTTGTGTACAATACTTCTGGATAACATTGTAGGTAGGTCACTTTGCACATGTTAAAAAAATAACGGTAGGATAAATTCCTGGAAGTGGAATTCTTGGGCCAAAAGGAACATGCCTTTCTGATTTAATAAATTTTGCCAAATTGCTTCCAAACAGTTTGTATCAGTTTACACTCCCACTAGCCATAAGTTACAGGCTTCTGCCTTACTAAACTTTTGTATTCTTGCCAACTTGTTAAGTGGGAAATTGGCATCTCATTGGCTTTAATTTGCATCTTTTATTATGACAGAGGTAGAACATTTGTATTTCCTTTTGGTGGGCTCTCCTTTGTCCAGTTTTATTTGCGTCTTTGGCCTTTTTCTTGTCAATTTGTAAGAATTTTTCGTATAATGGGATGTGAGTTGCAAATATTTTTCAATTTGTCATTTCTCTTTGTCTGTAATATGTCATTTGACTGTTTTATTTTTATCCATGCAGATGTTTTAATTTTTATGGTGTACAATTTTTATATCTTTTATTTCACGACATCTGGATTTTGAATCATTCAGGGAGGGTCTTACCCATTCTGAGCTTATAAAAGAATTCTCCATGTTTTCTGGTAGGTTGCTTTCTTGGTCATTACATTTAAATTCTCGTTCCGTTTGAAAATTATCCTGGTGTATGGCATAAGGTATGGTTTAAAAACATTTTCCAGAAAGTGTATCCAGTTGTAATAGCACCATTCATTGAAAAGTTCATGTTTCTCCCACCGAGTTCCCAAACTTATCATATATCAAATCTTTATGTAATTGAGAATATTTCTGTGTTTTCTATGTTGTTACATTAGTCTGTCTGATGATTTATAGTCTAGTGCCACATAATTTAACAATTTGAGGCTTAACAGCATTTTTTTTTTTTAAAGAGACAAGATCTTACTCTGTTGCCTCGGCTGGAGGGCAGTGGCATAATCATAGCTTACTGCAGCCTTGAACTTCTGGGCTCAAGTGATCCTCCCACATCAGTCTCCCAAGTAGCTGGGAGTGTAGGCACACACCACCATGTCCAGCTAGTTTTATTTAATTTTTGATAGAGCTTAAGTCTTGCTATGTTGCCCAGGCTTGTCTTGAACCCCTGGCTTCAAGCGATCCTCCCACTTTGGTCTCCCAAAGTTTTGGGACTACAGGCATGAGCCACTGCACCCAGCCAACAGTGTACATTAATATCACTCTTTGCTCTTGCTTTTCAGAATTTTCCTACTTGATTCCTCTTGGAGGACTTTAGAATTATCTTGTCTAGCTCCAGAAAATGAGAAGTCTATTGGTAGTTATATTGGTATAATGTTTAATTTGTGAATTTCTTTAGAGAGTATTGATATATCACAACACAGTTCATCTATTTGTTCAAATCTTATTTCTTTTTTCCTTCAGAACTGTTTTCAAGTTTGTTTCCTATAGCTGTGGAATTTTTGGGTTAAGTTTATTTTATCTTCTTTCTCTCTGGTTCCTATTATAAATGGAGGCTTTCTCCCTTATTATATCTTCTGACTGGTAATTACTTTGTTTATTAATTCTGTAGCCTGCTATGTTATTAAATATTCTTATTGTTTACTATAGGTTTCCTGTCAGTTTTCTTGAGTTTTCTGGTGTATCATCATAGAATTTTTAAATAGTGATGACTTCTTCCTTTCCAATTTTTATGTCCCTAACTACTTTCTCTTGTCTTGTTCTGGGCAAGTTCATAGAATGGCTCATTGGTAATACACATGTCAAGCAAGTTGGCTGTGATGGAGAGAGTTGGGGCGCATTTGCATAAGGAACACAGGTGTCTCTAGGGAGGGACTGCATTGAGACCTTAAAACTTTCTGGATAAAGTGGAATGTTGTTACAACATATGTTATAAATGGAATTGGCCCAGCAGATGCCAGAGGGCAGGAGAGGAGCACAGGAGGCTCTGAGGGAGAAGTCACCATAGGATGGGAGTCTGGCCCAGGGTTTAGAGAGGGCCACGGTGTTTGGCTGATTCTGGAACTATCCTTGACCTGTCTATCCTAGAGCCATGAATGTGACTTTGGGTATAAAATGGCTCTGTGTGTGTGTGTGTGTGTGTGTGTGTGTGTGTATGTGTATGTGTGTGTGTGTCTGTCTGTCTGTCTGTCTTCCTGTGGATATGCATGGGAAGAGTGGGTTATTAAGAACTGTAACACTTGAAGCACAGTATCTTTCCCCCTTTCACAGGACGTACCATGGCTGTGGACCCCACTGGGGGATGACGGGCCTTTGTATAGTCCTTGGTGGCACTGCACCTTGGGCTGTCTTTATGTCTATGGGATGGAGCCTCCATTACCCTACCTGTGACTCCCAGGATAAATGGATCTATTTTGGGCTCCTGGGCTCCTGGATTGGAAGTAGCATCATTTAGGAGCAGAGGCATCAAGGATGGAGAACAGGGCTTTTGGGCAGACTGAGTAGTGCACAGAAGCTCTCTACCTCCAGACTTCCAACCCACAGAGCCCCATGCTAGAGTCAAAGTGTTCCTTCTCTTCCCACCCTGCACAAGTGGCATTAGTGGATGTCATACAAGGTCCTTTCATAGCAGCCATACTGCTTATTAGTTTACTGTGTGTTTGCTGACATTTAGTGAATTCTCACTATTATCACTAGACAGGAAGGATGATTAGAAGGACAAAGAGTAGATCAAGTGACACATGAAATGCTTGCCAAGTAACAAGGAGACAAGGAAAAGTGGCTAATGAAACCAAAGAAATTTGCAGCTGTGACAAGAGGATGACACCATTGTCAGAAGTCTTGGGTTAATGTGGGTTCATGTGACAACTAGGAGTGTGTTCAGAATCTTAAATTCTGTATGTGATAGAAGTGTTGCTGCTGAAGCATCGCAAGTGTTAGATGGCCACACAAGTTCAAGGCCTGTTCAAGCCGGCTCAACATCAAAGAGCGAATTCGAGGGAGTGAGAGCAGATACGGTGCCCTGGAGATCACAGCTGCTGAGAATTTTAAGATACTTGCAGTGGCCATCCAGAAAGGGGGGTCTCTCCCTCAACAGGTTTTTAGTGTAGGTGACATTGGCTTAGTCTCAGGAAGATTGCCCCAAGGGACATTTATCATCCACAAGTGTTGTGAAAGCTTCACATTGTTGAATTACAATCCCATCCGTGGCAGTGACTCCAGAGATGGCCTGTTAACTTTACACAAATGGTCCTTTGAAGTCTGATCTGCTTTTAGCAGGAAAGCTTGTGTCCCTGGCTGCCATGTGGTGAGAGCAGCCTGAGCTGCCCTTTGGTCTGCATATGCAACCCTGAGGTTTCTTGAAATATTTTTTGGAAGGGAGTTCTGGAAGTAGGCCTTGACTTCTTACTAACTTGGGCAGCTGGGGGGTTAGAGGCGTTATAAGAAAGTGACTTTCTTTTGCATTGTAGGCTGGTGAAGTGGAACATAGCGGTTATATCTTGCCCTTTCCTAACTGTGTTAACTTTCTGGGTACCGTGTTCTCGTTGCAACGTGTAACAGAGGCAATGTACTAGACCCCAAAATATGCAATGATGAAGCCTTCTGATTTTGCAGACACCTTATTTCTCAAGAGAGGGAGAGCCACGGTTGTGAAATCACCAAAACTGATGGGAAGCTCCGCTGGTGGCGGCCCTCTCAAACAGCAGATGCATGACTCCCGATTCTCAGCCAGGATCTGGTGCCTCACGTGCGAGGATGAAAAGAACCAGAAGACTTGGTCAGGAGCCTTCAATGATGGCCACATATCAGAATTTTAAGAGCTCATGAAGTACTTATAAATCCACGTTGCTCAGGCCTCTTCTATTAGAAATCCTAAATCAGTGGGTCTGGGTTGGGGCCCAGCGAATGACTCAGATGTCCTGCCAGGATTAGAAACCACTGATCTAGACTGGTCCCAACACAGTCTCTAGGGTGCTGAGTGACCTTTGGGAAGTCACTTCACTTCCCTGGACGGTGGCTTCCTCACCTCTTAAATAAGAACTTGGACTGGATGTATTTAAACCTGGCTGCAAGTCAGCAATTTCCAGGGAGCTTCAGAAATACAGATTTCCCAGACCCAGGAACCTGTATTTTTAGGAAAGTCTCCAAGAGATTCTGATGCAGCCAGTCACCAGGTAGGGCCCACTTGACTCAGTGGTGACCTGAGTTCCTTTGAATTCTCATGTACCTGAATTCATGTAAAAGGATGAGCTCAAGTTGCTAAACTTACATCTGTGTCAGCAATTGTCATGATTTACCCACATGCTATGTCTGTTTGAGATTATTCTCTGGTTTAGGTATGAACACTTTTCCTTCCTCTGTTGACTTCATGCTGCTAGCACATAATAGATGGCTCAGAAACAAAGTGAGTAGATGAATGAACAAATGAAGTCCTTAAGGGCAGAGAACATGCCTTCTGGTTATTATGAACCTCCCACTGTGCTGAGAAGTGCTGGTGAACACAGTAGATACTAATAAGTGTTTGAGAGTGCAATAGACATACACATTTTTGCCATTATAGAAGGTGGAAGATCAAGCAGGCAGAGTGGACCTCAGATGATAGTGCCTGGGTTGGTTTTTTTTTTTTTTTTTTTTCTTTTTAGTATGAGTGTTTTGTGGTCAAGGCAAAGTCTATGTAGGCAGTATCAGAACGCACGGGGTTGAGGTAAACGCACCTAGATGAATCTGTGCATTTCCCTTCCTTGTGCACAGAAGTCCCAGGGCCAGCAAACCATTGGCAGGCAAGAAAAGATGGCACCCTCATTGTCCCAGGGGAGCCTCCCATCCAGCTCAACACTGCAGGGCTGCTAGTGAGTGTTGCTTGGCCCTGCCCTCAGGGGAGCTGGATTCCTTCCCTGCAGCATGGCCTAGAGAAGCAGGAGAGGAGCGTTGTACTTTGGTCTTTGGATGGTGGAGCAGTGTCACATCACAGCCCTATTGTGTCCTGGAGATCACAGCCTGGTAGATGAGGCTGGAGCTGTGTCCTGTGAGGCCACTGCTGCCTGCAGCCCTTCTGGGCTGAACTGAAGAAAGAGAGAAAGTAGTCTTGCAACTTCCTCCTGTCACCCGCCCTCACCTCGGGTGCTCCCAGCAGGGATGGAGCTGTTTTCATCAGAGCCAGCGTGCTCAGCCAGTTCCTGCCTCTTCAATGCTGGGATGGCTACAAATCATCTTTTACCTTGGGATAGACAGCCTTAGAATTTACAACACATATTTATATCCATTGTCATATTGAATCATACATAGTAGGTTATTTATTAGCTTTGCAGGGTGGTGAAGTAAAAACCATATTTTTCTAACACCCTTGGTCAGAAGCATGTATGGCATCCGCCCCCTCGACTCACTAAAGGCTGGCTCTGCTGAACCTTTTCCCTCCCTGCACTCAACAGAGAATATTTATTAGAACAGCAGGCTCTTCGGGCCTCTCTGACACTTCATTTTGTCTTGGAAGTTGGTGATGATTGAGCCAGTGATTTAAAAGCCAGGATGCATCTGGGAAGGTCATTAGAGAAGAACATATCTATTCATAAACTTAATAATAAATTCACAGCAATAACTAATATCTATATAGGGTCTATTCGGAGCTGGCTGCTCTAAGCCCTTTCAGGTTCATAGATGAGAAAACGAGGCTGTGCTGGGGAGATGAGTTGCCTGAAGTCACGTGTGGTTGTGACAGAGTCAGAGTGTTCTCAGTCTTGGTCTTTCGCCACACTATGCTACTTCCTCAGATGCCTTTGTAGAGGGTCCCCTTTATTTTCTTTTCCCTCTTTCTTGCTCCCAGCACTTTAAAAAAATTGAGGTAAAACTTATAAAATTGCCATTTTAAAATATACATTTTTTTTTTTTTTGAGATGGAGTGTTGCTCTGTTGCCCAGGCTGGAGTGCAGTGGTGTGATCTCGGCTCACTGCAACCTCTGCCTCCTGAGCTCAAGCAATTCTCCTTCCTCTGCCTCCTGAGTAGCTGGGATTACAGGTGTGTGCCACCACACCCAGCCAATTTTTGTATTCTTAGTAGAGACGGGGTTTCACCACGGTGGCCAGGCTGGTCTCAAACTCCTGACCTCAAGTGATCCACCCGCCTCAGCCTCCCAAAGTGCTGGGATGACAGGTGTGAGTCACCACGCCCTGCCCTTTAGCAAATATGTCTTGAGGGCCACATGCACAGATGTGCCTGACTGCCAGCTTCCTTGTCACACCGCAGATCATTTCCACGTGGTAAACGGATGCATTAGTGAGAGGATGGCCCTGACAAGTCACTTTGCACGTGCTGGGATACAGTAACTGGCCAAGTTCAGAGCATTTTTGTATATTAAGAGAAATAGTGAGTTGTAAGAGCACTTTTTGGTGTGGAATATAGCTAATCCATAAAAAGGCCCCTTTCAAGCTCTGCTTCGAGAGCTGAACTTCTCTGTGATTGAGGAAAAGTTCAAAGGGAAATCACTCTGCACCTTCATCTCCTCCTTTCCCACTTCCACCACCCATGGCCAGCCTCTCCCCACATTCTCCATGAATGCTTGAGATAGCATGCTAACCAAAGGCTCTCCCAGCTTCCAGCACCCCTACCTTCCAAGCCAAACCACCCAGTTTAATCTTCTAGAACTGCAGTTCTTCTCACATCATTCTCCTACACAAAAAACCTTGTCAGCTCCCCCACTGCCAAATCTTACCATGCTATGCAAGGCCCCAGCCTACGTTTCCAGCCTTGTTTTCTATGTTCCCTCTTGGCTTCTTATGCTCCAAAAACTCGGAGTGCATTTGCTTTTCCTTGAAAGTGTCCTGTGTTTTCCCACCTTTGTGCTTTTGCTCTGTATCCTCTGCATCTGTTAGGAAGGCATTCAGCCGCAAGTAACATCACACGGAACCAGCACTGACTTAGGGAAAATCACACCCATAACAACAATTCCAGAGGTGAGCTCTTCAGGCTGCTGCAGCAGCTCAGCCCTGGCATCAGAGACCCAGACCCTTTCGATCTGTCTTCTCTGTCATCTTGGCAAGTTGGCTTGTTGCAATATGGTTATAAAGTGTTACAGTTCTAGGCATTGTGTCCATGTTCAAAGTAGGAAGAAGGGCAAACCTGTCATTATTGATGACTTTCCTTTTTATCAAATAGTAAAACCCTTTTCTGAAGCTCCAATAATCTTCCTCTTAAGTGTCATGTGTAGCCTTGTATCACATGGCTATCCCCCGCTAGCTGCAAGGGAGGCTGGGAAAGTGAGTATTTGGTTGGAAGAGGGAAAGGGAAAGGAGGGAAAGGAGCTGGGACTGGCTACTGGGAGAGCTCACTATCAGGGTCTGCCACACTCTTCCTTCCTCTCCTCCATGAAGTTCGGTTTTCTCATCCAGATACAAAAAACCTTTCCCCCTCTTGCTCCCAATGTACTACTTGTATCTTGATTTTAGCATACATATATTCTCATACATGGTAGCAACCAGTTAATTTTGTGTTTATCTTCCTTCGTAGACTAGAAGCTCCTGAAGAGCAGAGACCGTGCCTGGTTTAACTTTGCATTTCCTATAGCATCCAGCACTGTTCCTCAAACATAGCCTTTATAAAGATGTTTTGTTAACATTTCATGGATAATGATTTCAGTTTAAAAACTATACTTTTGTGTTGCTTGGTTGGAACTATTTGTACTATATTTCCTTTGTTAATGTTTTAGAATGTAGGCAGTTATTATAGCTGACGTTTGAGTTCTTGCTATTTGTCAAGCATGTGATAATACCTGTAAGAGCACAGCCCTGTAGGGACTCAATAAACACTAGCTATTTTCATGCCCTTCAAGCTTCATCACATTCCAGTGCAGTAGATGCCATCGTTATGCTCGTTTTACAGATGGGACACCTGAGGATTCAGAGAGGTTAGTTTCCTCTCTCCAAACACCAAGTTGCAGAGCTGTAGTTTCAATCCTGGTCCATCTGAATCTGAGATCCATGATTTTAACTATTAGTTACACTATCTCCAGACCAGACTATGTTTCCTTCCCTCCTCCAAGAACTGCAAGTTAATGGAGGTTATGTTCTTGGGCATTGATTTATTTTTTCATACCTTTTTCATCTATTAGACAAGACATCAATTGATGCATTGGCCTGGATGACACCAAAGGAAACCATTTGTCCTTGTCAGCCTGCAACTGGCCTGCAGCAGTCTTGTCAGCTGTCATGCTCTGTGACCAGGTGTCTTAGTCCTTTTCCTGTTGCTTGTAACAGAATACTGGAAACAGAGCGATTTATAAAGAAAAGGAATTTATTTCTTACAGTTTTGGAGGCTGAGAAGTCCAAAGTCAAGGGGCTGCACCTGGTGAGAATCTTCTTTCTGGTGGGGACTCTGAAGAGTCCTGAGGTGGCACAGGACATCACATGGGGAGGGGTCTGAGTGTGCTAGCTCAGGTCTCCCTCCCTCTTCTTATAGAGCCACTGGTTCCTCTCCCATGTTAGGCCATTAATCAATCCATTAATCCTTTAATGGATCAATTAATTAATGAGGACAGAGCCCTCATGACCCAATCACCTCTTAAAGGCCCTGCCTCTCAAGACCGCCACATTGATGATTAAATTTCAACACGACTTTTGGAGGGGACAAGATATTCAAATCACAGTGCCAGGTAAGTCCCCTGAACAGGCCCAGAAAATCCATGCCCTGCAAATTGATCCTTTCCAAATCCACACCCTCAGACCAACACCTGGCCTGACTCTGGTCACATCAAGGCTCATCACTTCAGCTCCATTCATAGAAATGATCTTGGGTCTCTTTCCTCATTCTTTTGATCTTTGATTACACTTGATTCCTTACCCCCTTTGGCTTTGTTTCCGACAGTAGAATTTGGATTCTCTAGCCTGGTCCAAAAAACTCCTTAGAACATAGTTTTACTTGCCTTGGGTCTTCCTGTTCTTGGCTGCGTCAGGTAAAATTTGAGTTCAACTTGGCCCCAGAAGCTGTGGTCTCACCCTGGCCACATGGCCGGGCCTACTTTGGCCCTCTGTGATGGCAGACCTGAGACCAAGTAAAACTTCAGCCTCATAAAAATGTTCACTAGCTCTAAAAATACACACTGATTTAGGTGCAGCACTATTTTCCCCTACGAACAGCCAGCCCTATCCATTCTTAGACTTTATTATTAAAACTTAACTGTCTGTACACAATGTCACATATGTGAATGAGAAGCCAACTATGTGGATATCCTCAATGTTTTGTAATCCAAATATTTGGCTCTGAGAGAACCCTGGCATCTGTGTTCATTAAACATGCAGACACCCAAACATTTGAATGAAGAATGAAAATTCAGCAAATACAGGGGAAAATGGCATTTATAAAGAGAACAGTTGAATGGCTGACTAGTGTACAGGCTGTTTCAGACTGGCGCAGACAGAATCTCAGCAGAGACTTCAATTAAAGACTAATCCAAGTCAGATGAAGTGAAAATAAGGGGCAGTCTAACACTCTTCTCTCTGGCTCACTTCTTTGCTTGCTTTTTTCCAACTTCTGGACTCAGAGGCATGTGTCAACTTGCAGGGCCTCAGTAATCTGCTTTCTCAGCTTTGGACTGTTTTAGAAGGCAAAACAACCCCCTTGTTCCAACATACCACAGCTACTTAGATGTGGAAATTTAACCTTCTTAAGATCAAAATCCCCTTAAACACCTTGTCTATTACTATATTGGAAAGAGTATGACCTAAGAGTTAGATTGCTCTAAGCAGGCTAGCTAAAAAGATCTCATCCATATTGTACCTATTCTAAAAAAGACGAGACCTTGAATAATTCCCAGGAATAAGTGCATTTGGTCTGAAGTAGATACACCAGGAACTCCTGAACAAGGGAGGACTGTTTTGTAATTTTCAGAGTCATCACTGCCTTCACGAGGCATTAGAAAGAGAAAGGACTCTGGCATTGGACGGGCCTGGACCCAAATCTTAGGTCTTCCCAGTGATGGGACTTTTCTCTCTGGGCCTGTTTTGCTTTGTTTTGCTTTTATTTGTTTATGTACTAGTTGCCCTTCTGGTTGTTGTGAGGATTAAATGAGATAAGGTATATGGTTAGTTCTTTTCTGTGTCAAGCATATTCTCTTCCTATGTACCAACCCCTCATCCCTACCCTGTGCAACATTCATTCTTCACGCCAGTTGTATTTTTCTTGTCCACAGTTTAGAAAGTAACAGATGGAAGACACAGCACAGCAGAATGGCAGATTCATGTTCATATAACATTATATGAAAAACTCACACGTTTTCTATTGAGGTAGGCCATGGGCTTTGATTCTTTCTGCCCATTCTCTTCCTTTTCATTCCACTGCTAGATAAATTAGGTCACCCAGAAAGCACACTGTTCACCTAAAACATCAACACACCCTATTTCCTTTGAACATCAGAATCAAAGAAAAGCAAACAAGCATACCAAAGAAACCCATCGTGGGGACTGGGAAGATCTTGGCTGCCTCTGAAAGGCTTGGATCCAAGCCCTTCATTCCACTTTCAGTAGGTTAGGGGAGCTTTCAAGGACAAGTTCCACCCTCAGTCTCCTACAGGACAGTGCCACCTGCCTTCAAAACCCTGCAGTTTTCTTCCTTCCTTCCTTCCTTCCTTCCTTCCTTCCTTCCTTCCTTCCTTCCTTCCTTCCTTTCTTTCTTTCTTTCTTTCTTTCTTTCTTTCTTTCTTTCTTTCTTTCTTTCTTTCTTTCTTTCTTTCTTTCTTTCTTTCTTTCTTTCTTTGGCAGAATCTCACTCTGTTGCCCAGACTGGAGTGCAGTGGTGTAATCTAAACTCACTGCAAGCTCCACCTACTGGGTTCAAATGAGTCTTTGGCCTCAGCCTCCCGAGCAGCTGGGACCACAGGCATGCACCACCACACCCGGCTAATTTTTGTATTTTTAGTAGAGATGGAGTTTTGCCATGTTGTCCAGGCTGGTCTAGAACTCCTGACCTCAGGTGATCCGCCTACCTCAGCCTCCCAAAGTGCTGGGATTACAGGTGTGAACCACCACGCCTGGCCAGAACCCTTCAGTTTTCTTTAACACTTCGGAAGTTGATGATCACCATCCATCTCAGCTGCTGGGGACTCCCCAGCTTCTTCCACAAACATTTGGCATGTGCCAACCATGTGCTCTCCTTGCAGTCAGGCACCTCTCTGGTGTGGTGTTTCCAGGTTAGTGGATCCAATGCTATTAAGTTGGTGCAAGAGTAATTGGTTTGTTCTACAAATACTTTTAATGGCAAAAACCACAATTACTTTTAGCACCAAACTAATAGTTATACCACAATGATTTTGTTAGCCTTAGGCAGAGGGGTGTCTTAAATTACTTGCATTTAGACGTTGCCAAAATAGTAAAATTATTTTAATAGCCTAAGAATAAGTTCAGGGTCCTTGAGCCTCCACAATGTAAATAAAAGGTTTTTTTCTGATCGCTTGTAAGTGGCAAAATAAATAGTCCTCTGGCACTCTTCAGTATTTAGAAGCTGTTTGACTGGAGGCAAACATACACAGACTGGTTTGCTCTTCGGATAGGGAAAGTCTTTCTCTCTTCCTCACCCCATGTTTCTCCCTTGCCTCTTCCACATGTTCAGAAGCATGGGAGAGCAACCTGCCCTTCCCTCTCTTAGCTTCTC
This sequence comes from Homo sapiens, assembly GCF_000001405.40. Lineage (NCBI taxonomy): Eukaryota > Metazoa > Chordata > Mammalia > Primates > Hominidae > Homo > Homo sapiens. The sequence continues at coordinate 135,798,467 of NC_000007.14, forward strand.
TGCAGGATGGCGGAGTGGCTTGTCTAGTTGGTGAAATGGGAGAGGGGCTCTGAGCACGTGCAGGGCAGCACCTTCTCGGCTAAGCACAAATGCTAAGTCAACACGATTTGCTCTATACAGCATTTTCCAAATTCGCCTGTGCTGGAATTTATGTTTTCTCTGCTCATTGTCTGAATTTTACATAAGCCAGCTATCAGCAGGGACCTACCAAGGTCACAGTAAATAGCTAAACTTGGCTTGAACCTACAGTTTCTTCCCACTCTGGGGATAGAGAGGGGCTGATGTAGTCAGGGTCACTGCAGCCTCCAGGACCCCAAGTCTTTGCAGGTAGTCTCTGTCCCACATCACAGCCACCCAGATGTGACCACAGCTGCTTCTGAAGTCGCCAGAAAGTCCCATTCACCCCAGTCACAGCCGGGGGTTGAGTATGTTTCCTTGCAGAGAGGGGCATTCCGCCTCTCTAGGCAGCTTCCCGTTACCTCGCTGACACCCCCCTTCACCTTCCTGTCTTTCTTTTCACCTCTTTCCTCCCACCCATCCACCCTGCCTCCATACCAACCACGGGAAGCCCAGGCCATGCTCTCCTCACAGACCTTGTGCCCACCACACCCATGCCCCTCAAGGGCTCACTATTTAACCCTAGTACTTCCCAAGTAACCCTTCCAACAAAGGAGTTTCCTCTCAAAGAGGAATTTTGGTGGCAGCTATTTCAGATGGTATTTTTTCATCCCCAGGACCGCTTGTACTGCCTTTATGGTACGTAGTTTACCCACAGCACATCTCCCTGTGGCCAGGGACAGCATGGAACCCCATCACTACTTGTTGCTGCCCACAGGGAAATGTCCCCACTGATTTCCGCTCAGTTATCACTCAGTCAGGGACTCAGCTTTCCTTCGCGGTCCCTTACCCAGGTTCCTGACCCGAAGGTTAGGGGGACGTACACGTGTCCGGGACGTTGTCTACAGGAGAACTTGGCAGAGGCTTCTGTGGGGGCAGCTCACCCTCCTTGCTGGACTTCTCTGACAGAGGAACCTTCTTTCTTCTGCTTAGGGTGCTCCTCATCCTTCTGGAATCCAGACCATCCTCCACTCCTGTTTTCAGTGGCCACCATCTTTTCTCTCTCCTTCCTCAACCCTCTGAGGAGAAAAGTATTTGTGTTTCACTGAAGTGGAAGTGAGTGTTTTCTTTGGACCTTTGTTTCTGCATTGGGGTGTAGTCTGGGGAAGAGAAAATGGCCATGGGGTATAGGTAACAGAGAAGAGGGGCAAGAAATATGCACACAGCCATGTAAGGTAAGGGTTCACAGGCTGTACACTGTGCAAATGCGGGAGTCCCATTCACACAGTGATATGACATGAAAGTGGATTCACAACCTGATGAAAATGCCACCTTTGAGCTCTGCCTTCTCTCAATCAAGGGCAGTGTGGACACATAGAGAGAGGAACGTGCTTTGAGCCTGAGAGATTCTGATTTGAGTCACCCCAGCTATGTTACTATCTCACCATATAGTCCTAGACAACTCCCTTAACATCTCAGAGCCCCAGTTTCCTTATTTATAAAAGGACAGCAATAGCGCCTCCTTTACAGAGTTGCTGTGAGGGTGAAATGAGATCTTTTGTAGTTGCCTGGCATGTAGTAGGTGCTCAATAAATGTCATTTCCCCAGAAGCATTGTCCTGGTTGAAGGAGTGTTTGCCAATTTCACTACTGGCCCTTTTCCAGTGAAAATATTCAGGGTCTTTCCGTAGATGGTGAAGGAATGTCTGTTGGAGGCTGAAGAAGATACAAGTATTCTTCTTACAGCATAATTGAAGAAAATAATGAATTTATCAAGATACGTGGCCAGTTGAGGCATCCCAGAAAGTTGAGTTTTAACAACAACTAAGACAACGTATAGAGCACGAAATGTTAGGCACAGTTTTAAGCCTCTTCCATGTATTATTGTGCCATTGAAAATGGACCCTTCTGGGACACAGCATTCAAGACTCTGGGATTTTGTGTCTTTGTAAAAGGGAGAGAAGATGTCTTTTTATTTATTTATTTTGAGAAGATGTCTTTTCTTTGCTTCATATCCACCCTCCTGGCATTGTCTGGTACATTATATGTCTTTGCGTCCCCACATCTGGCCTGTTCCTATCAGCATTCTCTCTCTTTTGAGCAGTTCCTTATCTCTGAGCAATGAACTGAGCCATTTCCCAAAGATGGGCATAATCCGTGGGTCTCCTGCGTAGGCGGGAGCCAGCTTGTACTGGCTGTGGAGAGCTGACGGGGGCAGCTTTTCCCAGCTCTTCAGCAATGAGGTCTCGCTAGTCCTTGAAATCAGCCACCATGCGAGAGTTTGCATCAGGGAAATCAGCAAATGCTACCCATCGAGACCACTCCCTCCCGGGTAGCAACACCGTGGCTGGCCCCACACATTGGGAAGAAAAGCTCAGCAGGAGGTTTCAAACTTGGATGGAAGAGCTGGTAGAAAACCTTTGTTTCATAGACATGCTTTAAAGGTGGAATTTCAGGTAGGAAGTCTTTCTGCATCTATTAAACTCAAAATTGAGGAAGAGAAGTAACAGGTCTTCAAAAACTAGGCTGAAAGATGTCCTCCGCGGACCAGGTACATCTTTAGTATAACAATCGTGGCTGGCAACAGCTTAACACGCTCAGGGACATCTTCATGTTTCTCATAATGCAACGTTTCAGGAAACTCTGGAAAGTAAACACGAGGTCACAGATTCAGTTCTGGTGAACTAAAACTCAAAAAAATGGTTCAGCATATCCTGAACTCAGTGTTTGTACACAAGATGGCGCTCTCTTCTTAGGAGAAGACAATTGGAACACTTGCTAACCCCTGAACTCTCTTTGCATGTTGTGATCGATCGCATTGGTGCAATTGGTGTGAGCTGAGCAATATTAAGGTCAAAATCATTGGCTTGATGCCTTATAAATGCATTTCTGTGAATATACGAGTTAACACTAATTATTTCCATTCCTGGGGAGGGGAAGGGTAGGAGAAAAGACTAAGCCAACTGCAAACCCCGTTGCTGGTGAGTCTTCTGTTCACAGACAGAGAGGAAATTAGAACTGATCTCTGTGTTCACATAAGTGGCCAAAGAGTCCTTAGTCTCCCAATGGGAGACAAAGCTGGGTGTCCAAATTCCTCTGTAGGACCCTGCATCTGAATTCACGGGCCGCCTCTCCCCTAACCCCCGCCCCGCCGTGCCCCTCATCCCTACAGGTCGTTTGCTATACATCACCAGTTCTGTAAATTACAGACACAGTCCCTGTCCCTCTTCCAACTTGGCACAGATTCAGGCACTGACCAATCTACTTTAGGTGCCCTGTCTTCTCCCAGCCCTGGCTAACTTGCTGGCTCTGGAATACCCATCTTCTCTGGCAGTTCACCATATCTGAGTGCCCCAGCTCAAAGCCTAGCCTTTTCCTTTGGCCCATTTTGGTCACAGATGCCAGCTTTCACCCTCTAACCCAGACTGGAACAATGGTCTTAGAGGCCACTTGCCCTATGGCCTGGCTAGAGGTCCCTCCAGCCATCACCTCTGGTATTGTCTGCTGGGTTTTCCGCTGATTGTGGTCCCTCAGGCTCTTTGTCCTGTTTCTGAGTGCAGCCCTGCTCTGGCAGTGTGCCCGGGAGACCACTTCCACGTGCTTGGCTCCTGCTGTCCTTGTTGCCAACTATTCTTGGCACCTGGACATTTATCGTGCTGTTCCCCAAGTCCTTTGCTCCGGGTGATTGCACTCCAGGTTGTTTCTCTGCCTCGCTGAGAAATGAAGAGCCCTTCCTAAACCTCCCAACTCTGCTCTCAGCACCGCACCCTCCATTCAGTAGGAACCGTCTTGGGAAGTGGACTCTTGGGGGTTTTGTGAACTAGCCCTCCTGTCTCTTTGTTAAGTTGTGAGGAGGCTGCAGACATCCTGTGCATGTTAGATTAGTCCACATTTCAGAGCCAGGAGGAACAAGAAACATGATGGCCTCATAGTCTAGCCTTTGCAGACTTTGCCAATGACATGGGTAGGTTGATCCTGCCTCACCTCATCCCGGCTGGTCCTGATCAAGTCCTCCTGCCCCCAGCTGAAATCTCACTGTGCTAACTTCAAGGGAACGATCATGTTACGACACCAGGATTTCTTGCTTCCCATCTATTCTTTTTCTTCCTTACGTTTTAAGTATTTCTAGAGCTGGAGAGGCCCAAGAAGTCAAGTGAGAGTTTATTTAAGGTGAGCAGATCATATTTGAATGCAGAAGGGAAAGATCTCGTTGGTAGGGAAAACAAAAGTATTTGTGATTGCTTGCCGTGGAGAGCAAAAAAGCCAGGGCTTTCAGCCATTCATTGCCCAAAATCACAGCACTCACAGGAGTAGAAAAGGTCAGAATAAGCCATGGGGCCAGTCTGTGACTCACCATTTCTTTTGAAACCAAAGGTTCACTTCTCTGGAGACTAATTCTGTTCTTACTTTCCTAATTCTACCTTGGAGAGTTCCTTCCTCAGTCCTAGGCTTTGATCTGTTCTTGGAATTTCAATCTTTTCTCTTTCAGGCACTGTGACAAATTGATGTCATTCATATCCCACACCAATGGTCTCTCTATACCTATGCCTTTTGCCCTGTAACCTTGCGGTCCCTGCCTACTCTGACTCTGGGACTTACTGTGGTCAATGGGACAAGAGCAAACTGGATACAAATTTGGGCTTGTTTGCTTCTCTCTTTGTCATCAACTCCTGCCACCTTATGAGAACAAGCCTGGGCTATCCTCCTGGAGGATGAGGGATCATATGGAACAGAGCTGAGTCATTCTAGCTTGAGGTAGTCTTAGACCAGCTGACCCCTAGCTGACCTGCCAGACATGTGAGTGTGAGCCTGCTCAGATCAATAGGATAACCCAGCCAATCCACAGGCTCATGAGCAAACATACATCTTTATTGTTGTGTTCCACTGAGGTTTTGTGGTTGTCTGTTATGGAACAATGTTGCGGCAATAGATAACTTATAGTGGAAAAGAATGGGAGGACCATAGAAGGTTTCTTACCCCTGAGATTCTGGGGGTGATTAAGTTCTTTCTTCACCTCTCTGTAGGCTAGTAGGAGTAGATTGGCAAAGTGCTCAGAGAGTCTGATGACCCATTTTTATTAAAAGAGCACAAAAGATCATAGCTGCTTGAGCCAGATGTATGTGTGGGAGTGGGATCTATCTGGATATGGGGATGGATGTTTGTAATCCTCACTTGGGCTCCATGATTGACTCCTGGTAACTAAACTATATTTTATTTATTTAGTTGAAGAAGTAAACACCTTCTGCATGTGGGGCACACTTGTAGACTTTGGGCTTGTCATGTGTGACACAACACCTGCCCACATGGCACTACAGTCCAACAATCGGAACTTCATCACTTGGATTACTACAATCATATTAATAATGGAAAAGAACTCTTTAACTTGTTTCCAGTCCAATCCATCCTGCCCACTACTGCCAGATTTATTTGCCCCAAATCCCAATTCACTTCCAAACTTTTCCTTCTCTGCTCAAGGGTGTATAATGGTTCCCCATGGCCTTTTGGGCTAAGCCTAAACTCATTCTGGTATTTTAGAAACCTTATAATCTAGCTCATCTTGGCTATTCAGGCCATCTTCCACTATTTTCTGTGGCCGTAACAGGCTCTGTGCTTTTCCCTGTGCAGGTACCTTGCTCTTGTGTCCCTCCCTACCTCCCCCACCTCAGCTCTGCACCAGACCTGTGGAGAGCCTACGTATCCTTCAAGTTTCAACTCAGACCTCACCTTGTCCATAAAGCCTCCTTAGTAACTCTAGAAGATGTTGATGTTTGCCCATTTTGATGACCTATAATACTGGGTCATTCTCCAGTGGGCGAAAGCCATTGGTGGAGAATTTACATGAATCATCAATAGACTAATCAATTGAGGTCAGGCATGGTGGCTCACATCTGTAATCCCAGTGCTTTGGAAGCCTCAGGGAGAGGGATGCTTGAGGCCACAAGTTCAAGACCAGCCTGGGCAACATAGTGAAACCCCATCTCCATAAAAAATAAAAAAATTATCCAGGCTTGATGGCACATGGTTGTAGTCCCAGTTATATGGGAAGCTGAGGTGAGAGGATTCATTGAGTCTAGGAGTTGGAGGCTGCAGTGAACCATGATTGTGCCACTGCACTCCAGCCTGGGCAACAGAGTGAGACCCTGTCTCTAAGAAAAACCAAAGAATGATCGATACAAAACCTCCCTTGTACCTCAGGGAAGGGTTCTTAAGGCATATGTGGTCTTTTTCTCATTCTGCAAGCCTAAAGAAGAATAAGGAAAGGAAGTAAACACTATTCTGTATAATAATATGATTCTCTAACCTCACGGATGGATAGAGATGACACCTCAAAAATTATGAAAGTTAGAAAAATATTTCCTTCCTAGCAGAAGCTACTGCTCCTGAGAATTAATGTTTGTGCACATGTGTGTGTCTGTGTGCGTGTACCTGCGTGCATGTGTGTGAATTGGCCTATTCCAACAGGTCCAACAGTTAAGGGACAATCCTGCCCATAACCCATTCAGGTGAGAGATCACAAAGGCAGTCTGGCCTAGGAGATCCCTCTTACCCACTGGGAAAGTAGGAATTCCAAAGCGGTTCCCACTGGACTGCTCTGTGGGATTTGGTGTGTTAATGCTTATCTTAGGCAGTTTGTGCTACTATAACAAAACACCTGAGACTTGGTAATTTATGAAGGCCAGGAATTTATTTCTCATAGTTCCAGAGTCTGGGAAGTCCAGGATCAAGGGGCTGGCAAGTGTGGTGTCTGATAAGCGCCCAGTCTCTTCCTAGATGGTGCCTTGTTGCTTTGTCCCCTGGAGAAGATAAATGCTATGTCCTCACAAGATGGAAAGGACAGAAAGGGCTAAGCCAACCCCTCCAGTCCTTTTATTTTATTTAATTTTTAATTTTTTTTAGATGGAATTTCGCTCTTGTTGCACAGGCTGAAGTGCAGTGGCACGATCTTGGCTCACTGCAATCTCCACCTCCCAGGTTCAAGCAATTCTCCTGCCTCAGCCTCCTGAGTAGTTGGGATTACTGGTGCCTGCCACCATGCCTGGCCAATTTTTTGTATTTTTGTAGAGATGGGGTTTCATGATGTTGGTCAGGCTGGTCTTGAACTCCTGACCTCAGGTGATGCACCCACTTCTGCCTCCCAAAGTGCTGGGATTACAGGTGTGAGCCACCTCGCCTACCCCCTCCAGCCCTTTTATAAGACACTAATCCACTCACGAGGGCAGAGCCCTCATGGCCTAATCACCTCCTCAAGGCCCCATCTCTTAACAGTGTTGCATGTTTGAATACGAATTATGGAGGGGACACAAACATTCAAACCATAGCAATGGCTGTCACAATTATCTAGAATTCCCGAGAGTCTCCTCCAGACGAAGTGATTTAGACTTGGGAAGTGAATTAAGGGGAGAAGGAAGATGATGGTAGACACCGAGGTCCCTTTTGGTGAACAGTTTGTTTTTCCCAAAGGCAAATAGAGATTCCAGTTTGGGAGTTTTGATGAAAGGCAATGGTCTGAGGAGAGATACAGGAATTCTGGGTCAAGGGTTCCAGGTGGGTAATGAAGGGGTACAATTCAGGGGCACCTATGTGGAGGTACTCATATTTTAGATGCTCTCCTTTTGGAGCCTGGGAAAGTCCTATTTACTTGGTGCTCAGCTTTATCCCTTTCCCTCATGTAGACGTTGAGTTCATTCTTTTAACTGACCCAGTTCTTGTGAGACGTAGCCCTGCGTGGCCTGGCATGGAGAAAGTGGGGAGATGGATGGTCAGAATGGAGGGTTATGAATGCAGCTCAGCATTCACAGGGAGTTGCAGTTTCTTTAATTTTTAGCTTTATGATTTTACTTCAGTGAAAATCTAAAACTGTTAATCTAAGATCTTCTGACTAGCCATTCTTTAACCAAAATTTGTCATAATATTTTTGTGCTTGCATTTGTACTTTTGTGCCCAAATCCCATTTGTACCAGGTAAAAGACAAGAAATCACAGTGGCTGCACGGATGAAGCTTTGGAGTTTCAGATAAGGAGATGAGGTAGAACTTTGTCATCTCGTAGCTTACTGTGGTGCCGGGATGCTGAACACCAAAGGATCTGCACCATTGCAGTTTCACGTACAAATAGATACACTGTGTGGCTCGACTGTACTTTGCAACTTGCAGTTCATTAAAAATAAATATAGGAGGCCAGGCGAGGTGGCTCATGCCTGTAATCCCAGCACTTTGGGAGGGCAAGGAGGGTGGATCATGAGGTCAGGAGTTCAAGATCAGCCTGGCCAACATGGTGAAACCCCGTCTCTACTAAAAATACAAAAATTAGCTGGGCATGGTGGCACATGCCTGTAATCCCAGCTACTCGAGAGGCTGAGGCAGGAGAATTGCTTAAACCGGGACCCGGGTGGTGGAGATTGCAGTGAGCCGAGATCACGCCATGGCACTCCAGCCTAGGCTACAGAGCGAGACTCCGTCTCTAAATAAATAAGTAAATAAGTAAATTTATAATGAATAGTTTTTCTTCTAATACAGGTAATGATGAGATTAAATTTAAAGCAGATGGAAGAGTGTCATAATGTTAATCTTATCTTCAACGGAATGAGACAGCTTCATGGTGTTATCAGAAGATCAATCACTGAAATAGGCATTTGAGGATTACATGTGGGGAAGTTTTGGTTAAGTATAAGTATGAGGTCTGATTATTCTGAACTAGCAGACAAAGCCTTGAAACCATGAATATAACTTTGAGCAGTTCTTTTATATGAACAGGCCCTCTCTGAATTAGTATTATAAAAGCCAAACTACAACACGAATTAAAGAAAGACCTGAGGCTTTTCCTACTATTAAATCCAAGACTAACAATTTTGTTGCAGCAAAACAGTATCATTAAATTAATGTTAATTTGAATATTGATTTTTTTCAGAAGGCTTTTTTTTTGAGTAAGTAATTTATAAATTTTATTTGGTATTTATTTGTAAATTAAAAAATTATTCCAGGTTTCATATTTATACACATTCGAGTAACATGACAATTTTTAAGTGAAACTGGAAGGTTCCTGAAAATTTTTTCTTTGAATACAGTATTCATTACTCTAATTTGAGAAAAACTGTGGCTGGGGAGAAAGGTCTTTGGGTTTCATACATATTATTGGCATCATAAATTTGTTTCATTTTCTTTTCCTGTTGGTTTTATACAAGATATACTTGGCTCCCTAATTACTTAGTAGGCTTCTTTTGTATACCCCCAGCACCTGGCACAATACTGGGCACATAATAGCTGTTGAAAAAATATGGCTAAAAGGGGGGTGGTCTGGGCACTGTCTGAGTGGATGAAATAGATTAAGATTGGAGTAAAATAGATTGGAAATGGATTAGAAAGAAATAGAGTAAAATGCAGCCCTCTGTTGCAAAATTCTCTAGCTAGGCTGTAAATTCTGATATATCAGGGCCTTTATGTCTCCCATGGTGCTTAAAATAGAGGAGATGCTTGGTCAATGCTGAGAAAGTAGGAAGGTTTTTTCTTCCCCAAAAGGAAGAATAAAACAAGCAGTGACCTGCACAGAGCCCTACACATGTGCTTCCGTTGAGATCCATGGCTGCTGTACACCTCAGCACACAGTGTGCCTCAGGCCTATACTCCTGAGTACCCACACTCGCACCCCTACTCACACACAGAGATACGCACGCTCTTTCTTTCTTTGCAGGGCAGTGTGATGGTCTAAAGTAGAACACTGCCTGTGATCAGGTAGGCCATTGGAAGGCTTGTCCCCAAATGGCCTCCGCTGCATCTGGAAATCTGACCTGACCAGCTCAAAGGGAGTAATCTAATCCTGGTCACATTTTCAGTGAGTTCTCAAGTATCAGCCGCTTTCCTGATGCAAACCCAGGGCTGAATTTCCCCATGAACTAGCCCAGGCCGGCCAACTATTTCCAAACGAGAACACAGCTCCTGCCAGTGCAGACTTAACAAGAACTTAAGTTTCTGGGGCAACTCAGCCCTGCTGGAGATTCATTATCCCACTGTTAGTTAAGGGGCAAGCAAGCCTTGGCTGGCAAGCCTGCTAGGAGGCCAAGAAGTGGACTCTGTGGCATTTTATAATGATGGGTAAACAGCAGAAAGAAGACTCCAGCTTCTCCCCGCCCACTGGAACTCCAGAGCTTTGGGTCATGTCTGGTGGTAGGTCAAAGACCACCGTGGGTGGTGGGGCCCAGGAATCTAAGTTCTTAACAAGATCTCTAGATGATTCTGGCATACTAAAGTTGGAGGAATCCTGACTGTATTAAAGCTATCCATGCTGTTGGCCCTTCTTATATGGCCCAAGTTCAGAATTTCTCCCCTCCCTTGGTGAAGGACCCTGTGATGGCTCAGGGCCACCCAGCTAGGCCTGGGCATAGAGCCGTGGCCCATTAACCTCCTTCCACCGCCGAACCATTTCTTGTTTGCTGTTGCAGATTTTCAGGCCATGAAGAGGAGAGCTGCTCTGACATTTATGTCTCACTCTCCCGATTTAAAATGTCTTCATCACAACCAAAGACTCACCCTTTCCTCCCGGCCTCCTCTCTGTCTCTGCAGCCGATGGCTGCATTTCTCCCTCCTTTGTGCAGCAATCACATGCCTGTCGTGGAGAGAGAATAGAGCCAAAGTGGCTGCAATATCATATCTCTTGCCTGTGTTATAAACTGCAAGACTTGTCTGGATCACGGGAACTATTGTCGACATTAGCAGGCCAAGGGCACGGAGCCAAGGACGGCTCCCTTCTCCAGCATAGGCTCAGGAAAAGCACAGATTAGAAAAAGGCCCAGAAGAATTCTGTCCCTCCTTTCTTCTCGCTTGTGCATTTTAATCCTCCCCTTCCCCATCATGTCAGCGCATTCTGGACTTGAAATGAACCTAGAAAATGTGTATCATAAAATATTTGACTGACCAAGGGCACAGATTGCTATATCTTCCTATTTACTTATTTATTTTGAGACAGAGTCTCGCTCTGTCACCCAGGCTGGAGTGCAGTGGCACAATCTCAGCTCACTGCAACCTCTGCCTCCCCGGTTCAAGCAGTTCTCCAGCCTCAGCCTTCTGAGTAGCTGGGACTACAGGCACGTGCCACCACGCCCGGCTAATTTTTCTATTTTTAGTAGAGACGGGGTTTCACCATGTTGCCCAGGCTGGTCTCAAACTCCTGACCTCAAGCAATCTGCCGTCCTTGGTCTCCCAAAGTGCTGGGATTACAGGCGTGAGCCACTGCGCCCAGATGCTGTATCTTCCTATCCTTAGGCTGGTCTGGCATCCTTAATAGCAGAGCCCCTTTCTCTGTACTTTAAAGCTGGTGAAGGAATTTGGCATGATCATGTTCTTAACTGAGTGGTTAAGAAGGGCAAATACAGCCATTCTAGAAAAAAAAAAAAAAACAAACAAAACCCAACCTGATAATGAGGAAGACAGGAAGACAGATGAGGCTTTGCTCCTGAGGTCAAGACAGCTAGATGGTTTAGTAATTTTAACACAGAGAGAGCGTGCATTTCCCTTTTGTTTTCTAACTCGGTCTACCAACCAGGTAGATTTCAATGTGCATTCAACAAATTGAGCACCTACTGTGGCTCTGTGGCTCTGCTTAACCAGTGGTTTCTTTCTTTCTTTTTTTTTTTTTAATATGGAGTCTTGCTCTGGTGCCCAGGCTGGAGTGCGATCTTGGCTCACTGCAACCTCTGCCTCCCAGTTCAAGCAATTCTCCCTGCCTCAGCCTCCTGAGTAGCTGGAATTATAGGCATGTGCCACCACGCCCGGCTAATTTTTTTTTTTTTTTTTTTGAGATGGAGTTTTACTCTTGTTGCCTAGGCTGGAGTGCAGTGGCATGATCTCGGCTCACTGCAACCTCTGCCTCCTGGGTTCCAGTGATTCTCCTGCCTCAGCCTCCCAAGTATCTGGGATTACAGGTGCCCGCCACCATGCCTGGCTAATTTTTTGTATTTTTAATAGAGATGGGGTTTCACCATATTTACTAGGCTGCTCTCAAACTCCTAACCTCCGGTGATCTACCTGCCTCAGCCTTCCAAAATACTGGGATTACAGGCATGAGCCACTGCACCTGGCCAACCAGTGATTTCTAAAGCAGGCTTCTCATTGGAATCACTGGGGAAGCTTTTGAAAAATACAGTTTCCTACTCTGAGATTTTCAGTCAGTCAGTCTGGGATGAGGCCCTGGCATCTGTATCTTCATTTAATTTGAAAAGCACAACCCTATACTTTGGTCAGTGCTGTGGGGATACAAAATGGTTAGAACTCTCCTATCGTTTTAGAGCAGCGAACGGTCTGTTGGGGTTGGCAATATTAGACACCGTAGTGTTATGGTCCATTAAGTTACTAAGATGAATACAGAGCCTAAGTTGGAAAAAAGATAGAGTGGGATAGAGAGGCAAGCCTTTCCACTGTGTTTGTGAGTTTAGACGTAAAATTCACTTCTTTTCCTCAGGCCTTCGAAGGTCAAACATTTTGTTGAGGACTGGGGCAGGGAGTAGCATGCCAGGACTGGAGGTTCACTGGTCTGGAAGACCCCGATCTAATCCAAATCCCCCAGTTCATGGTTGAAGACACTGAGCTCTAGAGGCAACATGACCTGCCAGAGGTCACACAGCAGACTGCAGGCGACATGGCAAGGACCTCAGGCTTGGACAGAGTCACAGCCGCTGGTGCCTCAACACATGATGGACCGGAGCAGAGCGAGGGTTTTGTCACAGACTTGCATCTGCAAACCTCGCCAGCCTGTTCAGCTGCTGCCACAGGGCTCAGGGGCTGTGGGTGGCATTTCTCTTCACCTCCACCTCTTGCATTTCCTCAGGCTGAGGGGAGTCACCGGAAAGGCTCTTACTCGTGGGGAACTGGAGCTACATCTTGAAATGATTGCTCAGTGCATCTCACACTAGGGTTCTACAGACCATCCTGAAGGCATTGGGGTCCGGATCATTGCATACTGCAAGGGTATCCCCCTCTGACCTATAATTCTCCTGTTTGGAAAAATCTAGTTGAAATAAACATCTAGAGAAATTGTTATCATTGAAACAGAGAGTCAACATGTGGACCAGTGTACTAGCCAGGATTCTTCAGAGAAATAGAATAAACAGGATGTAAACAGAATAAACATGAAGAGGCTCATGATGAGGGACTGACTCAGTGATTATGGAGGCTGAGACATCCCATGATCTGCTCTTTGCAAGCTGGAGACCTGGGAAAGCTGGTGATGTAATTCCAATCTGAGTCTGAAGATCTGAGAACCAGAGGAGTGGATGGTGTAAATCTCAGTCTGAGGGCAGGAGGAAACCAATGCTCCAGCTCAAACACTCAGGCAGGTAGCAAAAGGGACAAATTTCTCCTTCCTCTGCCTTTTTGTTCTACTTAACCCCTCCACAAATTAGATGACGCTCTTCCACATTGGAGAGGGCTATCTACTTTACTGAGTTTGCCAATTCAAATGTGCTAATCTTTTTTCTTTTTTTTTTTTTTTGACACAGAGTCTTGCTCTGTCACCCAGGCTGGAGTGCAGCGGCTCGATCTCGGCTCTCTGCAACCTCTTCCTCCTGGGTTCAAGTGATTCTCCTGCCTCAGCCTCTTGAGTAGCTGGGACTACAGGCACATGCCACCACGCCCGGCTAATTTTTCTATTTTTAGTAGAGACGGGGTTTCACCATGTTGCCCAGGCTGGTCTCAAACTCCTGACCTCAAGCAATCTGCCCTCCTCGGTCTCCCAAAGTGCTGGGATTACAGGCGTGAGACATGACCACACCCGGCCTCAAATGCTAATCTTATCCAGAAATAGTTTCACAGACGCATCCAGTTTAATGTGGGTACCGCATGGTGTAGTGAAGTTGACACGTAAGAGTAACCAATGCAACCTTCAGCAGCGAAACTGCTGGTGAGGAGAGGGTAGCCAGACAGAAACAGCCTGGGGGCAGGGTGCAGGCAGGTGGACAGAATGGAAGAGAATGAGCACTGGAGTTTTGAGGAAGCCAAAAGATTTTTCTCCCCTCTGTCTTGGAGACAGAGGAGAGGGTGCTAGAAGACAGGATTTCTCTTGAATCTTTTTCTGTGCAGGCTGGAGATTGACTCTATCACCTCCTATACCTTCCTGTCACTGTCTTGAGTTGTGTTACTCAAAATGATTGCACCAAGGTGACATGGTCTAGGGAGGGCTCTGCTGCCTTGGCTATGTTCATTGGCTTATGGACTCCACATTTTTCACCTTTACAACATAGAGCAGTGTAATGAGCATCTCATCATGTCCAGGGACATAAAGGAAATGAGTGGGTTAGCTTTAAAAATGAAGGACACACACAGAAATACACACACATCAAAGATGAAGAAAGCAAATGGATACCTTGAGTAACTAACTAGAGGACTTTCCCATCTCTTGGTAGTTGAATACATGTAGAAGGGCAACATTGCTAAGATGAGGCTATTTGTGAATTATGCCTCTTCCACCCCAGTCCCTACTGGGAGCTTGCAGAAAGAGGGCTGTGAGGGCTTACCCAGCTCTCTCCCTTCAAATTAAAATTTGTCCAGTTGGAAACACTGACAGGCAGTCCACAGGTTCAGGCCACCCTATTCTCAGTCAGGAAATTCTGAGGATGCTTAATTCAAGAGCCCAGCAGACCCACCCACCACCTAGCCACTCTTGCTCTAGGCAGCTTTGACCTTATGGGTAGAGTAACTGGGTTTCTGCCTTGTGGTACGAACCGTGCATCTCCCTGGTGCTAATTCCAGGAGGTGTTTCTTTTCTTTTCTTTGTTTCTTTCTTCTTTTTTTCTTTCTTTTCTTTTCTTTTTTTTTTTGTGAGGGAATTTTGCTCTTGTTGCCCAGGCTGGAGTGCAATGGTGTGATCTTGGCTCACTGCAACCTCCACCGCCCAGGTCAAGAGATTCTCCTGCCTCAGCCTCCCGAGCAGCTGGGATTACAGGCGTGCGCCACCATGCCTGGTTAGTTTTGTGTTTTTAGTAGAGACAGAGTTTCACCATGTTGGCCAGGCTGGTCTCAAACTCCTGACCTCAGGTGATGCGCCTGCCTTGGCCTCCCAAAGTGCTGGGATTACAGGCATGAACCACTGCGCCCGGCCCAGATGGTGGTTTTCTATCTAGTTGCCCTAATCTAGAATTTCTGCCTGGTTCACTTACGGGCTAGACCTTTCTCTCTAACACTAGGAGCCTCATGTGTTCTTGCCAGTTCTCAGGGTCTGGGGACCCATCCCCAAATCTAAACCGTCTGGTTTGGACTCTCGGTTGTTATATCCTATTGACGATGTGGGTGGTTCTATTGCACAGCAGGGAAGCCATTTACCACCAGTGCTGGGCTGAGTAGTTGCCTCTGAAGATGTCCATGCCCTAATATCTAGAACCTCTGAATGAATAGGTTGGGTTATGTGACAAAGGGGACTTTGCAGATGTAAATAAGATTATCAACCTTAAAATAGAGACATTCTCGTGAATTATCTGAGTGGGCCCAGTGTAATCACACAAGCCCTTAAAAGTGGAGAACTTTCTCTGGCTTCAGCCAGAGAGGTGCAAAGGAAGAAAACAGGAGAAGAGATGCAGCAGAAGAGGAAGTCAGAGAGATTCCAAGTGTGAGAAGTATTTCACGTGCTGTTGCCTGTTCTGAGCTGTAGGTACCCATGTGCAAGGACCTGAGAAAGGCCTCTAAGAGCTGAAGGCAGTCCTGCCTCCCAGCCAGCAAGGAAAGAGGGACCTCAGTCCTATAACTGCAAGGAGATGAATTTATTTGTCTAACAACCTGCATAGGTTTGGAATTGTATTCCTCAGTGGCCACTAAGGAATGTGGCCCTACTGTATTCACCTTGCTTTTAGTCCAGTGGGACCCATATTGGACTTCTGACCTACAGAAACTTTGAAATAATAGCTTTGTGTTATTTTAATCTGCTGAGTGTGTGGTAGTTTGTTGCAACAGCAGCTGAAATGGCGATATGTAAATAACACAAATATAATTACAATGGACACAAAGAATACAACAACAACAACAACAAAAAGATATTGAACCCTCTTGCTTTCACAGCCGCAGTGGCTACCACCAACAAAAAATTAAGGTGTCTCCTGATCACACTTTCGATTTCCTGGGCTCATGACCCCTCCCCTAAAGGTATCCATATTTCTTCTAATGCTTCACATTCTTCTAATCCAGTAACTTCCTATCGTTGCTAGAGATGTGCACAGATTATGGTGAAACAAGAGGCATATTGTACAGCTACTACTTCATGCTGTTTATTCATGTCTGTTAGCTTTACAGAAGATTGCATTTGCTATATATAATAACTATACAAAGAAGTTATTATTGTCATGATTTTACAGATGAGGACACTAATATTAAAACTCATGGAGGTAACGGGATTTGCCCAAGGTTGTATCTTCTTCAAGCGACCAGGGACCAGGATTCAAACCCAAGGTGGTTTGATTTCAAAGCCCATGTTCTAGACCTATTTCCTCCCGTAGTTAAGGATGTTTGTCCCTTGGATTTATCTTTGCTCATTGTCTTCCCCTTGGAATGGGAGAGTATGATTGTTTTAAAGAGATGACACAAATTTCTTGATCTCCTTAGGAGGTAGAACTGAATTCCCCACCCTTTGACTATGTGAGTCACTTGTAATGAATACAATAAGGTGCAAGTGATAATGTGTGACAGTGACTAGGTCATAAAAGGCGTTGGGACTTCTCAAGTTCTTTCTTTCCCTTGGATCCCTCACTCTGGGAAAATGCTGTGAGCAGCCCTTGGGAGAAGCTCACATGGGCAGTTACTGAGGCCTCCAGCCAACACCCAGTGAGACCCGGAGACTGGCCTGAAACCATGTGACTGAGCTGAGAAGTGGATCCTGCAGCTCTGTAGCACTGTGGCCCCAGCTGATATAGTGACTGCCACTTTCTGTGAGACCCCGAGACAGAACCACCCAGCTAAGTAAGGCACTCTGGGTCCTGCCCCATGGAAAATGGAGATAATTACCATTTGTTGTTTCAAGCTGGGAAGTTTTGGAGTAACTCATTATGCAGCTGTAGATAACTAATACAGGAAACATTCTTGCCCTCTTTCTGTTACTGAGCCTCAGAATTAAACTCTTTTATGGAATCATAAATCTTAGAATTGAAAGGGCCTTTGGAGATTAAGTGGTTCAACTCCCTGGTCTACAGTAAAATAGATGCATGAAGGTTTACTTCCCAAGGCCTTGTGGGGATTAAATGAAGCAACACAAACAATATGTCCTGCGTATTGAGCTGAGTCAGTGCCCAATAAGAGCACACTTCTCCCCTCTGAATGAGGAGACGAGGGCCCAAGAGGTTAGTGACCTGCCCAAGACCCTAGGGCTAAGCAGCTGCAGAGCCGAGTCCTAATAGCAATTCCCTGAGGTGCTGAGCCCAGCATTTCCACTACTGCTTTCTTTCCTCCTGCTTCTCTGCATTTCAGTCATTAAAGGCACCCACCGGGGTGCAGGTGGTTTCTGAGAAGTGTGAGCAAAGTGTATGGGAAGGTGTGGAGACTGCAGCTGGCCAGGCACTGTAGCACAATGCTGAGCTCACATTTGGTCTAAAAACGACAAAGAGAATCATTGGAGGGTCTGAAGCCATCAGTGATGAGATGAAGCTGACATCAAGGATGGGAGTGGTTGAGATGCAGGGGAGTGGTTGAGATGCAGAGAAGTGGGAGGAAGAGACAAGAGAAGCCAAGGAGTAGAGCACTTAGCAGCTTCCAGGGAGACACAGTGCCTGGCCCTTCCCTTCACCCCAGCCTCTATCACAGCCCCCTCGCACAGAGTAGGCACTTGAGAAATGTTTGTTGTCCCTGAGGTTGGTCACACTGTTGCCCTGCCTCGAATCCCTTCCCCTCTCCTGTCCCATGTGCTAATCCTTATCCTACCCAGTCTTCAAAATGCAGCTCAGCTACTGCCACCTCCACACACCAGCATCAGCCTGTGACTTTGCATCATCATAAACTATTTCACCTTGGACTTGCTCTGTGATAGCTGATTTCTCATAGAGCTCCCCTTCCCAAGATAGGCAGGGGCTCTGGGTCTGGAACGGAGCGAGCCTGCCCACCCAGGCCTTATGTCCATTTATAGACTCCAATTCTCCTTTTGCGGGTGCAGACCACTGGCCTGCTCTCCCTGGTTAGCCCCAGTGGTTGGGGGTTTGGGGAGGAGATGCAGGCAGAGGGATGGGACTGTGGCAATATCACGCTTTTTACAATATGAATGACATCACATTCATATTGTAAAAAGATTTCCACATCAAATAACTCAGTGTTTGCCATAAAGTGTGGTCTTTTAAAAATGTTTTATTTTTTAATAGTTTTTTTTTTTGTAGAGATGAGGTCTCACTATGTTGCCAAGAGCTGGTCTCAAACTTCTGGCCTCAAGCAATCACCCCACCTTGCAAATCACTGGGATTACAGGCATGAGCCACTGTGCCTGGCCACGTGTTTTTAAAACTTTTTAAGCTATGAGATGCTGAGAACACAGAGGGGACCGGTAATGTACCTAGAACCTCACAGAGAGTCCCCCTTGCCGACAGCTCAGCTGGCAGCTGGACAGGCAGCTCCCTTGGCTGGGGAGAGCCATTAGCATTTGAATCTGGGCCACTCATGACATTGGCTGTGTGCATGGCCCTGTTGGCGTCCCACAAAGTGAGACTCTTCTGTGCCTGGGATTTCACTCTGAGCCTTGGCTTTTCAGTGGCCCAGTCCCTCTATGGTGAACTTCTTATGTGGGCTTCAAAGTCAACAGGTAAGGGAAAAGTCTCAGATTCAAAACCGTCTTTGAAAAATCTCTGATGTTACCATAAAACCCTTGAACATATAAAATCCTGTGCTAAATTATGTGTCATGAATGTCTAATGCAGAAAGTAATATCCAGTGTGTAATATGAATGAGTCTTGCTCTGTTGCCCAGGCTGGAGTGCAGTGGCATGATCTTGGCTCACTGTAACCTCCACCTCCTGGGTTCAAGCCATCCTCCTGCCTTAGCCTCCTGAGTAGCTGGGACTACAGGTGTGCGCCACCACGGAGGTTTTGTATATATATAATTTTAGCAGAGTCAGGGTTTTACCATGTTGGCCAGGCTTGTCTTGAACTCCTGACCTCAAGTGATCCGCCTGCCTTGGCCGCCCAAAGTTCCGGGATTACAGGCATGAGCCACTGCACCCGGCCCCACAGCATATTAAATATAGAAAAGGATCTTTAAACACAGGAATTACAGACTGTGATTAGGTTACCAGCTGTCCCAGTTGCCTGAAACCGTCTTGGTTTTAGCACTGAAAGTTCTGCATCCTGGGAAACACCAAAGTCCCAGGCAAGCCAAGACAGTGGTCGCTTTACGTCAGCATTATGAGCCGCTCACGTTGTAAAGGACCCACGGGAACTGAGGCTGACAGTGGAGCTCATGATTCCGTAGTAGACTGGAGGACAAATTACCCTGCAATTTCTTCTCTTTTTCCCTGTCCCTCCTCCTACTCAAAATGCATGTACTTGAATTTGCATTAGCTATATAAAATATCCTCAAGATATAATTCCCGGATTCTACTGGAAAAGCAGCCCAAAACACAGGCTTTTCTAATGCTGAGTCCTTGACATCATGTGCATATAGAAAGTCAGTACATGTGTCTGGGTTTGTGAATGGTGTGTGTGTGTGTGTGTGTGTGTGTGTGTGTGTAAGGTGGAGCGTGCTACACCGAGGAGCAGCTTCTGACAGGTCTCGTGGATTCCCCTCCTTGCAAGCTTCATTCCGCCAATTTCTTATGAGTGGAGTTTACACTTTCCCTGGCTGAGGTTGCTCCTTGAGTTGGGATGTCTTGCAGCCGTAGTTGGCCAGTGTCATGGGGCACATCTCTCTGTCATACCTTGCATGGGACAGGGAACAGCTGCTCATAGAGGGTGGCTGGCATTTACACTCTTAACTCAGCTTTGGAATCTGTGATCTCTCATCAAATCCACACCTTTTGCTTTGTTTCAGAGTTGCCTGGACAGGAGGCCACTTGGGAAGGTTTCTTCTCCCTTATTCTCTGTCTGGAATTGTCTAGGGATTGCTGGCTGATGGCAAGAGGGTTTTGATGGAGGAGTAAAGTCTAGTTCTGTCAAAGAGCATTTGTAGGTTAGGAGCAAACTCTTGTTCAGTTGGAAGAGGGGGATTGAAGTAAATGGATTCATGCATTGTTCCTGCTCTGATATCTTAAAAGTGGATGAGGGGTGTTTAAACAAAGCAAGGGATCAGGAGTCTTCCCCAGGAGTCAAGAAGGGGATGAGACAGGATCGATCAAATGGCCAGTGGCAGGGACAAGCATGACAGGCAGTAGTGACAGTGTCCTCCCTCCAGCTAAGGTGTCTGCTAGAAGACAATGCAAGAACCCTCCAACTGGGGCTCTGTGGAAGCCCAGAATTTATGCTCCAGCCTCTCCTCTTCTTTTTCCTCTGAGAAACAGGGTTTTGGATAATGCTCTTGGTCTGTATTCTCATGCTAGTGTTATTAATGGCCTGGCCATCTAATTAGTCTTTTGTTTTGGTAGGTTAATATGTAATTAGGCATTTCCTCATTATCTTGAGGAATACAGGAGTAGCATCTAAAAGTCATCTTCTGTAAATGGATCTAAAAGAGGCAGAGAGACAAGGCAGGGAGCAGGGCATTAACCAAGGATGGCAGAAAGGCTATAGGGATGAGCTGCCTCATGGTCACATTTGTTTCTGGCATCAGAGAATGAAGGAAATAGTGGAAGTTATTGTTGCTCCATGTTCTGTGATATCTTTTGGGCCAACATGAGTTACAGCTGTGGTTAGATGGCTTCTGCAAAGCACTGCTCATAAAGTCCTGTGTTGCCATAAATCATTCCATTCTCATTAGGTCTCCCCACTCAAAACCTGCCCAAAGCACTCCACAGGCTCAGCGACTCTCTGGAAGCATCTCAGCTTGGTTCCAGCTCCCCATGAGCAAGGTTTTTATCATCCACCATCCTCACCATCACTCTTACCATCACCATCATCATCACCATTATCACTTTTTCTTTTTTTTTTTTTTGAGACAGTCTCGCTCTGTTGCCCAGGCTAGAGTGTAGTGGCACGATCTTGGCTCACTGCAACCTCTGCCTCCTGGGTTCAAGCGATTCTCCTGCCTCAGCCTCCTGAGTATCTGGGACTACAGGTGTGCAGCACCACATCCAGCTATTTTTTTTTTTAAGTAGAGACGGGGTTTCACAATGTTGGCCAGGCTGGTCTCGAACTCCTGGCCTCAAGTGATCCACCTGCCTTGGCCTCCTAAAGTGTTGGGATTACAGGTGTGAGCCACTGTGCCTGGCCCCATGATCACTTCTTGAGCACTGTTGTAAGCTGATTACACCTATTATCTCATTCAATCCTCATAATAATCCTAACATTATCACCATTTTAAAGATTAAAAAAACAAAAAACAACAACAAAAAAAACTAGGTCCAAAGAAATCAAGTAAGTTGCTAAGTTCACAAAGCTAGTAAGAGACAGTGCTGGGATTTGGGCCCAGGAAGCATGACACAGAGCCTGCTCCTGCACTCCTTACTGCACCTCCTTGACTTCATGATTTTATATCTGGTACTTTTGTTAGGTAGTTGTGAACAGGAAATGCTGTTTTGGCTGGGATGGATGATACCTTGGAGATCCTACAATTTTTTCCACTTAAGCTCACCTCCAAGGACAGATCTGAATTAAACTTCCCAATTGACAGTGGCATTGGAGATTTGTGACATCATCATCAGAAACTGTCTATTAAGCCTCTCCCTCCAATGAGCAAGCCCGAGCAAGTTTTACAGAGTCCCAGACCGTGCCGAAGACCCTGCCTTCAAAGCATTTAGTAGAAGAGGTAACACACAGACAGACAAGTACAATAAAAATTTAAAGATTTATACCTGCTGTGAGAGAAGTAATAAAGCTTGGTTGAATTCTTGGGTTTATTATGTAAGTCAGACTACATGTCTTTTTGGGCACCATGATATTCACAATTGTGTCCAAGTTAAGGGCTCATGCATTTTAGAGATGGGAATGAGGGATGGTTCATAAAGTGGAACCAGGGAGAGCAGATGTAGAAACCTTATGTCTGGGATTACCAGGGTTCTTGAAGGCTGTAGATCTTCTCATTTCCTTAGTCAACAAGTAACTCCATATAGAAGCCTGGCCTACTGCTAGTTCTCGGGCTATCATGAGCAAGAAGGCAACCAAATCTGTGTGAATAATGGGAAACCCAATTGAATGGTGTTTTTTGAGATGTTTCTGTTTGTGTTTCAACACCAAATGTTGAAAGCAGAAAGTTGGTTTTGTTTTGCTAGAGCTGCTGAAGCCAGGAGATGTGGAGTTGCGAGTTCCCTGCCATGTTCTGGCTAATGGCCAGCAATGAGGAAGGAACGTTTGGGGCACTGCTGGTGGGCGTCAGCACATGGACTGACTCCGCACAGGCATGCTTAGAGCAGCCCTCTCTATGCCTGACCCCTGCCTCTGTTTCTCAACAGGCACAGCCTTTGTCATCAGAGTGCTCAGCCCCATCTCTACTGGGACCCTCATTCATCTAATTGTCCCGGTCAGAAATCTTGTATGGTCTTTGATTTCTTCCTCTTCCATGTCACCCAGATATCTCAAATACATCCACTCCCTTCCATCTCTGCTGCTAATGCAGAATTCCAGACAGCAACATTTCTCAGCAGGACGACCACACCAGCTGCTTACTTGTCTCCTGCTTTCTCTCCAGTTCCTTCAGTTTATTTTTTCTCCTCAGAGTAGCCTAGATATTTTTTAAAAAAGATAAATTATACCATATGATGCTCCTTCTTAAAACTCTTCAATGGTGTTCCATTACATGTTGGAAAAAAGTCCAGATCTCATAGTATGGCTATCAGGGTCCTCCCTTATCCAGGCCCTGCCCACCTTCCCAACCCCATCTCCCCTGATCCAGTCCGTGCCCACCTTTCCAATTCCATCTTGTTCTATTCCCCCCCATCTCACTCATGTCGCTTGGGCCACTCTGGCTGCTTTGTATTCCTTAAATTCATGCAACACTTCTCATACCTGGTCTTCTGACACATTGTTCCCTCTGCATGGGACACTTTTCCTCCTGAATGCTTGCATGGCTGGCCTATTTTTATAATTCAGGATTTGCCTTAAATGTTTCCTCCTCAGCAAGGCCTTCCCTGAGTGATCTCCTCCTCTTGGCTCCATCACTGTGCTTTGTTTCTCCCTGGCACTTAGCGTGCATTGAAATCACACATACATTTGTTGATGTTCTTGTTGAATGCCTGTCTGCTCTCTGCACTGAAGTTCAGTGAGGAAAGGGCTATGTTAGTTTTGCTCAGCATTAGTTTACTTTGGGACTCCTAGCATAATGCCTTAAAGATGTGTTTTATAAATATTTATTGAATAAATAAATGTTTATTTCAATCAGGTTCTATTGTCCTTTTGTGTGGAGGCTAGCCCAGCTTGCTAAATGCTTGTGCCCAGGCGTGAGTGACTATTAAACAGAAAACAAAAAATATAGTTTTTTAAAATTAGTTTTTTATTTCAATAGTTTTTGGGGTACAGGTGGTTTTTGGTTGCATGGAAATGTTCTTTAGTGGTGATTTCTGAGATTTTATGCACCTGTCACCCGAGCAGTGTATACCATACCCCATATATATAGTCTTTTATCCCTCACCCCTCTCCCAACCTGTCCCCCACCAAGTCCCCATAGTCCATTATATCACTCTTAAGTCTTTGCGTCCTCATAGCTTAGCTCCCACTTAGAAGTCAGAACATACGATATTTGGTTTCCCATTAAAAGTGTGTTTTGTATTTGGTGACTTTTCCCCTAGTCCCTCTTTGTCTCCGTTAATGAGTGCAGGATATGAGGTAGAAGAGGTCCAGAAGCCATTTGCCTTTCAGACTCTTTAAATGAGGCACAAAAGGAGGTGCTTCTGGGGGTGGAGAAGAAAGAGAACTCGATGTAGCAGGGGTCTGGCATATGGAGAGCAGGCTGGTCCCAGAAGGGATCCTTCTAGGCTCATTAAAGGTAATTTGCTTCCAGACCCTGTGGCCGTCCCCTGTGCAGAAGAATGGCAGACGGCCTGCATCTGGAGAATTCAGAGGACTCCGAGTTAGGCAAATGAGCCACCTGCTCAGTTCCTTCTTTGCAGAGGAAAATGAGTGGCTCCTAGTTGCTGGGGGAAAGAGCAAGGCCGGCAGAGGTTGTATCGGTGTCACTCCCACCCCCAGTGAACTTGCCAGTTAAGCCTTCCTCCACCACATGGACAGTCCCATCACTGGAGACAGAGCCAATCTCACTGACCTCCTTGAATCTCAGCCACAGGTAGAATCTGGTCATCAGCAGCTGCTCATAGGCCCCACTGTGGGCGCCTCTCTATGTCGTTGGCTCCCTAGAGTCACAAGGTCACCATTTCTATGTAAGCTTTGTCAAAGAATGTGACTTCACATAGTCTGAGAGTGGTTGCTGACAGCTGATTTAACAGTGAGATGATGGTGACATACATTTAAATTGGGGGCCCTTAAGCCAGAACTTCTCTCTTATCCCTTAAAGAGAAAATAGGCAAATCACCCACAGAGAATGGCTCTCCCCTCCTGCTGTATCGCAGGGAGTCCTGGGTATACCGATGTCTGTGCTGACCAATGATTTGCCGAATACATGCTTTTACAGTGTGGCTTTGTCTTTGTACTAAAACAATGTCAAACTGTACATTTCAATAACAAGGCATGGATGTGATTTCTGAGCCATCAGTGGAAATGGATGATTGGACAAAATGATGCTATGGGACATCTCTCACCGGGAGAGATTGTGTCCCTATCAGGGCTGATACTTATGGAGAGTCTATGATTCATATTTATGTCAGAAGAATTGAGTCAGGCTGTGCTGTGCTCTGGGAAGATGCAAGAAGTAAGACAAAGGAACAGGAGCCAGTGTTTTTCAAGGTCCTGTGAAGATCCAAAGGTAGTTTTAGGCATTTGATGAAGATTGGCTGAATTTAGTCCGACGAGATTGTTCCTGATCCTCTTGGGGAATCCTACTTCCCATCTGCCTGGCAAGGGAGCAAGAGGCAGAGTGTGGCCAGAAAACTGACTTTTAAAAGGTTGGAGCAAATTGGGTTGGGGAAGCAACACATTCACCTTGGAGATGACTCAAGAAGTTGGGATTCAACATGCTGACCCAGTCATGATCTGCACCAATGGCATAGGCTCTCCTTGGCTTGTGCTCTTGGCTTTGCAGCTGTGTTGCAGCTCCAGCAAGAGTAAAGAAGCTGTAAATATATCCCAGGTACTTCTTTTCCCCTACAACAGAGGTTCTCAAGTGAGCAACCACAGGCTGCAAGGCCGGCCACCCTGTTTCTGATTGAGTATGGCTTAGGATGAGGCCTGAGAATGTGCATTTCTAACAAGCTCCCTACTGATGCTGCTGCTGTGGGTCCAGGGATCTCACTGAGAGCCTCTGCTCTACAGCACCCTGAGAGAAGGAGGCCCAGCTCAGCATTTGCAAAGGGCCAGGTTTCTGTGGGTCGTGTGGAGTTCTTCCAGTTGCTTTCCTCTTCTCACTTCCCCACTCATTACCGAACAGGCTGACGAGCGTAAGGACAACTGCAGATTCTCTTTTCCTTCTGATGCGTTATAATTCAATCCTCTCAGCACTTTTTAGCACATTTTTATTTTCTTCCTTAAAAAAAAAAGGAGGGCTCCAGCGTCCTTGAAGACAGATCCCTTTTTAGCTTTGCTTTGGGGGTATTCTCACTGCCTGTAAACAAGCGTCTTAGGGAGTCCCGTCTCCTGTGTCTGGTGGGGAGTCAGTGAGTAAACAGTCATCTGTTCTCAAAGGTCAGGCTGAGACCCAGTGTCCGGCAGCACCGGGTCCTCAGACCACTACTGTTCTGATGGCAAATGTTGAACACCAGCACCCGGGGAGATGCTAACGAAGGTC
This sequence comes from Homo sapiens, assembly GCF_000001405.40. Taxonomy (NCBI): domain Eukaryota; kingdom Metazoa; phylum Chordata; class Mammalia; order Primates; family Hominidae; genus Homo; species Homo sapiens. The sequence continues at coordinate 135,824,444 of NC_000007.14, forward strand.
AAGGTGGTGCCAGGCGCAGGGAGGCTGTTGAAAATGTTGATTTAATTAGTTAGATGCAGTGAGGGATGCAGGGAGGCCTGCTCAAGGGGTTCTTGTATTTCTATATGTGTGATAAAACTCCCTCTGTAGCAACAAACTTAGTTCCAAATCCTAGTTTTATAAATTGCCTCTACTTGACAGAGGGGTGAAGGTCATTGTGAGAGTACAGGCTCAATCCTTCAAAGTCTCACTTATAAAAAGGGCATAATGAGAGTCTCGACATCCAAGGGAGAGGACGCTTTGAGCATTTAGCACTGGGCCTGGTGTGTGGTGAGCACTCCATGACTAGTGGCTGCTCCTCTCATGGATTTGCAAGTCCAGGCAGCCTGTTACAAGTGGTGGGTCAGAGCCTCGCTGATGTGCTTGGGGAACAGGGTCTTCCTCTACTCCTCTTGGCGCAGGAACGTGGCAGACACTGGCAGGCAGCAGGATCTGGTTATTAACGGGAGCCTGAGCAGTCACGCAGGGCTACAGAGACTCCCAGTGAGGCTTAGTGTCCGGAGTCACGGTGCAAGGTGTTTGTCCCTAGGAAAATAATGGCCTGGACTTTACAGAGCTCAGAGAAGCAGCAGGGATTAGGATGTCACCCAGGTGTTTGGACTAAATGCCAAACGTGAGAGAACCCCCACAACTGCCTTCCCTCCTCCTGTCTCACCTCAGCTTTGTGCCATGCTTTCGGGGCACATTGCTGCTGCTTCATGGGTGTTGCTGTGGTGACAGGTGCGAGAGAGGACAGCTTGAGGTTGGGACATGCCAGCCATTCCCACATCCAGGGGGCCTTGGGGATCCCAGAGGCTGGAGATTAAGGACAGTGGGGACATAGGCCAGTGGGTCCTTGGTCCTGATTTGGCATTTGACAGTTCCTTGCTCTAGGTATTCACTGTACCTAGGGGGCAGAGCTCCTGGAGCCTCCTCTTGGATTCCTTTCCAGGGAATTTCACTTCAAAATTGACCTTCTTTTGTCTCCATCTTTTGGGACCCCAAAGGCTCTCAGTGTACCTCCATGTCCCTAGAGCCGTAGTGGGAGTAACCTGGGGGCTCAGCCTGGATTCCCAAGGCCGGGCAGCTGTGGGCTTCTACCACAAGGAGGAGGAGCAGACAGGCACTGTCTCTGGCAAGAAGGAAATGCCGCTCCATGCAGAGCCCTGTAGTGGGCTCTCGCGAGCCTGGCTTCTCCTTTGGCATGGCGTGTTTGACTGGGAGGCTTATTTCTTTGAAAACAAAATTACAGTAACCATTTTCCATACAGGAAATGGCAAACACCCGGTGCCGTGAGTGAGTGAGGCTCCTTGCGTGTGGGTGGATGAGAAGGAGCAGAGCCTTGGAGAGTCGGCACGCTCCTTCTCTGGTTGCTCCCCAGGCTCTGCCTGGTTTTGTTCAAGGTGGGCGGGATGCCTCTATGGAGGAAGCCAACAAGTGTTTCCTTTTAGTCTCTTTCCAAAGGGTCAGTGTGGCCATTTTAGGATCTCCTGCGATGTGTGCATGTGTGTGTGTTGGGGGAGGGGGAGAGGGTTATTAAACTTAAGGCCCTAGATATTTTGATTTGCAACTGACTTCCTCTCTCCCTCCCATACCACTGAGAATCCCTTTGTGTCATGAGAGCTGTTACTCCCAGGACATGTTGTGCTTGTGAATGACTTTGAGGCAGAGGCAAGGTAAAGAAACACTGCCTGCATTCATTCATTCACTCACTCCAAATCACTTACTGAGCCCCTGCTATGTACCAGGCACCCTCTTAAGCACTGGGGATACTGACATGAGTAGTAGGCTGAAAGAAAGCACTTGTTCACATCCCTGGATAACTTGCCATCCAGGTGAGCACGTAAGAGCCTGATTGGAGAGAAAAAGGGGCTGACAACACTCTGTTAACTTTGGAGGCCATCACTGTCTGTCTGGGACTCTGCCCCATATAAGATGGTTGGAAGTCAGGGATATTCAAGGCATCTGCACTAGAGTTGTTTTCACTCAGTTGACCACAGCTGGGGGTGCAGAAACCTGGGTTATGCGTTTAATCTTCAGAGTGACCGGGTGACTGACCAAAGAGAAAAAAATAACCCGTAGGTAGACATCTTACAAAGTATGTCCTCTTGACACAGGAACGTGGCAGACACTGGCAGGCAGCAGGATCTGGTTATTAACGGGATCCTGAGCAGTCATGAAGAGCTACAGAGACCCCCAGTGAGGCTTAGTGTCCGGAGTCATGGTGCAAGCTGTTTGTCCCTAGGAAAATCACCTAGGGAGATGAGGCTCAAAGCAGCCCAACACACAACACACGTCTAGAAAACAAAGAACTCAAGTGGGAGTTACAGATGTGAGTTGAAGGTCTAGAGTGAGTTGTATCCAGGGAAGCTCCCTGACTCCAATGATAATGGTATTGAAGGTCTCCTCAAGGTCAAGGGTTTACCCCTAGCTTTATGGTTCAAAGCCTGATCCAGCCAGGATCATGACAGCAGATCCAATGCTTGAGAAAATTTGCTCTAAACAAATGTATATGCTTGTGGATCAAATCAGATATTGAAAAATGCAACTATCATGCAGATAAAATACATTGTAATGGCTCTCACCTATCTCTTCCTATAGAACAATCTTCATGCCAATTGTCAATAGAAGATTGTTTGGTGAGGAGCTTGGAATCGGAACGAGGTGCACTAATTAGATGGTTTAACAGCCTCAAGTTGTAAGAGACTGAAGAATCATGGCCAAATATGGGATATAGGGCCCACGAGCTCTGATGAACTTGAAATGTGCCAACTTCTTTTCTGATGGCATGATCTAGCTTCATCTGTTCATACGTTCAGTTCAGTCTTATAGATTTGGGAGTCATTCTGTCTTTTTCTGGAGACTTTGGCTCGCTACTGTGGTCTTTCTTGCATCAATCTTATGGTTTAACAGGACAACCTTACCTCCCCTGGAACTTTTTTGTGTCCTTGTATACTGCCAAACAAGAAAAAAATTATGTGCCATCCTCAAGCACACAGACCAGCCCACTGATCACTGATTTTAAATTGGTTGACTCAGGTTAGAAATTCTTCTTCCTCTTACAGATGATAGAACTTTGTCAGTAAAGTGAAGGAGGCTGACTTACCCCGAGGCATTTGATTTGTGAGTTTCATATTACCATGTCACCAGAGAGTTCTTTCGAGGTGCTGAGTGAAATGAGATTATCTCTCTTTGTTGTTTTTAAGCCACAAAAATGCTGGGAAGTTGTCTCAAGGTTGGACTGATAGGCATTTCTGGGCTAAGGTAGCTCATATCATCTAAACTTTATCAATCTCACCCTTTATCTGATCAAGAAAATATTTGTCTCTTCTCTGGCTTTTTTGTAGCTGATGCCTTTCCAATCACATCAATTTCATGTCAATTCTTACATTTCCCCCCAATAGTCTCCATATACATTTATTAACCGTGGCCTTTTTATGTTTCTATTATGAAGTCTCCTTAGGCCAACTCATTCCTATTTTAGCCCTTTTCCTGGGGGTGATATTCAACATACTTAACTTGTGCTGTGTACTATGGAGGCTGTAGCTCCCGTGGGTGGCCATGAAGGGCAACCTTGGGAAAGTGCAGGCTGTTGGTCAGGCAGCCACCCCCTCAGGGGACCAGGGGGACACTGAGTGTCTGCCAGGGTCTGGGGCAGAGGTGCAGGAGCCATGGTGGGATGGGGGGCGTCTGGTGGGCTGGTGACCTGGCAGGTGCCACGGTGGTTTCCAACTGTGCCCACCAGGGTTCTGGGAGCCAGGGCAGCCGGATGATGGTGTGGGAGGCACGAGGGAGCTCGTGGCGTTAGATATTTACCGACTGATTCCATCTGCCCTTTCCCTCCCTCCTCGTAGCTTTCAGTTTCCCAGTGTTTTCTAACAGATTCTCAAACTGAATCTCAAATGCACACACGAGGGAACTATCCTCCTTCTTGTTCCCCTGTCCTTGGAGTTTTCCTACTTTTCAAAAATACAAGGAAAAGAAACAGAAAAGATGCCTTTGATTGACATCAGAAGAAAACATTAGTAAATCAATTAACTATAATCTATTATTTAATTAGATCCCAAATCCTCACAACCATTGTTTTAATGATTTTTACTGGACCAGACCATATGGAACTCACATGTGATCCAAGTCCCTAAGGCCTGACAGTCCGCTCCCTTCCCTTCCTGGCCTCCAACCCCTGTTGCTACTTCTCCCACCTGCCCCCTCTCCCCGCACCCTGCCCTGACCTGCCGCCATAAGCCTGTTAGGAGTCTCTATGGAAGAGCAATATCTTTGCTGGGAGCAGCTGCAGGAATCATTCCAGCTGGGTGCACCCTGTGCTTAGGGCCCCATTTACTTCCAACCTAATTGGATGTGATTGATACCTAACTCATCATCCCCTCACCCTGTGCCCTACATCTCAGAGGGGACCGGTGATGATGGTGTGAGGCAAAGGCTGGCTTCTTTGTTAGCGCCTTTAGCAGGCACAGACACAGAACACCACTTGGGACGCGGTCATCGTGTGTCTCCTCATTTCCGTCTTTGCCAGGCATCAGGACAGAATACCAGAAGACTGGGCTGGTCCACGCTGCCGTTACAACACCAAGTAAATAACTCCAAACTCATGCGGTTTTTGTTATGGCCGATGCCAACTAGTTTCAATAGAAGAAAACCCTCCAGGCTGCGGCGGCAGATTTCCTTCTAATGTCGGCTAGACATTTCATAAGACGTCTCTGGTCCCAAAGGAGCTTAGAAGAGAGAGGGGCTGGCTGGTGGAGGGCATTCTGATTCCTAGAAAAACATCCTGGAAACATGTTCCTTTGATGGGGATCATTTTTCAAAGTCTGGAAGACACTTCAGAGCAGAGAGAGGATGTGGCTGCTAGTCAGTAGAAGAATAAAACACTTTGCCTTTGTTTATTCTCATCTCTTGCTTTTCCTATTTTTTTTTTCCTAGTCCAGGGATCACAGACTGGATGCCAGGAGGCCGAACCTGGTCTTCAGCTGTCTTTTGTTTGGCTAGCACATTTTCTAAACTTGCGTTTGAAGGCCTTCAGCTGGGTGTGTCTCTAGTTCACCAGAGCTCACACATGTGTTAACTTTCTGGTCCTGGGAGTCATTTGAGTTTATCCACCCTGTCACCTTTATGCCAGGTATAGAACAATGGCTAAATCTGTTCATTCATGACTGATTCTCATCCTTTCAGGACACATTTCAAGGTCATAGAAAATGTCTCTTCATCTGGAGGGAGAGCCCATTGTCAGAGATCAGCAGCTAACAAGGCCAGCAGGCCATGTCCGTGGCATTGGAGGCTTCCGTGGTGTGACCCCGCTCCAGGGCATTGTTCCCAAGGAGCACAGCACACCCAGAGCCCCTGGAGTGCAGCACGGGCTGTGGTCTGTAAGGATGCTTTTGGCTCTAGCCTGTTGGGTCTGGCCATTAATTATACTGACCTGGTGGTATGCAAAGCTTATGCCCACCTTGTCAGGGGTTGGGTGGATAATAAAATCAAGACTACGGCTGGGTGCAGGGGCTCATGCCTGTAATCCCAGCACCTTGGGAGGCCAAGGTGGGTAGATCACCTGAGTTCAGGAGTTTGAGACCAGCTTGGCCAACATGGTGAAACCCCGTCTCTACTAAAAATACAAAAATTAACTGGGCTTGGTGGCAGGCACCTGTAATCCCAGCTACTTGTAGGAGTCTGAGGCAGGAGAATTGCTTGAACCCAGGAGGTGGAGGTTGCAGTGAGCTGAGATCATGCCACTGCACTCCAGCCTGGGCGACAGAGCAAGACTCCATCTCAAAAAAAAGACTACAATCTGGAGAGATAAATGGGGAAGCTGCTCACCGAGGACTCCCTATTTTGGACCTGGTCGGTGGCTCTTGCAGGTAGAATCCAGCATCTGCATGCCTGTGGAGGATGCACTAAAGCCTCAGGGGTCCAAGAGGGTGCCGAAGCCCAGGAAGGTGTGGCTGAGAGTGCAGAGACCTTGAATGTGAGCCCAGCTTCCCAGCCTGTGTCCCCCAGCCCAGCCCGAGGCTGCAATGAACTGTCTTTTTCTCATTCTGTCTCTCTCTCAAATCTTTTCCCATGTAAGGAGGGAACTGCTAGCTTGACAGGCTGGCCTCTTATCCTTAATTTCCCCAGGAAAGAAGGGGTTAGGGAAAGCTTAGCCAGGGAGAGCAATTCGTTTCAAAAACTCAAACTAACCTGTGTTCGCCTTCCTGACCTCCAGACTATTTTAATCTTGTAAGTGGTAATGATGTGTGTGGAGAACAATTTTGTTGTTTACTGAGGCAGTTGAGTGATAATTGCAGAGAAAGGAGAAAGCAGAAGGCTTGTTCTACATACTGTATTTCTCGCTGTCGTTCTCTATGCTAATAGACGCCCTAATGTTGTGTCTTGTGAATAAAGATGACAGACCAGGAGAGGGGGCACAGCAGGGGATGAGAGACTGAGGGAGGCAAGCCTAAAGAAAAATCTGGACCACTCCCACCACCACCAAGAAGGAGGAGCAGAATTGGACTGGCACAGTGTTGGTGCCAGGGTGGGTACAGGGTAAAGAGGGTGTGCTATATACATAGTTCTCTGCCCACAAGATGGGGTTCCGGTTCTGCAGGCTTTATCTGAAATAAAGCTGTGGATGGAAAGTTCCTTCTGGTGTCAGATCAAAATGTTTTCTGCTGTACTGTGACAAGGATAAAGATAGACCACATGGGACAAATGTAAAATGATTTCATTATATTCTACCTTCTTAGGTTCACCCATTTGTTCATTTTTGTGTGACGACAGTTCATTAAACATTTATCATGCTTGAAATATCAACCCATATTTCTCTTTAATAATGTATATCCCTTAAATTAGCTTCTTGTCACTGACAGATATAGAATTTAATTATTTATTATTTATTTATTTTTAATTTATCCTTTGTTGCCTATATTTAAGGTGTACAACATGATGTTTCGGTACACATATACATAGTGATATGATTACGACAGTCAAACAAAGGTGCATATCCATTGCCATCCGTAGTTACCTTTTGTGTGTATGTAGTAAGAGCACATCAAATGTACCACTTAGCAAATTTTCAGTAGATCGTACAATGTTATGAACCACAGTCCTCCTGCTGTGCATCAGACCTCTAGGCTTATTCATCCTACACAACTGCAACTTGGCACTCTTTGACCTACTTTTCCCCACTTCCTCCTCCTCCCTTCCTCCAGTAACCACTGTTCTCTCTCTATTTAGTTGACTTTTAAAAAATATTCTGCATATTAGTGAGATCATACAGTAGCTTTCTGTGTGTGGCTTATTTCACTTAGCATAATGTCATCAGTTTCATCCATGTAGTAATTGGCAAGATCTTTAAAGGTATTGCCTTAAGGCTGAATAATTTTCTATTAGATACAGAATGTATCAACATCCCACTGTATGTAGGAGCCTATACATACATTGAGATCAGAAGTTGGAGTGCAATAGACAGTCTCATTGAATTGAGAGAGAACACGTGTCTTGCATCTGAAGGATGCTTTGGATGCAAGGGAACAAATGTGGATAAGTTATAGATGATGTCATGGCTTGGTGGAACTGGCTGCAAAACAGGCTGGGACATGAAGAGGTGAGGTTGGCAGGGAGCACAGGGAAGGTACTGGAGCCATAGAGGGCTTGGCCTGGGGGTCGGTTCACCCCTGCAGGGTTATACAGGCTGGGATCCCAGAGCTTTTCCACAACATCCCCCAGGGTTGGGGATCAGTGGATGGGTAGGCAGTTGAATCAGCATCTCCAGTGGTGGAGATAGGACTTCTCATTTTTAACAAGCTCCCAAGTATCCCTGTGTACACCGAAGATTGAGAACCTCTGAGCTATAGAGTACCTAGCGTGGTGCAGCACGGGTGGCTGTCCACGGGGCTTGCATGGAGGATGGACAGGGCGACAGGCAGTCCCAGGCAGTAGGGAGTGATTTGGGGGGTCTAGATAATGTGTTCAGTTAGAAAAAGCCCCCAGGCTCTGACCAGGGGATACAGTCAGCTCCATTCTCCCAGAGGAGGCATTGGGGGACACCCAGCTGTGGGGCAGGTGTTGGCAGAAGGTGAAGACCTAGTGGATATGAGGATGTTCAGGCTCCTCTGCAGGCACCAAGGATCGGTGGCAGCACAATCTGTTCCAGGTTCCATCTCTTGGTGGCCCGAGGCTCCAAGTCTCTTACCTGCCTTGGTCAGCCCTGGCTCCGGGGTTTGATAAGTGGAGGCTGCAGGTGATGGGCACAACATTTAAGGCTGAGTGGGGAGGGGCAGGGAAGTCAGACATCAGCAGGACAAGGGTGACCTTGGAATTGAAGATAGGAGAGATTTGAAGGAACAGCTTTCTGGGAGAGCACTTTTTCTTTATTTTGAGATGGAGTCCTACTCTGTCACCCAGGCTGGAGTGCAGTGGCATGATCTCTGATCACTGCAACCTCCGCCTCTCCAGTTCAAGTGATTCTCCCGCCTCAGCCTCCCGAGTAGCTGGGATTACAGGTGCGCCAGCATGCCTGGCTAGTTTTCATATTTGTAGTAGAGACGGGGTTTCGTTGCCATATTGGCCAGGCTGGGCTTGAACTCTTGACCTCAGGAGATCCGCCCACCTCGGCCTCCCAAAGTGCTGGGGTTACAGCGCCTGGCCTGGGAGAGCACTTTTCAAGTTTCCAAAAGAATTCTCCAAAAAAGTAGGAAGACTCTCAAATATTGTTACAGAACATCCTACTCTTTGTTGGGCTTGTTTAGAGTTCAAAAACTTAGAATTTCTGAGCAGGTGGGACCATGCCCAGGAAAGCTTTGACCTTGCCAGTGTTGTCAGCAGGAACAGGGTCATGTCAGACAAAAGGAAGGGCCAGTGGGCTTCTTTTTCTGATCCTGATGGAGGGGGCATCCCAGAGCCCCCATTTACTCCATTCTTAAACTGCAATCAGGGCTGGCTTTAAGAAAAGATGCTCCATTTCAGAGCAGCTCATCCGGACCACTAAGTTGTACATCAAAAACCACAGGCTTTTTCTTAGTTAAACTTCTCTTGGCTAAAGTCTCCCCTTGGACGAATTCCCCAGTGCAATTCCTACAGCCAGCCTATCCAATTAGAGGATATTTGACTCGCAGGATTCTTGTCTAAGAGAGACCAAATCTTCTTTCACCTAAAAGCCAGGTCTCTGTGGCCCACAGCCTATTGTTTTGTTCTACCTTTTCAAACAATTCCTGAGTCAGAATAAAGGGCAATTTTCTAGGACAAAGCAAACATTGACCAAGAAAGACTCTATTCTCCCGTTTGGATTGCTTACAAAGAGTGCACAGGCACCTCCCTGAAGGTAAAACGTTTTCCTTTGATTGTACGCAACACACTTAGCCAAGACAAATCAGGACTCCACACTGCCCCGCCCTTCCAAGTCAGCACACAGCCATGATTCTCTGAGGCAGGAGGAGAGCAAAGAACTGGCAAGACTTTTTGTACTTGAAGTGTAACCCTGCAAAACACAATGCCTTTCAGCCACTAAGTCTATGAATTTGTTCATTCATTGACTTTTTAAAGCAACCTTTCCTATCCCCACTCTGTGTAATCTGGAGATCTTCACCTTCAGCATCTTCTGTTTCTAGGGCATTTAAATTGGGAGGAAGTGGGGAGGCCATTAGGCCCTGCTGAACTTCCAGCTCAGCTTTCCACCTCTCCTGTCCTTTCCCTCATCTCAGAAAGAGCTCAAGATGCTCTTGACTGTTAAGAAGAGAGGAATTCTGGCGGTGCTCCTTGGGGCTGCTTTTTTGAGCCCTCGGTTAAAATAATCGGAAACTATCTAAATATTAAATACACACACGCATGCACACACATGCACGCACGTGCACCATTTTCATGAGCAGAGAAGGAAGAAGGAGGTGGCAAAGGGAGCTGGTTCTGAGGTTTTGGAGAGTGTGATAATGCCGGGAGTATCTGACCCAGCTGGCCTGTGAGGGGCAGAGGGACCCAGAAGAAAGCCGTGCAGACGTTACCTTCCACATTGTCAAACACAGAAGCATCCGGTTCCCACAGTCCCCTGGGGATATCAGGAAACTAATGATGAAAGCAGTTCCCCTACCCAGGCATCCTTCCAGAAAAACACCTTGAATAATTGTGACATTTGTGCTGCTCTTTATGGTAAACCAAACTCCTTAGCTCTCTTATTCTTGTTTTATCCTTACACACGTGTTATCTAAATACATTATCATTGTAAAGAGGTCAGAGAACTTGGAAGTATATTGTCTTAGTGTAGGCTCCCTAGAAAAAAGAGCTGGAGAAAAGCTTATTGTGCTAATACTTGTGCTAGGAGCAGGGAGACCAGAGAAGCAAAACTGAAGGAAACAGGTACTGCAGGCAGGAAGGAGGGAGGCATATACAAGGCGGGAGCTCCCAAGGAGGCCACAGGTTCACAAGAAAATACGGCAAGCTGGGTGGTTTCTGTCATGTGGGACGTCTCCCAGGAACCAGTTACACCCCAAGGAGCCCCTCCCATCTCTTTCTTTCAGGGGTCCAAATTTGTACCCAGGCCACACCACCTGATTCCTCAGGAAATCAGCCTCCATGAACTTGGGCAAATCCAGCGCTGTCCACCATGGCAGGCACCTGAAGTCTGGCAGTTGATTGTATGGTGAACTGAAATAAGCTTCCTCCCGTTTGCCCTTCTCTCTTCAGAAATAACTACTCTTTTTTTTTTTTTTTTTTTTTTTTGATACAGAGTCTCACTCTGTTGCCCAGGTTGGAGTGCAGTGGCACAATCTCAGCTCACTGCAACCTCTGCCTCCCAGGTTCAGGTGATTCTTCTGCCTCAGCCTCCCGAGTAACTGGGACTACAGATGCCTGCTGCCACTCCCAGCTAATTTTTGTATTTTTAGTACAGATGGGGGTTTCACCATGTTGGCAAGGCTGGTCTTGAACTCCTGACCTCTGAGACTAATTTATAAGAAAAGAGGTTTAACTGGTTTTGCAGGCTCTACAGAAAGCATGGCAACATCTGCTTTTGGGGAGGTCTCAAGAAACTTTCAATCATGGTGGAAGGCAAAGGGGGAGTGAGGCGTCTTACATGGCCAGCGCTGGAAGAAGAGATTAGAGAAGGTGGAGGTGCTACGCACTTTTAAACAACCAGATCTCGTGAGAACTCACTAACTATCACGAGAATAGCACTAAGAGGGCATAGTGCTAAACCATTCACGAGAAATCCACCTCCATGATCCAATCACCTCCCACCAGGCCAGGCCCCACCTTCAACATTGGGGATTAAAATTTGACATGAAATTTGCTGGGGACACAGATCCAAATGATACCACACAGAATGTCAAGCTGATGCCAGGCACTGACAGGAAAGTGACCATCAAGCTGTAGATTGATCACAGAGGCTGAACAGTGACATCTCTGCAGCAGATGGCAGTTTGCATTCCTTTTGTATGCTTGTTTAATATGTAACCTATTAATTATATGTTATTTATAATAAATTGCATTTTCTTCATTTATTCTTGATAATCTATTATGTTGTCTCTGAATGTCTTCTGCACAACTTGGGGACTGCCAATATATATAGTCACTGTTACCAGATGTATCCAGAGGCAGCAAAATGTAAATATTGAACTAAAGTCTTGGCTGGGAAATGCAAACCCCAGACCCTCAAAAAGTTGTTTGTATATCTCAGGTGGTGCAGAGTAGAGGGAGGAATAGAGAAACTAGGATTGGGGCCTGGGAAGTCAAAGGGTAGAGTAGAAAACTCCATGAGTGATTTCAAAGAGCTATCTCGAGTTGTGTTTGAAGCAAAGACTATTTGGGGACAGGCAATGGAGGAAAGAGTCTGCAGCCTTGACTGTTTTAAAAGGAGGTTCAAAACCTTATGAGAATCAGATCCAAACCAAAATGTTCCTCCAGATGGTAGACTGTGGGACTTCTCAGCCTCCATAATCCACAGAGTCAATTCCTCATAATAAATCTCTCTATAAATATAGATCTTGGTTCTGTTTCTCTGGAGAACCCTAATACGCCCTCTCATCAGACAGAACCTACCCTCCTGCTCCTGAAGCTTCTAATGTTATCTGAATTCTGGCACAGAGAGGTGGAGGCAAGAGTGTTTCAGATAAGGGAAGAAGGGCCTTTGTCTTCCCAGAAGTGAGGGAGAGCATAGTTGAGTGTTGGTGTGGTGGGAGAGACAGAGGATCTAGGAGGGCATGGGGAGGAATCTGGACCTTTGACTTGGGGCAATGGGAAGCCATTGAGAGTTTCCAGCAGAAGAGTGAGGAACATGTGTCGTGTAGGCGCAGGGCCATGACACAGAGACTGTTGGGAGGGTTTGCCGCAGTCCAGTAGGGGAACTAGATGCTTCATGAGCAGGAGGCTAGGCTCTGTATGATGAAAGGATATATTAGGGTTCTCTGGAGAAACAGAACCAAGATACATATTTATAGAGAGATTTATTATGAGGAATTGACTTAGTTGATTATGGAGGCTGAGAAGTCCTACAATCTGCCATCATCTGGAGACCCAGGAAAGCTGGCGATGTAATTCCAGTCTAAGTCCAAAGACCTGAGAACCAGAGGAGCTGATGGTATAATCCTAGTCCAAGGGCAGGAGAAGATGAGGTGAGAGGTCTCAGTTCAAGCAGGCAGGCAGGAAGCAAAAGGGACATATTACTCCTTCCTGTTCCTTTTGCTCTCTTTCAGGCTCTCAATGGATTGGATGATGAGCTCCCACATTGGGGAGGGCAATCTTCTTTACTGAGTCCACCTATTCAAATGCTAATCTCATCTAGAAACATGCCTACAGACACCCCTAGAAACAATGTTTAATATGAGCACCCAGTGGCACAATCAAGTTGACATATAAAATTAACCATCCCAGAAGGGTTGTTGAAGTTGTGACTTGGGGTTAGTAGAAGTGATGAGTTTGGGTTGGAAATATTGAACTCAAGGGGCCTGTGGGACATCCCAGTGGCTACTTGCATCTGAAGAATCATGAGAAAATAGTAATTGATGAATCACAGGAGTGGCTGAGGTCACCTTGTTAGATGATGTGGCATTGGAAGAGGCACTAGGCTGGAACTCTCTGAAGAGCAGAGTGTCAGGGATGGGCCAAGGAAGAAGAGGAAGGAAACTGGAAAAGAGAGCCCAAGAGGTGGGGTCTGCTAGGAGAACACAGGGTCACAGGAGCCAATGGGATTGAGTGGCAAATGCTGGAGAGAATTAATACAATAACTTTAAAGTATCCACTAGATTTAGCAACAAAGAGATATTTGATTTCCACTTTTGGGAATTCATTTTTTTTTTCAATGAACAAATACTTCCTGAACATCTGCTCATCCATGCCAGACATTACTGTTGGCCTGAAGCTGACATCCTACTAGGGGAGACAAACAGCAAACAAGTAAACCAATCGCTGGACAAGGTTATTCTAGGCAGTGATAAGAGCATTTATGAAAATAGAACAGGGTGATGTGACTGTAGGTGATTGTTAGTGGGTGGGGATGACAGAGGAGGCCTCTCTGAGGAGGTGACATTTGATCCAAGTCTTGAATATCAGGAAAACACATTTGCAATAAAGATCCAGGTGACAAGAACGTTCCAGGTACAGGAAACAGCTTGTGCAAAGGTCCTACCTCAGTGGTTCTCAATCAGGGGCAATTTTGTCCTCCAGGGAACATTTGGCAATGTCTAGTGACATTTTCTGATGTCACAACCAGGGATGTGCTACTGGCATCTAGTGGGTAGAGACCAGGAATGCCGCTAAATGTCCTACAGTGCACTGGACAGCCCCCCATGATGAAGAATTATTGGACCCAACATGTCATTAGTGCCAAGGGCGAGAGACCCTTCAGTAAATTAGGAACAAGCTTGGCCCGTTTAAGAAATAGAAAGGAGGTCAGTGTCTGAGAATCAGTAAGCAAGGAACTGAATGGTGGAACCTGTGTCAGAGAGGTAGGTCCCAGATGACAGAGGCCTTCTAGGACGTAGTAAGGGCTTTTTACATTTTACTTCCTGAAGCACCATAGAAAGCCATTAGAGAGTTTTAAGCAGGGAAATGACTTGATCTGATGTACATTCTAAAATGATACTATGGTTGCCGTCTGGAAGCTGGATTGTAGTGGTCAAGAGTAGGAACTGGGAGGCGATGGCAGTCATCAGGCGAGAATGGCAATAGCATAGAGTAGATAGTGTGAGAAGAATGGGATGTAAGTGGGCAATGAGGTAGAGCTGATGGGATTTTTCTGATGGATTGGGTTGAAGGTTGAGGGAAAGTAAGAAATAAAAGATTATTTCTAAGGTTTTGGTTTGAGCAAAGTATGGGAGAAAGTACAGTTCACTGTGATGAGAAGACTGGGCAAGGTCTGGACTTTAGAGAAGATATAAAAAGTTTGAAATGCATATTAGGGGCATCGTTAAGGTAATGGATGAAGGTTTAGTCATGATCATGATTATCACAGTGCTGTTTGAAGTAGTTGTAAGCAACCTATTTATCCAATAATAGAGGGTTAATTAAATTTGGAATCAGTATAAAGTAATATCATAGAAATCTATTTATTAACATGGAAATATGATCACAATGCGTTATGTGAAAAAGATTATAAAATAGTATGCAGGGTATGAGCCTGTTGGATTCTTATTTCACTTTTTCTACCAAAATATATACTCCATGAAGTAACAATTTATTTTTATTTTTATTTTTATTTTTGAGATGGAGTCTCACCCTGCTGCCCGGCTGGAGTGCAGTGGTGTGATCTTGGCTCACTATAACCTCTGCCCCCTGGGTTCAAGCGATTCTCCTCCCTAAGCCTCCCAAGTAGCTGGAATTTCAGGCACCCACCACCACGCCCAGCTAGTTTTTGTATTTTTAGTAGAGATGGGGTTTCACCATGTTGGCCAGACTGGTCTCAAACTCCTGACCTCAGGTGATTCGCCCGCCTCTGCCTCCCAAAGTGCTGAGATTACAGGTGTGAGCTACCATGTCTGCTTTTTTGTTTTGTTTTGTTTTGTTTTTCTGGCCCTGAAGTAACAATTTGATGTAGAAGTGAAATTATAAAAATACTAGAAGAAAATATGTGTAAAGTTTTTGCAACCATGGTGTGGTAAAAAGGCTTGCACAGCAAGATATTAAAAGCAGACACCACAAGGAATAGATAGATACACTTGACTATGTGAAAAGTTGAACCTCTTGTTGGGTCAAACCTGTAGATTGAAGAAGACAAAAGAAAACTGGGAAAAATTATTTGTGATCAGCATTATAGAGTTAATATTGCCATTAGCCAAGGAAATTTTGTAAATTGAGAGATGAAATAAGTTTATTTTTTAACCAGCAGATTGGCAAAGATTAAAAGATTGATAAGATCTGTTGCTGCAGAAGGTGAGGAAGAGTAAATTGGCACGGTCTTCTTAGAATATAATTTGGTACCATTGAAATTTAAACATGCTTATTCTTTGACTAAGCAAGACTACTTTGAACTATTCAGCCTACATTAAATAACTGTTCAAAGACATAGGTACAAGATGTGCAAAATACTGCGTTGTTGGTAATGATAAAAACTCCAAAATAACACAAATATTATGCCACAGAAGTTACCTAAATAAATTGTAGGCCCTAACATGTGATAAAAGAATATGCAACTCTTTAAAGAAATGATATCAATCTGTATGTCCTGATTTGAAAAATCATACATGGTGTTGTTAAGAAAATCAAGTTGCAGAACAGTCTGTATAATAGGACCTTATTTTGTAAAAACCACTAAATAAAATCATATATTGGTAGATATGGTTATATGTGCTTAGAAAAAGCTCTGAAAGGCTTATACAAAATTATTCAGTGTTATCTTCTCCAGGAGGTAGGATTGTGGGGGATTTTCAGTTCCTATTTTGTATCTTTTTGTATTGTTTAGCTTTCGTTTCAAACATAGTGACATTTCTAAATATGCTTGGTAATGTACATTATGCTGGTAATATAAATTATACAAAACATATTGGCATTTTGGCAAAGGTAGAATTAACATAATTATGAGTGTAAAATATATTATGAGTGTAAAATTCTAGGCAGATGTCGAAGTCATCTGCCTAGAATTTTCACCATTGTCCCTTCATATCTTAATATCACAATACATGCAATTAGATGATAAATGGTGTCTTATTATTTGATAAATAATTAAGTAAATATTACATCCTTTAGTTCCACTGTTTCCTGACACATAAATGGATGCATCAAGTTGTCACAGAACCCCTTCCTTAATGGGAGACAATCTTTTATAAATCTTTGGATGACACAGAAGCAGCAGAAAACACAAGCTACTGTTGATTTATGTAAGATATGCAAAGATAAAACAAAGCAGAAAAATACTGAGTAAAGAAAAGAAAGCAGCTGTGGACTATAACATTCTACAAGCTCACTATGCCAAAAAAAAAAAAAAAATGGTAGTACTGGATAAGGAATACACCTGTGTAAATAAACCATCTGAATCTCCTGTAATCCTGTATTGTTTTTTAGTGAGATACCTGTTTAAACCTACTAAATACCTATGAAAATATGCATAAAATTTATATATGTATATATTTTAAGTAGTACATATATGTGTATATATGAATTCAAATTCATTCAAATTTGCATTCTGCAATAATGAAGAATTCTAACTCACACGTTGATGTGTGTGTGGTGTGTGTGTGTATTCTCTGTGCATCTCTTTCTCTTGCTATCTACACATACAGATATGCACAGAAGGTTATCTAGGCCTACATCAACCTGCTAACCATGGTTGACTTGGTGTGGATGAGTTTATTAATTTTATTTTTTAAATGTTCATTTTAGCTGCCTGAACTTTTAAAAAATTTTCTGTGATAAGCATATTTGCTTTCATCATATGAAAACAAACCCAATTATATATGTATATTAAAAAAAGAAGAAAGTAAATAGATGTCAATAACCTTTTCCAGAGATGTCAGGGGTGGAAGTGAGGTGGCTGTGGCTTAACCTAAATGGACGATGATCAAGTAGTGGCAGGGAGCATGGAAAATTCCTTTAATAGTCTTGCATGAGGGTGAGGAAAAGGATCAGACAAAGCTAGAAGTGGACATAGAGTCCAGCAATGGAAGGCTTACTCTATGTGTAAGAGGAAGTCTGGAACTCCAGCACTCCTGGTCTGTTTTCTGCAAAGCAGTCTTACTTTTTGTCTTCCATTTTCCCTTTCATCTGCTCAAGACACTGTCATTTCTGTGGCTCCTCTTATGTAAAAAAAAGTTTGGAATCACATTAGGTCACAATTGCAGTCTCAACTAATTAATTTAGAATTAAGTCTAATTAATTCTAAATTAATTAAGTCTACTCCAAGATAATAATCAATTGGAACTTGGTTTAATGTTACCTCTTCTCTCCTCTCCCCAGCGGGCCTCTTGCTGTAATGCTGGGGCTCTCAGGGTCCTCCTCTCTCCCTCAACCTCACCTTTCTTCTCAGTCTGGGCTTGTTAACTGTGCTTCTCCCACCAGGGTCAGAACAGCAGGAGGGATGCAGGTGAAGCTGGCTCTGTAGCAAGATGGCTTTGCCTTCTCTGGGCCAGCAGATGCTTATAGCCAACTATCTCTGTACATTTCATGGATTCCTTGAAGATTTGCCTAGTGAGCCCTTCAAACTGCACCTTCCTAGCTGGCCTGTTACACTTGATCCTCCCTCAGTCCTGCCCTCAAGCTCTACCCACCAGAATCACCCAGAGCCCCTGACTGCTGGGGTCCCCTCTTTCAGGTAGCCTCTCCCTGATCAAGATTCTTACATTTGCTCCCTGGGAGTGAGAGAACTTCCTAGACTCTATCCTCTACCCTCGAGCCACAGGCTGCTCTGATCTTCTCAGGCACGGTCTAGATCCCAGTCCCTCCAGCCCCCCAGCTGCAGGGGGCACATATTAATCTTGCCAAGTGGCCCCATTAAAGCTTTCTCACCAGCTTGAGGTGAGGGCAGACATCCCTTTCATCCTTCCGTCCTTTGGGGATAAGACACACAGCATGCCAGTGGCTCTGCTCAAAAATCCTCTCTCAGTCCCCTCTCCTTGGACCCTTTTTGTCCTCCATGTGAATGAGAGAATTTAAGTCATAATACTGGTTCTTGGTTGTGCTGTTCTGAAATTTCACACCTGGTCTAGCAGGTGTGAAAACACCCTTTGGAATGCAGCAGTTATTACGTTTTGGTGCCTTGGTCTCAGCTTCTTACTTAACATTCTGTTATATGCAAATGGTGATGAGCCAGCACCAATAAAGAGGGGGAAGCTGAAGATGCAGGAGATGGAGACTGATGAAGTTGAGGTCTGAAAATTGGTGAAGGAATTGGCCAAGAGGGAAGGAGGGGCCTATATTCCACTGGGGCAGAAGGGATGGTAGAAAGCAATTTTTAGATTAGAGGAGGCAGGCAGAAAATGGATAGAGCTTCCATCTGAGGATTTCTATTTTCTCCATGAAATAAGAGGTCAGAGGTTTCCTGAAGCACAGTGAAGAGGAAAACTCTTGATTGAATTGTTCTGAATCATTTGTATGATGAAATTCTGAGGGAATTTTCAGCCCAGCTGAAGGTTGTAAAACCCACTCCAATGGTGTAGGCTGCTGAAAGGGCTGAGTTCCCTCTGCATCAGGAAAAGTCTAGATTAATTTTTCCTGGGCTGGCGGGAGAGAAAAGATGAGATGTACAAAGACCAAAGAAAGAAGGGTGTTACATGACAAAGGAAGATCAGAAAAGCCCAAAGATAGTCAGACTCCCTGGGTTACAGTGGAAAATTTTTATCTTTGCAAATAGACTCAAACTTCAGGTTTGAATGTCCTGAGACATAAAAGCCCTAACTACACACTAAGCAGCACCCAGCTGAATCCCACAGCTCAAAAGAGGAAGATGATACGAAAGAGAAGTCCTAATGTGGTTCTGCAATTACTGACAGGTTTCAGGGACTGGTCACAGGGAAGAATGAAGTTCTTTGGGCTTATTCATTTTCAGAAGCCACAATCTCAGAACCTCTGGTTTGTTCAGTTATGGTTAGACTCTCTCAATTTTGCTTCAGAGGAGAACACTGATATGCACAATTGAGAATGAAATTTTTCTTTTTCTTTTTTTTTGAGACGGAGTCTCGCTCTGTCACTCAGGCTGGAGTGCAGTGGCACGATCTTGGCTCAATGCAAGTTCTGCCTCCCGGGTTCACGCCATTCTCCTGCCTCAGCCTCCCGAGTAGCTGGGACTACAGGCGCCCACGACCACGCCCGGCTAATTTTTTGTATTTTTTAGTAAAGACAGGGTTTCACCGTGTTAGCCAGGATGGTCTCTATCTCCTGACCTCGTGATCCGCCCGCCTCGGCCTTCCAAAGTGCTGGGATTACAGGTGTGAGCCACTGCGCCCGCCCGAGAATGAAATTTTTCTATGTCACAAACCTCTATATCTATTGAATGGCAAGGGCAACTGGGACTCTGTTTAGTTGGTATCATGTATGAGCAAATGCTATAACAGCTCCTTTAACTAGAGAGATAAAATTACAAGAATGGAAACTAATATTTTGATGGCAATACAAGGCCGGGGGAGAGGGAAGAGAAATAGAAAGTGAAGCATGAGAAATTCTCTCAAGGCCAGGCGTGGTGGCTCACGCCTGTAATCCCAGCACTTTGGGAGGCTGAGGTGCGTGGATCATTTGAGGAGTTCAAGACCAGCCTGGCCAACATGGTCAAACCCCGTCTCTACTAAAAATACAAAAAAAATTAGCCAGGTGCTGCACACCTGTAATCCCAGCTACTTGGGAGGCTGAGGCAGGAGAATTGCTTGAGCCTGGGAGGCGGATGTTGCAGTGAGCCAAGATAGCGCCGCCACACTCCAGTCTGGGCGACAGAGTGAGACCCTATCTCAAAAAAACAAAAACAACAAAAAACCCCCCCAAAACCAAATTTTCTCAAAACTAAACTGCTATTCACAATCAAAGGAAATTAGTAGAAATTTATGAGCTACAGTTTTAAGCAGGGAACCCTTCTTAGCATTCGCTAAGATAAATCATGTGGATGAACTCGAATAAACCTAAATGACAGGCCAGTCTTATTGTTACTGAGCCATGGGCTTTCCTCTTAACGTGCATAGAAGCCAATACTATGGCACAGGCTTTTGAGAAAAGAAAAAGCTTTATTGCAAGGTCAACTGGCAAGGAAATTGGAGGCAACACTTAAATTCGTCTCCCCAAGCTGGGGCCTGAGAGCAGGTTTTACACACAGGGAATAACAATCAGAGACATAGGAAAATGCAACGAGGCATGATCTGATTGGGCCATGCAAAGAGGTGGTGAGGTGTCCTTGCCTTTTAAGTCTGTAATGCAGCAAAACAGGGTGCCCTTCTCTTCTTAATTTGATCCTCCTTCTTCAATCTGAGTTCTTAGGTTCCATATGTGGTTGATGTTTTCACTCTGGCCACCTACAGGGTCACGAATTGGGCAGGCTTGGTTCATCTGGGTGTGCTCAGGTTATGTGACTTGAAAGCTGGAGGTCCACTGCAACTGAAAGCAACTCCTCATTTTGTTACATTTTGTGACTGATAGAGCTCAATCCCATTGGACCGATTCTGTTATTACATTATTAATATTGACTCTTAAAATGAGCACTTCTGCTGAGGATGGTCACCTTACGTTGTCCCCTCGATCTTTCAGTGATTTTTCATGGAGTTATGTGGTATTATTTACTGGGCCACTGAGAAGCCATTTTGAATACTTGGGAGAGTGAAAAGTAATTTCTAAAGCGGAACTTGGGTTTTACTTCAGAACTCCCAGTCCTAGTCTTGTCACATTGGAAAGATCAGTGGGGTGGGACCCTGGCATTGTGATATTGAATGTATGTATATGATCTGAACGCAATTTTCTTCAAAGGGATCAAAATCTTCCATCTGAAAAAAGTGAAATGTGGTCTAGTGACTTTTTTCAGAGTCAGTATCTATCAGGGCAAAATCTTGAAGACAGTTGGGAATAAAGGAAACAAAACAGATTTCCTCAGTAAGATTCAAAGCTTTTAAACTGCGATCTGCTTAAAATGTCCTGTGCTAATTATTGCCCGGATTTGTTCAGCTGAGAAGCTTCTGAAGTTGGCTTGCTTGAGTGCGAGGTGCTCCATTTTAATGTTGCAAAACCTCCTCAGTAACCACAAAGGCAACTGTTTATCTCAATCTTCACTTAAAACACCTGCTTACTGATACTTGATTATGTGTTTTGAGGCTTGTGATTGAGAGCCTAACACCTGGCTGATTAGACTGATGTTTGATCATGTTTTGAAAAGCAATTTTACTACTTAGCAAGCAGTTCTATGCTGCAGTGCATTAACTGGATTGAATGTCCAAAACTCTTAGTATTGTTTTTAAAAAATAACCATTACAGAATAATAGCTTGTTTTCATTAAGGAGGAAATGAACATACAAATTCTTACACTATTATGTAAGTGTATGATGCAACCCATTGTCCATTAAGTCAGTAGGTTTCAAAGTGTGGTACAAGGAGAACCTGCATGGAATTCCTACAACAGATATCTTGAATTAGAATCTGTGGTGGTGGGGCCCATGATTGACATTATGAGCTAATTCCCTATGTGGAGAAATGCTACTTTAAGGGAAGACAACTTTCACCTGGATCCTGAAATAGACCAGGTAGCTTTCTGGGTAGAAACTTACAGCTCGGATCTGTGAAATCAGTCTGCGCTGAGAGTCGAGAGGCTTTCTGTCTTTTCTTCAGAGACCACTGTGCAGGTATGTGAGATCTTGTGTCATGGCTGGCTGGGTAGTGAACCCCTCTCCAAGAGCCTAGGAGGTGAGTGAGTTAGGCACCCAAGGTGGTGACAGGCACCCACTTTCCCCCTCTTCATTTTACAAATGAGAAAATTGAGGCCCAGACAATGGAAAGGATGGATAGAAGGTAGCGGAATGTGGAGTTGAGGCCAGATCCCCTGTCTCATCGTCCTCACTTATTGCTCTTGAGCCAAGTCACCAAAGGAAGAACTCTTTAGAAGGTGGGGCCCCAGGATGTCTACTTTGGGTCCCTCCAGGGCCGCTCTCTGCTCTTTTCCCCTGTGCTGTGCTCAGGAGGCCGGCCTGCTGGAACTACAGCCAAGAGCTCCCTGCCCTCTGGCGTCTGGGTGGATTTGGCCAGTGGGAGGCACCACTGGGGGACAGGAAGAAGGAGCCCATGAGAGTGAGCTCACCTGAAGGTACCACATGGGTTTGGTGACAGGAATAGCATGACTAACTGTAATAGCCAGGGTTCTCATGAGAAGCAGAGACAAGAGGATATGCATATATGAGACTTATTGTGAATTGGCTTGATTATGGAGACTATGAATTCCTATATCTGCCACCTGCAAGCTGGAGACCCAGGACAGCCAGTGGTGTAATGCCGTCTAAGACCTTAGGCCTGAGAGCCAAGGGGCAGATGGTGTGCATCCTGGTGCAAGGGCAGGAGAAGGATGTCCCAGCTCAGGCAGGTGGGCAGGAAGCAATAGGGGCAAATTTCTCTTTCCTCTGCCTTTTGTCCTATTTTGGCCCTTAACAGATTGGATGACTCCCACCCACCGTGGGGAAGGCCCATTTGCTTTATTGAGTTCACACATTCAAACAGTAACCTCATCCCGGAACCCCCTCACAGACACACCTAGAAATAATGTTTAATCTGGGCGCTGTTGGCCCAGCCAAGCTGACACATAAAATTAACCATCATAAGTCCACCCCTTGTCAACTTGGCATCCATCGCATCTCCTTAAACCATACTTAATACCCAAATAAAGACAATATCAAAGGCCATCATTCCATCTAACATGATACACACCCATCCTGTGTACAACTGAAAATGCACTAACCCCTTCCCCAGAAGAGGAGGAAAAGTCCTCGTGTGATGTTTCCTCCCCTCCCTATATCCTGTAACTTAGAGTCATGTGTCACTTAACAATGGAGATGCATTCTGAGAAATGTGTGAGGTGACTTCATCATGTGTGAGCATCATAGAGTGTACTTACACAAACCTAGATGCTATAGATTACTACACACCTAGGCTCTGGGACAGCCTACTGCTCCTAGGCTACAAACCTGTGCGTCAGGTTATTGTATTGAATACTGTAGGCAACTGTAACCCAGTGAAAAGTATTTGTGTTTCTAAATATTTCTAAATATAGAAATAGTACAGTAAAAATATGGCATAAAAGATTTTTTTTTGTTTACCTTCAACAATTTTTTTTATTATACTTAAATTTCTAGGGTACATGTGCACAACATGCAGGTTTGTTACATATGTATACATGTGCCATGTTGGTGTGCTGCACCCATTAACTCATCATTTACATTAGGTATTTCTCCAAATGCTATCCCTCCCCACTTCCCCCACCCCATGACAGGCCCTGGTGTGTGATGTTCCCCACCCTGTGTCCAAGGGTTCTCATTGTTCAATTCCCACCTATGAGTGAGAACATGCGGTGTTTGGTTTTCTGTCCTTGAGATAGTTTGCTCAGAATGATGGTTTCCAGCTTCATTCATGTCCCTATAAAGGACATGAACTCATCCTTTTTTATGGCTGCATAGTATTCCATGGTATATATGTGCCACATTTTCTTTTTTTGTCTTTTATTATTATACTTTAAGTTTTAGGGTACATGTGCACAATGTGCAGGTTTGTTACATATGTATACATGTGCCATGCTGGTGTGCTGCACCCATTAACTCGTCATTTAGCATTAGGTATATCTCCTAAAGCTATCCCTCCCCCCTCCCCCCACCCCACAACAGTCCCCAGAGTGTGATGTTCCCCTTCCTGTGTCCATGTGTTCTCATTGTTCAATTCCCACCTATAAGTGAGAATATGCAGTGTTTGATTTTTTGTTCTTGCGATAGTTTACTGAGAATGATGATTTCCAATTTCATCCATGTCCCTACAAAGGACATGAACTCATCATTTTTTATGGCGCAGAGTATTCCATGGTGTGTATGTGCCACATTTTCTTAATCCAGTCTATCATTGTTGGACATTTGGCTTGGTTCCAAGTCTTTGCTATTGTGAATAGTGCTGCAATAAACATATGTGTGCATGTGTCTTTATAGCAGCATGATTTATAGTCCTTTGGGTATATACCCAATAATGGGATGGCTGGGTCAAATGGTATTTCTAGTTCTAGATCCCTGAGGAATCGCCACACTGACTTCCACAAGGGTTGAATTAGTTTACAGTCCCACCAACAGTGTAAAAGTGTTCTTATTTCTCCACATCCTCTCCAGCACCTGTTGTTTCCTGACTTTTTAATGATTGCCATTCTAACTGGTGTGAGATGGTATCTCATTGTGGTTTTGATTTGCATTTCTCTGATGGCCAGTGATGATGAGCATTTTTTCATGTGTTTTTTGGCTGCATAAATGTCTTCTTTTGAGAAGTGTCTGTTCATGTCCTTTGCCCACTTTTTGATGGGGTTGTTTTTTTTTCTTGTAAATTTGTTTGAGTTCATTGTAGATTCTGGATATTAGCCCTTTGTCAGATGAGTAGGTTGTGAAAATTTTCTCCCATTTTGTAGGTTGCCTGTCACTCTGATGGTAGTTTCTTTTGCTGTGCAGAAGCTCTTTAGTTTAATTAGATCCCATTTGTCAATTTTGGCTTTTGTTGCCATTGCTTTTGGTGCCATTGCTTTTGGTGTTTTAGACATGAAGTCCTTGCCTATGTCTATGTCCTGAATGGTAATGCCTAGGTTTTCTTCTAGGGTTTTGATGGTTTTAGGTCTAACGTTTAAGTCTTTAATCCATCTTGAATTAATTTTTGTATAAGGTGTAAGGAAGGGATCCAGTTTCAGCTTTCTACATATGGCTAGCCAGTTTTCCCAGCACCATTTGTTAAATAGGGAATCCTTTCCCCACTGCTTGTTTTTGTCAGGTTTGTCAAAGATCAGATAGTTGTAGATATGTGGTGTTATTTCTGAGGGCTCTGTTCTGTTCCATTGATCTATATCTCTGTTTTGGTACCAGTACCATGCTGTTTTGGTTACTGTAGCCTTGTAGTATAGTTTGAAGTCAGGTAGTGTGATGCCTCCAGCTTTGTTCTTTTGGCTTAGGATTGACTTGGCAATGCGGGCTCTTTTTTGGTTCCGTATGAACTTTAAAGTAGTTTTTTCCAATTCTGTGAAGAAAGTCATTGGTAGCTTGATGAGGATGGCATTGAATCTATAAATTACCTTGGGCAGTATGGCCATTTTCACGATATTGATTCTTCCTACCCATGAGCATGGAATGTTCTTCCATTTCTTTGTATCCTCTTTTATTTCATTGAGCTGTGGTTTGTAGTTCTCCTTGAAGAGGTCCTTCACATCCCTTGTAAGTTGGATTCCTAGGTATTTTATTCTCTTTGAAGCAATTGTGAATGGGAGTTCACTCATGATTTGGCTCTCTGTTTGTCTGTTGTTGGTGTATAAGAATGCTTGTGATTTTTGTACATTGCTTTTGTATCCTGAGACTTTGCTGAAGTTGCTTATGAGCTTAAGGAGATTTTTGGGCTGAGACAATGGGGTTTTCTAGGTATACAATCATGTCGTCTGCAAACAGGGACAATCTGACTTCCTCTTTTCCTAATTGAATACCCTTTATTTCCTTCTCCTGCCTAATTGCCCTGGCCAGAACTTCCAACACTATGTTGAATAGGAGTGGTGAGAGAGGGCATCCCTGTCTTGTGCCAGTTTTCAAAGGGAATGCTTCCAGTTTTTGCCCATTCAGTATGATATTGGCTGTGGGTTTGTCATAGATAGCTCTTATTATTTTGAGATACGTCCTATGAATACCTAATTTATTGAGAGTTTTTAGCATGAAGGATTGTTGAATTTTGTCAAAGGCCTTTTCTGCATCTATTGAGATAATCATGTGGTTTTTGTCTTTGGTTCTGTTTATATGCTGGATTCCATTTATTGATTTGCGTATATTGAACCAGCCTTGCATCCCAGGGATGAAGCCCACTTGATCATGGTGGATAAGCTTTTTGATGTGCTGCTGGACTCGGTTTGCCAGTATTTTATTGAGGATTTTTGCATCAATGTTCATCAAGGATATTGGTCTAAAATTCTCTTTTTTGGTTGTGTCTCTGCCTGGCTTTGGTATCAGGATGATGCTGGCCTCATAAAATGAGTTAGGGAGGATCCCACAGAAATACAAACTACCATCAGAGAATACTAAAAACACCTCTATGCAAATAAACTAGAAAATCTAGAAGAAATGGATAAATTCCTCAACACATACACCCTCCCAAGACTAAACCAGGAAGAAGTTGACTCTCTGAATAGACCAATAACAGGCTCTGAAATTGTGGCAATAATCTATAGCTTACCAACCAAAAAGAGTCCAGGACCAGATGGATTCACAGCCGAATTCTACCAAAGGTACAAGGAGGAACTGGCATAAAAGATTTAAAAATGGTACACCTATGTAGGGCACTTCCCAAGAATGAAGCTTTCAGGGCAGGAAGTTGCTCTGGGTGAGCCATTGAGTAAGTGGTCAGGGAATATGAAGCTCTAGAACATTACTGTATAATACCACAACTTTGTAAATACTGTATGCTTCATCTACACTATACTTTAGAAAAACATTTTTTTCTTCTATATTAACCTTAGCTTACTGTAATCTTTTTACTTTATAAACTTTTAAATTTAAAAACTTTTGGACTCTTTAACACTTAGCTTAAAACATGCCTTGTACAGTTGTACAAAAATATTTTCTTTCTTTTTTTTCTTTTTTATTTAGAGATAGGGTCTCGCTTTGTCTCCCAGGCTGGAGTGCAGTGGCACAATTGTATCTCACTGTAGTCTCAAACTCCTGGCCTCATGCAATCCTCCTGCCTCAGCCTCCTAAGTAGCTAGGATGCAGGTGTGTATCACCATGCCCAGCTAATTTGAAAAAATTTTTAGAGATAAGGTCTCACTGTGTTGCCCAGGCTGATTTTTTTTCTTTACATTGTTATTCGATAAGCTTTTTTTTTTTAATATTACAATTTTTTTAACTTTTAAAACTTTTTTTGTTAAAAATGAAGACACAAATATACACCCTAGACTAGGCCTCCACAAAGTCGGGATCAATATCATTGTCTTCCACCTTCACATCTTGTCCCACTGGAGGGTCTTCAGGGGCAATAACATGCGTGGAGCTGTCATCTCCTCTGATGATAATGCCTTCTGGAATACCTCCTGAAGGACCTACCTGAGGCTGTTTAATAGTTAACTTTTTTAAAAAATATAAATAGAAGGAGTATACTCTAAAATAAAGATAAAAATATAGTATAATAAATACATAAACCACTAACATAGTTGTTTATAGTTGTTTAGTATTAAGTCTTATATATTGTACATAATTATATGTGCTATATGTTTTGTTTTTTAAATTTTATTTTTCCATAAATTATTGGGGTACAGGTGGTATTTGGTTACATGAGTAAGTTCTTTAGTGGTGATTTCTGAGATTTTGGTGCTCCCATCACCCAAGCAGAATACACTGTACCACAGTTGTAGTCTTTTATCCCTCGCCCCACTCCCACTCTTCCCCGCAAGTCCCCACAGTCTATTGTATCATTCTTATGCCTTTGTGTCCTCATAGCTTAGCTCCCACATATCAGTGAGAACATACAATATTTGGTTTTCCATTCCTGAGTTACTTCACTTAGAATAATAGTCTCCTGTCTCATACAGGTCACTGCAAATGTTGTTAATTCATTCCCTTTTATGGCTGCGTAGTATTCCATTGTGTATATATATACCACAGTTTCTTTATCCACTCATTGATTGATGGGCATTTGGGTTGGTTCCATGATTTTGCAATTGTAAATCATGCTGCTATAAACATGCATGTACAAGTATCTCTTTCAGATAATGACTTCTTTTCCTCTGAGTAGATATCCAGTAGTGGGACTGCTGGATCAAACGGTACTTCTATTTTTAGTTCTTTAAGGAGTCTCCACATTGTTTTCCATAGTGGCTGTACTAGTTTACATTCCCACCAGCAGTGCAGAAGTGTTCCCTGATTGCTGCATCCGTGCCAACATCTACTGTTTTTTGTTTGTTTGATTATGGCCATTCTTGCAGGAGTAGGGTAGTATCACATTGTGGTTTTGATTTGCATTTCCCTGATCATTAGTGATGTTGAGCATTTTTTCATGTTTGTGGGTCATTTGTATATCTTCTTTTGAGAATTGTCTATTCATGTCCTTAGCCCACTTTTTGATGGGATTGCTTGTTTTTTTCTTACTGATTTCAGTTTGTTGTGGATTCTGGATATTAGTCTTTTGTCAGATGTATAGATTGTGAAGATTTTCTCCCACTTTGTGGTGGGTTGTCTGTTTACTCTGCTGACTGTTCCTTTTACTGGCAAAAGCTCTTTAGTTTAATTAGATCCCAGCTGTTTATCTTTGTTTTTATTTTTATACAGTTGGCAGCACAGTAGGCTGTTTACACCAGTATCACCACAAACACATGAATAATGCATTGCACTTGGCTGTTAGAACAGCTACGGTGTCACTAGGCGATAAGAAATTTTTAGTTTCATTATAATCTTCTGAGACTACCATCGTATATGAGGTTCGTCATTGACTGAAATGTTATGTGGTGCATGACTACTATGATGTAAAATTAATAATACTTAAATACTATGATATAAAATCAATATATCTTATGTTATATGGTAAGGGAATAAAAGGAAAAAAGAGATACACAGACACAAATGGATTCAAGCAACATGCAGAGGACATGCATGACAATTACAGTCCTCAGTCTGTAACTTGTCACGTGATCATAACTGGTATTTATAACTACTTTCTTCCTCTGCCCACTCTATATTCCCCTTGTGTTCAGCAAGCACTTCAACTGGCTTGGTTCTTTACCTGGTGGAGTGACCCAAATCCTCATTCCTGAAGGATCTGGCCTTTAGCAGTCCTGCCTGGATTAGGATTTCCATCGACCTAATCACAGGGCATGATAATACTAAGAGATGCCCTAAGGGGTCTCCTGTATTCCAGCCACACTCTTCCTTACCTCAGTTGTGGAGCTGTAGTCCAATTTCCCCTTGGTAGTCAGGAGCAATCACCCCTGCCAGCACCGTAACTCCTATAACTCCCTTTTTTGCCTCTTGCTTCAGAGGCATGAGGAGCCCAAAGTGTCTGGGCAGCAGTCTTAACTTCCAGTTCAATGGAATCATTGTGTGTCTCCTGGTAGAAGAATTCCTCCCTCTGGAAATAAGATCTCTAGGCCAGCAGAGCATAAAATCATGGGAATAGAAGGCAAAACTTCTGCCAGTGAGTCACTAGGAGTGATATTTGGTTGTGCCACTCCCATTTCTACCTCTTGATTTATGGACCCATAAATCCTGGTGTAAGAGATGGGAAAAACCAAAGGCGTTTGCTACTCTCACACTCAACATATAACACTTCTATGACCAGATGTGTGGGTTTTTTCCACACAATGCAATTCTTCAACTCTCTGGATACCAGTTGGGTGTCCTATAATTCAATAAATTCTGACTCTGCCTACATGGAGTTGGAGTCAGATCCCACAGGTTAAGGGCTCAGTCCCACAAGCCTGTACCCCCTTTAGATGTCAATTACAAGTAGTAGGTTGTCACGTATCACCTATACTTGTGACTAATGAGCTATAATTTGGGGTTTCCACCATCCCCTTCTTGGGTTTGCTTAGTTTGCTAGGAAGGCTTTTAGAAGTTAGGGAAACATGTTTACCAGTTTATTATATTAATAAAGGATTTGTAAAAGGATACAGATGAACAGATACATAGCATGAGGTCTGGAAGGGTCCTGAGCTCCTGAAGGGCCAGGGGCTTCTGTCTCTGTAGATTTGGGGTGCACCCCCATGTGGATGTGTTAGGCAGCTCGGAAGCTCTCAGAACTCCATAGTTTAGGGGTTTTTATGGGGCTCTATCATGTAGGCATTATCAATTATTAACATCATTTCCAGCCCCTCTTCCTTCTCTGGAGAACAGGGGGATGAGGTTGAAAGTTCCAAGCTTCTAGTCATGGCTTGGTCTTCCTGGGCAGCAGCCCCCATCCAAAAGCCCCACCAAGAGTCACCTCATTTGAGCCAAAGATGCTCCAGTTACTCCTATTGATCCATAGTCCTGACACACAGCTCCTAAATACCGCCTATACCTCAACTTGGAGGTACTAAGGAGCTCTGTGTCAGGAATGGGGATCAAAGATAGAATACAAAATATCCTCCTAGCATCCCTATCTGCAAGGTTTTAGGAGATCTATGTGTCTTTTTCTTGTTCTTTTTCCTCCTTTTCTTTTCAAGACAGGTTCTCACTCTGTCATCCAGGCTAGAGCACAGTGGTGTGATCATGGCTCATTGAAGCCTTGATCTCCTGGGCTCAAGCCATCCTCCCGCCTCAGCCTCCCAAGTAGGTGGGACTACAGGCACATGCCACCATGCCTGGCTGATTTTTTTATTCTTTTGTAGAGATGGGGTCTCACCATGTTGCCCAGGCCGGTCTCAAACTCCTGAATTGAAGTGATCCTCCTCCCTTGGCCTCCAAAATGCTGGAAATACAGGCATGAGCCACTGTGCCTGGCCTATATTTCTTCTTATTTCACATCTGGCTTTAGAAGAAACAGCACCGTGTATTATATTTGATGCTGATTCACCAACCATCCCAGTTTGCCTGCACTGAAGGGTTTCCCAGGACAGGAGCATTTCCGTGCTAAAAGTAGGACAGTTCCATGCAAACTAGAGTGAAGGAGCTCATTTAAAATTTGACTAGAGATAAACTCAAAGTGGCTCAGGATTTCAATTAACAACCATGGCTTGGTATAGACCACCTTACTTCTCCCATTGGTCTCTAATAACCAAGTGTAGTTGCTGTTGCTCTTTTGAAAATAATTTTTATTTTATATTTAAAAAGAGCTAATATGTGATACAAAGTTAAAATGTCTTAAAGGGATATGTCTGTAAGAAAGTCTTTCTCCAGTCTTGGCCTCCATCAGTTTTTTTTCTTTGGATGGAAACTGTGACCAGTTTCTCTGTATATCTTTTCAAAGATATATTATGCATGTTTAAGGATATAAATCTATTATTTAAAATATACACATGGTTGCATACTATACACAGTGTTCTTCTCCTTGCTTTTTTCTCTTAACAGTGTATCTCTGAGGTTATTCAACAATGGGTAATAAAGAGCTGCCATTTTTCTTAGTGGTTTAATAGTATTCATTTGCCAGATTTATTGTCATTTATAAATTTGGCAAGCCACCTACTAACAGACTTAGAGTTTGCCTCTAATTCAGTGTTATTATTAAACAAATGATGCTGTAATGAATCTTTCAGCAACTGAGTCAAAGGGAATGTGCATTTAAATCTGTGAGATTTAATGTCAAATTGCCACCCATAGAGGCTGTAACAATTTACACTCCTACTGGCTGTATAGAAAAACACCTGATTCCCCACAGCCTCAGTGGACATACACCGTCTTATTCAGCCAAGGTCAAGACTCGGTCAAGCAAATCCTTGTTTTTGCTAGTAAATCAGATCTTCTCTCATTTTACTTCCTCACTGGTCTCTACCAAGGCAAAACTAATCCTCCAGCCAAAGCCATTTCCTGCCTTTAGGCTGCCTTTGCTGAGTCAGCTCATTAGCCTTAATTGTCTTCAAAATGATCCTCAGCTGTGTCATTCTTTCAAGACCTGCAGAGTTATGGGAAATGCTGTCAAAGCCAGGGTGTGTCTGTAGGGATAGAGTGAGGTCTGTGCAACCAGTAGCCAGAGTCGACAACTGGAGAATAAATCAGCATTTTGGGGGGTCTGAAAATAGGTCAGTCCACAGACAGTGAGGAGATGGAGAGCTTTATGCCAGGCACACACTAGAATTTCGACTTCATGCTTTTTAATATCCATAGTGAGTACTTGGGAGTGTACAGGATATCTTTTTTTTTCTTTTTTTGTTAATTAAAGTTCTGGGGTACATATGCAGAATGTGCAGTTTTGTTACCTAGTTATACACGGGGAGTGCACAGGATATCTTTGTGGGGTGGTGATATTGCCTGATCCAAATCTCCACCATCCATACCTCTCACCTCCACATGTTTTGTTTACATGGAGAAGGAGATGTGACTCACTCTCTCTTTCCCGGTCTCCTCCATCCACTGGCGTGCTGGAGTGAGCTCACACAGCATGCGAGAGATGATGAGTTTTTAGGAATTTTCCAAGCTGTTTGTTAAATATAGCCATTATTAAAAATTAGATAAATTTATAATTAAATATATTTATTACAAAGGTCATAGATACTCAAAACACATTCCTGCTGAATTATTTCCCTACATTTTATTTCTGCTTTAGAGGATTTTTACATCTCTTGTGTCTATATGGTGGAAATACTATGCAATGTTGTGCTACGGTATACCTCTTATCAACTATGTGGTTGGTGACTTCACGCTGGTGGCTTGAAACTGACCATGGTAGGAGTATGTGCACCACAGAATTGGCAAATACTACAAATCAGTGCTTGATTTATTGTTTTGTTGGCCATCTAGACTTAAACAAGTAAAGGGGAAAATGTGAATCATTCAGATTAAACTTAAAAATGTGTCATGACCAGTGCTGAAGCTGAAAGAAGATTCAGTTCAGTGAACATAATTTGTACAAGAGTGGGGTTATCACTGTTACTGGATCCTTGGGGTGTTGCTTTGCCAGCCAGAAACTTCTGTTGCCAGTGGCACCTTTGCCCAAGTTTTGCTCTGGCCTGCTGGGCTTGTAACACCCGCTCAGCCTGGCAGGTTGCGCTCAGCTCATGCTACTGGCCTGGATCCTGCACCTGCCAAGGGTGAGCCAGGCAGGAGCAGTGAGGGGTGTTTAAGTGAGCGTGGGGTCTGGCCACTGCGTACAGCCAGACATACCAACTACATTGGGGCAGGCAGCTCCAGGTGCTGGCATGGGCACCGGCTCCCTGCAAGGCTGCAGCTAGACCAGGCATACTTTAAGCAACTTCCATGGCTGACACCAGGGAATGTGGTGGCACCTGGAAGCTTGGAGATGCCAGGAACCACAGAGCCCTAAAAAGGGTTGCTCAGGGATCTCCTAGGTCTGGGATCCCTGAAGGGCTGCAGCTCTTCTCTCCTTCTCTCTTCTCTCCTTCTTGTTGCCTACAAAGTGGTGAGCAAAGGGCATATTTCAGCTCTGTCTGTGTTACAGCTCTTTTAGCTCTGCCATTAGATGGATCCTGAGTTCTTGTCCTGTGTCCAGGAAGAATGAGGTACACAGAAAAGTGGAGGGTGAGCAAGATGAAGAGGAGCTTTACTGAACAATAGAACAGCTCAGAGGAGACCCACAGTGGGTAGCTCCTCTTCATAGCCAGGGTGTCCCAGTGAGTGTTCAGCTCTCAGTGGAGAGGGTAGCTCCTCTCGGCAGCTGGCTATCCATCATCTCTCTGTCCTCTCTTCGAGTCCAGCTGAATCTGAGGTTTTTATGGGCCTCAGAGGGGAGGAAGTGCATGCTGATTGATCCATGGGTGGCCATGGGCGGGCCCTGGGAAAAGCACCACAAGTTCCCCTCTGGTTTGTGGGACTGGCAGCCCAGCCCCCAGGGTTCAGGCCCTCCTTGGCTTGAAAGTGGGTCTTCACCAGAGACCCACCCCCTTCCACTCAGGAGCTGTCTGCCTCCTGCCACTGCTCATGGCATCCAGGCTGTTCATGCCAAGGGGCTCCTGCAGGCCAGAGCCTGGCTGTCCTCAGCTCTCCCTTAGCCTCCCTTCCATGCTTATTGGTGCCTAAAGTCCAGAGGGGGCTTCAGCAGTAGGGGGTGGTGTGTCAGTGCTGCCCTGGCATGTGTACACCCAGCTGGGCTGCTACAGCACCTGGGCTTGGCCCCTACTTTGCTTTGAGATTGGAGTGGGCACTGACAGTGGAGAGAAGCCAGGCAGTGGGAGCAGAAACTTTTGAGCCTGTGGGGGGCAGGAGGACCTTCCTAGGTCCCTAAGAGTGTAGAGATGTTTGGGTCTGCAGTCATGGCAGGGTGGCTGCAGCTGCACCTGGGGAGCTCTTGCCCTGCCAACTTAGAAGGGGTGAGGCTCCCACTTTTCCCTGGCTCCTGCCAGCTCATGGAGCATGCAGCCCTGGCTATACCTCCTTGCAGCCTGGGGTGGGGTTTCCAGGTCCTCTCTGGGCCTGGGCCAGCGTCCAGGCCAGAGGCGATGCTGCTGTGAGTTTTTCCTGTGGCCCTGGTGCTCAGGGATGGCCTGGGGCTCCCCTTTGCCCAGCTTGTGGCCCTGCCTGCCCAGGGAGGCACCACTGGGAGTGGATCTTGGGCCCCAGATCCGGTCATTGGGAGCATCAGGCTCAGCGGTCACCTCAATGAGGGACGGATCCTGGGGATGTAGCCTCAGGCGGACCCATGCAGAGCCTCTTCCTGAGGTGCAGGGACTTGGAACTGTCAGTGGGGTGGGTGTGGTGGCCATGTCACTGGCCAGGTCCTTAAAGTGGGCACCTCTCCCACTTCCCATTCTGGGCCCCTGAAGTATGGCCCCAGCTCCACATTTCAAGTCTGATCCCATGCTCCACGTGCAAGTAGGGCACTGCCCCGGGCCCAGCTCTGCCTCGGGGCCCCTCTCTGCCAGCTACTCTGTGCCTGACTGACTGCTCTCCCACTGGTGGGTTGCTCAGCCTGGCCCCATGGCAGCAGCTCCCAGGGGCAGGTTCCCAGGGCGGTGGGTTCAGGAGGACTCCCAGGGATGGGCTCTGGGGACTGCCCACCTCAGCATCTGCACCTGAGGACCCATGGCCTTCTCCTGTACCCCATTGCAGCCGGCGTCATGGCAGTGGCTGCTTCAGACAGGCTGCCACTGCCGTCATCAGTACCTCTCATCAGATGTAAAGAGTTAACCGTGAGATGCAACTCCATTTGTCAAATCATGGTTAAATTGCAGCCATTGTTTAGTAAAAGATACAAGGCTTCAGCAAAAATCAATGAAAGCATTCTGAGAGAATCAATTGATCCTATGGGATCTCCAGTAAAGATTATCATGTATTTTATTATTATTTGTAAATTGTGTCACCCATCCCTTGTATCAGTAAATTTATAATCTTACAAATAGATGTGCATACCTTCATTTTTTTTCCTTTGAGAGCTGTTTTTTTTTTAAATTTTTTATAGAGACAGGGTCTCCCTATGTTTCCCAGGCTGTTCTTGAACTCCTGGGCTCAAGGGATCTGCCTGCTTCAGCCTCCCAAAGTGCTGGGATTCCAGGCATGAGTCACCACACCCAGCCTGGTTGTTAAGTGTTTATGAGCACACTACTGTCTCCAGTTTCAGAATTCTGTGACTATATATTGATTTAATGCTATTTTCTCAAAATAAACGATGCCATTTTCATTAGTCCACACTGTGTGCAGTGAGGTTGAGAGGTGATGAACAGGATGAGTTTACCTACCCACTGGGTGTTACTATGACTATGAGTAGCACTGAGGAGCTGGCTAGCTTGGGACCAGGTCTTTTCTTCTGAAACTTCCTTCCGTTCAATGGCCAGAAGTTTTTAGCAATTTTCTAATTCAGAAGTTGGGAGCCCTCCTAAATTAGCAAGCCAAGTTCTCATTTATTCACTAAGGTAGCATGTACCAGGGGTCCATTTTAACTTGTAAAAGTTATCTAGTTTATGGCCAAAGTCACCATATAGAATTATTTTATTAAGATAAAGTCCATTGAAACATAAAACCAAATTGTGCGATTTTTTTTTTTTTTTTTTTTGAGACAGAGTTTTGCTCTATCAGCCAGGCTGGAGTGCAGTGGCATGATCTTGGCTCACTGCAACCTCCACCTCCCAGGCTCAAGAGATCCTCCCACCTCAGCCTCCCGAGTAGCTGGTATTCCAAGCATGCGCTACCACATCTGGTTAATTTTTATATTTTTCTGTAGAGACAGGATTTCACTATTTTCTTCAGGCTGGTCTCAAACTCCTGAGCTCAAGTGATCCACCCACCTCAGCCTGCCAAAATGTTGGGATTACAGGCACTAGCCACCACACCTGGCTATGTGATTTTTTGAACTTCTGACATGGAGTTGATATTTGTTATTTTATTCCTCCCCTGCAGGGAGATTCACACCTTGCCATGTGTAATTCCAGCAGTAGAGCACATTCCTTGTAACAATGCCCCAAGCCACTGCTCCAGGGACCCTGAAAACCTGTGTTGGTACCCAAAGGCCAGGGTGTCCTAGAGATACATGTCAGGGGTCAGGAATGTGGGTTT
The DNA here is from genome assembly GCF_000001405.40 of Homo sapiens. Classification (NCBI taxonomy): domain Eukaryota; kingdom Metazoa; phylum Chordata; class Mammalia; order Primates; family Hominidae; genus Homo; species Homo sapiens. Next base: position 135,860,662 of record NC_000007.14, read on the forward strand.
GTGATACTTTTTTGACTTGATGTGTCACCCAGAATTCTTCCAGGCAAACAACAGATACTACCTCTGCTTATGTAAATAGTAAAGAGATTTATTGAATGGAGAGTAACTAGATTAAGGAAACCCTAGGAAGGTATCTTAGCTTAGGCTGTTGTAACAAAACACCATAGACTGGGTGGCTTAAACCACAGATATTTATTTCTTACAGTTCTGGAGGCTGGGAAGTCCAAGATCCAGGTGCTGTCAGATTTGGTCCTTGGCGAGGGCTCTCTTCCTCGTTTGTAGACACAGCTGCCTTGTCACTGTGTGCTCATATGGCCTTTCCTTGGTGTGTGCTTGTGGAGAGGAGAGAAGAGGGGAGGAGAGAGGAAGATAGATAGAGAGAGAGAGAGAGAGAGACTCTCCATCTTCCTCTTCTCATAAGGCACTAATCCCATCATGAGGGCCTGTATTAGTCTGTTTTCATGCTGTTGATAAAGACATACCTGAGACTGGGTAATTTATAAAGAAAAAGTGGTTTAATGGATTCACAGATCCACGTGGCTGGGAAGGCCTCACAATCATGGTGGAAGGTGAAAGATATGTCTTACATGGTGGCAGGCAAGGCATAGAATGAGAACCAAGCAAAAGGGGTTTCTTCTTATAAAACCATCAGATCTCGTGAGACTTATTCACTACCATGAGAACAGTATGGAGGAAACCACCCTTCTGATTCTGTTATCTCCCACTGGGTCCCTTCCACAACATGTGGGAATTATGGGAGCTACAATTTAAGATGAGATTTGGGTGGGCACACAGCCAAACCATATCAGGACCCCACCTTCACGCCCTAATCTATTACCTCTCAAAGGCCCCACCTCCAAATACCATCATATGAGGGGTTAGGGCTCCAACATATGAATCTGGGGGGAACACAAATGTTCCGTCCATAACAGAAGGCCATAGAACCAGGTTTGGAAATCAGGCATGAACAAGAAACTAGGCATCAACTAGGACTAAAACCCAAATCACATTCCAAAAAAAACAGCCTGGTGAGGCCCCTGCAATTGCTCTTGCCATTGCTGGACGCTGGACACCTCTGTTTGTACCACCTCTGCTGCTGTCCCAGGGCACTTAATGTCCCTACTCCTAGACATTCAAAGCTGCTGCCATGGCTGCTGTCGTGATGCCCTAGGGATGCTCTGCCTCTTTTCTTTGTGTGTGGAGACCTGAAGGACTTTCCTAAGGCCTGATTGTCCAGAATGCATGAGTCTCAGCCCTTTGCCTGGGCATAGCTGCAAGGGAGGCTGGGGAAAATACTATTTGGCTTTTTTCAGGATCTCTAGTGGGAAGAGATCTGCTTTCTACTTAGGAGCAGAAGGAAATGTGCTCCAGTGGGATTCAATTGCTAAGTAGCCAAAAAAGAAATAATATCTATGACATTTGGTCACAGGTACTGCAGATTTATATGCTCTCATGTGCTACAGCTCCCTGCCACATGGGAACTTTCTGGTCATCTTTAGCTCCATGGAACCACTACTCACTGGGCCTTCATCCTGTTCTCTATTCAAGATGCTCTCGAACCCCCTTCTCTTCTATGGGGGTGAGTCTGGAAGAGATGCTGGTTTGACCTTGTTCCTGTTGTATGCCCCCACCCTACAGCTCCCCCAAGGCATGCTGGATCATGGTGTTTCTCCTGCCATGTGGCTCAGACCTCTCCTTACTCAGCAAGCAAAAGGGTGTAATAAACAGGGCTGGGTCCTTACATCTTTGTGCTTCCTGTGGCATCTCCACCACTGCAGCATAAGTCCGGGGCTAAGACCTTATGTATCATAAGGAGGCAAGCTCTTTTCTTTGTGTTTCATGCAGAAAAGTGCCTCGTAATGACTTTTGGTTAGAAACTATCAAAATAAAATGTCAAATTTTTTGGTGCTATAGAGTTTTCAAACATTTCTGCAATAATTGGCTCATTTTACTGTCGTAGCCATCCTCTGGTTATTATTTCCGTTGTGGAGATCAGGCTGGTGAGACCTAAAGGGCCCGAGGTTGCACAGTTGCTAATAGGCAGGGCTGGACTTGGCCCCAGTTTTTCTTACACCTCACTTGATGCTCCACGGACTGTAACACAGTGCTGTGAGGCTTCTAATGGCAGTATCACGTGCAGCTATAGAGAGGCCAGTCACTCAAGACCCAGTGTCCTTGCTTGACAGTGGCACCTCCCGTGGAGTTTGCAGGGCTTTGAAGGCCCCTCTGTGCTAGCTGGCATCCTGTCCAGAGCTCTGTCCTGGCCCCTGGGCCAGCACATATGAGCCAGATTCCCCTTGCAGGTGGAGGGAAGCTCTCAGCCAGAGCAGTGTCCTGGGTCTCCCCAGTCTCCTCCTCACCTGCAGGGCTCACTCACTCAGCTCAGGAGGCTCTTCCTCTCCTGCTGGTTAATGGAATCTTCAGAGGCAGGCCAGAGCAGCTGGTGAAGTGGCCACAGTCCTCTAAGAGGAGCCCAGTGGGTGGAATTCACAACAACCCCAGCCCTGAGGTTTGGAAGACAAACGACTTCTGTTTCAGACAAATGGGAGTGTCAAGTTATTCCAGCCTGATGAGATTACAGCTCAGGGGATCACGAGGAATTAATTCCTCCAGAAGAGGAAAAAAAAAACAGCTAGCCCAGGAGCTGTCAGGGCCTCCTGCTGAAGGTAATGTGGGGTCACAGGCTGAAAGGATCCAGGTGAGGACAGGATTAGAGCAAAAGGGAGCTGGCATATAAAACAAGCCTAGAAAATAGGAAGCCATGAGCCCAGGGAACGTCAGGAAGGTTTGCAAGCAGAAGCATGACTTTGACTATACAGGGATGCCAGCTTCTGGGTCTCTTTCCTCTGTAAAGACACAATGGAGGAGAGATAAGAGTCTAAAAGAAATGTAAATGAGGTGGGGCTGTCAAAGGAAAGAACATGGTGGAAAGAGAGGAACACAAAGATATGGGGGAAAGTGAGACACTTGCCTCAGGCCTAGAATATAATGGGGCACCCACAATTTTGGAAATCAAGATAAATAACATTTTAAGGCACTATTTATAAAACCTAAAATCAATGCAAAATAATCTATGATGAGGAAAATGCCCAACATTGTAAAGAAAGACAGGATCAGTAACAGTGGTGTACTGAGCCACATTGGAACCTTAGGCAACAAGAAAAATCAGTAGTATTGATCCTGTCTTTCTTCAAAATGTTGGCATTTTGTTATCATGATTGTTTTGCATTCATTTTGACTTTTAAAAAATATTGAATTACAGTATCAGTCATCTTGATGGCTGAGTTTTTTGGTGCCCTCTTAAATGTTGTGTCTGAGGCAAAAACCTTGCCTCAGCCTAGTCCCAGCCCTGATGCATAGTCCTTTATACCCAGTGGCTCATCCTGGCCACGATGCAGAATGGAGCTGCAAAACAGTTTTCCAGAACCACAGGAAGACCCCTTGGCGGTCTTTGATTTAATGTTTGTCCTTATTTGGGGTTGTTTTACCATTTGTTAGACCAGCTGACAAAGAGTCCCCTGAGTGCAGTGTGACACTGGCACAGATCTGTGAAGGAGCTGCTGGCATTGGCGTTTGATCTGTGACAAAGAGATACCATCCTGATCAATGGGATGCTAATTGTTCTGAGCAGGAATTGCACCTGCAGGCACTCTTGATCCTAAATTTCATTAGCAGTACTTAATTCTACCCAGTCCCCTTCATTTTCTTAGCAAATGAGTTTCTTTTCCATAAAGCAAACTGTCTTAGATTATTTGTGCCACTATAATAGAATACCCAAGACTGGGTAATTTAAAATGAGCAGAAATTTATTGCCTCATCATTCTGGAGGCTGGGAAGCCCAAGATCAAAGGGCCAGCATCTGCCAAGGACCTTCTTGCTGCATCATCCCATGGAGGAATGCAGATGGTGGAAATGCTAAGAGGGCAAGAGAGAGAGATGAAAGGGGACTGAACTCATTTTTTTTTTTTTTTTTTTTTTTAGATGGAGTTTCACTCTTGTCACCCAGGCTGGAGTGCAGTGGCATGATCTCAGCTTACTGCAACCTCTACCTCCTGGATCCATGCGTTTCTCCTGCCTTAGTCTCCTGAGTAGCTGGGATTACAGGCACCCACCACCATGTCCGGCTAATTTTTTGTATTTTTAGTAGAGACAGGGTTTTGCCATGTTGGGCAGGCTGGTCTCAAACTCCTGACCTCAGGTGATTCGCCCACCTCGGCCTCCCAAAGTGCTGGGATTACACCACACCTGGCCTGAACTCACCTTTTTTATAATGAATGCACTCCCACAATAATAGCATTAATTCCTTCATGAGGGTGGAGGCTTCATGGCCTAATCACCTCTCATTAGGCCCCACCTCCCCACACTGTTGCACTGGAGATTAGGCATTGCATACTTCTTGGGGGACTCAGTTAAACCATGCACAAACTTACAAGATCTTGGTAACTTTCTCCGATCCTTGTTTTTTTGCTTTGTTTTGTTGTTATCATCAGTAAGAAGAAAGTAGCCCCAGCCTTGGAGTAAAATGTGACTTGCATTCTGATACAATAACTTTGGACAGCTTGAGCACATGCTGGAATTGCAGAAATGGGTTCATCTGAGGAACAAAGCAGTTCTTCTCTATTTGTTGATCAAGAGAGGAAAGTGAAAGTGCTACTGACACCCATGGTGATCACCAAGCACCCTCTGGGCTCAGAAGGTGCCTTTGAGAACAGACACCTTTGGGAGGCCCCAGACAGGTGCTCTCCATTCACTTCTTGGGAGTTCTCCTGACAGAGCAAATCACTCCTTGGTTTTTTAGATAAAATGTGGGATTCCCAGGTTGTAATTTTCCATTCCCATTTTGGAAAGTCTCTTATCCTTGCAATGAAGCTCTGTGCTCCAAGGTCGGCAAATAGTCTCTTTTGTTCTTATGCTGGTCCTAGGCCATAGCAGCTTTCTCTTTGCTCCTCATCTCACCCCAGGGACTTTCTGTTGTCTTTTCACTTGGTTGGAAACTGGCTAGGAACTGGAAATGGAGCACAGAATGACATTTTACCATTGACTTGAGGATGGGTGAGCACTTAGCTTTTTGCTTCAGTTTTTTCAATGGCTCAATATTAACATCTGACTTCCCACTACCTTTTGTTTCTATTAAGAAGAATGCCTTGGCCGGGTGCCATGGCTCATGCCTGTAATCCCAGCATTTTGGGAGGCCAAGATGGGCGGATCACAAGGTCAGGAGATGGAGACCATCCTGGCTGAATGAATTCATCCAGGGTGAAACCCCGTCTCAACTAAAAATACAAAAAATAAGCCGGGCTTGGCGGGTGCCTGTAGTCCCAGCTACTTGGGAGGCTGAGGCAGGAGAATGGTGTGAACCTGGGAGGCAGAGCTTGCAGCGAGCTGTGATCGCACCACTGCAGTCCAGCCTGGGCGACAGAGCGAGACTCTGTCTCAAAAAATAAATAAAATAACATAAAATACGAAAATTAGCAGGGCATGGTGGCGCATGCCTGTAATCCCAGCTACTCTAGAGGCTGAGGCAGGAGAATCCCTTGAACCTGGGTACAGTTGAGGACACAGACAAGTCAGAGGCTTTGATGAAAGTATTCATTTAGTACAGCACCTGGTACAAATGGCAGTCATTTTTTCCATCCTCTTTCCGTCTCCCTGCTTCCCCCTCCTCCTCATCATCACCATGCATTGTCCGGGGCCTTGGGGATACAAAGATGAAGAAGCTATAATTCCTTTCCTCAATTTACTAAAAATCTAGAGGGCAAGTAGACATGTTAACTCTAATTTGTGTGGATTAGATAAAAGCGATCACACCCATCTTCTCAGTTATTCCTCTCAACAACCTGTGAGGTGTGGGGTGTTCGCATTTTGCGGATTAGGAAACAAAGGCTCAGAACACTCACAGGACGTCTTTCAGATATGCAACATGTAAAGCAAAGTCAAGATTTAAAGGTATCCTGATGCCAAAGTCTGAGCTGCTCTGTCTTATGAAGGTGTTGAGCAACATTTGTCAAATGAATATTCTTTCATGGGATGCATTGTAAATGCCCAGAACAGATAGAGGAGGGGGCACAAGAGATGCTTAAAAGATTTTAAAATAATTTCTACATTCCTGTAACCCATACATATACCAGAAAAGAGAAAGAGAAAACAGCATCCAAAAACTATCTTCTGGGAATCAGTTAAGCAGAGAAAGACACAAACTCAGTCAAGATTCCAGCTTTTGCAAAATATTACATTACCAGATGATGACTGATGGCTGAAAACTGTTTTCTTCTGTTGGGAGGGTTTGGCTGTACTGTCCTGAGTTACTGTGTATTTTATAGGATAATCACCTCTTCTCTCACTGTTGCCCAGGTTGGAGTGCAGTGGCTTGACCATAGCGCACTGCAGTGTTGAACTCCTGGATTCAAGCCATCTTCCTGCTTCAGCCTCATGAATAGCTGAGACTACAGGCATGTGCCATGATGCCTGGCTGTTTTCTTCTTCTTCTTCCTCTTTTTTTTTTTTTGAGACAGAGTCTCGCTCTTTTGCCCAGGCTGGAGTGCAGAGGCACGATCTCGGCTCATTGCAACCTCCGCCTCCCAGGTTCAAGCAATTCTCTGCCTCAGCCTCCCGAGTAGCTGGAATTACAGGTGCCCACCACCACACCTGGCTAACTTTTTTGTATTTTTAGCAGAGACGGGATTTCACCATGTTGGCCAGGCTGGTCTGGAACTCCTGACTTCATGATCCACCTGCCTCGGCCTCCCAAAATGCTGGGATTACAGGCATGAGCCACCGCGCCTGGCCGATTTATTCTTTTAGTAGAGTTGGAGTCTCACTATGTTGCCTAGGCTGGTCTCAAACTCCTGGGCTCAAGTAATCCTCCCACCTTGGCCTCCCAAAGTTCTGGGATTACAGGTGTGAGCCAATGTGTCTGGCCAATTCTTTTTTGTTCTTATATGAAGGAACAAATTTGGGTGAGTGATGGAGAAGCCGAGGTGGGAAGACAGCTGAGACAGAGGCGGGGCTAGTGGTTACTTTCAGTTCTTAGGAGTATTTGATGAAAACTTTACACCCTCTGGCTGTCAGGTCTATCTAGGGCCTCAAAATATATCTTAGCATATTCTAAAGTGACAGGTTTTCTCCCAACATGAAAATTGCTTTTTTAAAAATTATAGACCGGGCGCAGTGGCTTATGCCTGTAATCCCAGCACTTTGGGAGGTTGAGGCGGCGGATCATGAGGTCAGGAGATCAAGACCATCCTGGATAACACGGTGAAACCCTGTCTCTACTAAAAATACAAAAAAATTAGCCTGGCATGGTGGTGGGTGCCTGTAGTCCCAGCTACTCGGGAGGCTGAGGAAGGAGAATGGCGTGAACTCGGGAGGCGGAACTTGCACTGAGCCGAGATAGCGCCACTGCACTCCAGCCTGGGTGACTGAGCGAGACTCTGTCTCAAAAAAAAAAAAAAAAAAATTATAAAAGTAGGCCTGGTACAGTGGCTCACACCTGTAACCCCAATGCTTTATGAGGCTGAGGTGGGAGGATCATTTGAGGCTAAAAGTTTCAGACCAGTCTGGGCAATGTAGTGGGACCCTGTCTCTAAAAAAGGAAGGGAGAGGGAGAGAGGGTGGGGGAGGGAAAGGAAGGAAAGAAAAAGGGGAAGGAAGGAAAAAAAGGGAAACAAAGAAAGAAAAAAAAATCATAAAAGTAATACATGTTCATTGAAAAAAAAAAAAGACAAACAGAAAAGTGCGAAAGTAAGTGAGCATCATTCGTTACTCCATCATCATGACATGCACACCCACATACACCCACACACATTATATTACAAAACTGAGATCATACTGGTAATAAATACCTCTTGGGTACCTGCACAATAATTTTCTTATTTTGGGAACATCTCAATAATCAAAGTTGGGTGGGTCTTCAGAATCATGTTTATGTTGTTTGATGAGCCAAAGATAATTGGTTTTGGTAGACATTTGATCCAGTCTAGACCAATCTAGATCAATTCTCCCAAAAAATTTGGAAATTTTTTTTGTGCAATGGTCACTGAAGCTATTCTGGTTTCTTCCCTTTCCTCATTCTTAGTTATTTCATTTGTTCTTCAATGCTAATCCAAGAAATAGCATAGTATCTTCCTAGTAAATCCATCTACCTTGCCTTGACTTTTTCCTCTTCCTTCTTTTATCTTTCTGTTTATGCTAGCTAGAATCAGTTCTTCTTGCTTACAACCTGAAGAAGCTTAATACATACAATATCATATTTATTGCTTCATAGCCTTCTCCCACTTAATAATATGTTCCCATGTCCATAGATGCAGAGACCCAGGTTCATGTCTAATGGCTGTGTAGCATTCCACTGTATGGATGTACCATATTTATATAACTGGAAGAAAACAATTTTCAGCTCTTAATTCTGAAACCATTGTCTAGAAATTAAAAGTTCTTTTTTTTTTTAATTTATGGACAACCTGCAGCAAATATTATTTTATACTCATCTCTTTGTACTTGTTTTATTATTCCTTGTGACAAATTCTAGAAGTGAAATTAATAGATCAAGGAGTTTGTATATTTAAAAATTTTATGTTTATTACCAGATTGCCTTCCAGAAAAATTGCACCAATTTATACTACCAATAAAAGAGTGTGAGCAACCAACCTAGATATTATAGATCTTTCTGTTTATTGGCAATATGATGGAAGATAACTAAAAAAATGGCAATATATTTTTCATTTTGTCTGTAATATACTTCTCAAGAAGTTTCAAGAAGAACATACAGTTATTATGAAGGCAAAACTCACCCCAAATCCACTACCCATTTGAGCCAACTTCCCCTCAGATACGTTTCTATGCATATATAGATAGAACATGTTATTTTAGGTAAATAAGAGTTTTTTAAAGAAACAAAATACATTAGACACATTAGAAACACCCAGCTTAGATAATCATTCCCGAGTTCTCCCTCCTGTTAGAGGTAGCCACTATCTTCAGTGTGGTGTTTATAATTTTAATGCGTGTTTCTATAGATGTGTAACCATGAATAACATATACTTTTTTTTACCTATTTTAAAATTATATGCTCCTTCATATGGTAACTTGCTTTTTTTTTAACTAAATATTATATTTTTAAGATCTATCAATGTTGATAGATAAAGCTCTAGTTTATTCATTTTAACTGCGGTATATTATTTTGTTGTTTTGACTTACTCCATGTTTTAAAATATACATTTTCTATTATCTATTGATAATTAGGAATTCTTTATATATTCTAGTTATTTGTGACACAAGTATCTTCTTTTAGTGTACAGCTTATCAAATCACTGCATTTTGTCATTAATTGAATGCCTTTTAATCTTAATTGTTCATTTTGTGTGTCTTGTTTATCTCTAAATTCTAAAGACACAATATAATGTTTTCTTCTGAAAGTTTTGAAGTTTTGTTTTTCACAGTTAGATTTTTAACTCAGCTGAAGTTGATTTTTGTGAATGGTATAAGGTATAATTTGGACAACTAACTGTCCCAACTCCTGTTGATTAGTGAGTCTTCTCCTTGTGGATTGGTAAAGCCACAACTATCATATATCAAGGTCTGTGTCTGCACTTAACTTATTTTGCTCTATCAGTCTGTTTCTTTCTCTGTGTTAATGCCATACCGTCTTAATTGCTATAATTTTCTAAGTCTCTTATTTGATAAGATAAATCTTCCCAACTCTGTTCTTCAAACAATCTTAACTCTCCTGGCCCTTTGTGTTTTCTTATAAATTTTAGGATCGACTTGTCAAATTTAGTTAAAAAGCCTATTGTGATTTTGACTGAATTGTATTGGCTTGAATTGGCATCTTTAAGATATTGAGTCTTCACGTCAATGAACATGCTATATAACACTCTGTTTAATTAGGAGTTTTATGTTTGCTAACAATGCATCATAATTTTTCTCCCAGTAGGTTTTACACATATTTTGTTAGATTTCTCCTTCCCCATCCCCTGAGATTCTTACCATTTTTAGGGCCGTTGTATAGGGAATCCTTTTTTGGATGAATATTTTCTAATTTGTTATTTGTGTATCTACCAAAAGGCTATTGATTTTTCTGTGTTGCTCTTGCATCCAACATCTTACTGAATTTTTTATTAAATAGCATATATATAGATTCTTTTTTATATTCTATGTGGATAATCTTAACATCTGCAAACAAAGATGGTTTTCTCTCTGCTTTCAGTTCTTACTCCTCTTGTTTCTCTTAAGAATACTTTTTAAGAATGCTTTATTACATTAGCTAGAACCTACAGAAAATATTAAATGGCAGAAATAATAATGGGATTATTGTGCTATTCCTGACTTTAATGGAAATGTCTCTAATATTTTACCACTAAATATGACGTTTGCTGTAGGCTTTCTGTTGTGGTTTGAATAGTGCTCCCCCAAAAGATACGTTGAAGTCCTAACTCTGGATACCTGTGAATGTGACTTTATTTGGAAATATGGTCTTTGCAGATGTAATCAAGTTAAGATTAGGCCATATTGGGTTAGGGTGGGTTCTAATCCAATGACAGATGTCCTTATAAGAGAGAGATTTGGACACAGGCACACACACAAAGGAAGAACACCACATAACTATGGAGGCAAAGCTTGCAGTGACGCATCTACAAGCCAAGGAAAGCCAACAAGTGCTGGCAGCCACCAGAAGGGAGGAAGAGGCGAGGAAGACACCTCGCCTAGAGACCCCAGAGAAAGCTGGTTCTTCTGACACCTTGATTCAAACTTCTAGCTTTCAGAATTGTGAGAATAAATTTCTGTTGCTTTAAGCCACTCAGTTTGTGGTAATTTGGCACAGCTGCCCTAAGAAATGAATACACTTTTGCTATGTACTTGATATTAAGGATATTTTCTTTTATTCCTAATTTGTAAAGGGACTTTATTTTTTCATAAATATGTGTTAAATGCTATGCTTTTTAATCATATTGTTTTTTCATTCATCAGTGTTAAGTATATTTTATTATGTAACTTCATTTTCTCATATTGAAATATTCTTGTATAACTAGGATAAACTGATGAATTAAATTTGATTGGTGGTCTTTTATTTTATATTGACATTTATAAACTTCATTTTCCTTATATTTTTGTGCACATAATTATAAATGAGTATGGCCTTTAATTTCTTACAATATTTTGGATCAAAACAATATAATAGATTTTTGTCTTTTTCTACTCTCTGATACAACTTGTGTAAGACAGACATTATTTGACCTCAAGGTAGGTAAACTTGCCTGTAAAACCATATGGGCCTGGGGTCTTTTTTTTTCTTTCAGGAATTGAGGGTTATGGGGAAACTTTTGGTTACTAATGCAATTTATTTAACAATTATTGATTTTTGTCAGGATTTATCTTTATTATCTCTCTTTTCTATTTTGCTAAGATGAGATTTTGCTCTGTTGCTCAGGCTGGAGTGTAGTGGTATGGTCATAGCTCACCGCAGCTTCAAACTCCTGGGCTCAAGCAATTCTCTTGCCTTAGCCTTCTATGTAGCTGGGACTATAAATGTGTGCCACCACTCCTGGCTAAGATTTATATTTATTTAAAAAATTGTTTTGAGACAGGGTCTTGCTCTGTTGTCCAGGCTGGAGTGCAGTGGCTGCCATCATGGCTCACTGCAGCCTTGACCTCCCAGGCTCAAGCAATCCTCCCACCTCAGCCTCCCAAGTAACTGGGACTCCAGGCATGTACCACCATGCCTGGCTAATTTTTCATTATTTGTAGAGATGGAGACTCCCTATGTTGCCCAGGCTGGTCTCAAACTCCTGGGTTCAAGGGATCCTCCTGCCTTGGCCTCATGAAGTGCTGGGATTACAGGTGTGAGCCACTGTGTCTGGCTTATCTTTATTCTTGAATCAATTTTGTTATTCTTTTTTCTTTAGAAAATTATTTTATCCTACCCTTCAAATTTATTTGTATTAAAATTTATATAACATCTTCTTATGATTTAAAAAATCTATACTCTAGCCTTAGTTTTGTGTGCTTTTTTCTCTATTTTTGTTATTTCTCCCTATTTTTATTTTTTATTTATTTTTTAAAAACAGAATTTTTTTTAAATTATGCTTTAAGTGTTAGGGTACATGTCCACAACGTGCAGGTTTGTTACATATGTATACATGTGCCATGTTGGTGTGCTGCACCCATTAACTCGTCATTAACATTAGGTATATCTCCTAATGCAATCCCTCCCCGCTCCCCCCACCCCACAACAGGCCCCGGTGTGTGATGTCCCCCTTCCTGTGTCCATGTGTTCTTATTGTTCAATTCCCACCTATGAGTGAGAACATACGGTGTTTGGTTTTTTGTCCTTGTGATAGTTTGCTGAGAATGATGGTTTCCAGCTTCATCCATGTCCCTACAAAGGACATGAACTCATCATTTTTTCTGGCTGCATAGTATTCCATGGTGTATATGTGCCACATTTTCTTAATCCAGTCTATCACTGTTGGACATTTGTGTTGGTTCCAAGTCTTTGCTGTTGTGAATAGTGCCGCAATAAACATACATGTGCATGTGTCTTTATAGCAGCATGATTTATAATCCTTTGGGTATATACCCAGTAATGAGATTGCTGGGTCAAAGGGTATTTCTAGTTCTAGATCCCTGAGGAATCGCCACACTGACTTCCACAATGGTTGAACTAGTTTACAGTCCCACCAACAGTGTAAAAGTGTTCCTATTTCTCCACATCCTCTCCAGCACCTGTTGTTTCCTGACTTTTTAATGATCACCATTCTAACTGGTGTAAGATGGTATCTCATTGTGGTTTTGATTTGCATTTCTCTGATGGCCAGTGATGATGAGCACTTTTTCATGTGTCTTTTGGCTGCATAAATGTCTTCTTTTGAGAAGTGTCTGTTCGTATCCTTCGCCCACTTGTTGATGGGGTTGTTTGTTTTTTTCTTGTAAATTTGTTTGAGTTCATTGTAGATTCTGGATATTAGCCCTTTGTCAGATGAGTAGATTGCAAAATTTTCTCCCATTCTGTAGGTTGCCTGTTCACTCTGATGGTAGTTTCTTTTGCTGTGCAGAAGCTGTTTAGTTTAATTAGATCTCATTTGCCAATTTTGGCTTTTGTTGCCATTGCTTTTCGTGTTTTAGACATGAAGTCCTTGCCCGTGCCTATGTCCTGAATGGTATTGCCTAGGTTTTCTTCTAGGGTTTTTATGGTTTTACATCTAACATTTAAGTCTTTAATCCATCTTGAATTAATTTTTGTATAAGGTGTAAGGAAGGGATCCAGTTTCAGCTTTCTACATATGGCTAGCCAGTTTTCCCAGCACCATTTATTAAATGAGGAATCCTTCCCCCATTTTTTGTTTTTGTCAGGTTTGTCAAAGATCAGATAGTTGTAGATATGTGGCATTATTTCTGAGGGCTCTGTTCTGTTCCATTGGTCTATATCTCTGTTTTGGTACCAGTACCATGCTGTTTTAGTTACTGTAGCCTTGTAGTGTAGTTTGAAGTCAGGTAGTGTGATGCCTCCAGCTTTGTTCTTTTGGCTTAGGATTGACTTGGCAATGCGGGCTCTTTTTTGGTTCCATATGAACTTTAAGGTAGTTTTTTCCAATTCTGTGAAGAAAGTCATGGTACCTTGATGGGGATGGCATTGAAACTATAAATTACCTTGGGCAGTATGGCCATTTTCATGATATTGATTCTTTCTACACATGAGCATGGAATGTTCTTCCATTTGTTTGTATCTTCTTTTATTTCCTTGAGCAGTGGTTTGTAGTTCTCCTTGAAGAGGTCCTTCACATCCCTTGTAAGTTGGTTTGTAGTTCTCCTTGAAGAGGTCCTTCACATCCCTTGTAAGTTGGATTCCTAGGTATTTTATTCTCTTTGAAGCAATTGTGAATGAGAGTTCACTCATGATTTGGCTCTCTGTTTGTCTGTTATTGGTGTGTAAGAATGCTTGTGATTTTTGTACATTGATTTTCTATCATGAGACTTTGCTGAAGTTGCTTATGAGCTTAAGGAGATTTTGGGCTGAGACAATGGGGTTTTCTAGATATACAATCATGTCGTCTGCAAACAGGGACAATTTGACTTCCTCTTTTCCTAGTTGAATACCCTTTATTTCCTTCTCCTGCCTAATTGCCCTGGCCAGAACTTCCAACACTATGTTGAATAGGAGTGGTGAGAGAGGGCATCCCTGTCTTGTGCCAGTTTTCAAAGGGAATGCTTCCAGTTTTTGCCCATTCAGTATGATATTGGCTGTGAGTCTGTCATAGATAGCTCTTATTATTTTGAGATACGTCCCATCAATCCCTAATTTATTGAGAGTTTTTAGCATGAAGGGTTGTTGAATTTTGTCAAAGGCCTTTTCTGCATCTATTGAGATAATCATGTGGTTTTTGTCTTTGGTTCTGTTTATATGCTGGATTACAAAAAACAGAATTTTTTAAAAATCATTTTTGATAGAGATTTTTCTTATTTTAAAGAACAGTTTTTAGATTGTTTATCTTCTCAATTGTCTCTTTGTTCTCTATTTTAATATTCTCTGTCATTTACTTTCTTCTCTCCTTCTTTTACTTGCTCTTTAATTTTTAATTTTCAATCTTTTTCTTATTTGTTTCAATCTGGATGCATGTACTTAAAGTTCTAAATTGCTCTCTAAGTACAACCTACACTGCACTCAGAAATTTTCTATTTTAATATTCTCTGTTCTTATTTACTTTCTTCTCTCATTCTTTTACTAACTCTTTGAGTTAATTTTTAATTTTCAATCTTTTTCTTATTTGCTTTGATCTTGATGAATGTACTTAAAGTTCTGAATTGCTCTCTAAGTACAACCTACACTGCACTCAGAAGTTTTTATATACAATATTTTCATTGCAGTTTATATGAAAAGATTTTATGATTTCATTATTATGTCTTCAACGTATGCCTGATTTAAGAGTACATTTTAAGTTTTCAAACATAGGAGCTGTTGTTTTTTAAGACTACCTTGGGCCTTAAAAGAAGTCTCAGCATATTTAAAAGGATTGAGATCATATAGAACATGCTCTGCAATCCAGCATAAATTGAGCAAAAAAAAAAAAAAAAAAGACAACAGAAAAAGACTCAAAATCTCTTATGTTTGGAGATCAAAAATACTCTCACAAATAATTCCTGTAGCAAAGAAAATGACAATGGAACTGGATCATAATGAACATATGACAGATCAAAACTTGTAGGATGCAGTTTAAGGACTTAAAGATAAATTATAACATTAAAATGCACATATTCTAAAATAAGGGTGAAAATCAATACACTACCTAATCACCCTTCTCAAGATGATTGGAAGCAGCAGTGGCGGCAACAAATAAGAATCTTCATTAAGATGCCTACGGGGTCGTCTTCAATGAGGGTTTGTATTTATTTCTGCTCGCTTTGCTTTCATATCTAGAGTTTTATGATTTTGCTCCTGCCTTCATCTGACCTCTCAGGCTCTTAGTCCAGGTTGAAGTCTTAGGATGGTATTTTGGGGTTCCCACTCCATGGAAATATTGGGCATGATACAAACCAGTGGCTTAATTCCTGATCATGAGGCTCTAGTTTCATCTCAGGCAGCAGATTGGTACCTTTGTTTCTTGGCCTTTTTTCATGAGCCTGGAACCCAAGTCCTCTTCTTGCCCCTGATTCCAACAGTGAAGCACAGGTCATTTTTTTTCTGTTATAGGCTGAATGTTTGTGTCCCTCCAAAATTCATATGTTGAAGCCCTAACCCCTAGTATGGCTATATTTGTAGTTAAGATTAATTGAGGTCATAATGGTGGGGCCCTTATAAAAAGAGACAGCAGAGAGCTTGTGTTCTCTCTTTCAACCCCGGCATGAGTGCATAGGAAAGGCCATGTGATGACATGGTACAGAAGGCGGCTGTGTGCAAGCCAGAGGAAGAGCCCTTACCAGACACTGACCCCTGCCAGACTTGATCTGGGACTTTCAGTCTTCATAGCTGTGAAGAGATACATGTTTAAGCTACCTATATGGTATTTTGTTACAGCAGCCCAAGGAGACTGAGACACCTTCCTTTGAGAGACGGAGCCATTTGCCACCCCTCCTGCTTTTGGGCTTCGTAGCCTGTATCTTCTGTCCTCAGCCCTGATCACTTTGCATTGCAACAGCTCCATAGAGACATTTATCTTATTTTTGAATCTATGATTTCTAGTTTTTTTCTTCTTGCATAGTTTGTCTATTGTCAGGTGAGCTAGGGGGTATATCATAGTGTGAGCATACTGTTTGAGATCCTAGTGTTTTTCAGTAAGGAAGAATCACAAGGAGACAGATGTACCATTAAATTTGCCCTAGAAATCGGTAAGTGTCAAAGGCCTGACTAAATTGCTTTTTTTTTTTTCCTTGTAGGGATAAGTATTTAGAATCAACTGGTTACTGCTTCATAGTTACTAATTCGCCTGAGGCTTCTCTACTGACCTGTGCTTTCCAGACTGTCCTTGGGGAGGGCTGTCAGCCATGTTTTCACTGGGGGATGAAACACCCCCTAGTCTACTGATACCAGCGTCTCTCCAAACTTAGCTCACTCTGGCTCTTTGTGTTTTTCCACCCATGTGACCTACACCTCCAGGCTTCACCTGGCCAAGCAAACATGGCTAAGTTGCATCTTTTCTGTGCACAGAAATGAGATGTAAGTTGGGCAACAAACCCACAGTGATATATTTGTTTGCAAACGTGTTAAAAGATGCTCCTAGACATGATATGGAACTCTTGGTTTTCTCTTGCTGCTCACTCCATGGTGACTGTTTAGCTTGGAGAGGCAAACTTATTTGCAGGCTCTATAACATTGTTGATATGGAGACTTTTCCTAACATTGCCTCTTTATATTTCTCATTGCTATAGGATTATATAGTTGCATCTGTGGGTTTCAGCGTGTGGCGTTAAAGTTTAACAAACCAAGAAGCAAATGGAACAAATGACTGCAGATGCATTTCTCGTGGCTTTAAGGGGGCTGTGTAGTAAGATTGAAATATGATGGGCTTTGAGGTGGTTCAAATCTCATTCATGTACCCATTAACTGTGTGACCTTGGACAAGGTCTGTGGGCTTAACTTTTGTGAGCACACCTATACAAAGAATACTACAATGCATATTCACAAGGTTAGTGTGAGAGTTAAATACATGGAAAGCACCCAGCCTGTGCCTGGAGGTGCTCAGAATATATTCGTTTCCTTCCCTCCTTTCTCTGATTATTCAGCTAGTTGCCAGACTCTAGCAAAGTCGCCCCACCTCACTGCACCTTGTCTTTCTAGTGTTCCGTGAAAAACATGCAAAGTCAGTGGTTTGGCGACTCAGATGTTCTTCTAACTCTGTAATGCTGGGAGTCTGTGATGCAACAGCTGCTGTTCAGGCTACTTAGGCAGTTTTTCTGGTTTGTCCATCCTCCCCGCCATGCCCATCCCTGCCATGATTAATTGCTTGGCTAAGGAGTCATGCAGCTGTTTATGACTAGGTTGATTAGGGGAAAAGTAAAGATCATTTTTAAAAGCCTTAAAGGGACAATAGAGTGGCTTAGAACCTGCCAGAATAGGGGGTGAAATTTGAAGTTGCTGAACACACCAATGGGAACAATCCCTTTTCCATCTGAGAAGGCTGACTGCGTGACTGCGTTTCTGCTCTTAGAAAATTCACTGCAAGGAAAAGGGTAAAGAGTGGATTTGCTGGCTCAGGCAATTTTAAACCCTGGAAAAGCTATAGAAAAGCTTTCCTTTGACACCATCCCACCTCCTATTTTTGTGTCGTTTCTTTCCTTCCCTTCATTCTGTCCTGTGTGGTATCCCATAGACCTGACTTCCCCATTTCTCACAAAATCTACCTCTTCTTCCCGCAGATCAAGTGCTGTCTTGGTACCTGACTGTCAGAAGGCTGACAGGGGAAAATAGGTTTGAGAAATCAATTCAGAAGCAGGCTTCTCTCTATAAGGTTATGTGCAAACTCTTCTAGGGGCCTTTGCACGCTAAAGGAATTGCTTCTTAATGTAATCATACATTTAATTGGGTTAGGTTATTCTATGCAAATTGTAAAAAGAATTAATGGTACAATGTGACTGCCTTAAGAAGCTGTATAATTTCAGGCTTCATTAATATGAACACATACCAAGGAGGAGGTGTAAATCCCAATCTGACTCCATGGGGATCAGGCTTCCTGGGGTCTTTACATGTAGTTCTGGGCTTCTCTCTTTAAGAGGCACCTAGACATAATGGGATACATTTGGTTCAGGGAAGAGTGAAGAGCAGAGGGAGGTCTACCTTCCACTCTCAAGTGGAATGCCTTTTAGGAAAGGGGAAGACCTCTTCAATAGCATGGTGCCAAGAGGAAGAAATAGGAACAATGGGTGAAAAGTACAGGGACTTTTTTTGCCCAGTATGAAGATGGCAATGTTTGAGTCAGAGCTGCCCAAAGATGCCATGGGCTGTCAGGGGGCAGCTCTCAAGGAGATTCCAGCCCATATGAGTGACCAGACCTGTTCTCCTTTCCATCTCTTCCAGCCCAGATCACCAAGGCTCTCCAAGAGTGAAACCCCAGGGATCATTCTGTGGCTGGAGATGATTCTTGGAGTGGGGAAAATTTCCTCCCAGGGATTTGCATCATATTCCCCAGGCAGGTACAAAGCTGAGCCCTGGACAGAGCTGGTATTATTCAGATGAGAAGAAATAAGTGATTTCCAGGGGCCAAGGCTTTATTTCTCACATTGACATAACATTCCAGCTGTGGGAAATAGACATTTCACTGATTTACTGTGGTGGTAGCTCTCTGCAGCTCCTGAATGCTTATGGGTATGAATCATTTTTTATTTTGTCTCTATGGACTGAATCCCTAGCAAGATAAGGAGGCATTTTGCCAAATCCAGATATGCTGTTTAGGTGATGGAATACATTTAAATTTTTTGAGGATTAAATTAATTTTTCTGACCTAGATAATCCCTCTCTTCCAAAGAAAACTATTCTGGAAGATTTATAGAAGGTATTCAAGGATATTTGGATCTTAGGCAAGTTTGACTTAATCTTACCTGTTCTAGTAGAGCTTTAGGAATTACATTTTCTATAAACTAACAAGAAATGAGAGAAAGTAGTACTTGATATACACTTTTGACTCTCTCACATCCCAGAAACTTAAAGACCAGCAGTTTTATGAGCTGTATTTTATAAGCTCTGTATATCCAATTGTGTTCCTTTCTTCTTTCTTTATATTTTAAAATTAGAATTCTTTCCTTTCAGAATCAAAATTGGTGTTCAATAAATCATTATTTACAACAATGCTATACAAAGCTTTCTAAATTGCTAATGACTCAAATAAATGATAGTACAGCAAGTATATAAAATCAAATATGTAGATAAATCACAACTTTAAAATTCCCACTTTTCTGCTGTCCCTGAGGACTGTAAATAATACTGCCATAACAAAATACCATAGGTTGCATGACTTAAACAACAGGGATTTATTTCTCAGAGTTTTGTGGGCTGGAAGTCTGAGATCAGGGTGTCAGCATGGTTGGGTTCAGGTGGAGGCCTTCTTCCTGGGTTGTAGGTGGCAATGATCTCATTGTGTCTTCACATGATGACTTCTCCTCTTTGTGTGCATACAGAGGTACAGAGAGAGAGAGAGAAGAGAGAGGGCTTTGGGCGAAGGAGTGAACACACAGTGTCTCCTCTTAGAAGGGTGCTAATCTCATCAGACCAAGGCCCTGCCCTCGTGGCATCATCTAACCCTAATTACTTTCCAAAGGCCCCATCTCCAATACCATCACTCTAGGGGTTAGGCCTACAACATAGGAATTTTGGGAGGACACAAATATTCAGTCCATAGTACTTGGCATTCAGTAGTGCTTTTAAATGGAAGTACATTTAGTAATCAAACTGATTAAACGTATTTTTAAAAGGACCTATGTATAAGACATCTTATTCAGCAGTGTTTTGTATTTCTTCTTGTAGAGACCTTTCACCTCCTTGTTTAGCCGTATTCCCAGGCACTTCATTTTCTTTGTGGCTATTGTAAGTGGGATTGTGTTCTTGATTTCACTCTCAGCCTGGATATTGCTGGTGTGTAGAAATGCTGATCTTTTAAATTGATTTTGTATCTTGAGATTTTATTAAAGTTGTTTATCAATTCGATGAGCCCTTTGGCAGTCTTTAGGATTTTCTAGGTATAGAATCATATCATGAGCAAAGATAGTTTGACTTCTTTTCCTATTTGGATGCCTTTTATTTCTTTCTCTTGCCTGATTGCTCTGGCTAGGACTTCTAGTACTATGTTGGATAGGAGTGGTGAGACTGGGCATCCTTGTCTTCTTCCAGTTCTCAAAGGGAATGGTTTGAGCTTTTGCCCATTCAGTATGATGTTGGCTGTGGGTTTGTCATAGATGGCTCTTACGATTTTGAGGTACGTTCCTTCAATGCCTTGCCTGTTGAGGTTTTTTTTTGTCATGAGGGAATGTTGCATCTTACTGAAAGCTTTGTCTGCTAAAAGAAATCAGAGATGACACAAATAAATGGAAAAAATATTCCTTGCTCATGGATTGAAAGAATCAATATCATAAGAATGGCCACATTGCCCAAAACAATTTTCAGATTCAATGCTACTCCTATCAAACTATCAATGTGATTTCTCACAGAATTAGAAAAAACTATTCTAAAATTCATATGGAACCAAAAAAGAGCCCAAATAGCCAAAGCAATCCTAAGCTAAAAAAACAAAGCCAGAGGCATCACACTACCTAACTTCAAAGAATACCCTAAAGCCACAGTACCCAAAACAGCTTTGTACTGTTACAAAAACACATAGGCCAATGGAACAGAATAGAAAACTCAGAAATAAAGCCATACCTATGACCATCTAATCTTTGACAAGGCCAGCAAAAACAAGGAATGGTCAAAGGACTCCCTTTTCAATAAATGGTGCTGGAATAACTGGCTAGCCATATGCAGAAGATTAAGGCTGGAACCCTGTCTTTCACCATATACAAAAATTAACTCAGGCCCGGCTTGGTGGCTTACACCTGTAATCCCAGCAATTTGGGAGACTGAGGTGGGAGGACTGCTTGAGCCCAGGAGTTTGAGACCATCTAGGGCAACATAGCGAGAGCCCTTTTTAAAAACAACAACAAAAACAAAGACAAAACCCTCAAAATGTAAGACTCAAATTATAGAAATCCTGGAGGACAACCTAGGAAATATTCTTCTTGACATTGGCCTTGGCAAAGAATTTTTGGCTAAGTCCCCCAATGCAATTGCAACAAAAACAAAAATACAAGTGGGACCTAATTAAAGTAAAAAGCTTCTTTCTGCACAGCAAAAGAAACCATCAACAGAGTAAACAGACAACTTACAGAATGGGAGAAAATATTCACAAACTATGCATCCAACAAAGGCCTAATATCCAGAATCTATAGGGAGCATAAACAAATCAACAAGCGAACACCAAATAATCCCATTAAAAAATGGACGAAGGACATGAACAGTTACTTCTCAAAAGAAGACATACAAGCTGTCAACAAATATATAAAAAATGCTCATCATCACTAATCATCAAAGAAATGCAAATCAAAACCACAATGAGATACCATCCCATGCTGGTCAGAATGGCTATTATTAAAAAGTCAAAAAATAATAGATGCTGGTGAGGCTGTGGAGAAAAGGCACTACTTCTATACTGTTGGTGGGAATGTAAATTAGTTCAGCCACTGTGGAAACAGTCTGGAGATTTCTCAAAGAACTTAAAACAGAGCTACCATTTGACCTAGCAATCCCAATACTGAGTATATACCCCAAAGAAAACAAATCATTCTACCAAAAAGACAAATGGACTTGTATGTTCATTGCTGCACTATTCACAATAGCAAAGACATGGAATCAACCCGGGTGCCCATCAATGGTAGACTGGATAAAAAAAATGTGGTGCATATACACCATGGAATATAATGCAGCCATAAAAAAGAATGAGATCATGTCTTTTGCAGCAACATGGTTGAAGCTGGAGTCATAATCCTGAACAAATTAATGCAGGAACAGAAAACCAAATACCACATGTTCTCACTTATGAATGGGAGCTAACTATTGAGCACACATAGACATAAAAATGTGGGAACAATTGATACTGTATAGTACTAGAGGGTGAAGGCAGAGTGGTGAGGGGTAAAAAAACTGCCTATCAGGTACTATGCTCACTATTAGGGTGATGGATCTATACTCCAGATCTCAGTATCACACAATGTTCTCATGTAACAAATCTACATGTGACTTCTTGTATCTAAAATAAAAGTTGAGGCCAGGCGTGGTGGCTCATGTCTGTAATCCCAGCACTTTGGGAGGCCAAGGCAGGCAGATCATTTGAGGTCAGGAGTTTGAGACCAGCCTGGCCAATATAGTGAGACCCCGTCTCTACAAAAATACAAAAAATTAGCTGGGTGTGGTGGCACATGTCTGTAGGCCCAGCTACTTGGGAGGCTGAGGCAGGAGAGTTGCTTGAACCTGGAAGGCGGAGGTTAAAGTGAGCCAAGATCACACTACTGCCCTCTAGCCTGGGCTACAGAGCAAGACTCTTATCTCAAAATAAAATAAAATAAAATAAATAATACAAAAGTTGAAAACTTTTTTAAAAACACATCTTATTCAACCTGAGGATATGTTTGTATACAATGGATTTTGAATAACTGACCTAGGTTAAGGCTAGAGGTTAGACCCATGTTCTCACTCATATGTGGAAGCTAAAAAAAGGGGATCCCACAGAAGAAAAAGTAGAACAGAGGATACCAGAGACTGGGGAGGGTTGGGAAAGGAGAGATAGGGAGACATTTGTTGAAGGATACAAAATTACAGCTAGACGGGAGGAATGGGTTCTGTGTTCTATAGCACTGTAGGATGACTGGAGTTAATAATAACATAGGAGGCCAGGCACAGTGGCTCACGCCTGTAATCCCAGCACTTTGGGAGGCCAAGGCGGGCGGATCACCTGAGATCAGGAGTTTGAAACCAGCCTGGCCAACATGGTGAAACCCAGTCTTTACTAAAAATATAAAAATCAGCCGGGTGTGGTGACACATGCCTGTAATCCCAGCTACTCGGGAGGCTGAGGCAGGAGAATTGCTTGAACCCGGGAGGCGGAGGTTGCAGTGAGACGAGATCGCACCCCTGTACTCCAGCCTGGGCGACAGAGTGAGACTCCATCTCAAATAATAATAGTAATAATAATAATAATAACAATAACATGGTATATATTTTCCAGTGGCTACAAGAGATACTAAAGGTTTCCAACAGAAAAAAATGATAAATGTTTGAGGTGATATACTAATTACCCTTACCTTATCACCATACATTACATGTATTAATACATCACTGTACCCCATGGATATGTGCAATTATTATTTGTCAATTTAAAAAATAAAAGCAAAGCAAAAAAAAAGACTAGAGGTTAAGAGCCACTCTTGTGGCTTTCCCATTTCATCAGTGCAGAGAGAAGCACGCAGTTATTGGCTCCTACTTAGTACAGGTACACTGAGAGTTCTGCACCAGGGGCACGAGCATGAACAGACCATGGCTGCTGCCCGCAAAGTGCTCACATCCTGGATTGGGAGCCCCTGGAGTGCAGGTATCATGTCTGGTTTATCTCTGTGCTTTGCCAGATTACTCAGCACAGTGCCTCACATGGAGTTGCTGCTCTGTAGACATTTACTGAATGAATAATATGTGGCAGTTCATAGTGTTTGAGCAAGAGCTTTTTACCAAGCAGAGAAAAGGGCTTCTAATTTCCTGTGACTTCCTCTCTTAAGGTTACATTTTTTGAGCCAGACAACCCAGAAAATGTGGAAATAAGGCTCAAAATCCAGGTGGAGGCAAACGTGTAGAATGAATAATGCCTGTCTCTTTCATCCTCTTTTTCTCTTCTTATTCTGCAGAACTTTAATCTGTCCATCTAAGGCAAGGTCAGCTAGCATTTTCTGTAAAGGGCCAGTTAGTAAGCGTTCTAGGCTTTGGGGCCATTGGGACTCTTCTCCTTTGAAACTACTCAACCTTGTTGTTGTAGAGATTAAGTAGCCATGGACACTAAGTAACAAATGGACATGGCTCTGTTCCAATAAAACTTTACTTGAACAGGCACTGGGCTGATTTTGGCTACAGCCCGCTGGCTCCTGTTGTAGGGTTTGGATCCATTAGCTAGCATTCATTGAAGTCATGACAGCTACATTTTAGCCTTTAGGTAGTGGGCCTGATCTTCAGTACTGGCTGTCTGGTTTTCTGAAGAAACTGATTGAGACGTGTTTTGAATCACACCTGAAAGCACACGATCCAGAGGGTTGGAAAGCCATTCTGATATGCGTGACGTAGCTACAGTACCCTGACATTTACAACTCATGTGATGTTGTTTGGCAGAGACATCCATGGTAAACACTGTGTCAGTGAAGTGGTGTGGATGGGAGCTGGATTGCATTTGTTGGCAGAGTAAGTGGGAGGGGACACCACAGTGGGAGGCAGGGACAGACCCTGTGTCGGGTCCACAAAGCCCCCATGTTCAGAGATGTGTTAGAAGCACTCACGGGGCTCAGTGTATAATTGAGATTTATTGAAATAATGTAATAAGGGTACACATCCAATTGTAAGGGAAAAAGAGGCAGCCCTGAAGGAATCCCCATGCAGATTCTAGAGGAATCTCATCCGGATTTCCTTATTCTCTCTCCCTCCTACGAGGGGTCTCATAGAGCTCACTCTTAACCCATCAATGAAAATGCAGCAACATGTGTGTGATGTTCTGCCCAGGGAGTTCTGGAGACTCCCGAGGTTTTTTGTTGGAGGCTGGTCACATAGGCGCCTATTGCATGGCTCACACCAAAATTCCAGGCTCCTAGAAGGAAAGCAGGTGTTTAGCATAAACCACATTATTTGCACGGGCAGGTACTATAAACCATCCTTATCATTTAAGGAACTGTTTGAGTGTCAAGTTTCAAGACACCAACCTTGCAAGCAGACCTTTCCAAGGGTAGCAGTCTCAGGTCAGATATGTTAACTCTACTCTTTTCTTTTCTTTCTTTTTTCCTTGTTCTTTTTTTTTTTTTCATGGAGTCTCACTCTGTAGCCAGGCTGGAGTGCAATGGCGCGATCTCGGCTCACTGCAATCTCCGCCTCCTGGGTTCAAGCGATTCTCGTGCCTCAGCCTCCTGAGTAGCTGGGATTACAGGCACGTGCCACCATACCCAGCTAATTTTTGTATTTTTAGTAAAGAAGGGGTTTCACCATGTTGGCCAGGATGGTCTCAATCTCCTGACCTCGTGATCCACCCCCCCGGCCTCCCAAAGTGCTGGGATCACAGGCGTGAGCCACTGCGCCCCGCCATATTAACTCTTTTCTCCACATACCTCTACTCAGAGACATTTGAATAGATAAGGGAAGAAGCAGATAGGGTAGGATGTAAAGTCAATGGTTATTTTGTGTCTGGTATGAATTTCAAGTCTTCATGTTATAATGCTGTACAGGCATACCTTTTTTTTTTTTTTGTGCTTTACAGATATTGTTTTTTTTTTTAATACGAATTCGAGGTTTGTGGCAACCCTGCATTGAGCAAGTCTATTGATGCCAGTTTTACAACAGCATGTGCTCACTTTGTCTCTGTGTCACATTCTGATAATTCTCACAACGTTTCAAACTTTTGCATTATTATTATATCAGTGACCAGTGATCTTTGATGTTACTATTGTAATTGTTTTGGGGCACCATGAACCATACACACTTAAGATGGCAACTTAACAGATCAATGTTGTGTGTGTTCTGACACTTCCACTGACCAGCCGTTCCCCCATCTCTCTCCCTCTCCTTGGGCCTCCCTATTTCCTGAGATACAACAATATTGAAACTAGGCCAATCAATCACCCTAAAATGACCACTAAGTGTTCAAGTGAAACAAAGAGTCACAGGTCTCTCACTTTAAATCAAAACTAGAAATGACTAAGCTTAGTGAGAAAGGCATGTTGAAAGCTGAAATAGGTTGAAAGCTAGGCCTCTTGTGCAAAACAGTTAGCCAAGTTTTCAATGCAAAGGAAAAGCTTTTGAAGGAAATTAAAAGTGCGATTCCAATGAATACACAAATGATAAGAAAGCAAAACAGCATTATTGCTGTCGTGGAAAGTTTTAGTAGATAGAAGATCAAACCAGCCACAACATTCCCTTAAGCCAAAACCTAATCCAGAGCAAAACTCTCTCTTTCCAATTCTATGAAGACTAAGAGAGGTGGGGAAGTTGCAGAACAAAGGGTTGAAGTTAGCAGAGGTCGGTTCATGAGGTTTAAGGAAAGTAGCCATTTCCATAACATCAAAGTGCCAGGTGAGACAGCAAGTGCTGATATAAAAACTGCAGCAAGTCATCCAGAAAATCTAAGATAACTGATGATGTGCTGCCATAAAAAAGAATGAAATCATGTCCTTTACAGCAACACGGATGGAGTTGGAGGCCATAATCCTAAGTGAATTAACCCAGGAACAGAAAACTAAATACCACACATTCTCACTTATAAGTGGTAGCTAAACATTGAGCACCCATGGACATAAACATGGAAACAATAAACACTGCTGACTACTAGAGGCAGGAGGGAGAGAAGGGGGCATGGGCTGAAAAACTACCTATTGGGTACTATGCTGATTCCTGGGTACAATATACCCATTCATGTAACAAACCTGCACATGTATGCCCTATGTCTAAAATAAAAGTTGGAAAAAAAAACCCAACAAAAATCCTTAAATAAATAAGTAAATTTGAGCATTGTAACAACAAAAAAGAAGATAATTGATTATGGTGGCTACACAAAACAACAGATTTTCAGTGCAGATGAAACAGCCTTCTGTTGGAATAAGATGTCATCTAGGACTTTCATAGGTAGAGAGAAGTCAATGCCTGGCTTCAAAGTTTCAAAGGACAGGTTGACTCTCTTGTTAGGGGCTAATGCAGCTGGTGACTTTAAGTGGAAGCCAATGCTCATTTACCATCTGGAAAAATCCCAGCGTTCTTAAGGGTCATGCTAAATCTACTCTGCCTGTGCTCTAAAACAAAACAACAAAGCCTGTGTGACAGCACATCTGTTTATAGCATGGCTTACTGAATGTTTTAAACCCACTGTTGAGAACTACTGCTCAGAAAAACAATTCCTTTCAAAATATTACAGACAACGCTCACTGACAATGCACCTAGTCATCCAAGAGCTCCGGTGGAGATGTCCAAGGAGATGAATGTCATCTTTGTGTCTGCTAACACAACATCCAATCCGCAACCCATGGATCAAGGAGAGTAATTTTGATTTTTGAGTCTTACTCTTCAAGAAATAAATTTCATAAGGCTATAGCTGCTATAGATAGTGATTCCTCTGATGGATCTGGGCAAAGGAAATCGAAAACCTTCTGAAAAGGATTCACCATACCAGATGCCATTAAGAACATTCATGATTCATGGGAGGAGGACAAAATGTCAACACTGGCAGGAGTTTGGAAGAAGTTGATTCCAATGCTCATGGATGACTTTGAGGGGTTCAAGACTTCAGTGGAGGAAGTAACTGCAGATGTAGTAGAAATAACAGGAGAACTGGAATTAGAATTGGAGCCCAAAGATGTGACTCAGTTGCTGCAATCTCATGATCAAATGTGAACATATGAGGAGTTGCTTTTTATGGATAAGCAAAGAAAGTGGTTTCTACAGATAAAATCTACTCCTGGTGAAGATGCCATGAGTATTTTAATGACAACAAAGGATTTAGATTATTACATGCACTTATTTGATAAGGCAGTGGAGGGTTTGAGAGGATTCACTCCAATTTTGAAAGAAGTTTTACTGTGGGTAAAATCCTATCAAACAACATTGAATGCTGTAGATAAATCTTTTGTGAAGAGTCCACTGATGTGGCAAACTTCATTATTGTCTTATCTTAAGAAATTGCTACAGCCACCCCTACCTTCAGCAACCTGAATCAGTCAATATCACCACCCTGATCAGTCAGCAGCCATCAATATCAAGGCAAGATCCCTCACCAGCAAAAAGACTATGACTTGCTGAAGGCTCGGATGATCGTTAGCATATTTTAGCAATAAAGTATTTTAAAAATTAAAGTATGTCTATTGTCAGTTTTTAGCCATAATGTTATTGCATGCTTAATAGACTACAGTATATTATAAACATAAGTTTTATATGCACTGGGAAAATAATAAATTTGTGTGACTCATTTTATTGCAATATTAACTTTATTGCAGTGGTCTGGAACCAAACCCACAATATCTCTGAGGTTTGGCGTATATGCCCCAGTGGGAGGGTGATGAGGTGCTGCACTCTGCCTCCCCCGAAACATTATGAGTCGTCTTGATTCTTCTTTATTGCTGGTCATGCCTGGCTGGAAGAAACTCCTCCTGGGTCTTCCTGCCTCCAGTCCGCTTATTCCAGGACACTATGCTCAGGCTGCCAGGACACGACTTCTTGACTCTCATTTGTTCTGTTGCTTCTTATGGTAAAAAATCTAAACTGCCTTCCTATTGCCTATTTTATTGAGAAACTAGAAGTCATTATATTTATTTAATGTCATTTACCTATCTTGCTTCACCTTTTCTTTCTCTCTTAACTCAGGGCATAAAGTATCCCTGTCTCTGCTGAAGGCTGATACCACCAACTGTGTCCTAAGTCCCATCCTCTATCCTCCTTTCCCATTTCTCTTGATCTTCCTCCATCACTTATCTCTCCTCTCCTATATGCAACCTCCTGGTCTTTACTGACTTTTTATTCTTAGCGCACAAACATACAGTAATTGAGTTACTTCCATCATTAAAAAATCCCCCCCAAAAACCTTATTATGACTTCTTCAGTTGCTGTTCTTTCTCCTTCTATTCTCATTCAAACTTCTTGAAAGAATTATTTTTCAGCCAGGTGCGGTGGCTCACACCTGTAATCCTACCACTTTAGGAGGCCGAGGCGGGTGGATCCTGAGGTCAGGAGATCAAGACCATCCTGGCTAACACGGTGAAACCCTGTCTCTACTAAAAATACAAAAATTAGCCGGGTGTGGTGGCACATGCCTGTAGTCCCAGCTACTCAGGAGGCTGAGGCAGGAGAATTGCTTGAACCCAGGAGGCAGAGGTTGCAGCGAGCCAAGATCTTGCCACTGCACTCCAGCCTGGGTGAGAGAGCGAGACTCTGTCTCAAAAAAGAATTTTTTAAAAATAATCTCTTCACCTCCAATTCCATCTTCATTACTCTGAAATTTGACTTCCGCCTACACAGTTCTACTGAATGTTAGGAGCCTATGAGCACCTAATTGCCAAATCCAATAGGCACTTTCTGTTCATTATCTTCCTTGATCTCTCTGCTAAATTTAACACCATTAATCACTCCTGCCTCCTTCGAACTTTTATGTTCCCTTGGCTTCTCTGACGCATCGAAAAATGTTCTGGTTCTCCTCATCTCTATTTGACTATTCCTTTGTGGGCTCCACTTCCTTCACCAATCTTCTAATTGTTGGCGTACCTCGAGGTTTTGTCTGTTGTGTACTTATCTTCTTCTTATGTGTATTCTTTCTGAGCAATTACTAGCTGGATACCAACTCCCAATTTATGTAAGTACAGACATCTCTTCCAAGCTCCAGACCCATATATCCATCTCCATCTAGATGTTCCAGAAGAACCTCAAATGTATCATATCCATAATTGATTTCATTAGTTTCTACTTGGATTCTCCATCTAACTTAGTAGCACCACTATTCATTAGATGTGCAAGAGAGAAGTCATCTTTATTTCTTCTTTCATTCACATGCTCCCTCTTTTTTCAATTACCAAGTCCTATTGATGCTACCTCCTAAATATTTCTCAACCAATTACCTCCCCATCTCTGTTACCAAAACCCTAGTTTAGACTTTCTCTATTCTTGCATGGATGACTTCTAAAGCTTCTACTAGGTTTCCCTGGCACCCATCTTACCTCCAACAAACCCATTCATTCAACAAATACTTACAGAGCATCTACCATACGCATTGTTCTGGGGGTTAGGGAAATAGCAGTGAACAAAAGAGACAGTTTCTGCTGTCACTGAGCATATACTGTGATAATAGGTGAGTGTGTGTGTGTGTGTATAAGTGTCTAAATAACACATTAAACAAGAAAATTCCAGATACCAATTGAAAGACAAGATAATGGGATAGAAGGTAACTGAAGGGGTGGATTAAATTTGGATATTCAGAGTAGAGTTGTCTGAGCTGGTAACATCTCAGCAGAGACCTGAATGATGATGAAAAAGAGCCAGTCTTAGAAGATCTGAAGGAAGAGCATTGTGGGTAGGAAGAACAGCAAGTAGAGGCAGGTTCTGAGGCAAGTTCACGTTGATGTACTTAAAGAACAGGTACTGGCGGGGTGTGGTGGCTCATGCCTGTAATCCCAGCACTTTGGGAGGCCAAGGTGGGTGGATCACGAGGTTAGGAGATCGAGACCATCCTGGCTAACACGGTGAAACCCTGTCTCTATTTAAAATACAAAAAATTAGCCAGACGTGGTGGTGGCCGCCTGTAGTCCCAGCTACTTGGGAGGCTGAGGCAGGAGAATGGCGTGAACCCGGGAGGTAGAGCTTGCAGTGAGCCGAGATTGCGCCACTGCACTCCAGCCTGGGTGACAGAGCAAGACTCCGTCTCAAAATAAAATAAAAAAGAACAGGTACTAGGCTGTTGTGGCTGGACAGTCTCAAGGGAAGAATAGTTTAAGAGGAGGAAGGATCATGTCGAGCTTTATAGGCTATGGATAGATTTGGAAATTTAGAGTATCTTGGGGAGCCATTGAAGGGTTTTCATCAGGAGAAGGATGTGATTTGATCTACCTTAAAAACAGATCACTCTGGTTGCTGCATGGAAAATATGTTGTAGGAGCAAGATTAGAAGTTGGGGAACCAGTTAGGAGATGATTACATTATTCAAGTAAGAAATGATGGTGGCAGGGCTTAAGGGGGCAGCATAGGAGATGGCAAGAAGTGATATTAATAGAATTGGAAGAGAATTTGGGTGTAGAATCAACAGGTCCTGATAAGGAAAGCATCAAGAAAGTCTCCCTCCAACCTCCATTAGTAGCTCTAGAGTGATTTTCTAAATGCAGCTCAAGCCATACTCTACCATTCAACAGTAACCCTCAGTACTTCCTTCCTGCTTATCAATTAAATGCTAAACTCTATAGCCAAAGAGACAAGGCCATCCCTGATGGGTTTCTGCTTTTCTCTCCGGAATACTTCCTTGGGACCCCTCCCTCCCCGGCTGTTAGATGCCTCTTTTGTGTGTGTGTGTGTCCCAGCATCCTGTGCCTTTGGTACCTCTATCATAGCACTAACATCATATTGCAATCGCCTGCGTATGTGTTGATAAGCTCCTATGATGTGAAGACGTGGTCTTGTTCATCATTTTATTTCTAGTGCTTAGCTCCTTGGTGCTTAAAGTTTAGTCCTTGAGCCAGCAGCACAGGCATTGTCTGAGAGTTTGTTTGAAATGCCAAAGCTCAGACCTCACTCCAGATCTAGTGAACTGGAATCTGAATTTTAGCAGCCAGATCCCTGGGAGACTCATATACATCTTGTAGTTTGAGAAGCTGGCTTGTTTCCTGACATACAGCAGGCACTCATCAAACCTGGAATTGAAAAGAGCCAGCAAACCAATCCAGACTCCTCAGAGCTCAACAGTGTTTCCCTTTTGCCACAATAAATACAAATCAAAATTAGCTTTACTGAAGTTAGCTACATCCTACTAGATGCTATGGACACATTCAAAAGTGTCTGCCACTGCATGACTGTTGACTCCTGTTTAAAGTAACATACGTTTTTAATAGAGACAGGGTTTCACCGTGTTAGCCAGGATGGTCTCGATCTCCTGACCTCGTGATCCGCCCGCCTCAGCCTCCCAAAGTGCTGGGATTACAGGCGTGAGCCACCGCGCCCGGTCCCAGCTACTCAGGAGGCTGAGGCAGGAGAATAGAGTGAACCCGGGAGGCGGAGCGTGCAGTGAGCCGAGATAGCGCCACTGCACTCCAGCCTGGGCGAAAGAGCGAGACTCCGTCTCAAAAAAAAAAAAAAAAAAAAAAAAAAAAAGTAACATACGATCAGTGGTTACATTCACTTCTAGGATGGGAACTAAGCACATCAGGGATTTCAGACTCGATTAACTCAAATGTACTCAATTAACTCAAATTTTTTTCTTATAGAATACATTGTAATTTTTAGTAAAGTCACTCATATAATCCAACATCTAAGTTTTTCCTTTGAATAGTTAATACTCTAATTATGTCAAGAATAAACTTTTCCATACCAAAGGTTCTCTGTTCCCATAGGACCTATTAGCAAACCATGCACAAGTGCTAATTAGCTCATTAACACTTCACTGTTATTCTGGGAGATGCTCTCAACTTTGTTTTTTTTTTGTTTTTTGTTTTTTTTTTTTTTTGCCTAAATAAATCTGTAAGGTCAGAAGTTTTCAGTTTCTCTCTCTTTCTCTCTCTTTTGAGATAGAGTCTCACTCTGTTGCCCAGGCTGGAGTGCAGTGGGACAATCTTGGTTCACTACAACATCTGCTTCCTGGGCTCAAGCGATTCTCCTGCCTCAGCCTCCTGAGTAGCTGGAATTACAGGCGTGTGCCACCACACCCAGCTAATTTTTGTGTTTTTAGTAGACACAAGGTTTTGCCATGTTGCCCAGGCTGTCTCAAACTCCTGACCTCAAGCGATCCACCTGCCTTGGCCTCTCAAAGTGCTGGCTTAACTTACCTTTCTTATAAACGTGGACAAGTTGTATCTTATCTGAACAAACCACAAAATGGGACTAACAGTCCACTCCCTACCCAGTTTCCCAGAGCCTTCCAGGGTGATGAAGATTTAGGAATCTCAGGTGCAGGAATTCTGATGTGCATTACAGGCTTCAGTCCGCCTGGTCACTCATTGTCCCTCAGGCATGGGTGTCAACACCAGAGCCCAAGGACAGCTGTGCCCGGTCAGCTTGTAGTAAACAGGCAGGGACCTTAACTTCTCAGCATCTTAGGTACTCGGAATTCACTGCTGCTTGAGCTCAGAGGTTTCTCCTTCACATAAACCCCTTAAAGCCTCCAGAAACCTCAATAGTCCCGTCACCTGAAGGCAGATAATCCACCTTGCTGAGAACAGCTCTCACTCCCTCCCTAGAAATCTTCAGAGAAGCAAGAAGTGGCTCTTTTTCTGTAAAACCTATGGGAAATTATTGAGCTGCCTGCTTCTCAGGTTGAGGAAATGCATGGTGAAAATCAAATGTTTCATGCCGGTCGCGGTGGCTCACGCCTGTAATCCTAGCACTTTGGAGGCTGAGGTGGGCAGATTGCTTGACATGGTGAAACCCTGTCTCTACTAAAAATAAAAAAATTAGCCAGGTGTGGTGGCACACACCTGTAGTCCCAGCTACTCAGGAGGCTGAGGCACGAGAATTGCTTGAACCTGGGAGGCAGAGGTTGCAGGGAGCCAAGATCTCGCCACTGCATTCTAGCTGGGTGACAGAACAAGACTCTATCTCAAAAAAAAAAAAAAAAAAAAAAAAAAAAATAAATCAAATATTTCATTTTTAAAATGGGAAAATTTACTGCAGGGACAGTGGAGTGAAAACAATTATTCTCTTTTGCTGTTGTTTTTGTAGAGTCCGTGTGGGATGTTGCAGAGAGCAGTGGCTGGAAATAGGGTTCTGGATCTCGTTCTCTTTGTCCATACTCGTTAGCATTACGTTCTTGTCACCTCTCTTGTCCACAGTGTTTTCACTAGATGGCCTCTAGCATCCCCTCTAATCCCAACATTTTAGGGGCTCTTTATTTCTGTTTTTCCTGTTTTTTTTTTTTTTTTTTTTTCCCTAGGGAGAATTAAAAAGTGAATTAAGTCGAGCTCTGACCCTCTCTGAGTACCTAAAAAATTCCAGGGATTCAGTAGCCAGTGGTAGTGTGCTGGTAAATGCTTAACCACCAGTGCTGATTTGTAATATTTGCGAATTTTTGTGGTGTAAATAATCTCATCATGGCTGACTTCAAGCTCTCAAGATGATGTTAACCTGCTCACAAAATTTCTGAAAATTTATCAGTCAGCTCTTGCAAGCTGGGATGAGCTGTCTCCAGCACACCTTGGTGAAAAAGCCTCGTTGTATGTTATTCTAAAAAGAACAGGACTTATACAGCAAAGGGCAGGGATGCTTTCCCATTATCTTGGCTCTATGCCTGGTTATGGGGAAATTTAGGATGAACATCAGAAAATTGCAGAAGGTTAGCACTGACATGTGTGACCAAACACCGAGAATAGGAGTGATTCCCATTTGTCAGGATGTCTGACAACTCTCCGGGGCCTTCTGCCAGGAAGTCATCATACCATTCCTGTATGCTTGGAAAAGGGCACGCAATGACACTCAGACATTGGATTGCCAATAAGAATTATTCCAAGTAGAGAGGTAGAGTCTTTTCCATGTGCCAGATATAAGAAGGTCTGGGAGTGGGGTAGGGCTTAATATTACCTTCAGTGTAGTCTCTCCTATTTAGTTTTGGGCTCATTCCCTGAAATCAATTTTAAATTGTGGGCTGGCACTTCTTTCCTGCAGGTACGCATTCATCTCTTGTTGCTATTTCTGATGACTACTACCCTAATTTTCCTACCTTTGTAAAAAAAAATCATTTAGTTCCCAGGATATGTTCAGAGAGACATTCATATTTTATTTTTGTTTAACCACAATTGAAAGCATAATGGAAGGTCATAGGTTTAAGTTTGGAGTAGTGAGTGAGTTATACTGAGAATAATCTCATCCCTTGGCCATGAGGTGTGTACTGTTTCATTCTAAGAACTTCAAGTAGGAAGATGTTCTGAATATATTCTGTCTCATAAGGGAGACACCAGCATCAGATGAGGCCCAGCCCTTAGCAAAGTTAAAATGTCAATAGACCCAGAGCTTAGCAGATCTATAATATCAAGACAAAGCTTGGTGTTCAGATGCCAAGTGCTGATATGAATGTTTTGGTGAAGACTGGGCAGGAATCCTAGTATAGTGTATAGCCCTGAAGTTCTTTGTCTTCTTCCCAGGACAGCATGAAGTGGCCACTAGTGTTCATGGTCAGGGCATACTAGAAACTAACCAGGTGAATTATGGGTCCACATCTAGGTTGATGAGGAGGCAAGGAGCAGGAACAAAGGCCCAAAAGTAAAAAATCATTGACAAACCCAAAGTGTCTATCTCGTAAGTGAATGTTGTTGGGCTCAAGAGAGCTATGACAAGACTAGGTGAACTGGCTCAATTATCCCATTTTCTTAGTAGACAGACACATGCCCCCAGAAAGAGCCAGGCTCAGTGAGGGAAGGTAAAGAGCAAACCCAAGGTCACATATCTAAGAAACAGCCAAGTCAAATATTAAACTGGAGTTCATTTGGGATCAAAATTCTCCAGAGAAATAGAACCAGTACAATGCATACAGACACACACACGTATGTATGTATGTATGAAAGTATATTTGTATGTATACACACACTCCATATATATATATATATATAATATATATACACACACACACACACACACACACACACACATATATGCATACATAATGTATTAGTCTGTGTTCACACTGCTATAAAGAACTTCCCTGAGACTGGTTAATTATAAAGGAAAGAGGTTCATTGACTCACCGTACCCTACGGCTGGGAAGGTCTCAGGAAACTTACAACCATGGCCGAAGGGGAAGTTGGCACCTTCTTCACAAGGCAGCAGGAGAGAGAAGTGAGAGTATAGGAAAAAACTCCCACCGTCAGATCTCATGAGAATTCACT
Source organism: Homo sapiens (assembly GCF_000001405.40). NCBI lineage: Eukaryota > Metazoa > Chordata > Mammalia > Primates > Hominidae > Homo > Homo sapiens. The sequence goes on from NC_000007.14 coordinate 135,896,455, forward strand.
CACTTATCATGAGAACAGCAGGGGAGAAACTGCCTCCATGATCCAATCACCTCCCACCAGGTGCCTCCCTCAACACCTGGAAGTTACAATTCAAGATGAGATTTGGGTGGGAACACAGAGCCAAACCATATCACATACATACATATATATGTTTATATATATATACACACACATATATATATATATATATACACACACACACACATACATGGAATATATATACATACACATTGACCATGGGTTGCCCAGATTAAACATTGTGTCGGGGGGTGTGTGTGTGTGTATTTTTACTATATATGGAAATTGTTTTATATGTCATGAGAAATATATTCATATATACATACAAATATATATTTCTGTGTGTGTCAAATATATATTTGTATATATATATGAATATATTTCTCATGACATATAAAAAATTTCCTTATATATAGTAAAACTATATATTTCCTTATACAGTAAAGATATATTTACATATATTTCCTTATACAGTAAAGATATATTTACATATATTTCCTTATACAGTAAAGATATATTTATATGTATTTCCTTATACAGTAAAGATATATTTATATATATTTCCTTATACAGTAAAGATATATTTATATATATTTCCTTATAGATATATAAATATATATTTATATAGTTCCTTATAGATATATAGTAAAAATATATTTATATATAGTTCCTTATATATAGTAAATATATATTTATATATTTTCCTTATAGATATATAGTAAATACATATTTGTATGTATTTCCTTATAGATATATAGTAAATATATATTTGTATGTATTTCCTTATAGATATATAGTAAATATATATTTATAGGTATTTCCTTATAGATATATAGTAAATATATATTTATAGGTATTTCCTTATAGATATATAGTAAATATATATTTATAGGTATTTCCTTATAGATATATAGTAAATATATATTTATAGGTATTTCCTTATAGATATATAGTAAATATATATTTATAGGTATTTCCTTATAGATATATAGTAAATATATATTATAGGTATTTCCTTATAGATATATAGTAAATATATATATTTCCTATATACAGTATATATATTTTACTATATATGTAAGGAAATATATATATTTCCTCTCTATATAAGAATATATATATTTCAGGCCAGGCATGGTGGATGATGCCTCTAATCTCAGCACTTTGGGAGGCCAAGGCGAGCAGATCACGAGGTCAGGAGTTTGAGACCAGCCTGGCCAACATGGTGAAACTCCGTCTCTACTAAAAATACAAAAGTTAGCTGGGTGTGGCGGGTGCCTGTAATCCCAGCTACTCAGGAGGCTGAGGCAGGAGTATCACTTGAATCTGGGAAGCAGAGGTTGCATTGAGCAAAGATTGTGCCACTTCACTCCAGCCTGGGCGACAGAGTGAGACACTATCTCAAAAAAAAAAAAAAAAGAATATATATATATTTCCTTATAGGTATAATAAATATATATTTATGTATTTCCTTATAGATATATAATAAATATATTTCCTTATAGATACATAATAAATATATATTTCCTTACATATATAGTAAATATATACTTATATACTATATATAGGAAATACATATTTATACTATATAAAAATAAATTTAATACTATATAAAAATATAAATTTATACTATATATAAACAAATTTATACTATACCTAAATTTTTCCTGTAATTGTATATAGTATAAATTTCCTATATATAGGACATTTATATTTGTATATTTTATATATTCATATATTTCCTATATATAGGAAATATATATTTCCATATATAGTGCAAATATATATATATTTCCATATATATAGTAAATATATATATATTTCCTTATCTATATATATATATATAAGGAAATTTGTCGTGAGAAATTGGCTCATGGGACTATGGAGGCTGAGAAGTCCCACAGTCTGCCATCTGCCATCTGCAAGCTGGAGGCCCAGGAAAGACAGTGGTGTAATTCAGTACAGGCGTGAAGGCCTGAGAACAAGGGGAGCAGATGGTATAGATCCCAGTCTGAGGTCCAGAGAGAAGATGATATGTCCCAGCTCAAGTAGTGAGGCTAGAAAGAGGGGGTGAATTCCTGCTCCCTCCACCATTTGTTCTATTCAGGCCCTCAACAGATTGGAAAACGTCCATCCACATAGGAGAGGGCAATCTGCTTTATGGAGTCCACTGATCCAAATGCTAATCCCATCCAGAAACACCCTCACAGACACACCCAGAAGCAATGCTTAATCTGGGCACCCTGTGGCCAGTCAAGTTGTCACATCAAGTTTATCATCACATCCCCCACACAAAAGCACCCATTCTGCATTTTCCGGAGCATGGGTGAGGAGTCCTGGAATAACCTGTACAGGAAGGATGGCAGTGAGGACGATTTGCCTGAATGACGGAGATGTAAATTAGCTTGTGTGTGAAGAAGCTTTTTAATGAGAAGAGGAACGCTACAAAATGGTGTCTACGTTAGGATTATAAGTGTTGCAAATATTTATACATATGGCTTATATTTGGAAGGGGATAAAGAAAAATGAAAAGGTAGGCTGGTAAGGTTATGTGTGAATATTTTATAAACCTTCCTTTCTTGACTTTGTAATGTTTGAATATACTCAAATCTTTTGTGAAAAGGGTTTTCTATTTTATGGAGAACAAAATGAGCTGGAATTTCCCTGGAGGAATTGAAATCAGGCAGAAGGAAGAATTTCTCTGTGGGATATTTAGATTCCAGGAAGTGCTTATGTAAGAGCTGGGACACCATCTGCAAGAACGTGGAGAGCATTGGTGGCCCCTGGAGCAGGGGACAAACCAGGTTGCTGCCAAAGGATCTTCCCATCTGGAGATTCCTATATTATTCCCATTTCACAGATGGGAGGCTCTGGTTCGTAGCATTAACTGAGATGCCAATGTGATTCTGTGTGTGGGTGGCATGGAGAGGCCTAAACAGCCAGGCTCATGACATAGGGAAAGTCCAACTTTGGTAACTGCTTCCGATCTCCTCCAGGCGTGTTCATTCCTATAATGATCCAAATCCTACCAGCAGCTGCAGCAGTTAGGCACCAGGTTCCCCAATTCCTCAACAGAACAAAGGTTATTCTAACATCAGAACTTTGCATCAACTTTTGCAGTCATAAAGGTCTTAAACAGCCTTAAAAACAAAAACAAAAGCAAAACAAAACAAAACAACAAAAAGACCTGTTGAGTGCAGGGAAGATAATAGGAGCAGCTTTCTAGGTGGGAAAGTTTTCTTGACACGATGGCAGGGCTCCACCTCTGCACCCCCGACCCAGCCAGTCTTCTGCTCCGAGTCAGAGCTCTCCAACATAAACTCCTTTTTTCTAGGTAGGAAACTTGTTGTTATTGCTATTTTGGTAACTTGGATTGCACTGTGGACATGTCTGGTTTGAAACACATTACAGTTGAGCGTTGAACAATGTGGGGTTAGGGCTGCTAACCCCTGCACAGTTGAAAATCCACATATAACTTCTGATGCCCCCAAAACTTAACTGCTAATAGCCTACTGTTGGCTGGAAGCCTTACAGATAACATAAACAGTCAATTAACAGATATTTTGTATGTTATATGCATCATATACGGTATTCTGACAACAAAGTAAGCTAAAGAAAAGAGATTGTTATTTAGAAAATCGTAAGGAAAAGAAAATACATTTACAGTACTGAAATGTATTTATTGACGCTGTAAGTTTACATGGTCTGTTTACACGACAAATCATCTGTCTGAAGTCGGGGCAACCACAGCTGCAGACCTCAGACCTCAATCTACAGTGCATATCAAGCAATGCAACTTTTTCTTGTAATGTCATGACTTTTTTCTGCTTCTTGGGAGCATTTCCAGCATCAGTAGTGGCACTCCATATGGGTCCCATCGTGTTATTCAAGGTTTATGGGATTGCACTAAACATGATGAAATATACATGAAAGCCACAAAAGATCACTGTGGCCTGTGACCAGCAATCTACTGATAGAAGGAACTGCTCACATGGAGATGATGAGTGTAACATGGTGGATTTTTTTTTTTTTTTTTTTAGAGAGAGGGTCTCACTCTGTCACCCAGGCTGGAGTGCAGTGGTGTGATCACCACTCGCTGCAGCCTCAAATTCCCTGGCTCAAGCAATCCTCTCAACTCAACCACCTGAGTAGTGGCTGGGACCCCAGGCATGCACCACCATACCTGGCTAATTTATTTTTATTTTTTGTAGAGATGAGGTCTCCCTATGTTGCCCAGGCTGCTCAATTGATCCTCCCGCCTTGGCCTTTCGAAGTGCTGGGATTACAGGTGAATGTCATATGGTGCTTTAAGCAGAGATTCACAGCACTGGAGCTCACTGCAATGGCAACAGAGAAAGTGGTTACAAAATTATTACAGTAGTATAGTATGTACCACAGTGAATTTTATGCAATTATGATTTAATACAGCACTTCAGGAGGCTGAGGCAGGAGGATCTCTTGAGCTCAGGAGTTCGAGACCAGCCTGGGCAACATAGGGAGACCTCATATCTGTTTAAAAGAAAAAAAAAAAAGAAAAAATACTGCATCTTTACATTTGTTTACATTTCTCTTGACTGCAAAGAATACCATGTACAGTATGTAAGTGTATACATATGTTTTGATAATTTTTACTTTTTATAATAGATTGTATCTATTTTATGGTAGTAAATGATAAAACAGACTAATATCTATATATGTTTTATATATATATTCATGAATATATTTAACTTTTTCTTAGTTTTTTGATATTTCTAGGCTACATGGTTCATTTGCAAGTTTTAAAACATTGTCACAAATCTCCAAAAATGTTTCTAATATGTTTATTGAAAGAAATCAGCATATAAAATGGACCTGCACAGTTCAAACACATGCTGTTCAAGGGTCAACTGTACTTTCCTGGGATATGCATTTCTCCCAGAATTAAATAACTCTTCTCTTCCCATAAGGCCCATTTGTGTAGGGGAAGGTTCATGTCTGAGCTTGGGAAACACTCAGGTTGAAGCTGAGTCTTGCCATGTGCAACTCTCTGAGCCAACGTTTTCTCATTTGCAAAGTGAGACTATCAATTCCGACCTCACGTGGTTCTGAAGATGAAGGGTGTGGACAAAGCACAGGAAAATCATAGACCCTCACCAAACTGTAGGCACATCATAGACCCTCGCCAAACCGTAGTTCCTTTTAAATTGTAGGAGACAGCGGAGATGATGCACATTTGGTGCTCCTGCATTGCTTCCTGCACTGAGCCACAGCTCCTTCTCACCGTTGACCAGCACATAGGAGGTGTCAAATGACAGACCTCACTAGCTCTGAAAAGCTGCCTTTGTTTTGATGATTGGCACCCCTCATGATGACACTTGGGTTTAGCCAACCAAACACTGTTTCAAAGTGACTGCAGTGGCCTTCTCCTCCAGAGCCACTGTGAAGTCCCATAAATGCATTTATTCCTGGTCCCCAGCCAGACTCCACAGGGCTGGGTGTTGGCCCAGAGTGCTTGGCACACTCTTGGGACATGATGGCAGCTCTAGACTTCAGGGCTAGGGTGCCCCAGCCCTTGCCTGCTGGTGGATGAGGATGGGCAGCATCAACACTGCCACCTGGCCTTGGAGCTCAGAGTAGAGGCTGGGGAGGAAGACAGAATGGGAGGCCACAGTTCCCAGAGTTGAAGTCAGCTTCTCCTTATTGGGTTGGGAAGAACAAAAGAGTTCATCAGAGCAGAATACCCCAGGACAGCCCAAAGAGGGAGGGGTCTGACTATCCCAGATTGTGATAAGACCCCTTAATGATAAGTTTCATCTTTCTGGAGTAGTGGTTAGGCACAGTGGCTTTGATCCCAAATGAGCTCCAGTTTAGTATTTGACTTGGCTGTTTCTTAGATATGTGACCTTGGATTTGCTATTTACCTTTTCTTGCTGAGCCTGCCTCTTTCTGGGTAAAAGGGAATACTACTACTACTACTACTACTACTACTACTACTAGTAGTAGTAGTAGTAGTAGTAGTAGTATTTCCCACATTAGGCGATTGGGAGGATTAAATGAGAGAATGTCGTGTATGGCAGTCCAGCATATGACACATTGGAGCAAACTCTCAGTCGACGTTGCCTGTTCCCATCAGAATCCAGAGCCCAAGCTGTTATTTCTATGTCAATAATTATTTGCATGAAATGTGCCTCATCCTCCCCACCAAGCCATTGCTGTCTTCTACTTTAATGTTCAGTCTAAAAGGCCCATCTTCTAGAAAGTGAAGTTTATCCCACCTTGCATGATGCATGGCCAAGGTGCCCAGCACTGCCTAGACACGCGTGCACATGGCAAACACAAGCTTACGGGCACAGGGTGCAGGGAGCAATGATAATACATTCATCAGAATGCCTGCTAGGTGCCAGGTTTTGCTCGAATTTGGGGGATGCAGCAATGAAATAAACAGCCAAAAATCTCCACTTTCCTGGAGTTACCATATTCTAATGGCAAAAACATAAAATACACTAATTAAGAAAATGTGATAGTATATTAAAAATGACAGGGCCTGGTGCAGTGGCTCACCCCTGCAATCCCTGCACTTTGGGAGGCTGAGGTGGGAGGATCACTTGAGCCCAGAAGTTTGAGACCAACCTGGGTAACACTGCAAAACCCTATCTCTACACACTTTTTTTTTTTTTTAATTAGCCATGTCTGGTGGCATGCACCTGTAGTCCCAGCTACTCAGGAGGCTGAGGCAGGAGGATCACTTGAGCCCAGAAGCTGGAGGCTGCAGTAAGCTATAATCATGCAACTGCACTCCAGTCTAGGTGGCAGAACAAAAATAAATAAGATAGACAAATGCTGGAGAGAAAAAATAAAGCAGGGAAGAGGAATATAAAATGTTGTAAGGGCATTTGAAAGTATATGTGGGGTGGTGGATTAGTCTGCTCATGTTTCCATAAAAAAATACCACAGACTGGTGGCTGAAACAACAGAAATTCATTGCCAGGAGCGAGGTGGCTCATGCCTGTAATCCCAGCACTTTGGGAGGCCGAGGCAGGTGGATCACCTGTGGTCAGGAGTTTGAGACCAGGCTGGTCAAAATGGTAAAATCTCGTCTCTACTAAAAATCCAAATTTAGCCGGGTGTGGTGGCACGTGCCTGTAGCCCCCAGGCTGAGGCAGGAGAATTACTTGAACCTGGGAGGCGGAGGTTGCAGTGAGCCGAGATCGTGCTATTGCACTCCGGCCTGAGCGACAAGAGCGAAATTCCATCTCAAAAAACAAATAATCAAAAAAAGAAATTCCCTGGGCTTGGTGGCTCACGCCGTAATCCCAGCACTTTGGGAGGCCAAGGTGGGCAGATCACTTGAGGTCAGGAGTTCGAGACCAGCCTGACCAACATGGAGAAACCCTGTCTCTACTAAAAATACAAAATTAGTCAGGCATGGTGACACAAGCCTGTAATCCCAGTCACTCGGGAGGCTGAGGCAGGAGAATCGCTTGAACCTGGGAGGTAGAGGTTGCAGTGAACCGAGATCACACCATTGCATTCCAGCCTGGGCGACAAGAGCAAAATTCCATCTCAAAAAACAAAACAAACAAACAAACAAACAAACAAACAAAATTCATTGCCTCACAATTATAGAGGCCAGAATGTGAAATCAAGGTATAGACAGGGTCAGTCTCTTTTGAGATTTCTCTCCTTGGTTTGTAGATGGCTGTCTTCTCATGGTCCTTCTTCTAGGCCTGTCTGGTGCTAATGATCTCTTCTTTTAGGGACACCAGCCATAATGGAGTAGGGCCCACCCATATGACCTCATTAATTAAGGTAATTAACTTTAATTACCTCTTTAAAGACCCTGTCTCTAAATACAGTGACTTTCTGCAGCACTGGAGGTTAGGAATTCAACATATGAGTTTGGAGGAGGGGACACAATTCAGCAATTCAGCCCATACATGTGGCAAGGGAAGGCTTTGCTGATGTATCACCTTTGAGTAAAGGCCTGAACGAAGTGAGGGAGCCAGTATGTGACTCTCTGAGGGAAGAGCATTCCAGGAAAAGGGAACGGCAGGTGCAAAGGCCCTGAGGTGGGAGCATGCCTGGCTTGGTTCACAAACAGGAAGCTGTGTGGCTGGAGCCACAAGAGAAAGGAAACGAGCAGTGGGAAAAGTTGGCATAGAGGCAACAAAGAACAGGTCATATAGAAGCCAGAGAGTGACAAGGTCTAACTTACAGTGTCCCCCTGGCTGCTGCATTGAAAGAGACCAAATGGGGCAAGGGCAGAAATAGAGGCGGCTGCAATGGATCAGGGTGGTGGCAGTGGGCTGGTGAGAAGGGTGTGTTTCTAGATGCATTTTGGAGGTAGAACTGATAGGATTTGCTACTGGATCAGACGGGGTTGGTGTGAGAGAAAAAGTCAAGGATGGCTGCTGGGGTTTTGGCCTGAGCAAATACATGAAAATAAGGAGTAGCTATTTATGGAGATGGCAAGACTGGAGGAGAAGGAGGGTTTGGGGGGAAGATCAGGAGCTCAGGTTGGGACATGTCAAGTTTGAGATGTTTATTGAAATTCCAACTGGAGATATTGACTAAACAGGCGAATATTTAAGTCTGGATTTTAGGTGAGAGGTTCAGGTATAAAGATATAAATTTGGGCACCATTGGCATGTAGATGTTATTTAAACCATGAGACTGGATGAGGTGACAAGGGAGAGAGAGTAAATAGAAAAGATAAGAGATTATCTAAGTATGAGCCCTGGGGTTCTCCAACGTTTTTCTCCAACAGAAAAAAAAATCCAAATTACAGACCCCTAAGACAACCCCCTTTTAGGTCTCCAAGTTAAATCTTTAGCTGAGGCGGTTATTATTATGAGGCCAGGAATAATTTTTTGGTTTCTTGTTGTCTTAACATGACCACATCTCCTGGAAGCCCTCCTTGGCCTCTTGGCCACCAGAATTTGCTCTTACCAGTATCATTGTTGGAGTGAGTCATGGAGGGCACACAATGCAAGCAACAGAGAGTCTTCGAGTCTAACACCTGGCTTAGTCTCACCAGAGAATATACTCCGTGCAGGATTAATATTTATGAAGTTGCACATCTCGGCCAGGGTCTAGCAAGTCTTTGGTTTCTGGAGGCCAGCCACAGGGGTTGTGTTAACACAGAGGAAAACCACAAATGTTGCTAGAGCCCTAGAGAGGGCCATGAAGCTACCATTTACATGTAACCCAACCCTGCAGGGAGAGGGCCTGCAGAGGCCACACTGTGGGGTGGCATACTGGGATGATGGACGTAAACTTGGAGATGCAGATGGGGATTGGTTGAAGTAAGTCCCATTCTGGGCCCACAAGAGGAAACCTGCCCTTCTGCAGAAAGGTTTAAGGTTTTAAACCTGCCCATCTTTGAAGAGCAGAGATGGGCAGGTTTAAAAAATCAAAACAGGGTTTAGTGTTCATGTCTGGTCTTAGTTGTTGGCCTGGTGAGGTCTCCAGCTGCCTAGTGCTTTTCTCTACATAGGCACAGGCCACCATGTTATCCCTAAGACTCATTAGAGAGTGGGACATGGCCTCTGTGTGTCCTTACAGTGCAGAGTTTCCAAGCCGAGGAGCTGGTGGAATGACCGGGGGTGTGGGGGTGTAGGAGGTGCACTGAGGCGGCATTATGTAACGTTGACTCACACAATTAGTCCTTTCAAATCTCATTCCATCTTTTTGATGACATCAAAAGGCATATCAGGCAGTGCTGGTCTTTAACACCTCTCTTATCCTTGCTAATCTTCCTGCATAATACAGAGAAAGCAGGCTGTGAGCTCAGAGTTTTGGGAAGCAGCAGGGGCCACCAGGAACTTGAGATCATTGTTTTATTTATTTATTTTTTCACTTTATCTTTTCAGTTACTTCTTATCGATCACAAATAATAGCTGATTTTCCATAATAAATTCCATAATTTATTTAATTAAAAACAGTGACTCAATTTAAGAAAAAATATTAAAAAATAATAGGCTGGGCACAGTGACTCACACCTGTAATCCCAGCACTTTGGGAGGCTGAGACAGATGGATCACTTGAGCTCAGGACTTCAAGACCAGCCTGGACAAGATGGCGAAACCCCATCTCTACTAAAAATACAAAAAAATAGCCAGGCATGGTGGCACACACTGGCTGTCCCAGCTACTTGGAAGGCTGAGGTGGGAGGATAGATTGAGTCCAGGGGCAGAAGCTGCAGTGAGCTGAGATCGTGCCACTGCACTCTAGCCTGGGTGACAGAGCGAGACCCTGTCTCAAAAAACAAAACAAAACAAAACAAACAAAACAAACAAAAACAAGGGCTCTGCGGTTATGGCAAAAATCCTGATGGTAATATGGGAATGACTGAAGTATTAGAAAAGTGGCTCCAGTGAAATATCACATTTGGCTTCATGGAGTACAAGTGCCTTTAATAATAGTAGAGATTTCTAGGTTGGAAATCATCGTCCCTAGGAATTTTGAAGACATTGCTCCACTGTCTTCCAGTTTCCAGAGTTGCTGGGGAGAAGTCAGAAGTCACCCGGACCCCTGACTCTTTATCAGTAATTTTGTTCTCCTCTCTCGGGAAGCCAGCAGGGTCTTCTGCTTGTTCTCAGGGCTCCGAAGTTTCATGGTGAGGTGCCTTGGCGTGGACCTCCTTTCAGCCTTTGTGCTGTAGACTCAGTGAGCCATTTCTCATATGCACCAGCTCTGGGACATTTTCTGGAGTATAATAATAATTTATTTTCTGTTATTAATATTAATTTTATGATGATTTTCTGTTCTTATTGTTTTCTGTTTCTCTGTTATCTGCAGAGCTCCTGTTTCTTCAGATGCTAGCTCTCATCTTCAGTTTCTCTACTTTTTTCTCTTTTCCCTCCTGTTTCTTCAGATGCTAGCTCTCATCTTCAGTTTCTCTACTTTTTTCTCTTTTCCCTCCTGTTTTTCATCTGTTTGTCTTACTTTTTATTTTCTGGGTGATTTTCCTCAACCTTTTAACACTTTTATTTACTGAGCTTTTAATTTTTCTCTTATACATTTATTTTCTAAGAATTGTTCATTTTTCTGTTTTGTGAAAATTCTTTTTTAGAGCATAGTATTCTTATTTCCTAGACAATATCTTCTTTGTATCTTTCTTAGGATATATATATATATATATATATATATATATATATATATATATATAAAATATGCTTTCCTTAAGTGTCTGGTGATCCTTTGCTGTCACTTCATGACTGTGAGGAATTAAAAAGTGATTAGGGCCAGGTGTGGTGGCTCACACCTGTAATTCCAGCACTTTGGGAGGCTGAGGCAGGCAGATCACCTAAGGTCAGGAGTTCAAGACCAGCCTGACCAACATGGTGAAACCCCATCTCTACTAAAAATACAAAAATTAGCCAGGTGTGGTGGTGGGTGCCTATAATCTCAGCTACTCAGGAGGCTGAGGCAGGGAGACTCACTTAAACCAGGCAGGTGGAGATTGCAGTGAGCCGAGATCACACCATTGCACTCTAGCCTGGAAGACAGAGCGAGACTCCATCTCAAAAAAAAAAAAAAAAAAAAAAAGATTAGAATATACAAAATAACTGAAGACAGGGACTCAGATATTTGTATGTCAATGTTCATAACAGCATTATTCACAATAGTCTAAAGGTAGAGACAACTCAAATGTCCATCAACTGATGAATGGATAAACAAAATATATTATCTATATAAAATGGAATATTATTTAGCCATCAAAGAAATGCAAATTTTTTTTGAAACAGGGTCTGTCACCCAGACTGGAGTGCAGTGATGTGATCATAGCTCTTGGCAACCTCGACCTCCCTGGCTCAAGCGATCCTCCCACCTCAGCCTCTTGAGTAGCTAGGACTATAGGTGCACCCCACCATGCCCAGCTAATTTTTTTTTGTAGAGATGGGGGTCTCACTATGTTGCCCAGGCTGGAACTCCTGGGCTCAGGCAATCCTCCCAACTCAGCCCCATGAGTAGCTGGGACTACTCATGAGGTGTGCCTCTACACCTAGCTAATTTTTGTATTTTTGTTGTTGTTATAGATACAGGTTTCCACCATGTTGTCCAGACTGGTCTTGAACTCCTGAGCTCAAGTGATTCACCGTTCTCGGCTTCCCAGAGTGCTGGGATTATAGGCATCAGCCACCGTGCCTGGCCAGAAATGCAAGTCTGATATCAGCTACAGTGTAGATAAATCTGGAAAACATTATGCTAAGTGAAATAAGCTAGGCACAAAAGGAAAAGTAGTGTATGATTCTGCTTACATGATGTATCTAGAATAGGCAGATTCATGGAGACAGAAAGCAGATTCATGGAGACAGAAAGCAGATTCAGAAGTTACTAGGGGCTTGGGGGAGAAGAGATGAAGCAGTGATTGCTTAATGGGTACAGTTTCTGTTTGGGGTAATGAAAAAGTTGCAGAAATAGATAGTGGTGATGGTTATATAACATTGTGGATATACTTAATGCCACTGAACTGTAAACTTAAAAATGGCTAAAACGGCATATTTTATGTTTTATATATTTTACTACAATGGGGAAAAAAAAGTGAATGGAAGCCCTGAGGTAGGAATTACTGAATGTGAGGGCCACTGTGAGTTCTGGCTGGGCCACTTCCTTAGGGAATCCTGGATTTCAGAACCTTTAGACTGAGATGCCCCAGTGAAACCTCTTTCAATGGCTTGCCTGAAGCACACAAACCTGTCTACTGGTGTTTTGAGAGGCAGTGAGAGGAAGAGGCTGGGAGGAGAGAGGGCTCAACCTTTAGAACAAGTTTCTACTGAATCTGCTGTTTTCAGCGTGACTAACACCTTCACTCAAGCCTGGTGATCCCTGGCCCAGAGGCCTCTGCCTTACTTGTTCCAGAAAATACACTTCCAGGCTGCCTCTGGAGAGAGGGAGAGGAGCAGTCACCTGGTTGTACAGAGGGGAAAGGCACCTTGAGGTCGAAGTGTTTCCAGGATGAATTTCCAACTGTCAAAAGTGCTTAACCAGAGCAACTCCATCTTGAATAGGAGCTGGGTAAAATGAGGCTGAGACCTACCAGGCTGCATTTCCAGACAGTTAAGGTATTCTAAGTCACAGGATGAGATAGGAGGTTGGCACAAAATACAGGTCATAAAGACCTTGCTGATAAAACAGGCCGTAGTAAAGAAGCTGGCCAAAACCCACCAAAACCAAGGTGGCCACGAGAGTGACTTCTGGTCGTCCTCACTGCTACACTCCCACCAGCACCATGACAGTTTACAAATGCCATGGCAACGTGAGGAAGTTCCCCTATATGGTCTAAAAAGGGGAGGCATGAATAATCCACCCCTTGTTTAGCATATCATCAAGAATTAACCACAAAAATGGGCAAGCAGCAGCCCTTGGGGCTGCTCTGCCTATGGAGTAGCCATTCTTTTATTCCTTCACTTTCTAAATAAACTTGCTTTTGCTTTGTACTGTGGACCTGCTCTGAATTCTTTCTTGCAAAAGATTCAAGAACCCTCTCTTGGGGGTCTGGATCTGGACCCCTTTCCTGTAACACAACCACTCCTTTTATTTTCAGACCTTTCTCCATCCTCACTTCCATAAGTTTCTGGTTCCTACAATGTTCAGATCTTTGGGAGTCCTAAAGTAAAAAAATAGGCTGCTTCTCAGCTGCACCCACTGCAGTTTAGGGATCAGATTTTGTGGACATATATTGTGTTTTTAAAAAACCAATTCGTTGTTTTAAAGACACCTAATTTTTTTTAACCCAGACTTATTTATGGCCACATTAAGTTAAAAAAATTCAACTCTCTTTTAATAGCTGCTTTTGGACTTAATTGCATTATGGCCAAAAATGTGATCTGTCTATAGCGTTTCTGACATTTTAGGAAACTTCTTTTGTGATCTACTGTATGTTCAACTTTTGTAAATGTTCTCTTGTGTAATGACTCTTTGAAGTAGGAAAAATGGGATTATTATTATCCCTGTATTTTAGGCTGGTAATCAGGAGTCCAGAGAAGGTTCAAGATTTGCCCAAAGTCCCACAGTAAAGCTGGACCAGAACAGAGGAATGGGGAAGAAAGTATCAGAGCATGATGTGAAGCACACAGACTCCAGTCCAGTTGCCTGGGTTTGCAGCTAGGCTGTGGCATGTACCAGCCAACTGACAGCTGGAGATCATGATAGTTCCCACTTGCTACCATTGTTTGGAGGGTTTCCTACGTGGCATATAGTAAACACTCAGAATCTGTTATTATTATTCCTTTTTACTCTTCATCCAGGTTTCACTATGCTTCTTGTATAGAGGAGTCATTACAATAAAAATGACGTCATTAGAAACTTTTACAGCTACCCTTCAGCCCTACCATTTCTATTATATCCTGGCCACTGTGCATAAGAGAGATTATGGCTACAAAGACCACAGTCTAAGCATAGAAAAGCTTCCTGGAAGGAGTCCATAGAAAGGGCACACCAGTCAAATCAGCAAACTCTGTATTGAAGGCCTACCATGTGGCTAGTATTCCATTCTTATCAGAGTTATTTTCTGTCTTTTGGGGCTCATTTATGCCTGAAAAAATGTAAATGTTCACCAAAACTTTTGTGTAATAAAAACAACAAAAATGCTTACAGAAAAGGTTAAAGGTAGCTGGGAAAGTGGGGCAGTGTTGATGGGAGGTAGCCATTCATTTTATGGCAGAGTTTTCTAAATAAAAGGAATTATCTGGGCTGCCCAGACTGTTGGGTGCTAATCCCTACAATAATTAGCCACAAAGCTTTCAGAGCCACAGAATCCACCAGCTGGGAGGGAGCGCGGCCAGTGGTAGATGTCCATTGAGCTGTTTGTGTTGAAGCCGAGTTCTCTCTTTCTCTTTTGTGGACAGAAACAGCTGACAGTCTTAAAATAAAGGCACTTTGCCTGCCTCTGATCTGGATGCCTGGAAATAGGCCAGCCCCCCATCTGTCTTGTTGCAGACCCTGTATTCCACATCTGTCTCCATGAAACCAGCTTTTACATCTGTTCTTTACTTTGAATCTTCCCAACTTCTGGGACAAAATGAAAGCATTGTTGATGACTTATTTCTCTACTCTCACCACTATTTCAGGGAATGTGATATGAAGGGACATTTAAAAACACTTTTTATTTTGGAATAATCTTAGACTTTGAGAAAAGTTGCAAAACGGCACAAAGCAGCTGGGTGTGGTGGCTCATGCCTGTAATCCCAGCACTTTAGGAGGCCGAGGCGGGGGTGGATCACCTGAGGTCAGGAGTTCAAGACCAGCCTGGCCAACATGGTGAAACCCCATCTCTACAAAAAATACAAAAATGAGCCAGGCATGGTGGCATGTACCTGTAATCCCAGCTACTTGGGAGGCTGAGGCAGAAGAATCACTTGAACCAGGAGGCAGAGGTTGCAGTGAGCTGAGATTGAGCTATTGCACTCCAGCCCGGGCAACAGAGCAAGACTTAAAAAAAACAAAAAACAAAAGAAAACAAAACCAAAAATTCCCCAAAACCAAAACAGCACAAAGCATTTTCCTATACCTTTCACCTGGCTGCCCTAATGTGAACAGCATCTTCTGGAACCATAGTACAATGGTCAAAACCAAGAAATTATCATTGGTACAATATTAGTAACTCAACTATAGACTTTCTTTGGAATTGACCTGTTTTCCCATTCATGTCCTTTGTCTGTCACAGGATTCAATCCAGCTCCAATGTTGCATTTGGCTGTCATGTCTCCTCATCTCCTTCAATCTGTGACAGCTCCTAGGTCTTTCCTTATCTTTCATGGCCTTGACACTTTTGAAGAGTAGTGGTCAGGTGTTCTGCAGACTATCCTTCAATTTGGGTTTGTCTGCTGTTTTTCAAGATTCGATTGTAGTTGTGTATTTTTGGCAAGAATATCTCAGAAGTGATGTGTCTTTCTCAGAGCATTATGCCAGGGGTACATGATGTTGACAGGTCTCATTGCCAGTGCTTTTTCCTTGATCACTGGGTGAAGGTATGTCTGAAGGTCTTTTCCACTGTAAAGTTATTATGTTTCCTTTTGTAATCAATAAATATCATGAGGGAGATACTTTGAGATTATGCAAATATTTTGTTTTTCCTCAAACTTTTGCCCACGAATTTTGGCGTCCTTTTTTTTTTTTTTTTTTTTTTTTTTTTGCCCAGGCTGGAGTGCAGTGGCACAATCTCAGCTCACTGCAACCTCTGCCTCCCAGGTTCAAACAAGTCTTGTGCCTCAGCCTCCTGAGTAGCTTGGACTACACGTGTGTGCCACCACACCTAGCTAATTTTTGTATTTTTAGTAGAGATGAGGTTTCACCATGTTGGACAGGCTGGTCTCAAATTCCTGACCTCAAGTGATCTACCCCCACCTCAGCCTCCCAAAGTGCTGGGATTACAGGTGTGAGCCACCATGCATGGCCATTACTGTGGAGTTTTAATGGTGATTGTATATTTCTTTCTTCTATATTTATTAAATGAAATTATTTTGTAAGGAAGAGCTATGTCTTATTGCTAATTTTCTTACTCAGTTTTCTTATTTCTATCATAATAGATACATGTATTCAAAAACCACAATTACTTTTGCACCAACCTAATTTTTTTAAATACTATGTATTATAATTCAGGATTATTGTTATTTATTTTATTGTGAAAATTGTTTTACCTTTGGCCTTTATGAGCCCTTTCAGGTTGGTTTTTATGCCCTTTCAAGAGGGTCTCATCCATTTTTGAGCATTTCCTTACTTTTGGGCGCAAGATACTCCAGGATCACATTGCAGTTTTCCTGTCCAGACCTAGAATTAACCACTCCTTCAAGGAGCCTTGGTTCTTTTACTGGAGAATGATGTTCAGAAACCAAGATCAGGGTGCTGGGTGTGCTCATAGCCACTGGGGTGCCATTGATCAAGGAACATTTTCCCCCTCTAAGTTTTTTTGTTTTTGTTTTTGCTTCCACCTGTCATACAGTGCCTAGAATTCTGGGTCTCCTATAAACTTATGTGATCAAAGCCAAGTCACCCTGATATACTCCAGCTACCTCAGAGATGGACTGCTGAGTCTAGAAAGTTGTGGAGTCTCCTGTTAAAATGCAACCATGCCTGGATTATAGGACGATGTGATGATGTAACACTAAGTGGAAGTAGGTTCCCTGTGAAGGAGGAGAGGAGCAGTGCAGGGCTGAGGACAGCCATGGCCTTGGGGGCAAGGAGGGGGACATTAAAGAGGAAGTGGGTAATTATCCGCAACTGTTCTATCTTACACACTTCCCTAAGGGGAAATATACCCTTCAGCCCACCTTTTTACATTTCCCACACAGAGAGTAGCCTTCTTTCCTTCTTTCTTTTGGGAATGTGCAAAGTGCATGAGTATTTTGGGTCAGAAAGTTGCTGAGGACAGAATATTGGCAAAAATATCTAGGGAATCCTTCAATTACTTATTTTGAGCCCACATAGGCCTCGATATCCACTTTCCAAAATGAGTTTCCCTGTAAAAGTCTGTCCTAGACTTGACCTACTGCTATAATTCTGGTCCTTTAATTGATCTCTACTCTTCTCGTCTTTCTCAAGTGCATTTGATCAACTATAAACTTCTGATAATCTATACTTCCTTTCTTCTTTGGCTTCTGACCACCTTCCAAGGTTGGATTCCCCCACACTGCACCCCTTTTCCCCATCCCAACCCTCCAACATCCAGTGGATGGTCAGAGCATTTGTATTCTGAGGGTCCAGGTGAAAACCAAGGGAATACCCATACCTCTATCAGGGAGGCTCATTCCCACCTTTGGAGATGGAGGAAGAAGAGGTGAGGTGGGAGGAAAAGGGACAAATGACAGAATTGGAACAATGCTAACCATCTTCTGTTCCCCTTGCTGAATTCTGATGCCCCAGAGTCCTGCTGCAGCCCCTGCAGGCTCTCTGGGCACTGGTACCTTGAGGATCTGAATGGCTTACCTGCTGAGCAAAGGTCCTCCACCCTGCTAAGTCTTGGGCTATTTGAAAAGCACACTGTGTGGCTCTCTTTCCTGGAGACTAGTGACAGCACATTAGTCTGTCTGACTCTGTTGGAAGGAGCTGGCACTTTGAATTATCAAGTGTCTCTATGAATAGGAGAGGACAGGGGCTCTCACACTTGGCATTTGTAGTGGCAAATCATGTCTTGGCAAGCTGTCAGGATTCTCAGCACTGACAAAGTGCTGGGGAAAGAAGACCAGCCAGCTATCATTTATTTATGCTTTCAAAGGGCTCTGGAAGCACAGGTAATGATGGGGGTGAAGGACAAGCCCTGTCATGTATTAATAAATAGGAAGCTGTTCACTTGGAGGAGGGCTTTCCTTTTGGATGGGTCATATGGACTAATAAGGCTCCCTGTGGCTCTGGGCCTGGACCTCCTAATGACTTCTTAGTGAGAGGAAGAGAATAATATTTCTCCCCCAACCCCTTTTCAGCAAACTTTGTCTGAATAACTTGAAGGATTTTCATTAGCAAGTTTTTTAAAAGAAGGCAGATATGGTGTTACCTGGGAGGGACCCAGAACTTATGCCTAGGGACTGGATTTTAAAAATAAACTAAATGAATTAAAAACCTTTATTGGATGTCCATGAAATGCCAGACACTGAGCTAGGCACTGGGGACACAAAGATTGGAACAGTGGTCCCTGGCGTGAAGTTCGCTGTTGACCCAGGTATTCCGGGTCAAGGGCAACGTTTGTACAAAGCTACTGGATCAAGTCGTCTGTGAGTACTTTTAGAGTATTTGTGTACTCAGGGGAGATTGAAAATAAAAGTAATTCATAGCCCATTTTTCAAAAGGTGTATGGACTGATTGATAGGGAAGGCAGAAAGAAACATACTTGATATGGTGGGAAGACATTTTAGTGGAGACTGAGGCAGCAGGACTTTGAAGAAGGGAGAGGCAAGTGCAGGCTGGAGTTTGGAGAAGGTCATGAGGAAATAGTGGGAGATGCATTTGTGAAGAGGGGATGAGATGGGGGAGGGCAGGGCATCCAGAGCCAGGCCAAAGAATTGAAAGTGACATGATGGGGGATAGGCAGTCCCTGAAGGTTTAGAAAGGAAGCGGGATGTGTTAGTTTTCTGGGGCTGCCATAACAAAATACCACAACCTGGGTGGCTTAATACAATGGAACCGTATTGTCTCACAGTTCTGGAGGCCAGAAGTCAGGAATCAAGGTGTTGGCAGGGCCACGCTCACTGAGACTCTGGGTGGAATCCTTCTTTGCCTCTTCCTAGCTTCTGGTGGTGGCCGTCAATCCTTCACATTCCTTGGCTTGCAGTTGCATTGCTGCAGTCTCTGCCTCCATCTTTACATGGTGTCTTTCCTATCTTCACATTGACTTCTGATAAGAACTCAAGTCGTATTGGATTAAGAGCTCACCCTACTCCAGTATGACCTCATCTTGTTAATTACTTCAGCAATGACCCTATTTCCAAATAAGATCACATTTGAGGTACTGGGGCTTAGGACTTCAACACATCTTTTTTTGGGGACACAATTCAACCCATAGCAAGGGTAAGTTGGTGCAAGTGGGATGTTGGTGAGATTAGTCTGAATGGAGTATGCTGATGACTGAGTGGGAAAGACTTCCTGCTAGGAATAGGGCAGCAGTGTGAATGGAGAGGTAAGGTTGGCCATGGTGGGAGTGGGTTATAAAAGAAACGCCTGCAGGAGAAGGTGAAACTAAGAGAGTAGTCACAGTTGAATACAGGTTTTAAATCTCTGATTAAAAGAATGATACTATGATGTACATTTAATTAATTAATTTAGTAAGCATTACATTTAGAAGGAAATAAATGTTTCCTTTGTGTGAGTAGGAGGGCTGTGAAGATTGCAAGTTTAGCTTTGGATGTAGAAGGTTGTTGGAGGAAGCCGTGTGCGGTGGCTCACGCCTGTAATCCCAGCACTTTGGGAGGCTGAGGTGGGCAGATCAGGAGGTCGGGAGATAGAGATCATCCTGGCTAACAGGGTGAAACCCCGTCTCTGCCAAAAATACAAAAGGTTAGCCATGCATGGTGACATGCATCTGTAGTCCCAGCTACTCAGGAGGCTGAGGCAGGAGAATCGCTTGAACCCAGGAGGCAGAGGTTGCAGTGAGCGGAGATCGTGCCACTGCACTCCAGCCTGGGTGACAGAGTGAGACTCCACCTCAAAAAAAAAAAAAAAAAAAAAAAAAAAAAGAAGGTAGTTGGAGTTAAGGGCCTAAGCATGGGGAGTTTGCAAGAAAGATGTGGATGTAGGAATCTTCCCCTGGAGGTGGTAGTTAAGCCCAGTGAGGAGCCCTTGAGTTGTCGCCTGCTTCCCTATCTGGCATTTGGGTTGCTATTTCTAGTTTTGATTTAGAGCATCTGTGTTGGAAACTCTTCTAGTTGTGCACAACTTCTTTTTTCCAGTGGGGGCAAGACTTCTGTCACAATATGATGCACATTTGTTGAGGGTGCCATGGGCTTTTTTGGTGGGGATTGTCTCCTTAAGAATTAGATAAAAATGCCTTAGGAGTTGGGATGCAGGAGGATGATTTCAGGCTGGCCTAACATTCTTGTCTCCAGGATATTCTTGTTCATGCCTTCACACTCCTTAAACCCTCATTTGTTGGGATTGGAAATGGGGTGCTTTTAGATCTCCTAAAACTTAGCACAACTGCTTTCTTGAAATAGATTGCTCATCTGTAAATATCTTGAAATAATTTCATACCTTTTCTTTTTGTGCTCCAAAATCGATGTGATGTCAGGGCTCTCAGCGCTTTCTTCTTGCCTGATTATCTTTAAACATGCTTGAGTCCTTTAGTAAGTGATATGGTTTGGCTGGGTCCCCACCCAAATCTTATGTTGAATTATAGCTCCCATAATTCCCATGTGTCATGAGAGGGACCCGGTGGGAGATAACTGAATCATGGGGGCAGGTTTTTCCCGTGCTGTTCTTCTGATAGTGAATAGGTCTCACGAGATCTGATGGTTTTAAAAAGGGGCATTCTCCTGCATATGCCCTATTGCCTGCCACCATGTAAGACATCCCTTTGCTCTTCCTTCATCTTCCACCACGATTGTGAGGCCTCCCCAGCCAAGTGAAACTGTGAGTTCATTAAACCTCTTTCCTTTATAAATTACCCAGTCTTGGGTATGTCTTTATTAGCAGCATGAGAACGGACTAATACAGTAAGTCTAGTTGAAATCGGGCTCACTGATGCTGCTCATCAAACTCTTGATTATTCTGTGGAGGTCTGGGTGGTCTTACTTATACCTTATTAGACCCATTAAGCATCCTCAGGAGAGGGAAGCAGGGGATAATGAGAATCTTTATATTTCATTTCCATTGGATGGTGATATGGTTTGTCTTTGCGTCCCCACCCAAATCTCATCTCAAATTGTAATCCCCATGTGTTGAGGGAGGGACCAGGTGGGAAGCGATTGCATCATGTGGGCAGTTTCCCCCATGCTGTTTTTGTGATAAGGAGTAAGTTCTCACACGACCTGATGTTTTATGAGGGTTTGGCAGTTCCTCTTTCTCTCTCCTGCCGCCTTGTGAAGGTCTTTGCTTCCCCTTCGCTTTCCACTGTGATTGTAAGTTTCCCGAGGCCTCCCCAGCCATGTGGAACTATGAGTCAATTAAACCTCTTTCCTTTATAAGTTATCCAGTCTTGGGTAGTATCGTTATAGCAGTGTGAGAACAGACTAATACAGAGAGATATAGGTATAGTTACTGGTGTTAGAATTATCTCTGGGCCTCTGGGCCTCTGGGAAACACTTTACAACTTGGCCAACTGTGAGCACAAGAAACATGGACAAGTTCTTTCAGGATGCAAGTTCGTCTGTGTGCTAAGGACTGATGTCTCTCAATGTGTGCAGGGGAGAACATAACACAGTGTGGAGGAAGGAAGTGCTCCTCCTCGGTGGCCGGCCCAAGCACACCTCCTGCGGCCCAGCATCCTGTATTTGGAATCTGCTTCCACACCATCTCCTTTGACATAATGAGCCCACAGCCTTATGAAAGCATACATGTGCTTTCTCGTTCACAAGCAGACAACTTCAGAGGGAAAGAGTGGGAGCAAAATACAGATGTGATTTTTGGCAAAAAGGTTGTCAAGTTCATTCACTACGTGGCAAAACTCTAAACAAAATCCTTCCCTAAAAATGTGTCAGGAAACACGAGGCAATCCTTAACCCAAATAAAGAACTGTGGCAAGAGAAAAATAATAATAAACAAAGATACTTTCTCTTTGTTTAATCCTTTGTAACTTAGCAGGCATATTAAGCAATGTATTTGACTCTCGTAATAAAAATCAAGACTATTTCAGGAAAATGGAAATAAATTTCATCAAATGAGAATGTTCTGGGCCACAGGTATGTGATTTTTAAAAAAACTTCCTAATTTTTAACGAGTGAAACTTCACTTCCTTTTGAAGTTATGCCTTTTCAACTTTCTGAAATAAAGGAGTTTAAACTTTTAAAGGGTAACCTACCTGGGTCATACAACCAAAACATTCTGCATTTGGTTTGGTTATCCTCAGAGAGGAATTCCTTGTTCTCCTCAGCACCATCAAAAACCACAGCAATACTTTTTCCCCTGGCTGTGGTCAAGGGGTGGCAGCTGTCCAGGTTTTAACTAGGGTTTTTATTGATTATTACCATTATGGAAAGAATTGCTAACAATGACATGAAACGAGATTTAAACTCATAGCTATAGAACAAGATGAACTACAGGATTTATGCAATGGTACATTCAAAAAGAAAAGGAAGGAGTGAGAAAAAAATGAAAACCAATCCCTATTACCCCTGTGCTTAGGGAGACGAGGAGATATTGGAAAACACAGCTGCTTGGTGTGATAAAGCCTGGGGACCACGTTCCTGTTCCATAAGATTGCCAAACGCAGGTGCAGCTCTCTTCCTGGATCTGAAGTATTAGTAGGTCGCTGCAGAGACCTGGGAGAGCTGGGCTTCTGTCTCCTATGTGGTCCCATGAGGGCAGTCCAGTTAGAGAGCTCTGGAGTAGAACCCATCAGGGTGGGGACCCGCTGCTGGCCCCTGATGAGTGAGTGCACCACAGCACAGAGAGATGGCTGGGGACCTCACTTCTCAGGCCACCCTGCAGGAGATGCACTAGCAAGGGCAGGCCATTCCCGGAAGGCTTGCTTAACCTTTCCTCTGGTCCCAGTGCTGCTGCTGTCTGCCACCTTCCCTTCTGTCACTCAGCCTGCGTCAATGTTGCAACCCCATAAATTGAAATAGGGAAAAGATCTAACCACGTGGAGCTTAGCTCTCTGAGGCTACAACATTGCATTCAAATGTAAACACTGTGAGAGGCACACACCTGAGTAAGACGTAGGCACTTACACTCCAAGAGCAGGTGGCTCCTCTCTGCCATCCCATCTAGTTTGTCTGTTTCCTTCCAGCATACATCATGACTTGTAATTATTTTATTTACAAATAGATATTTTTTCCCCTCTCCTACTAGGAAATAAGCCCTACGTGGCAGGAGTCATGTCAGAAATGCTGTATTTATTGCAACATCTATAGTGCCCACACGGGGCCTGGCACACATTTAGACACTCCGTGGATATTTCTCTTTCTCTCTCTCTTTTTTTTTTTCGAGACAGAATCTCAGTCTGTTACCCAGGCTGGAGTGCCGTGGTGCAGTCTTGGCTCACTGCAACCTCTGCCTCTCAGGCTCAAGCGATCCTCCCCGCTTGGCCTCCCATGTAGCTGAGACCAAAGGTGCACACCACCATGCCCGGCTAATTTTTTTTATCTTTTATTTTGTAGAGACTGGGCTTCACCATGTTGCCCAGGGTGGTCTTGAACTCCCGGGCTCAAATGATCCACCTGCCTTGGCCTCCCAAAGTGCTGAGATTGCAGGTGTGAGCCACTGCACCCAGCCTTGAATATTTGTTGAATGAATGAGCTTACAATGTAGAGGCTGACTATCCTCACCATCTACCTCCATTAAATGCATTACAAGCTGAAATGGCCCAAGTTCGTTTTGTAGCTGTATTTTTTTGTAGCTGTTTGTTTTGTAGCTGTATATAGTAGAAATTTTGGTTCTCTTTATTATTTATGTTCCACAAATCATGCGTCTCCTTTCCCTGCCCTTAAACTTCTCTCTTCCTTCTCAGTCCTGTACCTGGGGGCAATTGTTAGCTTCTGGGGTGACCATGGGCTAGTGTGGACCTCAAGGGAGCTGCTTTGAAATGACTGCATGGGTCTGGGTTGAGAGAGGAAGTGCTGATATGAAGTGAAAGCATGAAGTGTTAGGGACCCCGTGCTGCTGTACTGTTCGGGACGCCACCTGCATACTCACACCTTGCTGGCCATGGACAAGGCTCACTTGCCTTCTCCTCCTCCAGCAGGAAGGCCAACAGGCTTGTCCTGTGGTTAGCCTGGGACTCTTGGCGAGGATGTCAGCACCGTGGCTTGGCTTTGTTCCACGATGTCCTGCTCCCTCTTTGCACCCCACAACTGCTATTTAAGCCAAAACCTTTTCTCATTATTATAATAATTTGCCTTAAAGTCACTGGCTTGTCAGTTACTTGGCTCATACCAGCTATATTAGTCCATTTTCATACTGCTGATAAAGACATACCTGAGACTGGGTAATTTATAAAGATTAAGAGATTTAATGGAATCACAGTTCCATGTGGCTGAGAAAGCCTTACATCATGGTGAAAGGTGAAAGGCACGTCTTACATGGTGGCAGGCAAGAGAGAATGAGAGTCAAGTGAAAAGGGAAACCCCTTATAAAATCATCAGATCTCATGAGACTTATTCACTACCATGAGAACAATATGGAAACCGCCCCCATGATTCAATTATCTCCCACTGGGTCCCTCCCATAACACATGGGAATTATGGGAGCTACAATTCAAGATGAGATTTGGGTGGGGACACAGCCAAGTCATATCACCAGCAAATCCCTACCAGCCTTTGAATCATCCAGCAGGCAGAAAGAAAAATCTACAAGGATGTGAGAGACTCTATTCTGTCTGGGTAGATAGGGATAAAAAGGATTCCACAGAGAGAAACACGAGAGTTGGTTATTTACAGGACCTAACCATTCCTAGATGGAAGGCAAAGGTTTTTGTTATTTAATCTATTTTTCTTTCCTTCAAGAGTTTAAAGAAAAGGAAATCCTGGGTCCTTAATGGTATTTGCTTGTTATCTCATGGGTATCATTTTTTGGGTCATTTTTAATATTTAGACATATTTTCCTGTCTGTAGGTGATGCTCCTAATTTCTCATCAGACATCCATCAGCTAGGGCACTGTGTCAAGTGTTGCATAAAAAAACTGTGCCTAAATCTGGTGGCTTAAAGTCACCTCTTTGTATTTGTTCATGGTCTGCAGTTTGGACTGAGCTCAGCTGCTGGTTCTCCTTCTGGTCACTCATGCTGCTGCAGTTATCTGGGGATTGACTGAGGCTAGATGGTTCAGGACGGCCCCACTTACATGTCCGGTGGTTAGCTGGGGCTGTTGGCTGGGACACCTCAGTTCTTCATGTGGCCTCTTCTGCAGTGTGACTCCAGACTTCGTTCCATGCTAAGATCCAGGAAGGCAAGCTCTAATGAGGAAGCACTTGTCAAGCTTCTCCCGGCTTCATGTTTGGTGGGCCAAGCAAGTCACACAGCCAAGATCAAGAGTGAATATACAAAGGGATTATGTAAGGACACAGATACCCATAGGCATGATTCACTGGGGACCATTATTGTAACAGTCTACTTCAGGCATAAAGAGTGGTGTGTTATTAATGGGTTTGGCCTTTCATTTGCTTCAACTAACTCATTACATTCTTTCATGATTTTGCTAACCCCTCTGTAACGAGGTGCTGGCCAATCCTTGGGAGTATTTCTCAACCTATGCCTTCTAAACATCTATATCTTGGGGTTGGCAAACTTTTTCTGTGAAGGGCCAGATAATAAATATTGTGGGCTTCATGAACTACATCTGTTGCAGCTGCTCACCTTTGCTGTTGAAGTGTTGGAAGCAGTCATAGGTAATATGTAAGTGAATGAGCATGGCTGCGTTCCAATAAAACTTTATTTACAAAAACAGGCAATGGGCCAGATTCGGCCTGGGGACCATGGTTTGTCAATTCTTGATTATATCACAATTTTCTAGACTGTCAAAAAAATTGTTTATTACACTAAAGTATTGTTACTTCTCAAACTTGAAAATTAAATGTTGTCTTTGTAGAACCTGATTTCATCCAGATCAATGCGTAAGATTTGTAATTGTTTAAAATCATAAGTCCATATAATATTTTCCAAGCATCTTTTAAAGAGTCTTAGAAAAAGCTGTATTCATAGAATAAAATGTAATTAGTTGATTCAGTGAGAGTTGGAGAGGCAATATAAGTGTAGAAAGCACAAACTTTATATCCAGACTGCCTGGCTTTACCACTAACTAGTTGTGTGACCATAAGCAAGTCACTTAACCTCTCATTTTAGTTTGATCATCTAAAAATAGGGATGGCAATATTCCCACCTCATAGGATTATTAGGAAGATCAAATGAGTCAGTTCACATAAAATATTTAGAATGGTCCCCAGATAATAGTAAATGTTCAGTTAAAATGGTGAAACTAACATCAAAATGTCATAAAACCCTAACTCCCTTAAGTGATAATTTTAAATAAGAATGTTATATTACAGAGTTTCTAGGTTCATAGTGTTGTGGTCTAATCTCATGAACTATTAACTGAAAAATTACCATAAATTAGTTTTGATCTGAAGACTTTCAAGCCTAATGAAATTTGACTAGCAAATCACAGAGTAGCAGTGACGTAATTAGATTTGGTAGCTTGCCACGGGGGATGTGTATAAACATACAGAACATTATTAGATACTAGGAAGAGGATATAGGTATACAAGACACTTCCAGATTTGTAAGTAAAACCTTAGAAAAATGGGCGTGGTGGCTCACGCCTGTAATCCCAGCACTTTTGGAGGCCGAGGCGGGCGGATCACCTGAGGTCAGGAGTTCGAGACCAGCCTGGCCAACATGGCAAAACCCCGTCTCTACTAAAAATACAAAAATTAGCCAGGTGTGATGGTGGGTGCCTGTAATCCCAGCTACTCAGGAGGCTGAGGCAGGGAGAATCGCATGAACCCGGGAGGCGGAGGTTGCAGTGAGCCAAGATTGCACCACTGCACTCCAGCCTGGGTAACAAAGCAAGACTCTGTCTCAAAAAAAAAAAAAAAAAAAAAAGAAGAAAAATATAGCTTATTTAAAAAAAGTCTATCTAGTAGTATTCTCAAAACCAACATCTGGTGGCTAGGAATTGTCTATGTATTATTTTCCTTTGTGTGACAAGATGCTGTTGCTACGAGTGTTGCCAGACACGTGATCCACTGTTCTATCAAAACAGTGGAAATAAGACCATCCTTGCTGCTTCAGCTGCTGAATCATAGAAGTTGCTGGAGTGGCCAGACAATGCTTTGTTTTGCTTTGTCATGTATAGCTGTGCCTGAGTATGTGTCATGATGTCTCACAGTGACCTGCATTTGACCCACGCTCAGCATTTCCTCAGTGAATTGTTGTGACTCTGTGATATTTGTCTTCACATCATTGATTTCAGTTTGCAATCAATATCAGTAGTACTTATGAGGCTCCATGGTCAATATTTGGGTACATGGACACAGGTAGCCTCATGGCTCTTCTAATAGTCTTTTCTAGGGCAGGATTTACTGAATCAAAGCTGTTTTCACATTTTACTGTATAATGGTTTTACGTCATCATTCAGAACAAACACAGTGAAATGTCTATTGAGGGCCAGGTGCTATTAAAGCTGTTGTTAAATTCTCTCTTCTCAATCAGCAATCATATTTTAAGGAAGTAAAAGCCTTGGAGAAAAATATCCCATGGCTGATGTGTGATGATCTGGCTGGTATCTGGGTAAGATCGTTGACCTGACACAGGACCTAGTTAGTTGGATAGGATGAGTGGCCACCCATAAAGAAAAACGGAGGGCAAAAGCCACTCCACTGTGCAGAGAAATTGGGACACTCCACTCCAGGGAACCTGGCCACCCCAAGGCTGCTGTTTCCAAGCCAGCAGCACACCCACTGCAGTGGGGAATCCATCTTCACAGCACACTGTGACAGCAAACGGGGCATTGGGCTGAGAAAGCAGCCTTTGACTTCCTCCCAGAGTGGCTCTGCCTGCCAGTCCTGCACCCCACAATGACCTGCATATAAAAAGCATGAGACTGCAGTTCATGTCATAGGTCCCAAGAATTCTTTACATGTCTCTCCCAGCCCTCCACTTTTTTTTTTTTCTGAGACAGTTTCATTCTGTTGCCCAGGCTGGAGTGCAGTGGTGCGATCTCGGCTCACTGCAACCTCTGCCTCCTGGGTTCAAGCGATTCTTGTGCCTCACCCTCCCAAGGAGCTGCGTGCGCCATCACACCCAACTAATTTTTGTATTATTGGTAGAGATGGGGTTTTCCCATGTTGGCCAGGCTGGTCTCAAACTCCTGACCTGAAGTGATCTGCCCACCTTGGCCTCCCATAGTGCTGGGATTACAGGCGTGAGCCACTGTGCCTGGCTTCCACCTTCCACTTTACTTTGGAATTCAAGGAAAGGTAAGGTAAGGGTAAGGCTTGAGTCTCAGGAATCCAGCTTTGGGGACATAAGGCGGAAAAACCTCCTAAGAATAACTAAGGGTCATTTTCACCAGTATTACACCTTTGGAACCATTGTTACATTTCACCCTGACTTCTTTTGGCCAGAATATACCTTTGAAACTCATTTTTAAAGATTTTCCTGGACATCTGGAGCTTCAAAACTTGGCCAGTTTTGCTACATTTCACATGTTAAAGGCTTCCATTTACTTTCTCTTTAGGAAGTCATGCCTGATGGCATCTATTTATAGGCTATTTGACTGTTTCTTGCTCTTATGGTCTTATTCAATGGTCCTCAAACTTCAGCACGCATCAGAATCACCTAGAGGGCTTGTTACAACATAGACTGTTGGGTCCAGCCCGAGTTTGATTCAGTAGGTCTTGGCTAGCGTCCAAAAGCTTGCATTTTTATCAAGCTTCCAGGTTATGGCAATGCTGTTGGTGTAGAGACCACATTTTGAGAATCACTGATGCTACAGAAAGAGAAAAAAAAAAATCTTATGGTGGTCTGGTATACTGTGCTGCATGAAAAGTCCTATGACAGCTATTCTCTAATGGCAAACTAATTTCCCTCTAAGCTCCTTCTTTCCACCAGGTGTGTGCCTTCCATCCACATATGCTGGTCTGTTCTTCAATCATTATATAAGGGGACTCTATTCCCTTTAAAATGTATTTAACCAGATTTAAACTTTCTTTACAGACCCCAATTCTTTTTTTCAGAGTGGGTCTCGCTTTGTCGCCTAGACTGGAGTGCAGTGGCACAAACACAGCTCACTCACTGTAGCCTCAAACCTCTCAGTCTCAAGCAATCCTCCCACCTCAGCCTCCCAAGTAGCTGGGTCTACAGGCACTTGCCACCATACCCAGCTAATTGTTTTTTAATTTTTTGTAGAGACTCAGTCTCCCTCTGTTGCCCAGGTTGGTCTCGAACTCCTGGGCTCAAGTGATCTTCCTTGCCTCAGCCTCCCAAAGTGCTGGGATTACAGGCGTGAGCCACTGCGCCGGTCCTAGATTCCAATTCTTAAAATGAGAACTTAAAAAAATTTCTGTAATCACTTCCACCTAAAGCCGTACATGGTCCCCATTTATACTTCAGTCAACAATGTGAAAGTTCTAAAATACAGCTTTTGCTGTAACTTAGTATCTGCACATATATATTTTTTTTCTATCACTAAAAGTAAACTGCAATAGTCTTCTGGTGCTAACAAGATTACAACACAATCAAACTGATTTTGTATTTAATTTTGTTCAGTTTTAAGGTTCAAAGTGATCACTCATCCTGAAAATTACACTCTAAAAAAGTGCTCGTAGTTGAGTTTGGGAAATGCAGATCTCCAAGAAATGTGGAGCAACTTAGATGAGCAATGAAAGGATCAGAGGTTTAACCACGACTCCATTTTCTTCAAGCCCCCTGAAGATCCTGACGATCTGGGATGTGCTGGCTACACCCTGCTCCCCGTCAACCAGGAGCGTTACTGAAGTTACAGTAAAACAATGTCAGGAGACTGACACAAAAGCAAATCCTTTCAAAGACTGGTAAGGTTTATTTCAATTAAATCTTTATGTTTTATTTTCCCTCCACTCATTTTTTTCTAGAAGTGGGATAAGATTAACTAAATGTTTGAGTCAATCAAGCTTCTGGTATAGTTGTAGAGATGACTACAAAAGGAAGGTGATAATAACTGAGAAAAATGCTGCTGACACATTAGCTGTAGCACAATTCAAGTTTATTCCATTTGTTCTTGCAACACAAAACTTAAAACACAGTATTATTTAGCATTCGGATGTACATGAACTAGGATACTTATGAGAAACCCAACTGCGTCAAAAGTATGACATTGTGGAAAAAATGAACTCAAATATATCAAAATGCACAAAGCACTAGTCTTCCTCCATTACCGCTTAGAAAGATATGATTGTTTCTCCATTTACAAAATAGAATCAGGACAATTTAAATTTTTTATATTTTGCATGCAAAACACTGCAATTGCTTATTTATGTAGGAGGGCACTCTCACCAGCTTCTTCTATACACAATTGAGTATACAATATTGCATGGAAGAAAACAGCAGCTCAACTGAAATATTAGAAAAAAAAATCAAACAGATACATACAGATTTAAAATCCAGTACTTGGGAAAAGATATCAATGAATAAAAGGCCTACTTGTTTGCAGCTTCCACACACTGCACCTACCTACTACCTCTCTTCCATGCTTAACTGGGTTTAGAAAGGTGAGCTATGCGTAGAAGAACTACTTGGGATATTCAAGTGCTGTATTTGAACGATAAGCCTATAGATAACAGTCTGAAGCTGCAAGGGAGACTTTGTTAGTACACTACTATAAACAGGTAAACTACCTGTTTGTACTTGATATAGTGCATATGAAATGACTGATTTAATACAAAACTACAGAACATGCAAAATTTTTTCTGAGATGTTAAGTATTACTTCAGTGGAGAACAAAACTTACTTAACCTTTCGCTAATGCATGTAGTACCAGAAAGCAAACATGGTTTTAGCTTCCTTTACTCAAAATATGAACATTAAGTGTTGTGAATTTGTCTGCCAAGTGGTTCAGAAATACATTATAAATAACCTAGTTAAAAAAAGAAACTGTGAACCATCTTGGTCAGTCTATTCTATTCTATGTTTATATGTTATTTTCTCAAGCAATCGCTTCATAATTATAGGGTTTACAAAAAGGTCGAGAAAGAAAAGCGAAGGCGAAATAGCCTCTACTGCATTACAAGCAACATCAGGATAAACTGTACAAAGAATCACATGGTTTCCATACCATGAATGTAGAAAGCAGACCAGGTTTAGGAATGATAGGACAATGCACTCTCTGCAATAGCCAACTACAACAAAACACTTTGAAAGTAAAGGTGAAAATTATATAAAGGGAAAAATTCAAGCCTTTAAATAGCATTATGTCAAGAGGTGAAAACAAAGGTATCAAAACACCCTGTTGCACTACGTTGATAGTTATAGACTGATAGAGTGCCCTCCATTTTCAATGAGGATGTCTCCATATTTTAGTTCAGTGATGTAATAAAGTACTGATTACTGATTTTTAACCCAACTCTTAATAGGCTGCATTAAGACAGCAAAATTAGCCAAATACAACAAAGTATTTAAACCACTACTTTGTGATTGTTTTCTTGGATGTAGGAAAATTACAGGGTTAGGCTAGTTGTAAGTGAAAAAGCCACAGGATTAAAAAAAGGACTCATGGGGAAAAATACACACACACACCCACACACACCTATACACCCACACACCCACATGCCAACCAACCAACCAACCAGCAACTGATCAGTAAAACTTGTTATTAACCAGGGTGACTGTTCTTGATAATAGATTAACCCTGCTGTAGAATGCTATGTTGCCTTTAAAAACCAATTCAATTATTATCCACAATCTGAGTATCAGTCCCTAACCCACCCTCCCCTAAAAATTTGAGGTACATTCAATTATTGCATGACTTGGTCTTAATATTTTTAGCAAGCTTATATGGATGGCAAGTCAAAGGAATCTTAATATTTTAAATGTAAGATATAAAATTTAAGCTTATATATTTTAATTAGCTGTACTGCTCATGAAATAAATATTTGGAAATATGTGTAAATATTTTCTGCAGGTCATAAGAACACCATTTTAGGGCACTGTATTCCAAGAACAGAGAATACATTTTGAAGTTGTCACACTTTATGTAATGCATGATTTATAAAAGCAACAAAAATATATTATGCAGGTGGGTTGGCATATGTTCAGCAGAAGCCTATCAACAACTCTGGGAAACCTGGTTACAAGTGTATTTTTGAAGGGATGGGGCTAAATTTGTCCAAACAGTAAATCTCACCCCAGTGATAGCTTTGGTGCAGTAAGTAATCAGCCTCCAAGATGGGTCTGAGAGAGGCATTTCAAAGAATGTTCCTTAATTCTCAACACATAACCAAGGTCAATCCATTCAAACAGCAAATAAAGAAAATCCATAGGTACTAAGATAACTGTTCTCTCTTCATATGATACTAACAGGCTTATGGCTATGATTCTATTTTTAAATCCCCTTTTACTACCAGCAGGAGTTTGAAAGTGTTTCAATGCTATATAAATGTATGAATCTAGAGGAGAAAAAAATATGCATACTGGAATGGTTTCTCCTTTAGACTTCCAAAACTTAAGATTTTATAAATAAAACTAGTCAGTTTTATCTAAAGAGACATGAAATCCATGTGAAAGGGGAGAGAAAATCCAAAGTTCAGTCATCCAGCAATTTAGGAGTGTGCCCCTCCTCACCTTAACTAAGCTTTCACATAAAGCTTAAAGTCACCGAGGAAAGATTTGGTCACCAACCTTATAGGCAGCGCTCTTAACTATGCCAGGAAATCCCCAGTAGAGTGCATTCTTAAGGCAGAAGGCTAGAGCTAATTGCTTATCTCAGCACCCTAAGTTTACATCACAGCAGCCACTACTGCTCAGACAGTTAGGGCTACCAAATATGTAGAGTTGGCCTTTGTAGAATCAGACCTTCAACACAATCTAATAAATTAGCTAGGGAGCTGAAAAGGTCAAATGTTACTGGTGTATTTTGTCTTTGCTCTCCCTTGGGTATAAGGTGTATATTTTATTAGAAAGGGAAGAGGCTTACTTGATCAGGAATCCCAGTAAAAGCCTGATCATGGTTCCTTTTGCCCCTCCTCCAAAACAATTTTTTTTTTCTGGTAGTCGGATTTGTTATGAATTTCTCTCTCCCCTCACCCCTCTTAAAGTATTTAGCTGAAGAAGCTGGCAGATAGAGAGTGACAGACAGACAGGCAGCAGTGTGAGGCCACAGGAGAGTCATTCTTCCGGAGTTATCAGTCCATCCATCCATCACTGGAGAAGAGCTTTGATTGCCTGGTTGTCAGTGGCTTCAAAGGCGGTCAGTCCATCTGGGCCTTTCACAGTCTTATCAGCACCCTGGAAAAGAGAGGAAAGGGCTCATTAAATGAGCCCACAACTGGGGGAAGGGAATGTAAGACTAGCTCACATGGCACAGGTTAATGTTTACATCAAGAATTAAAAATTCCTTTACTAGTGGAGTCTATTCTACTGCAGAAAAACAAACAAGTTGGCAACATTATGGATTAATTATAAAAATGCCACATTATTTTTCAGGCACTAAGAATTGTAACCCAGGCAATCACTGGCTTTTATTTATACTATCATGGATGAGATGATTAGGAAGAGCACGTTGAGCAAGTTAGATATATTTATCTAATTAGGCTTTAAAAATAATATCCCTATGTGCAGTATGAAACGGGGAAAAAGTAAATCACTTTGCTAAAGTATTCCTGTGACAAATTATTTTTTTCTTATTTGAAACACTTTTTGTAGAGTGCATTCAGTATTATATACATCAAGAACAAATACTGTATTCGTCATTTTACTTGTAAAAACTTCGCAGTAAATGCCTGAGATGCGGACTATAAGAAGGTTCCCTGCGATATTGTAGGGAAATATTCAGTGCAGACACCAGACTGCTCTGAACGCTTAACTTGGAGAGTGCTGCCTTGGAACATTTTATCTGCAACGCGGCATTCTGGTTTTGAGAGTGTGTATGTGCCCTTTTGTGCCTGTATGTTGTTTCATCTGTCTACCCTTTCTGGATGAAAGCTCCATGGGAGCAGTAATTCACCACTGTACTCCAGCACTTGGAAAAGTGCCTAGGTGCATGGTAGGTTAATCTGCTCCCAAACCAGGTCTGATTCTTAACTCCCAGAGACAACATCCTACCATCTGAGGGTTCTGTTTACCAGCTCTAGCTCCAGCCAGTATTTATTCACCACACATTCTCTAGAGTCCTGACCCACTCCCCTTGCCAAATCTCACACATTCTTCTGCTTGTTCCTGACACCTACAGAATTGTTTAAACTTGGCACATATGGTCCTTTAGAGGCTAACGCTGGTCAGCTTTACCAGTCTCTTCTCCAGTTAACCGCTCCATGCTCTAATCCTACAGAATTTCTC
The DNA here is from genome assembly GCF_000001405.40 of Homo sapiens. NCBI lineage: Eukaryota > Metazoa > Chordata > Mammalia > Primates > Hominidae > Homo > Homo sapiens. Next base: position 135,931,063 of record NC_000007.14, read on the forward strand.
ACCAGTTCCTGCTGTGTTTCATGCCTTTATCCATGCGGGCTCTAGATGGGATGCCTTATCCTCTTCTCTGGCAAATCCACCCATTCACTCAACAAATATTTACTGAATGTTTAATATGCGCATACTGTGTAAAGGACTGGAGAATCAAAGAAAAATAAGACAAGAGTCTGCCAGTCTGGCTGGTATGAGAGTCAGACAACTCAGCCAACACAACACTATGGGAAGAGAACAGTAACAGGGATGAGTGGCCCATAATCAGAACAGGATGTGGCAGGAGGGCGTTTTAAGGGAGAAAGTCTTCCGGGATGAGGTAAAATGCCTGAGCTGAGTCTTGACAAGGAAGTACAGGCTGATTAGGTAAACCAGGGAGGAGATGACATTTTAGGAAGTGTTAAATGATCACAAAGTCCTCCTCAGTATTATTATAAAAGTCTCTATTTCCTCATTTTCTAAATGAATTTAACTGCTTCATGGAAGACATGGAATTCAGGGTCAAGTGGGAGAGACGTCAGTGCGTGAGAACTTCAGTGCTGTGAGTCCCGCCACAATGGTTAAGGGATAACTGTATTCAAAAAAGTTATTTCTTATTCATTTTGATGGCTACTTTTATGACTAGCATTATCAACTATAATTCTGCATTAACAGTTACATATTATAGTGAACTTCTGTTGCTTTTTAGCTCTCAGAGTTTATTTCCCTCCATTTGATGGCAGCACCCTAATTTCATCTTGGGGAATCATTTGTCCCCTCTTGCTTTTTAAAATTTTAATTCTTAATTATTATGGGTACATAACAGTTATATATATAGATGGGGTATGTGATGTTTTGATACAGGCATACAATATGTAATGATCAAATCAGGGCCCTTATCATTTCTTTGTGTTAGAACATTCTAATTCTGCTCTTTTACTTATTTTAAATTACACAGTAAATTGTTAACAAATGTGAACAGTAAGTTGTTCACAACAGTTAACAATTTACTGTAGCCCTGTTGTGCTACCAAATACTAGATCATATTCATTGTAACTGTATTTCTGTTCCCCTTAACCATTCCCAGGGTCCTCTATAGTCCTGGGATTATAAAACCGAGATGCTTATTTTCCTCACCAAATTTCAAAGATTTGAAAGCGGAATACTCTCTCCTAGATTTTGAATCCTGATTGAAGAGATCAAAAGAGAATATAAGAAGTTAGAACTCATTTCTGGGGCACCACCTCGATGAAAAAGCTGACAAGTTCCTGCTACCCAGAGCCCTGCAGTTGCCACAGCTCAATCTCTTCTCAACCTGGTGCCCAGCTTTTCCTGTTGATTCTGCAACTAGGCCAGTCATCTTTTCAAAAATTCCTTTTCTGCTTGTTGACTATCTCTGCTATTTGCAACCAGAAGTATTTAGATAAAATATTTTTAAAATGTATATGTCACCTTTTTCCTAATTATGATGCAAACTTATCGCAGAAAACTCGTAATTCTATACATTAGATACAACTAATGTTAACATCTTAGTGTTTCCTTCTACTCTTCTATTCTAAATATATATACATATATACTTCTTTAAAAATAGTTGAGTAATTAGAAGTAGAGTGACTATATTTATATCAGACAAAAGAAGCCTTAAGATAAAAAAAATTACTAGAGACAAAGAGGGACATTTCATAATGATAAAAGGTTCACAATTCAAACATGTAATTTAAAAATTTCATTTGTAATACCATCAAAAGGGATACAATACTGAAGAATAAATTTAGGGCCAGGCGCAGTGGCTCACAGCTGTAATCCCAGCACTCTGGGAGGCCTAGGCAGGTGGATCACCTGAGGCCAGGAGTTAGAGACCAGCCCGGCCAACATGGCAAAACCCCATCTCTACTAAAAACATAAAAATTAGCCTCATGTGATGGCACACGCCTGTAATCCTAGCTACTTCGGAGGCTAAGGCATGAGAATCACTTGAACCCAGGAGGCGGAGGTTGCAGTGAGCTGAGATGAGATCGTGATGCTGCACTCCAGCTTGGGCAACTGAGCAAGACTCACTCAGCCTCAAAAAAAAAAAAAAAAAAAAAAAAGATGAACCAGTTTTGAAGTAACTGAAGAATTTAAGTATATTTGGCCCTATCCCTTCCTTGAAGAAACCATTTTTTAATTGTTTTTAATTATTTGCATAGCTTTAAATAATATACTCATGCTGATATTTGAGCTATAACTTTAGATTTTATCTTTCGACTTCCTGCTACATACATAGGCCTTTAGCTCACCACTACCACCCTTCCCCAGACCTTCTCAATTTCTTATACTTAAAATATTTTGTTCTTTATAAATGTAAACGATATTTATTTAAACCTGTATTTCTTGTTCCATCAATTCTCATGAAGTAATTTTATAAGATACTTTCTCAACCTTCCCATCACTCCCTCCACCTCCTAATTTGCCAGCTTTTCTATTTTGTCAAGATTAACTTTTATATTCTGGTCTGTAAAAACTGTGTTTTTATCAATTCTTATAGTTAAGTAAGTGATGTTCAAATTATTTCTAGGTAAATACTGCTCTTGGTGGCACCTAGCAGACTAATATGACTAGTCATTTTCTCTCTGTTGTTCCAATATTGCAACCCTATGCAATCCTCACAAATGACTGAATCAGAAGGTAACACTTACAGTAACAGCCTGAGTTTTCCCCAGTCCCACAAACTAATGAATTAAAATGGTTTGGCTCTGTGTCCCCACCCAAATCTCAAGTCAAACTATAATTCCCAATGTTGGAGGTGGGGCCTGGTGGGAGGTGACTGGATCACGGGTGCTAATGGTTTGGCACCACCCCTCACCCCCTTGTGCTGTCTTGTGATAGAGTAGAGTTCTCATGAGACCTGGTTGCTTAAAAGTGTGTAGCACCTCCCCCTTCACACTCTCTCCTGCCACCATGAGAAGATATGACTGCTTCCCCTTTGCCTCCTGCCAGGATTGTTAAGTTTCCTGAGGCCTCCCCAGCCATGCCTCTTGTACAGCGTGAGGAACTGTGAGTGAATTAAACCTCTTCTCTTCATAAATCACTCAGTCTCAGGTAGTTCTCTATAGCAGTGTAAGAACAGACTAATTCATGAACCAATCTGTTACTCTTAAGGTAAATTGCTACCACAGAGAGAAACTAAAACACAATGAATTGAACTAAGTTAATTTATTTCTTGCTTATAAAACAGTCTTAGTGCCAAGCACATAGGTTGGCAGGGTGGCTCTGTCCTTAAGGTCATCTAAGGACCTAAGTTCCTTCCATTCTGTTGATCTCCCATGGGTACACTCCTCACCCATATGTCTGGAGCTGGCTCGTCCTACAGCTGCTTCTAGCCTTCTAGATAAGGAGAAAAGTCCACAGCAAGTGGCTTCATATTTTGTAATGATTTGGAAGTGACACACATCATTTGTGCATATCCCAGTAGCCTAAAAGTTAGTTAGACACACAGCCATAATTACTGCAAGGAAAGCTGAGACACAAGGATTACCTAGGCTGCCATGTGGACAACTACAACCTAGGGTTTTCTTTCTAAAGCACAAGGAAAAATCAGACATGACAGACAATTTGCAACCTGACCTATACTGTTCTGAAAACACTTTGAAATAAGTCACTAACGTCCTGTAAATGCCAAGTCTAGTCAACATATATAGTATCTGAACAGTGATATTCCTAACTCATTATGGTCCTAACTCTCAAGACAGTATTATCTCCACATTCTCCTGTCTAGCCTGCCTCTCCCTCCCACACCAACTCCTTCTACTCTCCCCTGCCTTCCTTTACTTTCTCTGGCTGTCCTTTATACAGGATTCAGGTCTTTAACACTCTTTATAACTTGCTCAACGTGCTCTTCCTAATCATCTCATCCATGTCCAACCTTTATTGTCCTCATTCTGAGGACTGGCTTTCAGACTTACCTACTTTAAGTTCCATAAATACCTTGAATTCAACCTCTCCCAAAATGAATCTGTAATCTTTTCCTATAAACCTTGCTCCTTTTTCAATATTCTCCAACAAGGTGAAGAACACTACCATCTTCCAGAAGATGTGGAGACAGTATGCAGTTCTTGTTTACTTAAGTCTTCAGACCATACTATTAAGATTTCCCATCTGTCCTTGGTTCTCCATTGCTACCATCACTTTTTTAGTTCAGGTATAAACATTTGGATGCAATGATTTCTTTCTTTTTTTTTTTTTGAGATGGAGTCTCGCTCTGTCACCCAGGCTGGAGTGCAGTGGCACAACCTCGGCTCACTGCAACCTCCGCCTCTTGGGTTCAAGCAATTCTCCTGCCTCAGCCTCCCGAGTAGCTGGGATTACAGGTGCATACCACCATGCCTGACTAAATTTTTTTGTATTTTTAGTAGAGATAGGGTTTCACTGTGTTAGCCAGGCTGGCCTCGATCTCCTGACCTTGTGATCCGCCCACCTTAGCGTCCCAAAATGCTGGGATCACAGGCGTGAGCCACTGCGCCCGGCCTTTTTTATTACACAACTCTAATTCAGACTCTACATGTTTGGGTGTTCTTTCTCAAATGCCAGTCTGATCATACTGTTCATATACCTAAAAGCCTTTAATGGCATTCTCACGAAATAGAATAAAGATAAATAACATGACACATAAAGGCATAATCTGTTCACTACCTACCTCTCTAGTCATAGGCCTTGCTAAATCCTTTCTACCTGACTGTGTGGCTACGCCAAACAACGTACTGTACTCTAATACATCATGGTTTCTTTCTTGTCCCTGTGACTTTTCTCATTGTTGCTTCTGCTTGGGATGGTGCCCCAATTCTCTACTGGACTCTTAGACACTAAGTTTCTAAGGTTCAGCTCAAGTGTCAACTGCTTTATGAAATTACAATTGTGGTACCTGGAGCTGTAATGACATTCTTATTCATAACACACTATCCCCTTAACTTCCAAGACCACAATTGCCCTCTTCTTCCTTCGGGTCTTTACACATTGCATATAACTCTTGTCACAGCAACCACAATGCTTCAAGGCACTGATTGTTTTACATATTTGTCTCCTTTTACCAGACTAACTATGTTGAGGGCAGGAACAAGGCTTATTAGTCTTTGCGATCCCAAGGCCTTGCACAGGCCCAATAAGAGGTAATCAATACATGTTTATTGATACAGGCCGGGCACAGTGGCTCACGCCTGTAATGTCAACACTTTGGGAGGCCAGGGTGGGCAGATCACCTGAGGTCAGGAGTTCAAGACCAGCCTGGTCAACATGGCGAAACCCCGTCTGTACTAAAAATGCAAAAATTAGCCAGGCATGGTGGCAGGCACCTGTAATCCCAGCTACTGGGGAGGCTGAGGCAGAAGAATCGCTTGAACCCAGGAGGCGGAGGTTGCAGTGAGCCTAGATTGTGCCACTGCACTCCAGCCTGGGTGACAGAGTGAGACTCCGTCTCAAACAAACAAAAAAAACGGATACAAATAGGAACTAAAAATATAAGGAACTTGATAAAATAATTATAGTATTAAATTGGCAGATTTAAAGACAGACTGCTGTGAATATATCAACAAAGCATTTCCATTGTGAACAGGCTGCCTGCCTACTAGCACACTATATAACATACCCACTTATTTTCAGGTAATTGCAACATAGAAGTCCCTTTATTGCTGACATCTGATTACAATCAGAACTAGGTTCATTTGCCTACAGCATGATTCTGCTGATTTTTCTGAAGTTTTCTGGAGGAGAAAAAGGTTGCTATGGCCAAGTTAAAGTGACCCAAACAGACAGGCTGTTTGTCATTCTAGGGAGTAAACGTTTTTAAGGCATTGCAAGTAATTTATTGATCTTCAAATGCCACACTTGTAGATAATCAAGTATTATTTGATAGTGTGAGGTCAAACATGCAGAATGTTTAAAAAAACTTCAAGTCATGCTATCTCCACCCATAAATAATTTACAATCTAGCTGGAAAGATAAGATATACCCACATGAAACAACAAGAACATATCTTTACCTGCTTGTCACCTTTATCTACTTCTTACTTCAGACAGCCTAATTCCCCTGTATATTATCAGTTCTTAGCATGTAAAAATAGGCCAAGAAAACTGGATTAGTAACATTTTAAGGATGAAACTCTCAAACTCCTCAGAGGTTATCTGACATTATCTTGACAAGAGGCTTTTGTCAAGGTTTTGAAGATGCTGATTATAGTTATACTGATAAATTGACAGAATAACAAGCAGCTTTGTTTCCATGCAAAATTTAAAAAATTTACAAATAAAATCAGGCAAAAAATTAGCACTTCTATATATATATAGATCTCCAAGTGCTAACTGGATACACACACACACACACACACACACACACACAAAACCTCTCTCTCTCTCTTGAACCAAATATAAATACAGTCAACTACATATATAGTCATCCCTCTGTGTGTGAGGGGGATTGGTTCCTAACTCCCTCTTGGATACCCAAATCCCTTATATAAAATGGCTTAGGATTTGCATATAACATACACACTTTATATACTTTTGTATACTTTAAATTATCTATAGATTACTTATAATACCTAATACAACGTAAACACTATATAAATACACTTGACCCTTGAACGACATGGGTTTGAACTGTGCAGGTCCAATTATAAGCAGATATTTTTCAATAAAAGTTACATGGAGTGTGCCTGCCTCTCCTGTCCCTCCTTCCACCTCTTCCTCCTCTGAGACAGCAAGACCAACCCCCAATTCCTCCTCCTCAAGCTACTTGAAGCAAAGAAAATGAGGATAAAGGTCTTTATGGTAACCTACTTCCACTTAATGAATAGTAAATGTAGTTTGTCTTTGTAATGATTTTCTTAATAGTCTTTTCTCCAGCTTACTTTACTGTAACAATGAAGTATATAACTCATACAAAAAATATGTGTTGACTGTCTGTTTATGTCATCTATATGCTTCCGGTGAACAGTAAGCTATTAGTTTTTTGGGAGTCAAAAATTCTATGTGGATTTTTGACTGTGCAGGGGTTGGCAACCCTAAACCCCTGCATTGTTCAAGGGTCACCCAGTTGTTATACTGTATTGCTTTTTAATTTATATTATTTGTAATTATTGTGCTATTATTTTTCTGAATCTATTTTTGATCTGTGGTTGAATCCATGGATGCAAAACCTATGGCTATGGAGGGCAAACTGTGTGTTATCTCTACATATGCATATGGATTTACCTATCTACATATACACACAGATAAACACACACACATACCCTTCCCCCTTGGAATATAACCAATTACTTCAGAAAATTTTCTTTAGCAACCATGGTTTTGAATGGTCAATTCACTTTGGAAAGAAAGCAATTTAGAATCAAATACAAAACAAATATCTGAAAGGACTAAGACTGCAGTTGAGGATTAAAGTCAATTCAAGGAATATTTGCAATGTTTCTAGTTTAACATTTTATGACAGACACTTATCAGGTCAGGATTCTAGCAACCTTATGTTGATTTGAACTGACAGGAAGTGAATATAAAACTTTAAAAAACCATTGAAACAGCTTTACAGAGTTCAAGCTCTTCATCATTCCATAGAAGCATGCTGGTGTCCTCACTCAGAAATTTTTATTTCAAACACAGACCTTCTCAGTCAAAATTAAATCAGAAACAGAAAACAGAAAGGAGAGAAGGCCTACTGAAGACGGTCACACTAACAACAGTAACATCTGACAAGAGCTTGACATGACTATAGTAAGAAAGAAACCAAGACTGAGCCCGGCTAAAGCTTAGCTAGTGTAAGGACAATTAACCAAAACTTCAACAGACCCCCGAGGGTTGGATGCTGGTAAGGCTTCAAGGAAATCATCATGTCTTGTTACTCTGCTTAAGAGAAAAGTATATAATACCCTTAAGAAATTTTCTATCCAAAATAGTTATTTTTTACCCTTATAAAGGCTTTTTTTCCCCCCACAGTACTTGTTACTACCTGAAATTAAGTTACATTTATTGGTATACCTGTTTACTCTGCCTTCCCTCTAGAAAATGAGGTGTTACTCTGCCTTCCCTCTAGAAAATGAGGTGTCCAAGAGCGGAGGATCTGTTTACCTTGTTAACTCCTATATCCCCAGTATTTAAATGAATACAGTGTGTACTTCCTTTTGATATTAAATGTCTCATGAAGACTTCGAAAAACGTAAAGCATCAAAGACATTCTTTATTCTTTCCCTGGAACCACCCAATTACCTCTCATTCAATTGTTAGATTCTCTGTGAAGCCTGCTGGGATTTCCCAGGCAGCTGGTGCCCTGGAGATCACAGGTCAGTACTGTAGCTCACTCAGCATCTGACACAACCCACTTCCAACCCGTTCTTCTTTGCTTTCCTCTACTACAGAGGTTGAAAATAAGTGAAATCCTCAGACTCCCTTAAAGCTACAGGTGACTATCTGACCTAATTTTGGCCTTAGCTCTTTCCCCCCTCTTCCTGTTGTCAACAGACACAATGCCTGGCGGTTCAGTAGTTATCTTGTGACCATAAGGATTGGGGAAAATGGGGGCGGGGGGGGGGGGCGGGTGCGTGGGGCGGGTGCCCAGTGTGGGATATCAACAACATACACAGCGGAGCCAGTCACTTAGCCTTGGACTGCACATCTTCAGACTTTCTCGTTTAGATCATTGTAGTAAGGGTTTTTGTTACTCATGGCTAAACTCCACCTTTCTTAGGGAACTTACCACAGTCTGTAATTAACCATTAACAGGTATGTCTTCCCCAAATTAGGCTGAGCTCCATGAAGGAAGGGGTCCTGTTATATTTGTCCCTATAGCTTTAATACCTAGGATAATGCCTTGTAGCCAGCAGATGCTCAATAAATATTAAATGAAAAAAATTCACATCTGGGTCATAGTAACAGAAATATTACCCTTAGTGAACACAAGCATCCAAATTAAAAGGAAAAATTATTTTTTTAAAAATACTATCTTGTCTAAGTATGTACTACTGTATCATTAGAAAGAATACTGTCAATTATTTTGAATCAATTTATATGCATTTTAGAACAGTCTTGAGAAACTACTATACTCACAAAGAACTCCATTATCTCATGATTTGAGGCAACTGTTTGTAGTTCCATGGTACTATGAGAAAATGTTCAGAATCTGAAAACCTTACACTGTTTAAATATATACTTAAATATTACCATAGAACTTAAACATATGATTCAATTTCGGAAACTACTAAAAATGGATTTGGTATTTAGTGACATTAAAAATTATTCAAATACCTACAATTATACATACTTTGCAATTTTATCTACTGGTGCAGGATGATTTCATAGCACATTTAATTTCATATTTAATTTACATATTGATACAGGAGACAGAGTAAAGACAATTTCTGGTCTTTACTAGACCTATAAGGTCTAACATAATACAAAACACAGTGATTGTTACCTCCCTTACATTTTTCGTAGCAGTTTTGAGTTTTTAATGTAACAGTAAAAATATGTAACCACATGTTTCTCACAGCAGTCCCCTGAAGTGGACATTGTTAACTCCATTTTGTAGACAGGCTCTCAAGCTCAGTTAAGAAACTTGCCCAAGGTCAGTCAACAAATACGAAAACTAGAACCATCTGACTCCAAATTTTGTATTCTATACCACATTTAGTTGAAAATTACCCATGGCCTCTCCCCCCAAAATGTTAGGGACAAGACTAGATTTTGGAATTTATTACCTTTAGATATCTGCAGCTTATTTGTATCTTACAGAAAATAAAAGAACTGTGGGATGGCACACATATGACTTGTCATCTGTTGCACACTCTGACACCACAGCATCTTTTCATAGACACTCAATTCACAAGTCCATTCTGTGAATCTTTACTGAGTTTCTATTAAGTGGCAGATACAGCTTTGGTAAATAAAATGTTACTGGAACATACCTAGGCTCATTCATTTACATGTTGCTTATGGCTGCTTTTGCATCACAGTGGCAGAGATGAGAAGCTTTAATGGAGACCATAAGGCACAGAAAGCCCCAAATGTTTACTACCTGGCCCTTAACAGAAAATGTTTACTACCTGGCCCTTAATAGAAAATGTTTGTTGCCCACTGTTCTAGGGCATTAGGGAGAATCAGAGACTAGTTCTCATATATTTCATAAATAGTGTGGCAAGTACTAAAAATAGGAAAGACCATTACCTTCTTTGATTCTCAGAATAATCCTGGGGTATGAATACTATTAAACCCACTGAGTTCAGATGTCAAGTGATTTACTAGCTATGAAGTTACAGAACCAGGCCTTAAATCTAGGTTTACTAACTTCATTGCCAAGCTCCTCTATCTGCACCACTCTGCTTCTCCAACAATGGGGAATGTCATATGAACCAAAGCATTTGTTGAGAACTTTAATTTACCAAGTGGGTTAAGTGTTGATGCTGTTGTCTCATCTCTTTAACTTTTCCAAAAATTCAATTCTTAAAATGTCAATTAAAATCTAAAGAGGCAGGTACTTCAAGTTTTCCAAGCAGCTGCTCAAACTTACTCAAATGACAAAAACTAACAAATGAGACTCACACACATGTGAGCAATGAGACATTTTATGTTTCGTTTTATTCCTTATTTGAACACAGTTAACTATAGTTCATTTTCAGTTGCATATATAATGGTCTTGGATTTGTTCTTATGGTACCCCTAGTAAAAATATGATTTTAATATCACTATAGCAATCATATTTAACATGAATAGAAAGATCATTTCAAGGTTTCAGAGAAAAATTCATCATGGAAATAGGATGGGCTAAAGCACAAACGAGCCTTCAAATTACTCCTCTTCAAGGACAGTCACATATTGAGCTGTTATATTACTTTTTTTTTTTTTTTTTTGAGACGGGAGTTTCATTTTTGTTGCCCAGGCTGGAGTGCAATGGCATGATCTCAGCTCACTACAAACTCCACCTCCCGGGTTCAAGCTATTCTCCTGCCTCAGCCTCCTGAGTAGCTGAGATAACAGGCACCTGCCACCACGCCCGGCTAATTTTTTTTTTGCATTTTTAGTAGAGATGGGGTTTAACCATGTTGGCCAGGCTGGTCTCGAACTCCTGACCTCAGGTGATCCGCCCGCCTCGGCCTCCCAAAGTGCTGGGATTACAGGCGTGAGCTACTGTGCCCGGCCGCTGTTATATTACTTAAAAGGTGGTACATCCTAAGTTTCAGACAAAAAAGTATGTCCACACTTGAAAGAAAGTTCTTCTCATAAAGTTAATTTTCTTCAGGGAACCCTCATTCCTACAGCAAGTCTTTCCTTTCCTGAGAAGCACATCAATCCTAAAGTCTTTGTACTTGCTGAGAACTCATGATGTGCTCGGCATTTCAGCGAGTGGCTTATACACATTATCTCACTTGAGTACTTGGCTATACTGAGAGGCAGTATAATGTAATGGTTACAGACACAGGCTCTAGAGCAAAATTGACTGGATTTGAATTCCAATTCCCCTTCTTGCTAGTTGTGTGATGCTGGGCAAATTTCCTAAATCATTTTGTGCCTCTGTTTCCCCAGTGGTAAAATGGATTAAAAAAATATTTTATAAGACTACTACGGTGATTAAATAAGTTAATATACACAAAGCCCTCAAAACTGTACTTGTACATAGGAAATGTCATTTAACTGTGAGCTATTTTATCCTCATATCAACTCTATGTGATAAATACAGGCCTATGTTACAGAAGAGAAAGCTTAGGCTGAGATATTAAGAAACTTGCTCAAACCCAGAGTTATTAAGCAGAACTGAGAACTAAACTTGTGTGTGTGTAGGTGTGTGGCACCCCAGCACATAGCACAGATCACTAACAGAAGCTAAAATGATGTGCTGTAGTCTAAAAGAGCTAAACAGTTAACGACAATGAACTTACACCGTGGGCATACTTGTGTATGAGATTTGTGAAACCTATCAAAACAGTCTAACAATTGGTTCTTCAGTTATTTATGGGGTAAATCTTGTAGATATATCACTCTGGTAGGCCCTTTATGACACAGTTTCTTAAAAATAAGACAATTCAGTAAGGCACTGCTGAGCTCTTTGAGGAAGACCAGTCCTAAAACTTTTTTGAAACCCAACTTGACCATGTTATATGGAACAGAATTTTGGGGTTCCAAATAATCCTAAAATGTGAGTGGGGGAATATCTGAAGCTATTCAGATTTTATTGGAGGTATGGTAGTAATTCAAGTAACAAATAGTAATTCAAGTAAATATTTGTTCTGCCTGCAGGCACGCCAATTTGCTTATGCTAAAAAGGGCTAACTTTCAGCCCTTATATCTTACACATTTGATTCCCAATTCAAGTAGCAATTCTGCACCACAGACACTTCCCTGAGGAGTCAACAATGCTGATACTTGAGAGGGATATTCAAGTTTTACTAACTGGCTACGTGATTAAAAAGAAAAAGCACAGAAAATACATTTATCAAAAACATGAATGTTACCAGACAAGATGGTTTTTTCTATTTCCTCAGCAGACTGAATTTCAGTATTTTTAAATCTCTATAGCAATTATACATAAAACATAAAACATTTTGACTTCCTTTAAATAAGAATGCAGTTGAGTATACCTTTGTTCTCAAGCCAGGAATAGTTAACTTACAGAGTGGTCTGAAACAGCTGAGTCACTAAAATTAGCGCTGCATAACCATCAGTGGTATATTATATATAGTTGTTGTTGTAAGATTAGAGTTGGCTTCCTGAGGAGATAAATTCTTTTGACACAGAAGCAGAGAAAAAAAGGAAAACAAAAAAGCAGTTCTTTTGGGCTTTCTCCTCTCAGGTATAGCTCAGTGTGCTAAATATCACTAGTAACAAAATGATAGCTTATAATAACAAATTAAGTATGCTGTCAGATTATTTTTGTAATCTAAGAATAAAACTGCAATGTTTTGAAACTTTCATTGAATTCTCAACTCATGGGATTCTGATTCTCTCATGCTGGGGTATAACTTTTTCTATTTATTTATAAGAATTCGTATTTCTATAGGCGATTGAGAGGTCATTTTTAATAGCAGTATATACCATGTAAGGCATGGAGTGTAAATACACCAGCATAAATGACTGAAAGCTTATCTGTCTAAATTCTAAATTATAGCAAATATAACATCTTTAAATGATTGATAAAAGAAGTAAATAATTAGGATATTTCCCCACAATACCCCATAGTTGATTATTTAGAAATAGTATTCCTTAGGATTAGGAATACTGAACTTCTTAAAGTTCTTTATTAAAATTATAAGGAATTATGTACATTATATGGAATTTTAATGAGTATTATAGAAAATATAATCTTCAATATTATATGTATTATGTTAATATTAGAAATGTGCAACATGAGGCCAGGCGTGGTGGCTCGCGCCTGTAATCCCAGCACTTTGGGAGGCCGAGGCAGGCGGATCACCTGAGGTCAGGAGTTTGAGACCAGCCTGGTCAACATGGCAAAACCCCCGTCTCTACTAAAAATATAAAAATTAGCTGAGTGTGGTAATCCCAGCTACTTGGGAGGCTGAGGCAGGAGAAGTGCCTGAACCTGTGAGCCGAGATCACGCCATTGCACTCCAGCCTGGGGGACAGAGGGAGACTCTGTCTCAAAAAAATAAATAAATAAAATAAAATGAAAATAAATGTGCCACATGATAGTGTATTAATACTACAGGCAAACTACTATTATTTCTCTTACAGAATTGTCAAAACTATATTAAGATGTCCAATTATATGTAACTGTGAAAAATATAGTAGTCTCCTTTTATCTGTAGGAGACATATTTCAAGACCTCCAATGGATGCCTTGAAACCACAGACAGTAATGAACCCTAATATATACAGCCACATGTCACTTAACAAGGGAATTTCATCATTGTGTGAACATCATAGAGTGTCCTTACATAAACCTAGATGGTATGGCCTACTACACACGTAGGATATATGTTATAGCCTATTGCTCCTAGGCTACAAACCTATATCCAGTATGTTACTGTACTGAATATTATAGGCAGCTGTAACACGATGGTAAGTATTTGTGTATCTAAACATAGAAAAGGTATGGTAAAAATACAGTATAAAAGATAAAAATGGTACACCTGTATAGGGCACTCATCATCAATGAAGCCTGCAGGACTGGAGGTTGTTCTGAGTGAGATGAGTGGTGAGTGAAGGTGAAGGCCTAGGACATTACTACACACTACTATAGACTTTACAAACACTGTATACTTAGGCTACACTAAATTTATAAGAAAAATTTTCTTTTTTCAGCAATAAATTAACCTTAGCTCACTGTAACTTTTTTACTTTATAAACTTTTAAATGTCTTTAACATTTTGACTGTTTTGTAATAAAGCTTAGCTTAAAACACAAGTACACTGCACAGCTGTAGAAAAATATTTTCTTTTATATTCTTATTCTGTAAGTTTTTATCTAATTAAAAATTTTTTAAAACTTTTTTGTTGAAAACTAACATACACACAAACACGAGCCTAGACCTAGACCTACACAGGGTCAGGATCATCAATATCACTTTTTCCACCTCCATATCTTGTCCCATTGGAAGATTTTCAGGGGCAAGAGAATACATGGAGCTGTCAACTCGTATGATAAAAATGCCTTTTTCTAGAATACCTCCTGAAGGACATGCCTGAAGTTCTTTTACATTAACTTTTTTTTTAATAAGTAGAAGAAACTCTAGTCTAAAATAAGAATAAAAAGCATAGTATAGTAAATACATAAACATATAACACAGTCATTACCAAGCATTATGTATGACCAGCAGTGAGGTAGGTTTGTTTACACCAGCATCTCCATAAGCACACTGTTGACTGAAACGTCATTATATGGCACATGACTGCACTATGTTTTTTCCTATACACACATACCTATGATAAAGTTTAATTTATAAATTAGGCACAGGAAGAAATAATAATAATAAAATAGAACAACTATAACATGCTAATAAAAGTTAACTGTAATAAAAGTTATGGTAATGTGGTGTCTCTCTCACAAAGTATCTTAGTAATGTACTCACCATGACCATGGGTAACTGCAGAAAAGGGGGACTACTGTAAATGAACTCTGAACTTAGGAAAGTCCATCAGCTAATACTATTCAAGAATATGATTTCATGTTTAGCCCCCTTCTAATGTGTTTGTGCAACCTTGCTATTATTCAAGTGTTTAAGATTTTAATCAGAAAGACCAGTTTAGTAATGAACAGTGAATATCCCAGATAAGTGTCCTATAAACTCTTGTTTGGCTACATTAAAAAATCTTTTCAAAAATAAGTGCTAGCATAGTCTAATAAAAGCATCCAGAAGGATACACACTCACCTTGTAGCACTTAGGGAAGCATCATCTTACCACTGAGGGTTAGGGTTTTAAAACGATGTGCCTTATAAATTCCAAACTATTTATGAGCTAGAGCAGGGGTTGGCAAACATGGCCTGGATATTTGTTTTTGTATATGAAGTTTTACTGGGATGCAGCCATGCCCATCCGTTTATGTATTGTCTATGGCAATGTTACATCAGTGACCATGTAGTTTGCAAAGGCATGCCTTCGCAAAAAGGGTATGCCTAGGAAAAAGTTTGCCAACTTTTGAACTGAAGGACTTTTTAATACCACCTTTTAAATATCCTTTTCATTCCAAAAATTTCCTGGTTAAGATTTTTTAGGGCAAATAAAGGGGAACCTTATTTCACTGAGATAATTATAATTCTAAATGACACATGATTATACAGGCTGCCTATTATTGCTTTGATAAAAACAGGCATTGGGCTTGGCCTCTCCACAGACTGCTGTACTGGTCAGTTGCTACTTTTCTATTATGAGTGTCTGTCTCATACACTCACATCAGCTTCTTCACACTCTCACTCCTCTGCTGCTGCTACCTCTTCAAGGATGCTTCTTGAGCCTGCATTAATTATCTGCCTCCTTTCCCTTGTTTCTTCTTGCTAGTTTTACCATGTTTCTCAGGTACTCTGGATTTGGTGAAAATACCAGAAGCTTTGATCATCTCATATTATTTACCTTATTTGGTTCTAGCTTATTTTTTAAAAACTTCAGTGTTAAATATTTGTTTAGAGTTATTCACATACTAATTCACACTAACTTCTTACTTATCATTCCCCTTCTTGCATCTCAGTCTTTCCTTTTGGGTTTAATTTGCTTCTTCCTGAAGTGCATCCAACTTGTCACTCCATTTGTTGCTTGGGGGTACTAGGCACCTCTGGGCGTGGCCTTGGATCAGCTCTTGCCTTTTGCAACAATACTCTCTTGCTCTTATTTGGGAATTTCTTCTTTGGCCCTACCCTGCTTGTTTTCTGTCTTTCAAGGTTTCCTTATCATTTCTTGTTTGATGGATCCAATTCTTCTGGTCCAAAGCAGATACTGATCAACTCACTTTAAAAACATCTTTTCTGTCACTGGGGGCAAAAAGAGAACACCACAGAATGTGCTCACACCTAAACTTTGAAATGGAAGCCTCTCATCTGTTGATCTCTACATTTTTCTCATTTACCAGCTTGCCAATTAAAAATGAGGCCACAAGTCTTTTTACCTGCAGATATGTACATGTTCCATTTCTCATTAACTGACCTGACAGTACTTCTGAAAGGCAATTTCAAGTAATAGTAAGAACACAGGCTGCTGAATCCTACATCTTGGAACAAATCTTGATTCCATTACATTGTATTTGACTTTCAAGCAGTTAGACCACCCCGAGATAAATGGTTTCCTTATCCATAAAAGAGAGATAATAATACCTAAGTATTTGGGTTTATAATAAATTATAAATGATACAGCATATCATATAAAGTTTGATTTCAAATATTCTAGCAATCATGTTTGTTTTTCTGATTTCTCCCCTATTAGTTGTGATCATACTGAGTTTCTAAATCCCTGTTTATTATTTTGCCTTTTTTCGTATGCTAAGGATAAATCAACTGGATAATGTATTGGAAATGTCAATGAATCTGGAAAGTTCTTAAACCAAGTCTTTTCAAGTGAATTCATAATAATCCATAAGAATTCTACTTTTGATAAAAGGCAGAACAAATTAGACTTAATATAAACACTGATTATAACTTTTAAAAGATGCACTGGAACAACTCTATTTTAGCAACTAAGAATTTTTGAAAGAGTATAATCAATTTTCAAAAAAAATCTGCCTAACAAAACTACAGGGTATCCATTAAAGAAGCTTATGCAATAATAAAATCAAAGTAATTAATTTTGAAAAAGCAGAACTAAAATGTACTATGCTGATTTCAAAAAGAAGAAAATCTCTTTCATATAAAACAACAGCTCTACATGGTTACAAACGGTCTGCTACCAACATAGCTATCTCCAAATGTCACTTATTTGGCTAAAAAAAGTCAAGGTTCAGACACAAAAGAACAAAATGGGCATAAGCAAAAGAAAAAACAAACTAGTTAAAAGTAAGACAACTCACAATCAATAATTTAGCAACACAGTACACACACAGAGAACCTTCTGGGATGACATCTTAGGGCCTAATGTACATGCAAATCAAGCCAACTTTTCAGGAACTCATTTAATGTTTTCAACTCTTTAACAACGGAAACTTACAACCACAAGGTCTCAATGACCTGAAGCCTCATGTTTTGGGAATAAGGAGTACAGAACAATGGTTTGGGTTCTCTATAGAATAAAAAATATATCCTGTTTTGTTTTTCCTAGGAGGACAGAGAGGTCTAACACAAAGAAAAATTGTTCTGATCTACAGTTTGAGATATGGTTAGAAGGAAAGAGTACATTTAGGGCAGCTCATTTAGTAAATGACAAGGGACCTAAGCAAAAAATGATCCCATGGAGGTTTTTATTTTCAGAGAACAAAACCCTTGGCTGGGTAAAAAAAAGGTCAGGGAAAAGGCGGGAACGAAGGGTAAGGAGGGAGTCCTCCATTTCTTTTGAGAGCTAGCAGATAGGCTGAAGCCATGGAAATAAAGCCAATGCTGAGGAAGAGACCTGGGACAGGCCAAAAATAAAAATAAAAAAATCAGATCATGGTCATGTGTCTTAAATCCAGGGTCAAGCTGTGCCTCAACTGTACAGTTATATAAATTAATAAGATCTCTTTACTGTTTAAGCCTGTCTGAGCTGGGTTCAGTTACTTGCAAGACAGAGTCCTAACTAATACAATATTGAAATTATATAAATCTTTCATAAACAGCAAATCTGTTTTTGATACAGTAAGCAAAAATATTTCCCAGGGATGAAATTATCTAGCAGTATTCAAAGGTACTTTGTAATCCTTTCGCAGATCTTGGGGAGGGATGAACAGTAAAGAGAAAGACAGTGACTGGAAATCTTTGCGAGCACACCCTATCACAGATGCTGGATCCACTAGCGGCAAAGAGTAATATTTCCATTTATTTTGGCTTTTGGACAAATGCATCATTCTTATCAGTAAGGTATAAAAATTGCTCTTGATATATAACCCAAACCCAAACAACAACAAACATATTTAAAGAAATCCAGTAATTGTGGTTAACATGAAGCTATGGATAGAAAAAACCCTAGCTCTATTTAGAGGACCCAAATTAACTGCTTTTAGAACCATATCTTTACAAAGTTGTCAATAAAGTGTTAAGAGATAAATGTGCTATCTTCTTTCCCAATTTTCTTCGTATCTTACTGAAGCTGACACTACAAAGCATTAAAATCCTCTTCAGCCTTAGTTATAATAAAAGCTACTACTTATTGAGTGCTTACTATGTATCAGGCACTGTGGCAAAATGCTTTATATACATCTACTCATTTCTGTTTTTCTCTTGCTTCTTTTAGTAGGGCTTAAGATCCCAAATGAAATATTATAAACAACACTTTCCAGAGTATGGTCATAAAATGACAAGGCTGGGATTAAATACTAGTGATAATACTGTAACTGGTAATATTTTCTGAAGATTTCTTGCTTTCCAACATCTGTAGGATCCATCTAATACAGCTAGAATGGCGGCAACTAAATGGTTAATTTCTGAGTCTGGATTTTGAACTCCATCTAAGGGCTTATAATAGCAAAGACAAAAAAGGTAGGAAAACTCCAAATTTACCACTATCTCAAGCATATCAAGAAACCAGATAACTTGGAGAGTCCTTACTTAACAGCAAACTACCTCTAACCATTTTGCTCGGTATGTATTCCAGAAAATGAAACATATACATTTCAAACCAGTGCTACTCAAAGCATGGTGTATGAACCTGGTGCCAGTCCACAAAGTGTTACTGTCCAAAATGACATTCTTCTATATCATCAAGTACAATGGTTATTTCAAGCTGGTTTCTGTGTGTGTGTGTGTAAAATATTTTCTTGACAAAGAAGACTGCTGATTTATATTCACCCAAGCTCCTTACCTACCACAAACTGGTAACAGTTTATGGGCCAGCTATTTTGAGTAACACTACACTTCAATTTTGTATATTGCTTCCAGTTTTCTGTCCCTGCTGCCACACAAAATTCAAATAAATTAACAATCAAATACTTGGCTTAAACACAGTAATAGAAAAAGCAATACTATTAGCAATTGACCTCACCTTTGACAGAAGCAATTTCACACAGGAAACATGACCCTCATAGACAGCAGACAGAAGAGGAGTAATATGATGTTTATCTGGAGCCTATGAAATAATAAACAGAGATAACTTTATCTGTTTTTCATTTCTTCCTACTTTCTAGTTTTAACTAGAAAACTCTTTCTAGATTTACCTATTTGCCTTTCTAGAAAATCAATCAATCAATCAATCCACAGAGTCAAGTGTCTAGTCTCTTAAAGCTACCAGAGACCCAAGCCCACGAGCAATGTCTTTCCTTAGGAGTCATAGTAGTAGAGCATAGGGAGCAGGGCTTTGACCTCAGCTCAAATCTTGGCTCTGCCACTTACTATGGTACTATTATTTAGCCTCTCTAAGCCTTGATTCCCCACAACTGTAGAAATGCCAGTGTGGTCCAGTAAGGGAAAACAGGGGTAAAACACAGCCAAAGAGGAGGTAAAAGGGCCGGGTAGCATGGCATCCCCTGAAATACAGAAGCTACAAAAGGCTAAAGTTGGGAGATGACTGCGCTTATCTGACCACTTGCCCATTGACCTTTGTCCAATAATCCATTTTAGATTTAGCCTATGACTGCAGAGTCCTATGCTGTATTACATCATAGCCATTTGTTACCCACAGATAGTGCTAACTCCCCAAGCTTTAGAACTTGAAAAGCAACAGCCACAGGGGAAACATACTAACCTTCAATTTTTGTCAGCTTAAAAAAGTCAGCTTTTTTGGCTTATTTTTAAAAATCCCACCACTGTATATCTAAGTTATAGGCAATTTGGCATAATTTCAGACTGTATTCTTATTTAGAATGAAGTTTCTACAAATAGCTATTTTATAATCTATAGAAAACAATTACCCATAGCATATTAACAGAAAATTTTTTCAAGAATGATCACGTCCTCTACGTACATTAATATCTGCTCCTTTCAGCAGCAGAAATTCCAGGATTTCAAGCTGCCCACAATCTGCTGCATAATGAAGAGGTTTCCTTCCACCTTCTAGTGTCCGGTTGACATCTTCTCCCTGATAAGAAAACCAAATGAAAACAATATTTATATGAATGGAAGACTGAAGAAGTGAAATGAGGCACCTGATACTTTTACTTTCTTAAAGCCGTGAGAGTTTCATGAAACAATTAACATTTCTTGCAAAATAAAATAACCAAAAACTTGAAATGAAATTCTGCACAAGAGTTAACATACAGTATGATGGAAATTCAAGCCACAATTAGTTAAGCTGAAAACAATATACAATAATGATAAATATAACGAAATACATTACTGTCCTCCATTTCTAAGGAGTTCAATCAGCATAGTGTCAATATGTGACCACAGAAGACTAGTGAGTTCAAGCACTGAGATTTTACACAGTTCATATTACATGTATTTTAATTCTTCAAAGAAAGTATTCCCACTTTGATGTAGGCAGCCATCAATATCACAATGTAATTTCAGTATTAGGTATTAAGAATTTATTTCATTTAACATTCAGTAGAGCCCAATTGTGTAGCAGGCACTGTGCTAGACAGTAGGAAGACAGTGGTCAGCAAAATCAGACATGACTCCTGACTGTATGAAGCTTACCGTCTGGGGTTGGGGGGCAGATATTAATAATCACATAATTAAACATATAATTTCAAAATACAAGTGCTACAAAAAATGGAACTCAGGGCTTTCAGAAGAACATGACAATCCTGGTGATGAATGGAGGTATAGTGCCAGAAAAATGAACTTAAGTCCAAAAAAGTCATTTTCATTCACTGAAGATTAACAGAGACTAAAAATGATGACTACCTTCGCTATGGACCAGCTGCAATACATCTGGCACTGTGATACACCCATTATTTCTAATCTTCAAACTACCCCAAGAAGAGAATAACCTCCATCTAATACATGAAAACTCTAAAGCTGAAGAGGTTAAATAACTTTTTACTGTGGTTCAGTTAGTAACAGAGTAGAGATTTAAACCCATTCTCTTTCTGTACCAACATGCTGTTTCTAATTCGCTATTTGCCCCTTCCCTCTTAGGAGAGTTCAGATTTTACTGAGGAGCAAAACATCCTATATTCTCTCAGCCGGGTGTGGTGGCTCACACCTGTAATCCCAGCACTTTGGGAGGCCAAGACTGGTACATCACTTGAGCCTAGGAGTTCAAGACCAGCCTGGGAAACATGGCAAAACCCCATCTCTACTAAAAATATAAAATTAGCCAGGCGTGATGGCATGCTCCTGTGGTCCAGCTACTTGGGAGGTGAGGTGGGAGGATCCCCTGAGCCCAGGAAGTTGAGGCTGCAGTGAGCCATGACCCTGCCACTACACTCCAGCCTGGGTGACAGGAGTGAGACCCTGGCTCAGACAAAGTTTATTTTCTCAACAATTGTATTATTCACTTAGCATAGTTTGGTCAACTCATCAAGCCATACCCTGAATCAAGATGTTCAGAGCCCTATCATTTTACAGCCACTATAAACCATTCTTTCAAACACACATACTCCAAACTCCTCCAAACTCCCCTTCCCCTTTGTCACTTATGCCTGCTCCCTCCTTCCTTCCCATTAATTTAAATACTATAGGTCCTACAAGCCTCAATCAAATTTAAGATTTACTTTGTCTATGAAACTTTCCATGATAATGGCAAGCTCTCTTTCTCGTAAAACTCACAGGAATCAGTTAGTATTTAAATATATGGTACCCTTACAACTTTGTGTATGCCTTCTTTCCCAACAGAATGCAAATTCCTTGGGAGTAGAAATTATATGTTTTCTTCTTTATATTTTCCTACAGTATGATGTGGGAGTTAAGAACAGGAGCTCCATCACCATTAGATCTTGGGCAAGTTACTTACTTTCTATGTGCAGAGATGACAGTACCTGCAGCTCATGGAGTTGTGGGGGTTAAACTACATGATCCATGTAAGGCACTTAAATATCACACTAGCTAATATTAACAGAAATACGGTTAGCTATTATCTATAAGTATTATCTATGTATGTAATAGGTATACTCAAATATGAATTTACTTATTTTTAAGCATTCTGAGAGAAGGGTGATATCAACTGTCTACCATAGCAACCAATGGTGTCAGTGAAGCATTAAGGGAACTAAATTATAGAGTGTTTCCAAATTCCAGCCCACATGTGTATTTCAAATATATATTTTTTTGGAGGATCAAGAGTTTCATCAGAAAGCATTTTCCTACCTGAAATATTAGATGATAAAACAATCTAAGTTAAGACTACTTCAATAATTCAAAGCAATAATTTCTAAATGATTGTTTACTTAAGTTAATATGTGATACATGCATTACAACAGGGCCTCCTGTAAATCAGAAGGATATAGAAGGAATGTATAATGTATATATGTAATATAATGTATATATATAATGTCTATATAAGGATGTATAATGTGCCTAAAATCACTGGAGACCAGGTTAGCACTCCAACTCTACCACTTAGTTGTGGGACCAGAGACCAGGTACTTTCTAAATTTTGGTTTCCTTATCCGTAAAATGGGAATAGAAATGTCTACACTTCACAGGGTTTCAGTGTTTCACTGGAAGAGATAACCTATGCAGTGTTTAGCATAGTGCCTGACACATTGTTTAACAAATGTTTAATGAAGGCTATTATATTTAATAAAGGTTCACTATTATTTTTGTGGATTCCTGGTACTGGCTTATACTAGACAAAAGATTATTCAAAATAGGATTAAGGCAGGTTTCTGCATAATGGTTGAAATATGAATAATTAAAGATATTATTTATTGTAACATGCTTTATATTCAAAATCAAATTTAAATAGTAAGGGCGAACTAGCATACCACCTTAGTCTTTATTCACAACTACAAAAATGTTGTTGAGGCAAAGAATGCTTAACAATTCAGATAAAATTAGTTTGCCCCCCATTATTAACATTTCCTTTCTGTTAATATTAGCTAGACAGGATTAACTGGACGAGTCTTTAGAGTGAGACAAAGCAAATAAATAAGTGCAATAAATCATCAATAAGATCTTTGTCAAAGATACTTCTGTGAACCAAAAATGTTACATCCTTCAGGGCTGGGCACGGTGGCTCACGCCTGTAATCCTAGCACTTTGGGAGGCCGAGGCGGGAGGATCACGAGGTCAGGAGATCGAGACCATCCTTGCTAACACGGTGAAACCCCGTCTCAACTAAAAAACACAACAAATTAGCTGGGCGTGGTGGTGGGCACCTGTAGTCCCAGCTACTTGGGAGGCTGAGGCAGGACAATGGCATGAACCTGGGAGGCAGAGCTTGCAGTAAGCCGAGATTGCGCCACTGCACTCCAGCCTGGGTGACAGAGCGAGACTCCATCTCAAAAAATAAAAAATGTTATATCCTCCCTTGCACTCTTAATACCAGTGCAAAATGCCTATGAAATGGAGTTGTGAGTTTAAATTTTCTCCTTTATTCCTTCAGACATTTACATTACAATTCTTATTTTAGCAGACAAAAAGACGATGAGACTGAAAAGGCTTTGTGTGACTGACAGAAAAAAATCCTTGTCAGCAGGGCCTTAGCAAAGCAGTACTTATAGAGAAATTTATAGCACTAAATGCCTGTACTGGAAAAATAGAAAGATTTCAAATGAATAATCTTTGTATTTCCATCATAAGAAACTAGAAAAAAAATTAAATCCAAAATAAGCAAGAGAAAAGAATAAAGATCAGGGTAAAAATCAAAGAAACAGAAAACAGAAAAATGAGAGGAATCACAAGCTGATTCTTCAAGATCAATACAACTGATAAGCCTCTAGCAAACGTCATCAGGAAAAGAGCGAAGATACAAAGTGCCAATATTGGACAACAGATTACCTCCCCACAAAGAAACCTTCAGACTCCAGATGGCACCACTGTGAATTCTACCAGACATTTAAGGGAAGAAATAATACCAATTCTACCCACTCTTCCCGAAAATGGAAGCGATGGGATGTTATCTCAACTCATTCTATGAGTTCAGCATTACTTTGATTCCAAAACAAGACAAAGATGTTATAAGAAAATACTGTATGCCAATATTCCTCATGACAAGTGATGGAAAAATTTTACACAAAATTTTAGCAAACGTAATCCAACACTATGTAAAAAGGATAATATACCATGACCAGTGGGGTTTATCCCAGGAATAAGGTTGATTTAATATTCGAAAAGTCAGTGAATATAATTTACCATTTTAACACAGAGAAAGCCATATGATTGACCATCTCAATGGATTATAAAAAAAAAAAAACCCAATATGCATTTGTCATCAGAATTTAGCAAACTAGGATAAGAAGGAAACTTCCTTGGCCTACAAAAAACCTACATTTAAGATCATACTTAATTGGTGAAAGACTGAATGCTTTCCTCCTAAGATCAGGAATAAGACAAGGATGTCTGTTCTTACCACTTCAATGTTGCACTAGCGGTTCTAATCAGTACAACCAGGCATGAAAAGAAATAAAAGGCATCCATTTCGAAAAGGAAGAATTAAAGCTGTCTTTATCTGCAGATCCCATGGTTAGGGGGGTGCTGAATGACAATTTCACCAGGTTTTCAGCAGTCTTGATGCACCGGTGGTAGGTCCAATAGTGGTGATGAAATAGGAAAGGAAGATAGTGCTCTATATAGTTCCTTTCTTCCCTGCCTCCGGCCTATACTTTAGGCCTTAGTGACATTAGCAGAGATAAAGATACCTATTCTGTAATCTTCATTCTAACTTCATAAAACATTACCAGTTACAGAAAAAAATGAAAACCTAATTTTCTTTCCCAAATTCTGGGGATAGAGAAGAGAGATACACAATATTAACACGTTCCTTAGCTCACATGGAAATGTTACCATGTTTTCCTTTTCCTCTGGCTCTTCCACTTTCCACAGATACTATTTTAAACCTCTTCTACTTATTATAGACCTTAGACTTTTCTGTCTCCTCCTTCCCCTTCATTCTCAGCAGATGAGCCCATATCCTTCTTTATACAGAGGACATGATCTCCCTCAGGAACTTCTATCACACCTTCTTGGAACTGACTCATCCTCTCATCCTATCAAAAGCCATCCCTCACCTATGTTCTGTATATCGTCCCTTCTTTCTTTTTTTTGGGGAAAACTTCATGTTTCTTTCTTTTCTTGACTGTGTTTTCAACCTTTCCTGTTTTATTGGCTCCTTCTCACCAGCATGTGCCATTCACAGCTCTTCCACTAAAAAAGCAAACAGCAGCAACATCTTGTTGGACTTGACATCTGCCCTTCAGTTACTGTTCTCTTTCCTCCCTTCCAGGGCTAAACTTTACAAAAGGATTGTCTGTATTTGCTATCTCCAGTGTTTCACCGTCCACTCTAATTTGGCTTCCACCCTCAACACTATTACCATAACCATTTTTGCCGAGGTCAAGGGTCTCCATGTTGCAAATACAAAGCTTCCCTTTACTCTTAAAACTCTTTCTTTTCATTGCAACATGAAGTCTGTCAGTTATTAAATTCAGAACCTAGATTGTATTATATTAAAACATACTAAGTTGTTTTGAAGCTATTATTTTCTCTAAATATGGTATATTCCATATATGTAATCTAAATAACATATATAATGTATATACATAACATACATATGAAACACTACTACTTCATAGTATATTCTGGTGAGTAGTTTAAATTAAATACATACACTGTATCTGGAACCACCATAGAAACCATAACATGCTTTAGGATGGGTTGACTTCTGGTGCTTCTAAGAGTAAGATGAGGATTTAGATTATAGTGGAAAGGAGAAAGTCTATGTGAAATTCTAAACCAAATGGAACCCAAGAAAGGTCTTAAGATTACATTCTGGCAACCCGAGATTAGCTTCTCTTGAGTCTTCCTTGGTCCTAACCTGAATTCTTCTTAGTGTTAAAAAATTGGAAAGAAAAAAAAAAGTGACAGTGCATGACCAGTTTACATCAATAAGTTGGTGAGTTCCATGTCAGAGGAGAACCTAATTATTATATCATTTATTCCAATGTCAAAGCATAGTGCTATAATTTTGATGTGTGTCCAGGAAAATCTCATGTTGAAATTTGATCCCAATATTAGAGGTGCGGGCCTAAAGAGAGGTGTTTGGGTCATGGGAGCGGGATCTCTGAAGAATAGATTAATGTTCTCACTGGGTGTGAGATAAGTGAGTTCTTATCCCATTAGTTCTTGTGAGAGCTGGTGTTAATAAGAGCCTGGCACCTCCTCCCTCCCTTGCTTCCTCTCTCACCATGTGATCTCTCTACACCTGGCTCCCCTTCATTTTCTGCCATGAGTGGAGGCACCCTGTGACCCTTCACAGATGCAGGTGCCCAATCTTAAACTTTCCTAGACAACAGAATCAGAATCATGAACCAAATAAACCTTGTTCTTTATAAAGTACTCAGCCTCAGATACTCCTTTGTAACAACCCTAAACGGACTAAAACACGTGGCATTTTAGGACTGGGCACTGGACAGGTTTTTCAACCTAAAAAAATTAAATACTATTGGTATTTTCCTGATATTCTTGATATATAATTCCCTTCCTTTAATCCTCATAGTTCTTGTTTATATGTCTTTCATTACATTTACCTCTATTCGATCAGGTATGTTATTTATATACTTTAATAAAAACTTCATTAAAGAAAGGACAATGAAAGAACAATGTCTTACTTGTTTATATACTGCCTACAATGTCTGTGGGTGACTTGTGCATAGCAGTCTTATTTTAATAGTTTCTACAGTCACTTATAACAGCTTTGTCACAGTGCAACCTGTTGCCTACCAAACAGCTACTACTTCACAAAGTGGTATTTTTAAAACCTTATTAGGGTCTTTGAAAGTTATACAATCTCAGTGTTGGAAGGGGCTCTGAATGTCATCTAATTCAGCCACCCATTCTATGTTTTAATCCTTGCTTGTGTCTGCCCAACCTATAACTGAGTATCTCTAATGAAAGGCAATTCAGAACCTTGCTGATCAGTCCATTCCTGCTCTCAGTACTGGAAAATTCACTGTTTACTAGTTATGGTTCTATCTCTTGCAGACACATGGCACAAGCAATTCTTATTTTTACATTAGGTTATTACTTGTGTTTAACAGTCACAACACACTGTAACTACAACTAATTATTTTCATTGATTTGCTGTTATCCTGAATTTGAGTCACTAATGGGTCAGAGAGACCTACCATCTGCTGATCCCTGATCTAGTTCATGACACTTTCATCCAATCATCCTTCCCCATCATTCCCTCAAGGATATCTCTGAAACATTCAAATTTCACTAAAGTATTTCAGATTATCTTTATAACAGTCTAGAAACTTCAAAGAAAGGAAATTAGTACAGCATGATTTCTAACCGATCCCCTGATAAGTGTTATAAACCACTCCATTGCCACCACATACATATTTATAAAATAAAATCTGGAAATTAAAAAATATTTTAGCAAGGCCTACCATCCAAAATACAACCATTGTTACCACTCTGCTATAATTCTGTTTAATCTTTTTCTATGAAAATAATTGCTTTAAAAAGTTGTGAACACACTATGTATTCTTTCACGAGACATCATTCTTGAAAGATACATATATCCTATCAAGTGGATGTACCATAGTTTACTTATTCTAATTCTAGACATGCAATAAATATCAAATACCCTGTAACACTAAAATTCTTATTTTATAGAACATAACAGTTACATTATTTCATTGATTCCTAAGCACACATTTTTCTGTATTTTAATGTCCCTAAAATTGGTCACAGACACCCTTTGCCTTGGAGATTGGCGGAAAAGTACTCATGGGTTGATTATGTACTTTGTGTAAACACTAACAATCATTCCCTATGCCTGGCTTTGCTACTGAAACCTATACATGGGTGGGTCAAGACATTAGAGTGTAAAGTATAGAATTAGATTAAGCTGACTCTGAAGAACATAAACGGTGAAATTCACTGATTCGACCTGATGATATTATTCTCATGAAAATTTGGTGAGTGTGCCATCAACTATTTTTAATCCAGAGAAGAGAAATTAAATATTAAATAGAACATGTCTTACATCTAATTTCTGAAAGCAATGTTATTGGCTGTATAGGAAATATCCCTAGAGTTTAATATATGCCACCTGGCTATCCCCACTGAGTTATTTGCTTTTTTAACAGTACTACAAGCAAGGGAAGATTTTTCTAGTTTGTCAGTATTATTCAGGAGGAACATCTGCTTGTTTTTTTTTTTAATGGAACATCTGTTTTTTTAAGATCAAGATAAACTAAGTGTATTGCCTCCTGCTTTACTGCAACAACAGAATGAAATCAAACTTACATAGTATACTTTCCTCTTTACAATGCCAAGTTGTTTTTTCCTTCTAGTATTTTATGCTTATTAAATGGTTTATTCTAATATTTTCCCAAAGACATCAATTTGGTTACTCAATCATTCATGAAACATTTACTGATAGCTTATAAAGTTTTGGGAACTGTGGCAAGCATCTGAGATAGTGATGAAAAAGGAGTCATTCCCCACAAGGAATCTGTAGCCATAAAAGGCAAGACAACAAGTAAACCATTCATATAATGTGATTAAATTATATCATGTGATTAAAGCTGCAGTACAGGCTATGAGTTTGTTTTGGGAATACAGAAAAGGAGATGTAAGGGGTCTAATCAAGCTACCATGAAGAGATAATTAAGCTTGGGCTAAGCCTAACATTTTTTTCTTTAAACATTTTTCTCTTTTCCAGTCTTCATGATTTCATGTTTTTTTAAACAATGTAATGAAGTTATGCCTTAGGCAATAGAGAATATAAAAGATCGGGTGAACAAAACCACCAGCACTAGGATTCTTCTAGTACATAAGCAGGTTTTAAGTGTGGTCAGAGGCAATCCTCACATCCTAACTGCTAGCACACCCTAAATCTGAATAGTATTTCCCCTTTAAAGGATAGGTAACAAAGAAAACCAATATGGAGGTAGGGTATAAAAATCATATAGCAAAAGAAATATATTGAAAATTCTTTCCTCTAAAATGTAGTAGAAAAAGAAAATAAAGAAAAAAAACTCTAAGGAAATACATACCTCTGAAATGATTCAATATAAGAAACTTAACTTTAGTGTTTGCCTCGGCAGCACATATACTAAAATTGGAATGATATACAGAAGATTAGTACGGCCTCTCTGCAAGAGTGACACGCAAATTCATGAAACAGTCCATATTTTTTTGGTTTTTAATTAAAAAAAAAAGAAAAGAAACTTAACTTTAGAAAACATCTACAGAGTAATCAAAATGGAATCCAAAAGACATGGGCTCAATAAGTAAGGGTGTCTTAAGAAGAGAACAGGCAAACACACACAGTAAACAAACTGAGGTGCAGGCTGATAGGAAAGGGAAGCTGCAGAGAAAGTGACATATAGCAAGGAAATTAAAACTGCAATTGCAAAATTAAAATTTGTACCGAAGTCAGTAGAGTTGGGAAACACTATTCAAATTAAGAAAACTCAATTAAGTAAAGACTTGAGAACAAACTTAAGAAATTTTCCCAGAATACCGAAGTAATAAACTAGTACAAATGTTTAAAGAAAAAGACGATTGGCATTAGGAGTATAAAGTTCTAACTTATAAATGATACATAACCAGAACAGGAACAGAAAGTTTTCTGAACTCAGGAAAGACCTGAGCCTATAGATTATAAGAACTCACTGTATTGTAGGCAAAAATTCAGTTGATTCCCCCCCTCCCAAAAATAGTTTTAGAATTTCTTTAGATAAAGCAAAAAGACTCCCAAAATTAAAAAGTCAAAATCACATTAACACCAAAAAAATTAAATTAGACTGGTCTCATATTTGTGGCTTCCTTAGAACACCGAATTCCAGAGGACTACAGAGAGAAACTATCTATAGCAATGATATTTGGAGAGAGTTTGAGATATATACCTTTTTTTTTTTCTTTCTTTTTTGAGACAACGTCTCACTGCCTTGTTCAGGCTGGATTTGAACTCCTGGGCTAAAGCAACCCAGCCTCCCCAGTAGCTGGGATTACAGGTTCAATGTGCTAGGCTCTTAACATCAAATTTAAAGATAAAGAATCTTGAATTTTGTTAAACAACAACAAAAAGAAAAGTAAACAAATTTCCAACCAGAAGCTGCTACTGAGAGATACCTAAAAGCAAAATATGAAAATGTGAAAAAAATTTGTTTAATGGTCAAAAATATACTAGGCACATACATCTAAAAAGCTAGGAAGAGTAATCTTGGTACATGATAAAGTGATAAAGTAGAATCAAAGCAAAAAAAGTAAATGGGAAAGATGTTCATTTTACATGAAAAAATGTAAAAGCTAGTTATGAATTATCTGAAGAACGGCAAGAAAACAACTGACAAAAATAGCACTGTACAGAGAGACTATCATAATCATCTTAGTCTTTGGCAGGTAAGGACACAGCAGGCATGATTAATAATTAATGAGATTGTTAATGTATATCAAACTTTGTACTCTATGGAAATTGTACGTTACTATTTCACTGAATATCAACAAAATATAATTATAACAGAACAAAGAAAACTTCAATACATTCTGAAGTCTAAAACCTTAGAGAACCCATTATCTAATCCCAGTGCAATGGGATTAGATTGCATTAATCTAATGCAATTAATTAGATTAGATTAATTGGGATTAGCAAAATACCAAAAGCGTTAGCACAAAGTAAACATAAGAAAAAAAAATGAATGAATGAACAAAAATAACACACAAAACACATACACACAACCAAACCAATACTAAATCTCCTAAATTACTGATGGAGCAAAGAAGGACTCAATACTAGAATTGCAGACCATTTTGAAAATAAATGTTAAAATATTAAAGTATTCTATTAATGGCAAGAATATTACTTATGGACACAACCAAATCTGTGAAAAACCAATCTGGAGGTGGTTAAATTAATATGAAATTACATGGTTTAAAAGACTACCACTGTTCACTAGATTTTTCCCAGCTGTTTTCAATTTTTTCTCCCTTACTTTCCTAACTGGTTTTAATATGAAACATAAACATATTAACAAATAAGCGGTATGTTTTTAGAAGTTTCAGATTTTCTCTTCAACAGCAAAATCTTTTACATGCTCCTCCACAGTGTGGCTTGGTGGGGATTATTCACTAGATTAGTACTTCTTACAGGCCTCTATTACATAGCATTAGGTTTATTTGAATAATAAACAGTACAATAAAATAGTACTCTTTATGCTATTTCTAAGTGAAATGGCCGACTCCTACAGAGAATGGTTTTTAGACCTTTCTTCAGGTGAAAAGAAACAAATAATACTCTTTGTTTGATCTGTAAGATATGTACGCATTGCTGCCACTGAGTTCCAAGGTATAGGTACATACTGTACTGCCACAAGAGATCAGTGTCCCAAAAGCTACCTAACAAACAGTAGACTAAATTAGCATATGTGTCACCACTTTGTACCACAGCATGTAAACTAAATATTGGACACCTGACAGTAGAAAGCAGCAAAAGTATTAAATTTACAAAATTCTATATAGTTGAGTCGATGTCCCCAATAATTTCAGTTACAGTTACGTATTATCCTTCCCCAATGGGAATTCAGAATTCCTTAAGACTGCAGTGTTTAATATTTAAAAAATGACAGATCCATTTGAGATGAATGTTATAATATAGTCCCTCCTTTCCTAATACTCTCTCTCTGTCCTCCTCCCTACCCAATCCCCCAGGTTGAAAGTCCTTATTTAGGATATAACTTTGCAAAAAAGAATCACCTATTACTGTACTGGTGACTGATATCAGTGTGTCAAACAATACCACAATTATAAATTACAACACAGCAATGGGTTTATATGTAAACTCTACCACTGAGGCGGCAAAGCAAACAAGAAAGGTGATAATACATTAATACTTTATTTGGAACTTTACAATACAGAAAAACAGACAGATGGCACAATAGAAAGAAAGAAGGTCTGTAAGGACGAAAGTATAACATCAACCTGCTCTTACTTGACATATTTTCTGAAATGTTAACGTCACACCAAATGAACTTTCTCTTGCTGACGTCATCCTCCCAAATGCATCAAACTTTCAATGATACAAATATGAACTCATTTTAAATAATGAATAACAATACATTTGTTATGTATTCTTATCCCACCTATACATTTACTTGGAATCTTCAACTTAGGCATTTTTTTCTTTCAAAAATGACTACTTCAGTCATTCAAATTATAGAAATTTCAGTTTTAGTTTTCAGCTGATTTACTTATTAAATACACACCATTTTTCTTCTTTGGAAGGTTTAGAAGCAATTAATTACACTTAGAAATTTTCTAATTGAAAATGGTGAAGTATTTTTTAAAAGCTTGTGGGAAATTAAAATTTTAATAACAAAACACGTGTTTATATAAAGAAAGACTATCAAAATTAAGAAAATCCATTTAAAACATTATAATATGTCAATTTGGAAAAAATTGTCAATTTGGAAAAAAGACTAACAATCAAAAAGTAGCTTCATTTATAAGATTCTAATTCATGGCTCCACAGTTGGAGGGGAGGGAGGGAAGAGAGGAGAAAGGAACCAAATATAACTTTATCTTAACAAACTGTATAGCTGCTTTCTAAGTGTTATCCATATTTCATGTATTAAATAAGGGAAATAATGTATTCAGAACTCATACAACCATCTTATCTGCTGTATGTTTTCTAACCCTTTTAACTAAACCTACCAAAGAAAACTCATCTCAGTGGCTGACACTGTAGGTGCTCAAATGGTATTTGCTGCATTAATTATGAATGAATCAGTGAAAACTGCTAACCAGCCTTCTCTTTCACTTCTGGAGTTGGAAATCAAGCCAGGGACAGGACTCACATTAGGGCTGGGAAGAAAATTTTGGAACGTTTTTGGTGAAGGATGATCTCATGCAGCTGAAAAGATTTCGCAGAATCTACTTTCAGTTTAAGAATCTAAATTAGTTCCTATTTGTATATTACAAGTAATGATTCCTCATTTTCAGAAATCTAGGCCTCTTGCCTAAGGTTCAAATTTAGTATAGAAATTCTATGTTTTTTCTTTTAGAGAATTTCATTCAAACTCCCTCTCTCTTCTCTCTATCCACAAGCACCTTTCCATGCCTTGCTTTTCCAGTCCAACATCTTTGAATCATAAAGGTTTCTGAATAATGTTTTTGAAAATGCTGACCCCCAAAATAAGTTTTATATTATACATTTTAATTTTTTTATATCTCAAAAACTTGAGAATAAAGTGAAACTTAGACAAAGTAGTTTTACTAACTTCAATGTTATGTAGAGATGTGCAAACTACGGCTCATGGGTCAAAGCCAGCATGCTGTTTTTGTAAATAAAGTTTTATTGGAACTCAGACTCATTTATTGATGTATCATCTATGACTGCTTTTGCACAACAGCAGAGATGAATAGTTATGATAGAGACTGTGTGACTGCCAAGGCCTAAAATATTTACTAGCTGCCCCTTTACAAAAAATGTCTCCCAACTCTTGCTATTAAGCATTGGCCTCTCTAAATCTCCTCTAAGATCTATACAGACAATAATACAAACAGCAAATACTTACTACAGAATTTCAGTGTATTAAGCACTGCTTTGCAAATTTTACATTTACATTATTTTTTAAAACTTGTACACAACATGAATTGAGTATGATCACAATCCCTATTTACAGATACAAAACTGAGGTTTGATGAAATTAAATAACATGGTCAAGGTTAGTAAGTAGACAGGGCTGGGAATCCAACCAAGGTCTACTGAAATCCAAAATGAAAGTGTAATATCTCTTATAGAGAACTTCAAAATAATAAATAATAAAAAATATTTTCTAAGGACTTAAGTTTTAGGGTCCATATGCTTTTATATTGTTATAAGTAATGTGGCATTAAGTATAGGTTTTAACATTTGTTTCTTAATACCAAGGTAAAAGTACTGATGATTCTTATTTTTCACAAGGAAGCATGCACAAAACTATCTTTACTTTTAGTGAGACTGTATAGTGTTAACAATTCTTGACTGAAATTCTAAAATGATAGTCATGAGAGGTTACAAGTGGAAGTTGCTGTTATACTAATACAACTGTTGTCACTACAAACAGTGTGGGAAGTTGGACAAAGTTCATTGGGTTTAAAACAACAAAGAACTTGAAAATTTAGAGCTATTTCTAAGAGAGGAAATGAAAGAACATCATTTACACTAAGAATATCTGTTAACATACAAAGTGGTATATGGTAAACCAACTTTGAAAACAACAAAGGAAGGGATAGTTTCTGCAAATACCAATTAAATACAAATGTAACGAAACTGTATGGCAGATAACAGGCAATGTGATAACTGTTGAGGATACAAAGATAATTGCTACCTTCAAAAAACCCACAGAATATTAGGTGAGATAAATAGGTAAAAATTAATATAGGGTTCTTAATTTCAAGCAACAGAAACCAAATCAGACTGATTAATAGACATGTAATACATTAACAGATATTAAAAGTAGCTCCCAGAACTGCTAGGAGGATTGAAGAACAAAGCTCAGTAAATGGACAGAAAATAAGGATGCTTAAAAGCAAGAAATACAAGTGTTCCTCTACTTATGATTGGGTTACACTGAAAATGCATTTAATAAACCTAACCTGCCATCACAGCTTAGCCCAGCCCGCCTTGAATGTGCTCAGAACACTTACCTTAGCCTACCATTGGGCAAAAACAGCTGGCATTACAATACACAGCAGAGTACCAGTTATTTACCCTCATGATTGAGTGGCTGACTGGGAGCTGCGACTCCCTGCACCATGAGAGTACCATCATGCATATCCCTAAGCAGGGATATGATTTTGACTTTGAAAGCTCTGATTTTGAAAGATCAAAATTCAAAATTTGAAGTACAGTTTCTACCGAATGTGTATCACTTTTGCGCCATCACAACGTCAAAAAAAAAAATTAAGTCCGGGACTGTCTGTGAAATCAAAATCTGTCACAAGAACCACCTGGGCACAGAAGAGATGCTACAAGTGGCACATAACGACTTCTGCTGTTTTTGGAAAGTGGTGTTTTACTGCTGCCACTACATCTTTTATTATGCCTGAGCATTTGTATCAGCTCTAGATAGACGCATCCAATTAGTCATGTTTGGGATGAGCTCTTTTCCTGTGTGGGCAAGAGAAAGCAATTTATTTGCCCTTTTTGGCTTTTGTTGCGGTGAGCACCAGACCTTGCCTTTGATCAAGATTCATACTATATAAGTAGGGAACTCCTCAAGCACAGGAAGAAGCTTCAAGTGCTATGACCCCTGTCAACAGAAAAATGCCCCACTATAAGCACTGTAGCTTAAAGATCTGAAGACATTTTTTTAGGGGGCTGGAGAGGGCGGTGAAGAGCCTCTGAATTCTCAAGTTTGTGAGCCACTATTCAAGTGACTAAATGGTAATAACTGATCCATATTTATAAATGCACCTTGGTTTTTTCTTAACCAGTCATTAAGACAAAACTCATTTCAGCAGTTCAAAAATTAAAGACATACCCCACAGAACAAGATTTAAGTTTCTTAAGCCGCTGTTTTTCAAATTCAAGTCTAATAACTTGTTAGTCAAGCCAGAAGCCCATAAGCTCTCAAATTTAAGAAACCACAACAGAACATAAACACAATAAAAAAGTTCTATATTAGATGTCACCAAGAAACAATAAACTGCACAAGCAGTCAGGGAATCTATGCAGAACAAAACAGACATGAATATAAAACTTCAGGAAGAAGAAGAAATTTGCCAAGCAGATGTTGTGGGACAAAAAGAATAATTTATTAGAGGTAACAGCTAGCACAAGATGACTTCATTAGCAAACACAATGGTGTAGCGGAAAACCAACCAACCAACCCTCATCCAAGTTCAGGAAAACTGAATTTAAATTTCAATCTCAAATAGCACTATGATACTGGTCAAGGGCTTTCACACTTAATTTTTCCTTATCTATAAAATAAGGGAGCTGGACTAGTTGCTCTGTAAGTAATCTTGCTTCTAAACAAATTTATGAGGATGCTGATTAGTAACAACAGCTAATATTTACTAGCACTCACCATATGCCAGGCACAATGGTACACAGTTTACACTTATTATGTAGGTATTACAATCATTCCCATTTTCACCAATTGAAGAAACTCAAGTTCTGAGTGCTTAATTCACCCAAAGTGTCTAGTTAGTAAGAAGGCCAGACCTGGAAGATCTAATTCCAAAGCCAACACATTTAGCCTCTATGCTATGGTTTCACCAATAATGCAATTCCAAATCCCTAAAGGACAGTGCCATAATGAGCGTCTATTGTACTATGTTTAAAGTGTTTACTACCTACAATTTTTTTGTGGTTGAGATGGAAGTCTTGCTATGTTGCCCAGGCTGGTCTTGAACTCCTGGGCTCAAGTGATAGATCCTCCTGCCTTGGCCTCCCAAAATGCTGGGATTACAGACATGAGTCATCATGCCTGGCCTACAATTTTTTTTTAATACCTCCATTTTTCAGTATTTTTCAGATACTTACTTTAGGCCTAAGTATCAAAATGCTCATTCTTTTTTATATGTCAAATTGAAATCTTCCTAAAATATGTTATACATGTCTCTGACTTTGTAAATAAGAGAAAAGTAACCAAGTTTAAACTTTTCGTGAAGCTCAAGGTTACGCTTATACATATTAATTATTGCCTGAGGCCTCTGAAACTTTAAGGTAAATATGGCTCTTTGCCCTTCACTTTCTTGGGTCAGCTTCTTACATTTTGGTTTCTTTTCTTTCAGTAATCACAGCTCCTCTTTACACTGGTAATTTTCTGTGGACTGAAAAAAAAAATCAAGCTTCTAAGCTTATC
The DNA here is from genome assembly GCF_000001405.40 of Homo sapiens. Taxonomy (NCBI): domain Eukaryota; kingdom Metazoa; phylum Chordata; class Mammalia; order Primates; family Hominidae; genus Homo; species Homo sapiens. The sequence goes on from NC_000007.14 coordinate 135,968,468, forward strand.
AGAATTATTTAGTAAAGATATAGCTGCAAAAAAATTACTTTCAGCCATTTTTCTTATTACAAGGTGGCCTGTGATGTAATACCATAAACTAACTTTCATCACCAATTTTGCTGTGATTTGATTATCTAAACACACTTCCTCTGTTTTGAATCTTTGATATGGCACATTCTCACAGTGCATGACATCCTCCTAAGATGATTCATAAAGAATTAAAAGTTAAAGTATTATGTCCCACAGATCACACGATCCCAGCATTCCAGAAAAAAAAAAAAAAAGCTTAATGCTTATTAAAAGATACAGGTTAAGTTTTAGGTAGGTTCAAATCATCCTAATATTTTTCTTGAGATTATGGGAAAAAAAATTTTAAGGAATCACCTGCAAAAATCCTAAAGAGAATGTGAGAGGGAGATACTAAAACCTATTTTGAAACCACACATCATTAAATCAGTTTGGTATAGATAGAAAAAGAGCAAGAAATCTGTTTATGATAAAGATGATGGTTCAAATTATTAGTAAAGAGGAACTACATTGTTCAATTCCCACCTATGAGTGAGAATATGTGGTGTTTGGTTTTTTGTTCTTGCGATGGGGATTATCACACTCTGGGGACTGTTGTGGGGTGGGGGGGGGGGAGGAGGGAGGGATAGCATTGGGAGATATACCTAATGCTAGATGACGAGTTAGTGGGTGCAGCGCACCAGCATGGCACATGTATACATATGCAACTAACCTGCACAATGTGCACATGTACCCTAAAACTTAAAGTATAATAAAAAAAAAAAAAAAGAAAAAAAAAAGAATGTCAGAAATTACTAGAAAAAATATTAAACAAAATAATATTTACTTAATACAGATAAGAAGTTTTAAATATGATTTATTGAACATTTCACCTTAGAGCTTCTCAGTCTTACCAATTTAGCCATTCTAATAGTTATAATGTAGTATCTCATTGTGGATTTAATTTGCATTTTCCTAATATCTGTTATAATATATACCACTTAACGTGCAAAAAAAAAAAGAGGAACTATAATAATAAATGGTATGAGAACTGTCAAAAAAAAAGTATACACTTATTTCATGCCTTACTTCAAAATAAATAATGGAAAGGTCAAATGTCCAAAATGGAAGAAAAAATGAAGTTCCAGAAGAGCAAATTTATTTGTAATTTTACAGAAGAGAAAAGGTCTTTGTAAACAGGATACAAAATCCAAGTCACAAAAGAGAAAAAAAGCGATACATTTAACCCCACAAAAAGTAAAAGACCATTGTAGAATAAGAAAATAAATGAAGTCAAGAGATTAACTGGGAACGATATTTGCAAAACATGATAAAAAACTGATTTCCCTAATTTATAGAGTTTATACAAACCAATAAAAAACAGACCAACTAAAAGAAAAATAAACAAAAGACATAAACAATCATTTTTCACCTATCCAAATGGCAAAATCTAAAAAGTCTGATGATGCCCAGTGCTGTTGATGGTGTGAGGGAACCATCGGTCTCATGTCTGCCAATGTGTGCCTAAGCTGACGAAACTCATGAAGAGAGTAATGCAGATATAGTCTCAAAAGTTGTCAAGGTATATGTACAAAGGTGATCACGACAATCCTGTTTAATTGCAAAGATGCACTGGAAACAAAATGTTTATCATACGGGAATAGTTAAATAAACATCCAGAAAATGGAATACTATTCACCATTTAAAAAGGGAAGAATAAATACATTTCAATGTGGAAAGCAAAGTGCAGAAGTGTTTACAGAACTTTTTAAGCGGGAAAAACAGATGAGTAAGTAAATTTTCAATGTTTTTCTGAAATTAATTACATGGACCTGTTGAGAATGGCTGATTTGTTCACAGGCATTGGGGAGGGGAGATCTTTACCTTTCAGTCCTAACTGTGGCATTTTAAAATCCACATCTGAATTAATTTAATTTTACTTTTTAAAAGTTAGGAGTTATCTAAATAGTAAAATTTTGGCCAATTTTTGTCTTCTTTATTCTTTTCTGTTTTAAAAACACCTAATCAATTTTATATTTTAAAGAGAGGAACCACATAGGTAGGAAAAATAGTCAATGGGATATTTTACTTTATTCAATACAGCTTTGCTTTTTTAAATAACAAGCTCATAATATTGTTATAATTTCTATCAGTTTTAATTCATTAAATTTTTAATTATCTGCACTAATAAAAGGAAAATGTTTAGAATCTCAAACCAAAACACTTTATATAGCCTATGTACATCTGAATGAACATTTATGTTCCAATGTAAAAAAAGATCTTCCTCTATTTTATATATTTTTTAAAATGACTAAAAGCATTAATAATTAGAAAAGAATCTATACTAATGTTTCTCTGTCTACTGAGGGCACCTGTATCTTATACAAGCTGACATATGCTTTCTGAATAGGTCACCAGCCCTTCTGTAGAAAGGGCAACACACAGTGATACATTTTTATAAGAAAGAAACTAATAATTTAAAGAAGAAAAAAAAGGGAAGCTGCCTAAAACCAATAAATGCAAAGTAGATTGAATCAGGACCTCTTTTAAATTGGCTATTTTATTAGGAAAGTGAAAAGTGATCTCAATGAGTCTTGGAATTTCTAAAGATTAGAGTTGATATCTTTCTCAGGTTCAAGAGATTCTATCCTTTCACATGGTGCACAATTGTTGCTTTTCAAACCTATTAGAGTGTCAACGGCAGATGTAATTAGAATGGAGGCTGGAGGGAAAGGAAACCACAGAGAAAGGGAAGTTAGAGACCAGGCTTCTATTTCACAGCAAGTGAAATAGAAGTACATGTAAACAAGAGAGTACATGTATCAGACCTGCTGAAGATTAAAAGGGGCTATTTATCAATGCAACTCACAAGCACTCACCTGTAAGCATGTTGGATCCTCAAAATCCACCAGAAAGCTCACCTTTTAGTAGTCTCAATGGATAATTACCATCCTGCTATGATTATTTTTACTATTTACTCAATAATATAGTACCCCCCTAGTTTCTGGCCTTATTGAGAAATGAAGGTCAAGGGTATGCTGAAGTAGTTAACAGCATGGGGCTTTTGAAACTCCTTCAGAACCCAAGGAAGTGAGTTCACATCTCAGCTTCACCACTTAAGAACTTTATGATCTTGAGCAAGTTATTTAATCTCTGCCTCTAAAATCTCTAAAATGGGGTTAACATTATTAATAATGCTCATGGCTTACTGTTGATAAGTAAATGAAATAATACCTGTATACTGCATCACAATCCTCAAATACATAAAATTTAATAAACATACTTTTTTCAAAATGTTACTTGTTTTATTTAAATAATTATGAATAGAAATCTCAATAATTTAGTTATTTTTGTTTCTTCCTAAGGCAAACAAACAAAATTTAACTTTTTCTGGACTGTGTAGGATCACAATTAGGAACATAAATTATAAGGTTAGATTATATGTGACCATAAATACAAAACATTCTGCAGGCTATCAGTCACTCTTATGGACACGTCTTGAGTAATGACAGTCTCTGATGAGAGTTTAAGTTTACAGAGATGTTTGTCTCTATACTAATTATTTCTGAATTGTTACATTTACAATTTTTAAAATACGGTTGCCATTTTTGTCTTCATTCACAGTCAGAGCTAATTAGTTGTACCGGCTTCTTACAAGCCTCTTTCTCGTTTTCTTAATTCTAAAGTGTTGTTAGCAAAAAAAAAAACCACTTTTAAAGCAAACTGATATGGTTATAAATACACACGCGCACACGCGCACGCGCGCGCACACACACACACACACACACACACACACCCCATGTAGATTCAGACAGTTCTGGGTTTAAAATCCAGTTATGCTACTTAGTTTGTGACCTTGTCAAGTTACTTCAGTTCTCTAAGCCTCAGGTTCTTCATCCTTAAAATAAGATTATTACTTATACTGAAACACTGTGGTAAGAAGCAAATAAAAACTTAGGTAAAACATCTTGCAGAGTGCTTTCCAGTACCTGACAATGTAAGTCATCCAGTCAATGGTAATTATTATTCTGTAATTAATGAAGTATGCTGAAATTATTGCTAAGTTAAGAATAAAATGAATTTCTTACCAGAAACATGATTTTAATGTGTAAAATTCCTTGGCGCTATGTTGGAGACAGAAAGATGAAAAAGAATATATTATCTACCCTCCAGGAGTTCAGAGCCTAATGAAGACACATGTAAACAAAATCACAGCAATCTGATGAGCAAAACAGTAAAAGAAGCAGCACTCTATGTGAAGTCAATCTTTTTCAGCCAGTCTCCCTCACTGCCCTTAAAATATTAATACTTTTGTGATTTCTCATTGCTTATTTTAAAAGGGCCAACTCCTCATCGGTATGGTGTTTTTCTGTTAGAGGTGATACTTACCCTAGGAGGGTAAATAGGAGTTTAACAGGTTGGGGGTTAGGGATTGAGGTGAGCAGACTTGGTCAGGGAGGATGAAAGAACACATGTAAAGATCTACAAGGAAGAAACAGGATGGCAGGGTCTGGAGCAGAGTGCTTAGAGAGAGGCAAGTGTAGAAAAGCAAGCCCAGATAATAGTGGCCTAGTACACCATACCAATGAGGAGCTGGCCCTTTTAAAATAAGCAGTGAGAAATCACAAAAGTATTAATATTTTAAGGGCAGTGCAGGAGACTGGCTGAAAAAGATTACATGCTTATATTCATGTTATTGAGAGATCCCTCCACCTAAACTGTGTAAACTGACCAGGAAGGGGTCAATTTTTGCTGCTTCTTTCCAGCCTGGACTATATATTCTTTCTTGACTATTTTCTTATAGTCAAGAAAGAAAATATAGTCCAGGCTGGAAAGAAGCAGCAACTGATCTAAAGTAGTAAGAAGAAAGGAGAGTGAGGAATGGATGAGGGAGACTAAGAAGGTAGTCTTGGTAACCCTCAGAAATCTAGGAAAATTTCCCAGTTTCCAGTTTGGACAAATGGTTGGGTCATGATACCATTAGTGAAAATGGAGACACAATAGGAATAAAAACAGTTTTTGAGAGGAAAACAGCTCAATTTGGAATTTGTCTGAACAGAGCTTATGCAGTCTGAAATTCAGGTGAGGCTAGAATTAACTCCAACAGGAGAACATAAAGGCAGAAATGTAAGACAAAGTCAAAAATAATGTCACCCAAAAGAAACATCCAGATCAAAAATGGGGCTATGAATATCTCTTATAGCTGCTCATGAATACCTTATTTTCTGGCTTTCACTTGTTTTCCAGCCGGACAACTGAATTTTATGAAAATGAGATGTTATTTATAATTTGCATACTACTATAAAAGTATGAATTTTTTTTCACGCAGGTCTGCTAAATATAGATGCTTACGTTTCCTGAAAACTGTGTCGAACTTCTGTACTATCATCCCAGGACTACTAAAGAGTTTAAGACCTGAAAGATGCCTAGTAAAAATGAATGAATTAACTAAATGTGGTCCTTAAGTCAGTCAAGAAGCCAAATGTAGTGTTGAAAGACTTTAAAATTGCTTCAGATATTGTCTTAAAGTTATACATGAAACATTTAATGTAATAATCTAAATTTTTCTCTAAATAATCTAAATTTTTCTCTCAATACTGTCTTTTCCATTTCAAAATACAATTTTCAGTGGTTTGGGGACTGTGAACTGACTTTTCTAAGTTCAAGAACTCACCTAAAACCAATGATTTAGGGATACTCACACTTCGAACTTTAATAGAGAAGTCAGAGGCAGGTAGAAAAGTGTAATTACTGACTTTTAAAAATACTAATTTATAAAGGAAAAACGGGTTCACACCTGTGAACCAGTGCTTTCACACCTGTAATCCCAGTGCTTTGGGAGGCCGAGGCCAGAAGATCGCTTGAGGCTAGGAGTTTGAGACCAGCCTGTACAACAAAGTGAGATCCAGTCTCTACAAAAAATAAAATTTGCTGGGTGTCGTGGTGTACATCTATGGTCCCAGCTGCTCAGGAGGCTGAAGTTACAGTGAGCTATGATCACGACACTGCACTCTAGCCTGGGCGACAAAGCAAAGACCCTGTCTCCGAAAAACAAAAACAAAAAAACCCTGTTTCCAAAAAAAAGAGGAGGAGGAGGGGAATACTAAAATGCTTATCTTACTCTTACAGGTAGATTCTTAGGTTAACAATATGAGAGATCTTCACAGGAATGTTGAGGAGAGTTTTTAAAATAGACTCTCACCCCTGAGAATGAAGACTAGACAGGTCTAAGTGTTTCTTTAGTATTTTCTTTGTACACACCTACTCAGATAGATGCACATTACAGAAACTCAAAAAGTGAGTGTTCACAAATTGGTAGATGAAAAATGTGAGTCAATAAATAAGCAGGGAAGACAGCTGTGGGGCAGAAGAAACTGTAATAAGGACCTGAAAGTATAAATGGGCACCGTAAGGGAGCTGAGTCAGTATAAACTTCAGTTCTTGTTATTATTTCTCATTAACAAAGTGAAAGATACTTTATGAAATCTTCAAAACTAAGAAAGGATAAAGCTCAATGCTCTGTACATCAGATTACATTACAGTTACAGTCATATCTTTTTGGATAGTCCAACTTTCAATACTCCCTTTTGCTTTTTCTGAATGTCTACCCTCCCTCTTATGCAAATTTTTTACATTAATGAAGAACAGGCTACGGTAGTAATATAGGGAAAATAATCAAATTGAACATGATAACCTAACCTAATTATAAAACTAATTGGAAATAAATTAATCCATCTTTATTGGCATATATTTTCATATAAATATTTTTGTGTAGTTGAGAATTCTTTGGGCACAATTTACCTGCCTGAATGTGGACCCTGGGAATGTCCTACTAGAAATCTTGGTATGATACGCTTTCACAATTAGATCTTAGACTGAGAGATAGTGCGTGGAGCAGTTAAAGAGTTTCAGTTTTGGAGTCAGCAATTTAGTTCTTGCTTCACAATTTACCATCTCCATAACTTTTCTTAAGTATCCTGCATCTCAGTAATCTGTAAAATGGGACCAATAATAGGACTTACTTCCCAGTATTCACAAGGATGACATAAAATAATGTGTCAGGAAAACACTAAATACATTGTGTTATTTTGGTAGCTGTAAGTTCAGTTAGTACTTAATCAACTTTTTGTATTTCAAGTATATCAAACAACCTAGGTTCCACCATGACAGGAAAACAAAAGCCCACTTACTTCCAGAGTATTGCAGTGTCCCACCACTGGTAAGTGTACCAAATAATTTCTACCTTTTAGCTTTATATTGAAATAGCCAATAAGTCAAGTTTCAGTTGGCTACCAGCTGAGAAGGCAGTGACGAGAAGACAGCCTGTCCTAAAACTCCACTGCAAAAAACTAAGCAGGTAAGCAGCATCCAAAAAGTCTAAATTGTAATGGCATTAAATAAAGTAAAAACCTTCAGCAGTTTGCCTTGCACAATCCTGTAAGTTTTAAGAAACTGCTTCGCTTACTTGCTTCCTAACACAGCCTCTGAAGCAAAAACCCAGGTCAGGTCCTATTCTTTGAAGAGTTAAAATCTAGACTGGGTTCTCACACTTTTAGAAGGTGAGCAAGATGCCATCCGTGGTTGTCATAAAATTATACTTGTTTTGGAAGATTCATTTTAGATTATCACTAAATTAAAATCACATGTTAAGTTCTCTCATAATTACAAAGGCACAGTTTCAGGATGGAAAGACAGGCTAGCTTGGAATTTTAAGTTTCCCACTCTGCCACAATGTCGATTCAGTTTTATATTTGGGGCTGAGGTTTGAGTTTGTCTTTCTTCATCATGATTTTACCCCCCAAATACACTGCCACTAAACTGCATTGCTATTTACTACACATGTAAGCATTTCAGGTGAAATCAGGGAGAAGAATGGAATAACTGAAGTTAACATGCTTGTTTAAAAACTATTCAGATACCTTAAACATTCCCAGATGCCAGTTGACAACCTTACCACTTGAAGCAAATATGTATTTGTTGTGGTGGGGGAAAGGAAAAAGGCCACACCCAAAGTTAAGACACCACAGTGAAGTGATACTCAGTTTCAGAATTTTAACTATTTCTATTTTCGGTACTCTTTTCACGGTCAATGAATTCTTCAACTTCACACCAGGCCGAGAGTTAAAAAACATGTTCCTCTGATCCTAATTACTTAGGTTACTTCATTTAGTAATGGGTAAGTCCAAGATGGAGAATTACCTCATTCAAAGAAAGGTTTAAGTAACTTTGGTGTAGAAGAGGGCCAAACTCAAATGATCAGTGCGCAGAAGAAACTCTGGATGAGCCAGACACCACTCCTCCCCTCCCCCAAGAGGCCAGGAAGTCAGGTAGCGCCTAACTGTATTAACGCAGCAGTTACCTGACACAGAACGCTACCAAGTTACCTGGACCCTTCTTTCAGTTTAGCTCCTCCCTAGACGCCCCTCTCTCCTTGGTGCCGCCTCCACCCAGGAAGTCTCTCCTCCCGCCCACCCCCATCCCCGCAGTCCAGCTCCCATCAGCTTCCTCAGCCTCATCTCCAGCCCACCTCCGTGTTCTCGCCTACTCTTCTCATCCCCGCTTACCTTGGCCACATAGTCTTTCACCTCATCCAAGTCTCCGTTTTTCAGGGCCCACATGAACTCCTTGTCGCACATCACTGCAGCGGGGCAGGCCGGTTGGCCGGGCAGAAGATGAGGAGGCGGTGGCAGCAGCAAGCGGATGCCGCCGGGCGAGAGGGAGGCAGGGCCGCGCGAAGCCGGAGAGGAGAAGAAGAGAAGGAGGGTTAGGCTGCCAGGCGGGCGAGGCAGTTGGCCGCGGCGACCGTTCGGGCGGGAGAAAGAAAGTTCTTTTGCGGCCACCGGGCCCAGCAGAGAGGTTCCGCCTGGCCGAGGAGAGGCAGGAACCTTTACACTTCCGGTTCACTCCCCGCTAGGACCCTCCCCCAACTTCCTCTTCCTCTTCTCCTCCGCGGAACGCCTCTCTCTGGGTCCGCGGCGCGAACGCCACTAGTGCGCATGCGCAATGTACAGGCTGCCGGGAAGGCTAGAGTGGAGGGTAGGAGCCGGCGACAAGTGGGCGGGACTGGGAGGCAGAATGAAGGAGGCCCGGGGGAGGTCAAGACAGCGAATGGAGGAAGAGTGAGAGTACTTTCGATGGGATTAGGACGCTTCTGCACCACCATTAATGGGAAAAACTTTACTTTTTAAAAAACATAATCTTGGAGGGCATCTTGCTCAGCTTCTAAAAATGTATAGGAAGAGTGTTTAATTTGAATTCCTTCTTCCTTGCCTTTTCCCCTTCCCTCCCTCCTTTTCACCCCTCCCTCTCTCCGTCATCCAGTCTGACTGGGCTAAAAACGATGGAATAACGCTATTCCTGCCCTCCAGGAAATCTTCAACACTAAAACTACAATGTAAATTGAGTGTGTTAACACTATGTATAATGTTCCCTGGAGCAAAAAACTTAAGTGTGTGGCAGGAAAAAAAAAATTAACTCATCTTCCTGACCAGCAAATGACGTCCAGGCATTCAGTTTGATGCCGTAAAGTGGAGCAAACCAAACTGTCTAGTACAATTTGCGTTTTTTAAATTTACTGTTTGTTTTTAATGGTTTGAAACTTCAGGACTGTTCTGGTGAAGTCAGTTCTGTTCTTCCTAGGGTTTAGTTGTAATGCCATAGTGCATAGCTACCACTTGAATTGTTCCTCACAACCCTAATGATCCAGGCATGCGCACATGAACATAGATCCAATAAAAGCTCTTATTGGAGCTAGAAATATACGTATAATATATATACATATATAACTATTACTATATATAAAACTCATATATATAATCTATTATTTGTAACCCACTAAACACATTAACTAAGCTACTTTACCACCATTGCCGTACAGTGTAGGGGTTCCAAACAGACTCTGGAGCCAAATTGTTTAGTTTGCGATACAGGTCCCACTTCTTGCTAATTTTGTGTCTTCTTGGGCAAGTTACTGAACCCCCTTCTGCTTCAGTTTTCCACTTGTGTAAAATGGGGATGTCAATAGTGTTTGGAAATGTATTTTTTTTTTTTTTGCTATCATTTAGAGTAGAATAGCAAATGGGTTTCAAATCAGAAGAAATCCCTCCAAATATTAACATCTACCTAGATTGTCATTTGTTAATTTTACTCCCTGATAATTAGAAATACAAATCCACATACCCAATAGTGATACGATTTCTGGAAACAAATCTCAAGGGGGAATTTGTTAGGCAAGTCCTAGAATCTCCATCTCTTCTCCAACACACTCCCACCTGTGTGATTTCTGAGTTACATCATGCTGAGAGCTCTTGATTTATATCTTTGGCCGGGTGCAGTGGCTCATGCCTGTAATCCTAGCACCTTGGGAGGACAAGGCTGGAAGATCGCTTGAAGCCAGGAGTTGGAGACCAGCCAGGGCAACAAAATGAGACACCATCTCTACAAAACACAAAGATTAAAAAAATTAGTTGGGTACAGTGGCGGACTTCTGCCTTCCCAGCTACTTGGGAAGCTGAGGCAGGAGGATTACTTGAGCCCTGGAGTTTGAGGCCACAGTAAGCTATGATGGCACCACTGCATTCCAGCCTGGGTGACAGAGCAAGATCATCTAAAAAAAAAATCTTTAACTAGACTTTTCCTATGTGATCTATTCTTATATTTAACTTCTTACTCATTTGGATTTCTCAAACTTAACATGTCCAGAATAGGATCTGGTCTCCTGTAGATGTTAAACCTAGTTGTCCCCCACATATCTCTGTAAATGGCGCTGCCAACCACCCTATCACTAAAACCAGAAACATGGGAGTCATAATCACTCTTCCCATTCTCAACTTTTCTCTTATTCAATCCATCAGTAAATATTTCAAAATATGTCTTAAATTTGTTCATTTCTTGCCATCTTCACTATTACTACTCCCTGCACCCTCACATATCCCCCATCCCTGTCACTGTCATCTCTGTCTACACTGCTATGATGCTATGTGCTATGATAGCCTCCCTGTTGGTGTCCTATTTTCACTCATCCTTTTCTAGATAATTCCCCACTTTGGGAGTTACTCTTTTAAAACTTAAACATGCACTTGTTGTCCTAAGGCCTTTCAAAGGCTTCCTATTGCAGGTAGGTTAAAATCCTAACTACTTGATATGGCCTTCAGGGCCTTCTGTGCACTGACTGCTGATGGTAGGTGATAGTATCTCCTATCTCATGACAGTCCCTTGCCACCCCCATTGTTTCTTTGATTTTGAAATATCTTGTCTTCTGTCAGTTTCAAGCTAAACCAAGCTCATTCCACCCTAAGGCCTTTATGCTTCTTGTTTCTTCTCTGGAATGTTCTTCATCTAAGTCTTGTTCACTCCATCTGACTTTTGAGGTTTCAATGCAAACCTTCAGAGAGACCTCCCAGACCACCCACTTTAAATAGGTCCTTCAATTACTTACAGGGCCCAGCTTTTCCCCCATTTACAGCACATGTCACAAGTATTTTAATTATCTTTTTTGTTTACCTATTTTGGTAAGTATTCATGGTGTTAAACAAATAATTCCTTTGTCTGCCATTCTGGGCACAAGAGAGAACTGCTCTTCCTGGCTTGTAGTTGAATAATATCATGTAACTAATTTTGGCCTATTAGTTATGAGCAGACGTGAAATGAGTCACTTCCAGGCTTGTCATTGTAAGACCCTTCAGAACTCTTTCCTTCTACTACAGCAACTAGCAACATGCAAGATAGTGGCTACACAGTCAGTCTGGGTTCCTGTGTAACTACAATGAGCAGAGCTCCCTCACTGTCCTATAATGGATATATAGGATGAATATGAATTTAACTTGTATTGTTTTCAGCCATTGAAATTGTGGTGTTTATTACTAGAGGAACACTGAACCAATCTTGACTAACACAGAAATTAGTGTCAGAATGGGAATGTTACTAGAACAAAACCTTTAAATAAATGGCATTGGCTCAGTGGCTGGGGAGTATACAACAAAGGAAGTGATAGGAGAAGCCGTAAAGATGGTGATTCATACTCACAGGAGTGAAACCTTTGGCAAAACTGTAATAATATGGGGAAGGTCTAGTAGTTCTAGAGGAAAAGGCCAGAAAATGGAAAGCTGGTGGCATGTATCAGTAACTATTGACTATATAAAATACTGTTACTGGTGGAGGGTGTCCAGGTTCTTGGCACTGTGAACAAAGAATTGGACAAAATGCACAAAGCAAGGAAAGAATGAAGCAACAAAAGCAGAGATTTATTGAAAATGAAAGCACACTCTGTAGCGTGGGAACAGGCTGGAGAAAGTGGCTCAAGGACCTGGTTACAGAATTTTCTGGGGTTTAAATACACTCTAGAGGTTTCCTGTTGGTTACTTGGTGTACACCCTATGTAAATGAAGTAGTGGCCCGCAATCAGTCTGATTGGTTGCAGGAGGGGAACAATCAGAGACTGAAGCAAAGTTACAGTTACACCCTATGCAAACGACTAATTGGTTGCAGAAAGTGATGAATCAGAGGCTGAAGTGAAGTTACAAAGTTATACTCCTATGCAAAGGAAGACTTGGCCTGTGACCAGCCTGATTGACTGCAGGAGGGGACCAGTCAGAGGTACTTACAATTTTTTATCTGACACTCAGAAAAGATGGGGGTTGCAAAGGGAGTAGCCTTGAGTCCATTTGTTACTTAGGCATGGGAAGTTGGGGTTTTCCTTTTGATTTAGTTTTAGGAAGTCAGTGTGAATCAGCCTTAGATGATTAAAAAAGATTTAATTAATCTCCGTGCCTCCAGACCCTATTCTCCTGTCTCAATACTACAGGAAATGATGAGTTTAGAAAATAATTGTCCAGCTTGCAGTTAGGAAAGAAAGTGATTATAGGAAGCTATAAACTTGGAGACATGCACGTTTAGAAGATGCAAGTGATTCTCATTATTATTCATTAAAAACAAAACTGAGATGAGCAACAAAGGTTGATTAGAACTCAACCTCTTGGCAAGGATCAAATTACGGGTGTGATAGTCACACCCATGACTAAAACCTCCGAATAGATTAAAGTGGTACCCCATGAATCTTTTCAGTTGAACAACATGGCACAGGTCTTCCCATGACAGAGCTGGATAGATTCAAGGTACCTACAAGAAAGAATTAAAAGAGAAAGTTGTGACTTAGTGCAGTGGAGACACACACAATCATGGTATGTGGAGCTAGCTTGAATCAAATATGGAAGAAGCTGGCTAAATTTTTGAGAGACATGCCAAAATAGCTATCAGTCAAGACTAAAGGAAACTGTAAATAGACTCCAAGTGGGAGTGGGGCTTCAACCTTCTGTGGACAGAGTTGTCTGAGAACGCTGCTCAGACTTTAAGGAGATCACATTTTCCAGTGCTCACTTAAGGACAAGGAGGCCGGGTATAGTGGCTCATGCCTGTAATCCCAGCACTTTGGGAGGTCGAGGCGGGTGAATCACGAGGTCAGGAGTTTGAGACCAGCCTGGCCAACATAGTGAAACCCCATCTCTACTAAAAATACAAAAAATTAGCCGGGCATGGTGGCAGGTGCCTGTAAAATCTCAGCTACTCTGGAGGCTGAGGCAAGAGAATCGCTTGAACTTGGGAGGCGGAAGTTGCAGTGAGCCGAGATCACGCTGCTGCACTCCAGCCCAGGTGACAGTGCAAGACTCTGTCTTCAAAAAAAAAAAAAGAAATAGATAAGGACAGGGATAATGTGGTGCAAACCCAAAAGTATCTGAGACAGGTCCTCAATCAATTTAGGAGTTTATTTTTCCAAGATTAAGGACATACCTGGAACAAATGAACATGGAATCGCAGAAACAGTCTGTGATCTGTGCCTTTCTTCAAAGATGATTTTGAGAGTTTCAGTATTTAAAGGGGAGAAGTGGGCTGGAGGAGAGAAAGGGAGGGTATGATAATCCACATGTTGCTAGAGAAAAGGAGCAGGTAGAGAAATAGTCAATTGTGTATTTGTCTCATACTCAGTAAACCAGCATACTTTACATAAGGTGAACATAAAGAAGCTACCTGTGGAGATGTTTAACCTTTTATCTGTTGCTATCTGCTTAGGAACAGAAAGGAAAGTCAGCTTCTTGCATGACTCAGCTTTCAGCTTAATTTTTTTTTTCTTTTAGCATTGTGAACTCGAGTTGTTTTTATTTTCCTTTCACATTTCGCTGCCCTTTTCTTTTTAAAATCTTTCGGAGAAAGCATTTTAGAAGAAAATGAGTCTCTGGTTTTGTCTGATCTCTCATGCCTAGGATAGTTTATTCCTAGAAAGACAGGTCCCACATTGTTAGGAAAGCTCATTTTTAGCAGGTTGTAAGGTCTCGCATCCCACAAAGAAAAAAAAATGGGAGAGGAAGAGAGAAAGAAAACAACAAACAAACAAAAAGTGAAAACAGTCTTGGAAAACTGATATAGGCCATATTACTCTGAAGTCCATACATCAGTAGGCAGGTATAAAAGTGGTTTATGTATATAAATAGGTTGCTGTTATTTTCTTGCAAAGTTTAAGTTGTCTAGCTTCAGTTTGCACGGCTTTAAGAAGAGCACAGCTTCATTCCTAGTGATTTCAAGTCAGGAAAAATGGACAAAAAAGGAAAAAGGGAAAAAAATTGTAAACATTATTTTGGAGACTTATAGTCAGGAAAAATTTTAGAATTCAGTCTAAATTGTGGAAAATAATAAAAATCAGAAACATTAGGCAAGACTAGAATCTAATAACAGGTGTACTATAGTTTGAAATGTAATTTTTCTGTCTCCAATTTTCAAATTTTATTAAAGACAAAATCATAGTAGGACCAATTTATGTTTCAAATAAGTTTTAGTTCTATTTACTTGGCTTGATTATTTGCATAAAGTTCAGCAAGAATAATCATTTGCCATGCAGGCTCTCTCTTTCTCTTTATAAAATTGGCTTTGCTGGAAGCTTTTCATAAGGAATCTAAGATTTGAACTTTTTAAAAGCCTTGAGCCCAGCTAAGAATTTACTGTGCCTGCAGATACCTGTGTGAATTGGGTGAATTACTCTTTTTTCAAGGTCCCAAGAAAACCTGAGTTTCCTGGGCCTGTCAGAAAGTGACATTCTTTACTTATCCCAAGTCAGTACGCTGCAAATAAAAATGTATGATCCCAGGTTTTCCAAGGCGCTTTTATTGGCTTTATAGGTCAGCCTCATTTTCTCAAGGCCATCTGAAAATGTCATTACAATCAAAGTCTTGATGAAATCACCAGTGTCTCCAATTATGTCCTGTTATAAAAGAAAATAGATTCTTATTGAATTTATGCAAAGAACTACATTGTCATAAACTAAGGATATTCACCAAATAGTTTCCAAATTCTGAAGCAATTGCAATGGAGTTGTTTTAAATTTTTCTTATTAGAGTATACTTTACTCAATTGTTAAAAGCTGTAAACAGCTTAAAGAAGAGAAAACTTTCTTGACTCTAGAAAACAAAACAGGAAGAATCAGCAAGTGTTTTAGACAAAAAGCCATAAAAGAGGATTTCAATCTTCTGTTAGTTCAGTCCATGCAATTAATTCCTGTTCTGCTCGATATTGGATCAGCAATCCTCCTGAATACATCAGCTCTCCATGAGAGTTCTGGGAGTTTTCTTTCTCTTTATTCCAATGGCATATTTTCTAAAGATATTAGAAACCTATATTTAAGAGTACTCCTCAGAGTTCTATAGCTGATTATAAACCACCCTATAAAAGGATGAAGTAAAACAATCATGGATGACAAAAGTCTTAGAACAGCCATGGGTAAAGATACAAATGACAAGGAAATTTGGTTACTTCTGTGGCATACAACAGTTTTACATAGCAATTATAATTATTACTGATAATATATACTAAGACATATCAGAATCTCAGGAATCTCATACAATTTTGGAACACATGCTAATGACACATTTATATAAATATAATCAAGCCAGGTGCAGTGGCTCACGCCTGTGATCCCAACACTTTGGGAGGCCAAGGCAGGTGGATCACTTGAGGTCAGGAGTTTGAGACCAGCCTGGCCAACATGGTGAAACCCCTCTCTGCTATAAATGCAAAAATTAGCCAGGCATGGTGGCGGACACCTGTAGTCCCAGCTACTCAGGAGGCTGAGGCAGGAGAATTGCTGGAACCCAGGAGGCAGAGGTTGCAGTGAGCTGAGATCGTGCCACTGCACTCAAGCCTGGGTGACAGAGTGAGTGAGACTGTATTTCATAAATAAGTCAATAAATAAATAAATATTATCCAAAGAAGTTTAAACACCATTTTATATTTGACAATGCCTCCTGTATGATTTTATTATACCAAATAAGCTGAATATGTCTCCTTGGGACTTCAGGGGACCTAATATCAAAACATTAATGAAGCCAAAAGGATTGAATTTATCATTTGATTTTGGAAAGTCTGTCCGATATTAAAAGTTTAAAACTCTTGGTATCACAAAATAGAGTCACAAGTCTTGTAAAATAAGTCATTTATTTAGGCAAAGTGATAACTCAAAGATTTCCAAAAAAAAAAGCAAAAACTTTTATTCTTTGAGAAAGGAAACTTACTTTCCCAAACAATAAGCCCTAATAAAGACAGCATAAGGTGATTAAATCTGTCTCTCAAATTTCATAAACAAATCTATTAAATTTTATTTTTTGGTGTTTTTTTTGTTTGTTTGTTTTTGTTTTTTTTGTGAGACAAGGTCTTTCTCTGTTGTCCAGGCTGGAATGCAGTGGCATGATCTCAGCTCACTGCAACCTCCACTTCCCAGGCTCAAGTGATCCTCCTGCCTTAGCCTCCCGAGTAGCTTAGTCCTGAATAGCTGGAACTACAGGTGTGTGCCACCCCACCAGGCTAATCCATTACATTTTAATCATCTTGACCATAAGATATAATTTCTATAAACCTTGTAATAACTTTTTTTTTTTTAATTAGAGAGTGGGTTAATGCTCCAAGAAAACCTTGTTAATCTGACACAGGGGCTCAGATGCTCATCTTGCATCGTGTGCCATTGATATTAATTTTTAATTTACAGAGAAACTTTGAACTAATTTTCTCTCCCAGAATCAGCCCTATAATCTCACACACTCAGTGTGAGATTTCACACTAGTTCCTGGGCCTAGAGGGGTTGAATAGTTTTAACTTCTGACTCTGTGTCTCATGAATGCAGTTTACTTTGATTGTCATATTCTCTCAGGTCTGAAGATAAGGCTTTAGCTAATGTCAGTGCTTGCAAGAATTAGCAAGACTTGGTGTCCGTTTTAGATCCAGGAGTCAAAGCCCTGTAACTTAACAGCACAAAGAGTTTAAAAAGAATACAGAAAATTACATGGATGTAATAACCTTAAGTTTTTAAAATCTCAGTTTTCTAGGACTTGAATAATTAGGAAGAGTGTGGCCTAGGTCATAAGGGAAAGTTTTTTATTTAATAGAAGAGTTTAAAGCTAAGAGCACAGAATGTTATGTTGGAAGAAAACATTTTCATTAGATCTTTGGGATAAAACATTTTTAGCATCAGGCCACAACTACAGTTAGAACCTGAGGAAAAAAATTATAAGAGCTCATGAAAAAGTTGAAGGAGAGAGTTATTGTCTCAGGCCTTCTCAAAGGGGAGAGAAAGCCAAAAACAGTGAGACACAATAAAAGTTGAGCTTTTGGGTTAAAAATGTTAAAATTTCTTATAATTTTATAAGAATAAATTAATACTTTAAGAAAATTTTGTTTTTCTAAACAATTCTTCAGTTTATTAATATATATTTTTAATATTAAAGGCCAATCTCTAGAAAGACTAGTATAAATAATTTCCTTTTTTAATTATAGCCAACTTGATCACATAAAGTTTTTTTTCATAATTTCTTTATACAAACCTTATTATGACTTACACAAACCATTTATAACATGGTTGGACTTCCGGTTTCATCCCACTTTCTTTAATAACCAGTCATTTTATTTTGGGACAAAAAATTCATCACACAAGATTCTTTCTCATATAGAATTTTTTTCCTTTTAAGTTTTCTTACTAAAAAACCCCCTTTATATTCATAATTTTCTTTACATTTCTCTTATTTACTGGTTCTGTTTACCTTGTTTTATAAATAACCTTTAAATAATGTTTGACTTAGACAAAAATTATTTTTTTAATAAGAACACCTCTTTTTTTTTTTTTTGTTTCTGAGATGGAGTCTTGCTCTGTGACCCAGGCTAGAGTGTAGTGGCATGATCTCGGCTCACTGCAACCTCCACCTCCTGGGTTCAAGCAATTCTCCTGCCTCAGCCTCCCAAGTAGCTGGAATTATAGGTGCCTGCCACCATGCCCAGCTAATTGTTTTTTGCATTTTTAGTAGAGATGGGGTTTCACCATGTTGGCCAGGCTAGTCTCGAACCCCTGACCTTGTGATCTGCCCACCTTGGCCTCCCAAAGTGTTGGGATTATAGGTGTGAGCCACAGTGCTCAGCCAATAAGAACACTTCTTTTAGAAAAATGGTTTCCTATAATGTAATTTTTTAAAAAATCAGAACTGACCCAGACATTTAATACATATTTATTATCTAATTTCAGATTCTAAGGTATATTACAAGTTTATTTACAAGCATTTATTCCATTACATTTGCCTAATTAATTTTTTAGTAGTTTACGTAGATTACTTATGAAAATTGTGATAGTCATCATTTGAAGTTATTTCCCTGTTAAACATTTTTATAACCTGTGAATTTCAGGTGTTTATACCTAAGTAAGAACCTTAAAGTTAAATAAATGTGTGTATGTGTGTGTGTTTTGCAAACAACTCAGGATTTAGCTGTTTTCATTAATCCAACAATATTAAATGCCTTATTTATCAAAAAATTGCACAAAGATAATTTCCTTTTCAGCTGCATTTATAACTTTATAAGCATCATGCAAAATCTTGACACCTTATAATATTTAGCAGAGATAAATACACAACCACTTGACCAAAAAATCTAAATAATAATGCAAGAGTGTCCAATCTTTTGGCTTTCCTGAGTCACATTGGAAGAAGAAAAATTATCTTGGGCCACACATAAAATGCACTAACTCTAGTGATAGCTGATGAGCTAAAAAAAAAAAAATCACATGAGATGATCTCATAATGTTTTAAGAAAGTTTATGAACTTGTGTTGGGCCATATTCAAAGCCATTATGGGCCACATGCAGCCCAGGGGCTGTGGGTTGGACAAGCTTGCAATAATGTATGTAGACAATTCTGAAGACATTTCTAATATTATTTTACTAATAATTTTAAAGCCTGCCTATTTATTAAAGATTTACTTAAGTTATATAAACTTGAGAATCCTTTGGGCTTATTTACTTAATGAATACTCCTTTATTTTTAAACCAGTTTGGTACCTTATGGCCACAACACATAACAAAACACATGCATGTACATGTAAACACACCTAAGCACACATGCACACCCATACAAATAAGGATCCTATAGCCTTTACTTTGGAATTCTAACCGTGAAATATCAATACAAACTCACCAGTTTACAAAAAAAAAAATGGTTGGATGTGAACAGTGGTTTTTATCTCCACACCAGTAGCAATGCAATCAAAGACCTCCATTTTTCTAAGAAAAAGAGAATGAATTATTATCGTGTTTTATTTTTTTCTCTTCTTTTATCTTTTCTCCATTTTCCCCACCCTCTACTTTCTGCTTAGCCCTTTAGAAATGCAATTATAACCTTTTACCTTCCTTTCACCAGACACTCCCTACAGGGAAAGTTCATCTAATTATGTGCTTAGAAGCTTCAGGGTGGAACTCTCACCCATGAGGAGGTTGCCTGGAGAGACAACGGTCAATCTACAACCCAAAGTATACCTGCTATGAAAATGTCTCTCACTTGGAGAGTTTTGGGCACCTTTACAACCTAGTTCTGTCCAGGAAGGTGCCAGCAGTTGTCAGCTCAACCACCCAGCAGATAAGGCACTGAAGAGAGTTATGTGGACCCCCACCTGCTCACTTTCTTCCCTGTGTGCCATTCATGTCAAGCCCCCTTTAAAAAGTGTCTGCGTTCTGCCTCCAAAAGCAAAGTGGTACCCTTAAGGCAGGAAGCTTATTCCCCTAAGCTGGCTTTGGAATAAAAAGTCACTTTCTTTATACCAGACCTTGCTCTTGTTAATTGGACTCTGTAAGCAGTGAACAACTGAAGTTGTGTTTTCGTTACAGAAAAGTCCTCTAAACTAGAAAAAATTACATTTTCTCAAGCAAAAACCACATATTCATGTTTTTTGTAAACTTCACCAAAACATCCTACTCTCCTGCTATTCTAACTCTTTTTTTTTTTTTTTTTTTGAGACGGAGTCTCACTCTGTTGTCAGGCTGGAGTGCAGTGGCATGATCTCAGCTCACTGCAACCTCCACCTCCTAGGTTCAAGCAATTCCCCTGCCTCAGCCTCCTGAGTAGCTGGGACTACAGGTGTGTGCCACCACGCCTGGCTATTTTTTTTTGGTATTTTAGTAGAGATGGGCTTTCACCATGTTGGCCAGGTTGGTCTCAATCTCCTGACCTCGTGATCTGCCTGCCTCAGTCTCCCAAAGTGCTGGGATTACAGGTGTGAGCCACCATGTCTGGTCTATTCTAACTCTTGGTAACCCTACTCCCAGTAAAAAACCTAGGATTACTTAATTTAACATGACCTGACTTTAAGATTTTAAATTATTGGAGAGAATTTTGAGACTATATTTACCAAATTAATCTTACCAAAGATTACTAAAGTCATGTGAACTGAAAAGCCTCTGAATTAGTTTCTATTAGTCTGATAAATGCTTACTTTTCTTTAGGCCAATTAATTAGAGCTCTTTTATATAATTGGTAGTGAAATATTATTTTCACATGCTATACATGAACATATAGGCATATCAGACTCAGACAGACAGATCTTATGGATTTAAAGTTTTTCATTTGCCTGTTTTCAAAAATTTTCCCTTCCCTACTTTAGACTATTAATTTATTGATTACCTCTTCTGTATCCTACACAATTGTTAACGAAATTTGGATCTCCAAAGACCTAACTTTAGGTAAAACAAGGTAGACAATGTACATCTCAAAAGCACATTCTTAGATCTAAACAAAGGCAAGGTCTGTTATATAAACTTTAAGCCATTGTTTTCTCCTTAGTTAAAATTCCTAGTGGTTTAGGTGCAGAGACATAGATGTTCTTAAAAAAGAGATTTTGGCCGGGTGCAGTGCCTCATGCCTGTAATCCCAGCACTTTGGGAGGGTGATGTGGGTGGATCACTTGAGCTCAGGAGTTCTAGAGCAGCCTGGGCAACATGGCAAAACCCCGTCTCTACAAAAATACAAAAATTAGCTGGGTGTGGTGGCTCATCCCTGCAGTCCCAGCTACTTGGGAGGCTGAGGCAGGAGGATCACTTGAGCCCAGGAGGTGGAGGTTGCAGTGAGTGGAGATTTGCCACTGCACTCCAGCCTGGGTAACTGAGCTGGACTCTGTCTCAAAAAAAAAAAAAAAAGATTTCCTTTAATTATGTAAATTTCCTTTATTAAAATAACTTAGTTTGATAGATGATATTTTAACTGTAGCTTCATTAGATTACTGGCTTTAGGGTGGAGCCTTTTAAGGAATAGGGCCAAGAAAGCATGTACAACTTTCTTATATTCAAGAATGTTCAAAAAAACAAGTAGTCAGCTGTAGTAATGGTCATTTTCTGTAAAATCCTCAGCTACTCCCAACATTGTAGCTCTTGTCCACTGTTACACACACCAAGGTCAAATCCTCTTACAGTACAGGGTAATCTCTGGTATCCCCAAAAAGCCAAAGAGGTCAAGTAATGCCATACAAGAAAGCAAAACCTTAGACCTGAGAATAATCTGTCCATGACTCTTGAAACTCCACAAAGAAAGCAGAACACCTCAGAAAAGGGTGAGTGGCACATTTATTCTGAGTTCTTTAAGAGGTCCAAGTCATTAGGAGCCTTATCTAGATTTTTTTTTCCACTTCATACCGAAGATGACAAAAGAGGAAGAAGGAATAGGGTTGAAGAAAAGTAAACAAAAGAACAATTTTTTAAGAAAGGAAGCAAACAGAGAAATAAAGTTTTTTTTTTTTTTTTCAGCTGTGAGGAATTTTAGCTAATTCAGAGGACTCCTTCCCATAATTTGTAATTCTCATTTAGATTTGACCAAGTCAGGTAAAGGTGGTCAAATCTGATGGGAGAAAGACTGGAGCAACAATAACAAACCAAAGAATATAATTACTGAGTGCTCTAATGGTAAAGAGGAATTAAGATCAGCTGGTTGCCAATCTTAACTTTTAGTCATTAAGGAGAATTTTCAAGACAAAATCCCAATTCAGCTGCTTACTAGGAGTGCGGCCCAGGCTCAAGGCTGCTTTCTACCATCTTAGAAGCAGAAAAAAACCTCAAACTTGCCTTTCCTCTTGGAAGCAAGCTGAAAATCCAGAAAGGAGTTGCCTGCACTCCATCAACATGGAAACAGAAAAACTCACTTTCCTTGTTGGACGTGAGCGAAACTCCAGAAAAGGAGTTGTACAGCAAGATAAACCTTAGGTCTCAACCAAATTTGGGGAGATCAGGGATTCTCTGGAGAGGAAATCTCTGCACCTCAGCAAATTGTCCCATTGGTTTGAGCAATAAAGATAGTTCAAGCTGGTACCAAGCATTGATAGATTTGTTAAAGGTCAGGGCCACCTCCATTCAGAGTTCCCCGTGTTGGTCACCAATTTGTAAACCAAAATGTATCTGAGACAGGTCTCAATCAATTTAGAAGTTTAGTTTGCCAAGATTAAGGACATACCTGGAACAAATAAACGTGGAATCACAGGAAGTCTGTGGTCTGTGCCTTTCTTCAAAGATGACTTTGAGGGCTTCAGTATTTAAAGGCGAAAAGTGGCTGGAGGGGAAAGAGGGAGTGTGTGATAGTCCACATGCTGCAAGAGAAAAGAAGCAGGTAGGGCAATAGTTAATTGTGTATTTGTCTTGTGGTCAGTAAATCAGCACTTTATATAAGATACGGTGAACATAGAGTGGCTACCTGTGGAGATGTTCAACCTTTTGTCTGTAGCTATCGGTTTAGGAACAACAGGAAAGGCAGCTTCTTGCATGACTCAGCTTTCAGCTTAAGTTTTTTTTTCTTTTGGCATAGTAAATCAGGCCCCACGTTTTATTTTTTTCATAGTGGAAAAGAACCCCTCTACACTTTGGGAGGCTGAGGTGGGTGGATCACCTGAGTTCGGGTATTCGAGACCAGCCTGGCCAATATGGTGAAACCCAGTCTCTACTAAAAATACAAAAAATTAGCTGGGCGTGGTGGTGGGTGCCTGTAATCCCAGCTACTTGGGAGACTGAGGCAGGAGAATCACTTGAACCCAGGAGGCAGAGGTTGCAGTGAGCCGAGATTGTCCCACTGCACTCTAGCCTGGGCATGACAGAGCGAGACTCCGTCTCAAAAACAGACAGACAAACAAAGAAAAACCCTCTAGAAGGTAGAGCTAAGACCACAGGAAACAATGTGCTAGTGGTGGGGTGGGGGTGGGGGGTACCATGGGTCAGGATTGAGGCCTAATCAAGGAACATTCCCACCCTGGTTGAGAGGACCCTTGCAATGTCTGCTGGGCAGGATTCCGAGAGTGCCACAGACTAATGATGGCTGGCTGTGTCTCATTCTTTCCCTTTTGGAATGGGAGTGCTTATCGTAGGTATCCTGGGAGAATTCCCTCAGCATAATTAAGAATGTGAGTTAATCAAGATTCATGCCTGAATATTCAGTCACTTCATCTTTACATGGCAATGGGCCAAGGCAACACCTACAAACAGGGTCTACATATTACTCAAACCCAAAGAATTTTGAGGTCTGCTTCAAAACACCAAAAAAAGAGAATTATCTTAAAAGATGGCCATGACAGTTATAGCTGGGATCATGTTCTTTTATTTTCATATTACCAAAGTAATGCATGAATGCATGCTTATTTTTTTTTAAAATTTAGGAAAACATCATTGTACACCGAGTAAAAAGTGAAAATATTGTTTATTGCAGTCCACAATCTCTTCCTTGCACAACCCCACTTATCTCCCCATAGATAGCCACTGAAATCGTTCAGCAGAACTGATGAACTATGGTATAACTCTTAATGTGAGATAGGAAAAACATAACAAAAATGGTTATATAAGTGTATTGTGTAGATGTGTACTTAGGAAAGTGCTAGAAGGAATCAAATATTAATCATGGCATTCCCTGAATTGTGGGATTATGCTTGTTATTTGCTTTCTTCCTGATGTTTTTCTAAGTTTTCTAATTTTCGATATAAAAATGCTAATTTTGTTCAGTTCCCACCTATGAGTGAGAATATGCGGTGTTTGGTTTTTTGTTCTTGCGATAGTTTACTGAGAATGATGATTTCCAATTTCATCCATGTCCCTACAAAGGACATGAATGCTAGATGACGAGTTAGTGGGTGCAGCGCACCAGCATGGCACATGTATACATATGTAACTAACCTGCACAATGTGCACATGTACCCTAAAACTTAAAGTATAATTAAAAAAAAAAAGAGAGAAAAAAATGCTAATTTTATATTTATGTAGAGCAGGATTTATGTCCAATTCAATTGAAGGAGTTTCAAGTCATTGCAGTAAAAAGTTTTATAAAAGTCGGGTGCGAAGAACGAGTAATGAGGTAGGCCTACAAGACAGTCAACACAAGAAGAATTTACAAGTAATTCAATAAATACCTATTCAGTGCCAACATTGTTTTAGGAGTTAAGAAGAAAATGGTGATTAAGACAGGTAAGATCCCTCTTCTCATGGACATAAATATGTCACAAAGGAGGCAGATTATGAATAATACATCAATAAGATAATTCAGGTAATATCTAGTGCTATGAAGAAACTAAAGAAGGGCATGGTAATAGCACATGCTGTCAGGGAGTAATATCTGCGAGACAGGACAGTCAAAGAAGGCCTCTCTGGGGCCTTCGGAGCTGAGACTTGGATGCGAAGGACCAACCTACTCAATGCTCTGCAGCCAGAGCATTTGAGGCAGAAGAAACAGCAGTTGCAAAAACCAAGGCAGGTATAGGCTTGGTTGATTCAGGGAGTGGGTGGATTCAGCTGGTACAAATCTGTGAAGGCAAATCCTGATAGTAATATGAACCTGTTGAATGGATGGTAGTTACACACATTGAAATGTCTGCACTTTTGGCAGGGATTTTCTTGAGAGGAAAAAGTATGACCTATAAAATATTATTGACAAAGTTTTCAAATGTGGCAAGAGCAACTGCAGTGCTAAAATGGTATTAAACCACACAGAAGCTAGGCACGGTGGCTCACGCCTGTAATCCCAGTATTTTGGGAGGCCGATGAGAACGGATCACCCGAGGTCAGGAGTTCGACACCAGCCTGGCTAACATGGGTGAAATCCCGTCTCTACTAAAAATACAAAATTAGCCAGGAGTGGTGGCACACGCTTGTAGTCCCAGCTGTTCGGGAGACTGAGGCAGGAGAATCGCTTGATGCCAGGAGGTGAAGGTTGCAGTGGGCAGAGATCATGCAACTGCTCTCCAGCTTGGGCAACAGAGTGAAACTCTGTCTAAAAAACCAAAACCAAAACCAAAACCAAGCCAAACCAAACCAAAACAAAACAAAACAAAAAACCCACACAGAAAGCCTACATGAGTATAAAAGTCAGTTTTCTGTTTTCCTTTTTTTGTTTGCTTATAATCTAAATATAGACTCAGTATCATGAACAGCTAAGACATGTATAGTTACTTTTTTTATTTTTATTTTTTGAGACAGGGCGTCTCTCTGTCACCCAGGTAGGAGTGTAGTGTTGTGATCATGACTCACTGCAACCTCAATATCCCTGGCCCAAGCCATCCTCCTGCCTAAGCCTCCCGAGTAGCTGGGACTACAGGTGCACACCACCACACCCAGCTTCTTTTTTTAAAAAAATTATTTTTAGTAGAGATGAGGTCTTGATATGTTGCCCAAGCTGGTCTTGAACTCCTGAGCTCAAGGGATCCTCCTGTCTAGGCTTCCCAAAGTGCTGGGATTACAGGTGTGAGCCACCACAGCTGGCCATAGTTAGTTAAACAATTTCAAGATGAGATCTCAGAGAGCCCTTTTCTTCACCATGGCTGATTAAGCTCTCTAAAAGTAAGGTACAGTGTCAGCACTGAGTTCTAGGCAGCAGATGCTGAGTCAGCGAGCAGTAATTGTCTAAGACCTGAGTTGAGTCAGAGATCTTAGCATACAGGCTATGTTGTGTGTGCGTTTGTTGGGGGTGGGATGAGGTGGGGTGTGTGTGTGGCTACGAATCTGGGAGGCCACAGCAGTTGGGCTGGACATACAACCGGAATGATCAAATGTGGAGCTAGAGCTGCCTAGATACTCTGCTTCAAAGGATCCAGCTTCATTTTTAAAACAAGAGTAGGCTGTGCTTCAGTGGACTAATTTATGGAAGATGGAGACCGTGAGGGGCCTTGAAATTATAGCTCTGATCTTTCAGAAACTACCTACCAAGGATTGGGTCCTGCTGGCAGCAGCAGACTCAGAGTGTGGCTGGCTTAGCTGAGAGAGGATGAATCATTTTAGGAAGATGGTGAGTGAACTTGATGAAACAGAGATGTTTAGTTTAAAGATAAGGGGGATCCTGACTTTTTGTAAAGTTTATTATGAGAAGAACATTACCGAGATGTTTGAATTTCTTCATTTTTGTAAATTGTATTTCACTTTTTTGGTGTTTTAAATTTTTTAATTATTTGTAAATTAATACGTATTTGTACATGGAACATGTGAAATTTTGATACATGTATGCAGTGTGATTTAATGTGATGAAATCAAGGTATTTAGGATATCTATTGCCTGGAACATTGATCATTTCTTATTGTTTTATTCTTATTGCCTTGGTTTATAGAGGCAAATGTATTGTCACAGACAGAATAGAACCAGCTGGAAAGTGTGCTGGTTTTTCTTTTATTAACCACAGCTATGTGGATTCTGGTGCCCAGCACCACTAGTCACTTTTGGCAGTACCTGAATTTTAGGGTACATCTTTGGTTGAGATGAATAGTCTTTGAAATGTTAGCTTTGCATTCCTAAATATATAATAGAAAAAGGCAAATGTCAGTCTGACACAGGTGACAGCAGTTGCTGAAATGGACCCTGGATTCATTGTAAAACCAGATGGTTTAGGAGACAGAAATTTAGATGGCAAAGTCTGCCATATTGAGTTGAACAAATAAAACCTTAAAGGAAGAGCCAAAGTCTTGATGGACTATTAAACAACAACCTGTCTTGATGAGCAGGCATCAATAACATGTCAGTGCTGGTTACGGTAACAATAAGAAGACAATATAACCTCTATTCAGATGCATCAAGGATAACTTCCAAAAACATGCCTGTAGCTGGAGGGAAATGGATTTTCAGTTCAAGTTACACACATTGAAATGTCTGCATTTGTAACACTTCTGACTAATAATTCTGAAATGTCTTGCTTTGTATTTACTTAAGAATACATATGGGGCAAAGGAATCAAATTCTGTAAAATGGAAAGATGGGTTACTAGGAAACATACATAAATATACACAAATAGATACTAATGTATGTAACTGAGCAATTAACACCTATAATTTACTTTCTTCCAAATAGGTTCATTCCAGTCTCTGAAGCAGTTCACGCTGTTGACTCTGGGCAGTAGCATCTTTTCCTCACCTCGTATTGCCAGTAACTGGAGCAATATGAGGTAGGGAGAAGATGTCTCCATGACCTGCTCCTTCAGAAGCTCTGTGCTTCATCAATAGTCAACTGATAAACACTTTCCAGTGCCCAAAGCCAAAGGATTGTGATTGTTCTTTATGTCACTTATTTCTTTATAGCTTTCCTTATGTGGCTTATTTTCCCCTCCAATGCTGGAGGATAAAGGAATGAGGAATTACAGTACTTTGGGAAACTTCAAATGTTCAGATCCAGCACTGAACTCTATGAATAATTATCTCCGTGTTGCAAGGTCCTCCAGTAGAAAGAGAATGAATATTTCTGCCAGCTTTAGGGTAATTTACTAAGGGAGAAAGAAGGCAATTCCAACTTCCATGAGCTGTGTCTTTGTACAACATAAAATATCTAAGTCATAAATAAAAGTCTTATAAATGTTAAGACTAATGAAAAAATCATGTATCAATATGTTCAACACATTTCTCTTGATTGAATAAGGCTTGGAGCATAATATTTCTGTTTTAAAGATTATACCTATACATTTGTTCTTTCTTTGATCTATTTTATGTCAAATTTTTGTTCAATAACAAATCGTAAGATTGTTCTTATGAGAAAATGTGATATTTTATGATGATTCATTTTATTTTCTATCCCTAGGCACTGTATAGTAAAAATTTGGAACCACATATATGTATATTTTCTTTTCTTTTCTGTTTTTTTTGAGACAGAGTCTCACTGTGTCACCAGGCTGGAGTGCTGTGGCAGGATCTCGGCTCACTGCAACCTCTGCCTCCAGGGTTTGAGCAATTTTTCTGCCTCAGCCTCCCGAGTAGCTGAGACTATAGGCACACGACACTATGCCAGCTAATTTTTGTACTTTTTGTAGAGATGGGGTTTCAGCATGTTGGCCAGGATGGTTTTGATCCCTTGACCTTGTGATCCGCCCACCTTGGCCTCCCAAAGTGCTGGGATTACAGGTGTGAGCCACCACACCCGGCCTATGTGTATGTTTTCTAGTAAATTTGGGGAGGGTCCAATTGTAGTATGACCCCTTCTCTACCCCTCAAAATATGTAACTATGCAGATTCATTCTCTGGGTAGGAGCAAGTGTAATACAGATTGCATGTTACAGATATGCTGATTTTGTAGCTTAAAGCGAATACTTAACTGGCATGCATGCCATGAGACAGCCTTGTCATGGAGGCCTATACTTATTAACCACAGGACAGTAGATTGTGGAAAGGAGTTCGGAAGGAAAAGAATAATGGTAAAAACAAACATCCTATTGTTTTATAGATTGTCAAATGCTTTTACATGATTTCACGTGCACATCAAACTTACCCTATGAAGTTGGTTTTGTTTTAAGTCATTTTGCAGTTGTGGAAATGAAACAGAGAGAGATTCTGTGACTTTCCAAGGCCATATAAGCCGTAGGTGGAAGAGCTGGATGTCCATGATGGCTTCAGGACTATACTGTTTAGAAAAATCAGGGGAAGACATACATGGGTTAGTAAGCACTGGAGTTGTGTTCATTAAAGTCCCCAGTTTCAATGCACATAATTGAATAAATATGTTTCAGAATTTTCAGAACAGGAGATCTGGGTGTGGCTTCATCTTCCACAGTCCACGTTTGAGGATGAGATCAGAAAGAATCTTGCTTTAATGACCTGGCAGCCAGAAAATATGTCACTAGGCCAGAAGTTGAGGAGGAAGAGTTATGGAGTGAGAAAGGAAAACTGGAAATGCCTATGAAAGTCATTGTATTCCTATCAGAGTGCTCAAACTCCAAAGTATTGACATTTTGGGTCAGATAATATTTTGTGGGGAGCTGTCCTGTGCATTACAGGGTGTTGAGCACCGTCCCTCGCTTCTACCCACTAAGTGCCAGTAACATTGTACCTCCTCATCCCCAGTTGCATCAGCCAGAAATGTCTCCAGGCATTGCCAAATGTCCCTCAAGGTACAAAACCAACCCTGGTTGAGAACCATTGATTAAGATGAATCAGACTGAATTGAGTAACCAAGACTGTATGCTTCAACTTTACCTACTGCACATGGATTGCACATGGAATTTTCTTCCCCCTCACAGTGTTGTAAAGTATTTTTTAAAGCAATGAGATAAACTTACCAAATGTATGCTTATTGGACAACTTTCTACAGATGGATATCATTAGGGAAAATAAGAAAGGCCATTATGGTCTTAAGGAAAAAAGACTTTGGGGAAAAATTCCAAATTCTTGAGACACTGGAGTAGAATATTATCCAAGGCAGAAACTTTCTGAGTCTCCTGCTTTTACATCAAATGAGGCTGTTGGTAGGCATGTAAAATGGTGTAATCTTTTTGGAAGTCCATTTGGCCTTGACTCTGCTGTCAGAGGCTCCTTCTCTAATGTATGGAAGAGCCTCTACTTCATATCAGTCTCACTGGTACCAATCACAAAAGCTCAGAACCACTCATTCCAAAGTTTCTGTTGAGAGAAACTCTCATAACTGTCCCCTAGAAAAATAAAATAAAAATACCACAAGCAATAAGATTTTGAACCTCTTCTAAGGAGGTCGTGAATAGAGACAACTTAATTTTTAAAGGGCAAGAGGCTTGTAGTATTACAGCTTCCAAGTGTGGAAAGGGCACAAGGCTTAATGGAGAAATATAATATGCAATTAATGATTTGCTGGTGAAGGAATCCATCATTGTAAAAATAAGGACACCAAATAAATAAACCAAACAACTAGTATCTTGACCATTGTTTTATCCCAGCTTCAAAACTACCATGTAGACCTAGAAAGGAATATAATGAGAGATATAAATCCTTGCCTTGAGAGAACTTATCTGCAGGAACTTATTGAATTTTTAATATGTGGATTAAAAAATCATGTTCAACAAGGAGAAATCATTAATGGCTATTCTAGTGGACATTTGCTTTTAAAATTATTTTGGCTGTCCAGCGTGGGAATGCTCATCTTATGTTTTGGAAATTACCCTTCCAATGAGTCTTGGAAGGAGGCAGACTTGCCTGTAACCATAGAAGAAGAAAATGCCAAATACCAGCTCTTCAGGCATATCTCTGAGACCTAGCCTTCATCAATGTGATGGAGCAGGCTGAGAAACCAGCAGTGTTCTTACAGCCTACCAGTGATGTGCGCGCTGGAAGAATCACATTCTGTAGGAGCAGCAGCTGGAGGAGGACTGAGTTCCTTAGGGTAGCTGGCCATGTGCAGCATCTGGGACTAGGGGCGTTGGCAGACCAAGGGGACAGAGGGTTCTACCTTGTGATTTTGGGTGTTGTTATCAGCTGCACAACTCCCTGTCCATTTTCCAGTTCTTTCAGTGATTCTGGGAGTCACCCACTATGTTTTTAATAGATTCCATTTTCTGCTTAACTCAGCTGGAGTTGATTTTTTCTTGCCTGCAACTAAGAACCCAGAGTGATACAATCATTAGCTTGTAAGAATTACATTAACAGCCTTAGAAGTGGAAAATTTGTTTTCCAAAAAAAAATTCGGTTATTATAGTAGTGATAACAATAATAATAGCTAACATTTCTTAAGTATGTACTCTGTGCCAGGTGCTGTTCTATAAAATGTTCACCTATTAACTCATTAAATCCTGACAATAATCCTATAAGCAAACTGAGACACAAAGGAGTTCAAGTACACAAATGGTAAAAATGCAGACTTAGGCTTTGAATCTGAGCATTTTGACTTCAGGGCCCATACTTTTTTTTTTTTTTTGAGGTGGGGTCTCTCTCTCTGTTGCCTACACTGGATTGCAGTGGCGTGATCCTAGCTCACTGTAGCCTTGAACTCCTAGGCTCAAGTGATCCTCCCACCTCAGCCTCCTGAGTAGCTAGATAGGACTACAGGTATGAGCCATCATGCCTGGCTATTTTTTTCTATATTTTATTTTTTTTATTTTTAGAGATGAAGTCTTGCTATGTTGCCCAGGCTTGTTCATGCTCTTAACAGTTATCAAGTAAGAATCTGTCTACTTTGCTAAGAAACTTCCTTTTCCATAGCTTTAATATTTTTTTCAGATTTCATTAGGGAAAGAATCTCTATTTCTTCTTTGATAATTTCTAACACAAGACTTTATCTTTCACAGTGAGGAAAAAGGGGCTACACTGGCATAACTCAGCCAGAGTAGAGTAGGGTCTTCATCCTTTCACTCATTCATCCACTCAGCAAATATGTAATAGCTGCCTGGGGTAGGCAGACGCCAGTGATATTTGCCTTCATCCTTTCACTCATTCATCCACTCAGCAAATATGTAATAGCTGCCTGGGGTAGGCAGACGCCAGTGATCTTTGCCTTCTGGTGTTTATGTTGTTGCATCATCCTCTCTCCTTGAGTGTGTGCTGGCCTAGTGACTTGTTTCTAACCAGTAGAATGCAGCAAAGGTGATGAGATATTACTTCTATGATAGTTTACATAAGATTGTAACTCCTCTCTTGCTGTTTCCTTCTTGGCTTGCACACATTGATAAAGCAAGCTGCCACAAAATGAGCTGCTATGTTGGGGTGGCAAAGGACTGGTGGCAGCTTTCAGCCAACAGCCAGCTGGGTGCTGAGGATCTCCTTCCAATAGCCCTTGAAGAACTGACCTCAGCCAACAACCATGTGAGCTTGGAAGCAGATCCTTTCCCAGTTGAGCTTTCAGATGAGATCCCAGCCCTGGCCAATACCTTGATTGCTGATCTGTAAGAGACACTGAAGCAGAGCACATGCCCAGCTAAGCCATGCCCAGGGCTCCCGACCTCACAGAAACTGTGAGATAAGAATTGTGTGGTGTTTTAAGCTGCTACATTTATAGTAATTTGTTATGCAGAAATACATAATGTATGTAGTACTTTTTTGTGTGTGTGGCAGTTTTTCTAGATAGACCAGGTCCCTGACCTCATGGAACTTTTGAAAGAAATGAACATGATAACTTCAGGTAGTTATTAGAGCTTTGAGGAGAATAAAACATGGTGATGCTATAGAGCTATTCTCTCTAATGGGGTAGGCCCTACCCATACACAGGGCTATTTAAATTAAAATGAAATAAAATTAGAAATTCAGTTTCTCAGCCACAGTTACTTGGTTTTAAGAACTCAGTAGCCACATGTGCCTGGCTGGTGGCTACTGCATGGAATAGCACTTGAGAACATTTCCATCATCACAGGAAGTTCTACCATGCAGAGCTATTGCAGAGAATGACTTGAGGAATGAGTGGCTTCTCTAAAATGAGAAGCCAGGGGCCAGGTGCAGTGGCTCACACCTGTAATCCAGACACTTTGAGAGGCTGAGGAGAGTGGATCACTTGAGATCAGGGGTTTGAGACCAGCCTGGTCAACATGGTGAAACGCTGTCTCTACTAAAAATACAAAAATTATCTAGGTGTGGTGATGGGCACCTATAATCCCAGCTACTTGGGAGGCTGAGGCAGGAGAATCACTTGAACCTGGGAGGTGGAGGTTGCAGTGAGCTGAGATCTCACCAGTGCACTCCAGCCTGGGTGACAGAGTGAGACTCTGTCTCAAAAAAATTTAAAAAAGATGAAAAAAAAATGAGAAGGTAGGGAAGGCTTCTCTGAAGGGGAATTATTTGAGGCAAGACCTAAACGATAAGAAAAAGCCAGACTTTCCAAGCACAGCTGCATTGTAAATTAAAAATAAATAAAATAAAGAAAAAGTCAGACCTGCAAAGATCTGGAGACGGGATGTGCTTGGCAGAGGGAACAAGATGCATGAAGATGTACGGCAAAAACCCTCAGGGTGTATTTGAAGACAGTATGGTTGGAACTTAGGTGACACAGGAGAAGAGGAATAGCAGTGATGCAGGAATGGGAAGCTAAGGGGCCAGGTGGTGTAGGTTCTTGGGTCCAGGTTAAGGGTCTTGAGTTGTACTCCATGTACGATGGGAGGTCACTGGAGGTTTTAAGCACAGGAGTAACGTTATGCTATTTATGTTTATGTTCTCAACAGATCACTTTTTCTGGTATTTGAGTAGATTGTTGGAGGTAATATTCAACAAGCGACTGCTTTTTTGGGAAAATATATTGATCATTTAGAAGACTATTTCAGTAGCCCAGGCTGACCTGGGCAGTGGCCATTGAGTTAGAGAAATAGACAGATAAATGATCTATTTTAGATGTGTGACTGGCAAGACTTGATACATTGGATGCAAGAGGGCAGGAGAAAGGGAGGAATCAAAGATTATATCTACAATTTTGATTTGAACAAAAGGTTGGATGGTGATAGGAAGAGGAAAGACTGGGAGAAGTACAGGTTTGGAGGGCAAAAGTGAAGGGTTCTCTTCCAGTTGTGTTAAATCTGAGATGCCTTTTAGATACCCAAGTAGTCAGGTAAAGTAGGCCATTGGATATGCACCCAGAGTGCAGAAAGGTCACAGCTGGAGATATAAACTGGGAGTCGTTGGGTTACAAATGCCACATAAAGCCATGGGACTGAAGGACATTTCCAGGGAAAGCACAGAGATGGAAGTGAGTCTGAGGGCTCTGTTGGAAAAGGAGGGAGAAAACAGAAGAACATTGTGTATACCACATAATCTTTCTCTCCCTTGAACCTCATTATTCCATAAAGAACTGGGTTAGTATTAAAAAGATCAACTCCTAGGATGGAGCTCAGCTAGGCTTTTGTATAGCAATAGCTGTCTGGTATTTAAAACACAAAACTGGGGCCTGGAGGTGGTATAGAAGGGAGAGGAATTAAACTGCAAGTAAACTCCAAACCATGTACCATGGAGGCCTAGAAGGGTCATCTCTTCAACCCCATCTGTGTCTCTTCATCCCTGATTCCTCAGGTTCTAGCCACAGTGGTGTTTCAGGTGCTCAAATATGCTAATCTTTCTACCTCAGGACCTTTGCACAAACGTCTTCCTTTGGCTGCTTCTTTTTCTCCCCCTTTCTTGGCCACTTGAACTCTAGCAAGTCTCTCTTGTTTTTCTGTCTCAGGAATTTTTATTGTTTCCTATATGGTTCTCATTACAATTTACATTCTTTCAACTTTTGGCTGCCTCTCCTAATAGAATTGCAGTTTTCACAAATGAAGAAATGATTTATGTATTTTTTTAACCTGTTAAAATCCTTTGTGCTTGGGGATAAATACTTGTTAGATGCATGACCTCACTGCCTGGGGATGAATATGGTTGTGTGAGTGAACTTATTCATTGAGTGTTAGACACTATAAGTTGTGTAAGTGGGTTTGTCTTATTTAAGCCTCTCAGTTCTGTGGTATAGATATTTTTATACCCATTTTACAGATGAAATGATAGGTTGAGTAACTTGGTAAAATTCACACACCTGGTAAGTACTAATAGCAGAAGCAGCATTTGAAGCCAGAGCCAGGTATTCTAAAGTACGTATACTAGAAGGGAACGGGAATATGAGGGCAAGCTCGGAGATGCAAATGGAATAATAGGCCATACGAGAAGACTCACTGCCACCCAAGTCCAAGGGGACTGCTGATTTAAAGAAATCAGGGCAAAGGCAGAGTTTCAAAGGGGCAGTGTTGTGGTGGTGAAGCATGAGATGTGGGTATATTGTTCAACAGAGCGGTTCAAGAACAGGATGGGGAAGAGTGGGAAACAGGCCTTTTCTTGGAGATAGGGCACAAAAGAATCAGACAACTAAGTCAGTACTAGTTCATTGACTGTGGTAACCAGGCCACTTCTTTCTGCCACCCGGGAAAAATAGAGGAACTATGAGCATTAAGAAATCTGGTAGATAGGCCCGAGATTTTTAGGGGGTAGTCATCTTTCATGCATTTATATCATTTATTATCATATATTTGTAAGATTATTTGATTAACATTTGTCTCTCTGTAGATTTCATAAGGGCTATTTATTATTTTTTGCTTCACTCACTGTTGTATAATAACACCTGGCCGAACAGCATTAATAGAGATCAGTAAATATTTTATGAATGAATAATAGACAAATGATAGTAATAATAGGAAACACAGTGCACATATGCTATGCTCAAGGAATTGTTTAAACACTTTACACATATTAACTCAGTCCGTTCTTACAATAACTCTATGAGATGGGTACAATTATTTTCTGTATTTTATAGATGTGGAAACTGAGGCACAGAGAGGTTAAGTCAGTCATCCAAGGTCACACAGCGAGTCAGTGGCAGAGCTGGAATGGAACATTGTTCTGGAGACCATGCTTTTACCATTTTGCTACACCACCTGTGAACAAATGAACACATGCACAGATGGCTGTTCTAAGGGCCACTTGGCGTCTCTGCTTTTGGACAGAGACCATTCTAAGACTATTTCAAAGCCAGAATTTTCTTTTAAAGATGAAGATTGCTAATATCCTGTCTGTCTTGTCTTTTATAAGATCTATAAAGGGAACCGTTGGCCCGCAGAGAATTGGATGCATAAGGTAACCAGCTGAAATGCAGCAGGACAGAATAGAGACTGGCGGGAGGGGGACACAGCAAATAACAGCTGACTTTGGAGTAAGGAAATTCCAAGATTAGAACTTAGTACCAGTGTAAAGGCAGAGGAAATGGAAATGGAGGCCCCCTCAATTGTAAGTCAGACATGTAGAGCTGGGAAGGGCTTTGCAGGAGTAAATGGAATAGCATTTCCTAAACACGCAGGTTTTTTTTTCTTCAGACATAAAGTTAAAAAGGTACGGAATGAGAGAAATTCAGTTTTAAGTTAGCATCAGAATGAACACATATGTACTTTGTTTCTTGGTTATAAAAAAGAAAACTTTGGAATAAAATCTATTTTTAAATGTTATAATAACTGGCCAGGCATGGTGGCTCACGCCTGTAATTCCAGCACTTTGGGAAGCCAAGGCAGGTGAATCACTTGAAGCCAGGAGTTCGAGACCAGCCTGGCCAACATGGCAAAACCCTGTCTCTACTAAAAATGCAAAAAATTAGCCAGATGTGGTGGTGCACACCTGTAGTCCCAGCTACCAAGGAGGCTGAAGCAGGAGAATTGCTTGAGCCTGGGAGGTGGAGGTTGCAGTGAGCCAAGATTGCAGCACTGCACTCCAGCCTGGGTGACAGAGTGAGACTCCATCTCAAAAAACAATAAAATAAAATAAAATAAAATAAAATGTTATAATAACAGAGTACGTGTAACTATATATAGAAATACTATGAAATGTGATTGTTAATTTTATTGCAATACTAGACTGTTGTGTTCATTATAGGAAAGAATGATCGAGTTTGAGGTGTAATGCTTTTAAAAATTCATTTTCCTTTTTCTATGACTATGCTTCCATTTCCCAATCTATTACTGATACTGAGAGTTTTAGCTGACTGAGGCCATTTAAAATAATATAATTTAGTCTTCCACCTTACTCTGAAACCCACACTGAAAACAAATATTTCTTAAAAAGCAATTACATTTATGTGCTTATTACCTGCCACATATATATTATAAAAGTTGATTGCTTTATGTAAGAGAAGTTAATCTGAAATCATTCTTAGCTAAATGTAATATTCTCTGTACTTGTTAAAACAAGCAAAATAAAATGGCAGGAGCAATATAGTTTAAGCATTTTTTTATTGTATGTTTGGCAAACTATGAAAATTAACATTTGGAAATTCTTTTGCTCTATTGAAACCTTGTTATTGCCTAGCCATGATAAAGGTAGAAATATGAAAATATTCTAGATTGTTACATTTTATGACTAAAGTACAAAATTATAGAAATAAATAGAAAGGTACACTTTGGGAGGCCGAGGCAGGTGGATCACAAGGTCAGGAGATCGAGACCATCCTGGCTAACACGATGAAACCCCGTCTCTACTAAAAATAAAAAAAAATAAAAAAAAATTAGCCAGGCGTGGTGGCAGGCGCCTGTAGTCCCAGCTACTCGGGAGGCTGAAGCAGGAGAATGGCGGGTGAACCCAGGAGGCGGAGCTTGCAGTGAGCTGAGATCGTGCCACTGCACTCCAGCCTGGGCGACAGAGCAAGACTCCGTCTCAAAAAAAAAAAGAAAGAAATAGAAAGGTAATAATAATAACAATATTTGTAGAGAATTTTGTAAAATATTTTTCACATCTGATATGGTTTGGCTGTGTCCTCACCCAAATCTCATCTTGAATTGTGGCTCCCATAATTCCCATGTGTTGTGGGAAGGACCCCATGGGAGGTAATTGAGTCATGAGGGGGGGTCTTTCTTGTGCTGTTCTCCTGATAGTGAATAGGTCTCACTAGATCTGATGGTTTTATAAAGAGGAGTTTCCTGCACATGCTCTCTCATTTCCCTCTTGCCTGCCACCATGTAAGACATGCCTTCCACCCGCCGCCATGATTGTGAGACCTCCCTCGTGGAACTGTGAGTCCACTAAACCTCTTTTTCTTTATAAATTACCCAGTCTTGGGTATGTCTTTATCAGCAGCATAAAAATGGACTAATACAACATATATTATTCTTATTTAATATGTAGAACAGCTTCAGGGAGTTGGTAATATTATTTTTATCCCAGAGTTGAGGGAGTAGAGTTTCAGAGAATAACATATGCACAGTAGTATCTGGTGAGGTTGAAGTTTTTTGACTTCAGCTCTGTAAAATTTCATTGCATGAAACCACCACTGTGCAGGAAAACTAATGGATTTGGATCTCAATATTGATTTTAAGGAGATTTTAGGATTTTCAAAAATAAATGTTAAGAAAGTGGGTATTTATATTTGGTTTGGTGTTTAAGGGAATTGTCAAAAGTGGAAAAGAGTCCTTTCCACCCCAGATAGTTTTTATTCTTTCCAGGTAGAAGACACAGAGCATCATCCAGATCCTCTCTTCCTTAGTGAGAGGCACACTCTGTAAAGAGTGGTGTTCAGCAGAAACTGTAGAGGCAGACCCGGAATCAAATCCCAGTTCTGCCATCTCTTCTTAGCTAAGTGGCCTTGGGTGAGTGAATTCACTTCTCTAAAACTCAGTTTCTTCATCTGAAGAATGCAGATCAGTAAAGTACCTATGTGAAAAGATTTGTTACAAACACAAAATAAAATAGTTTATGTAAGACACTCAGTAGATTGCACTAGGTATACAATGAACTATCATCTTTATGTCCCATGCCTTCAAAGACAGTAAATTGAGTATGCATGCAATATTTTAATGACTTATGCCTTAAGGATCTTAGTAAACTTAACATGCCCAAGTTTAAATTGGCATACGTGTTAAAACCTGACTTTTAAATTTTCTGAGGGTACTAATTCAAACATATTATTACATTGTTCCCATAAGTTAGCTAATTTTGACCCAGTGAATATGGTCCCTGTATGCCTGTGAAACTCTCTCCTGATACACTGACAGTAGGTGAGCCTGTGGCTGGTTTCTGCCTGAAAGGATGCATGATCCACATAGGTTGTTAGAGGCTCATGTTAAACTCTGAGCATCTGCCCATCTTGACATTCTGGCCTCCAATCTGGGGCTATTTTGAGAGAGTACTGAGCTGCTTGAAGTGTCATAAAGAGTTTCAGCAGGATTGAGGACAATAGATTAGTTTTTACCATGGTTAACTAGCTAAAACTAATTTTAGGAACTGGACATTGTTTGGAAATTATTGCAATGGGTATTTTTCACTCATTGATTTGCATAAACACATCCAAATAGTGTTTATTAATCGAAGCAATATTCATTGTTGACTCCTTGTGGATTTCTAGGTAGGCCTATCGTTTGAACCCAAAGATCCCTTATTGTTATTTCTCTAGAGACGGAGCACATATGCTTGATGACAAGGGCGAATTTTTAAGAGAACACTGAACTTCTAAGTATTTATTGATCCATCTGGACCCAGTTAATCCCGAGCCCAGTACCTGGAACTTGGGGTGGGAAGATGGTGGCATTTGGAATTTCTGGGTTGATTTGTATTGTTATCATATGGATGAAATGTCTTTTTTTTTTTCAGTTTGTGTGTTTTATATATACTTATTGTTTAGATTCAAGAACCGGCTAAACTGAAAAAGTCTTTAATGAGTTGAAATGGCATGAGAGACAGTTTGTCTTTTAGTTGCTCAGGGGTACTCTTTATTTTCTCATCCCTAGGTAGAATATGTTTTCTGAGGAATGAACATTCTTTGTATCTTTGTACATCCCACTGCACTCAATGCTTGTCAGATTTATCTGTAGTAACACCACATTTCGCATCAAATTTTAAGAGCTGGATGAAATGTAGTTAAGGATGTCAAGAGAAACTATAGCATTTAGAAAATGGCTGAAAAAATGAGGATGTTTTACTTAGAAAAGAGAACAGCATTTATGATGGTTATTCTTAAATAATTACAGTGCAGCTTTTTATATAAATCCAGACAACGAAACTAGAAACAATGAGAAGTTATCTTTGGGCCTGATGTAAGACTTTCATAATGCTGAGATTTTCTTATGAAAGAAATGGGTCCCTTTGAGGAGTGGAAGGCAGTCAGCTCTCTGTCACTGCATTGGATGACATCCTTTCATCCTTCAGCTACTGAAGTGACTTTCACTTTGGGCAGAAGATTGGATTGGTTGACTTCCCAAGATTCACTTTAACTCTAAGATGCTATGATTTCACAATCTTTAAAAACTGAGCCTAAAATATAAAATGTTTTGAGAACTTACTGTGTGACATGGACAAGTCCTGCATCCCCTCTGGGCTCTAGATGTCCAATCTGCAAAATGGAATGGCTGGGCACTAGATCAATAACATACATCCTCTGGCCTTTGAGTTGCATCGAACCTGAAATGTAGAGAAGAAAGACTGGAAGCTGCCATCATGCTTTACCTCTTGAATGTGCCCAGGTGTCGATGTTTTAGTGGTTTATTAAACAACATTTTCATTCACATTTTAAAGTTTATTAAAGTGGATGATCTAAGTTTTAAGACTTCTTTTCCCCCATAAGACACAATGATGTTATTTTCATTTGGAAGGAAAACAAACATGTGATCCGAAAAATTTTGATTTTTCTTAAATTGCTTCTTGAACCACCATTGTATTTGATGATGTTTTTAGTCCCTGCGTCTTGCATATTGTTTTTAATTCCCTCATCACTCTTAGAATAATAGATTCTAAGTCTAGAAATTTGAAATTGTTGGTCCAGTAAGCTTCTACCCCTCGATTAGTCACTGCTTTTTGGAACCCAGCATTGGCTGGAGCTGAGAAGGGGCTATCCAGGGAACAGAGACAATTTCTCTTCTAGTTGTAGGAAGGAGTACACTTCTCAGAGCACAAAGGAGAATAGAGTCAAAAGTAATGTGTACTCAAAGCCTTTTCGAAAGCACTTACCTTCTCAGCAACCAAAATCACCCCCTCCCCAAATGAATGTTCTAGGAACAACAACTTTTACTTAAAAAAAAAGATCATTTATAGTGGAGGTGGCCAAAAATGAAATACCAGATTCTAAGTTCCATGAGAACAAAGCCTTCACTACTATATTCCTAGAAAATATCACAAAGTCTGGCGATTAGTGAGAACTCATTTTGTTGAACGAGTAAATGAATGAAGGAACAAATAATTTTCCTAAACTTTCCCCTTCTGTACTTCTAATGGTGAGAGAGCCCCCTGCTGGAAGAATGAATATTACATTATGAATAGCAACATGCAGTTTACTGAAAATATTTCAATTAATCACTCTAGTTTCTAGACCAGGTCATGCCTTATTGGATAAAATCTTGTAAAAAGCTCTGTGAAGAATCACTGACTAGGAAAGGACTCAGTTGGCACTAATTGGATATATTGGAAATCAAACAACAGACTTTAAAACTGAACCTCACGCTCTGAAAATTCTGAATGATATTAAAAGCCTATAACTTACCCTGCATTTGGACATTGGTATTATAAATTATTATGGATATGTTAAATTAACGTTCCCTATTAGTTCTGTAAGTTGTTAGTAGATGACTATAGCCTGAGTACCAAATTGTGAATATGTAATATGAACAATATAAGCAACAGTAAGCATCACCTCAAATGAAACTGACAAGTTAATCTGATTTTTTTTTTTTTTTTTTTTTTTTTTGCTCTGTGGCTGAGGCTGGAGTGCAGTGGCACAATCTTGGTCAACTGCAACCTCCACCTCCCAGGTTCCAGTGATTCTCCTGCCTCAGCATCCTGAGTAGCTGGGACCACAGGCACACACCACCATGCCCAGCTAATTTTTATATTTTTAGTAGAGACAGGGTTTCACCACGTTGGCCAGGCTGGTCTTGAACTCCTGACCTCAAGTGATCCACCTGTCTAGGCGTCCCACAGTGCTGGGATTACAGGTGTGAGCCACTGTACCCTGCCAATCTGATGTTTATTGATACACACACACACACACACACACACATTCATGTGACAGAAAAATTATCTTTGTGCTGCTTAATAATTTGGTAAGTAATCAGTAGTTCATGAAAATTACTTGGTAGTATTTGTTACAGAGTTGGGACAAAATGTTAGCTTTTCTAGGAGTTCTTCAATAATGAAAATGATTTCCACTTTTCACCCATGTAGTTTAACAGATGCACACAAACACACTCAGTCTGTAACTGACTGCTCAATTTTTATAGCTCCCTCTGCACCTGTCTTCTGTCTTCCATTCCTTGTCCTCATTTCTACCTCGGGGTCTGCAGGCATCTGTATGTTTCTTACTTCTGTCCTGTTTTGGGTATCCTGGATGCTGGAGGGGCAAAAGGGAGACAGGGTCGAGGAGGTGAGAATGGACTTTCCGGAAAACCAGAACACTGCTACTACCCTTTGGAAGCAGGTTTGGGAAGGTGGTAGAAGGGTCTTAGGCAGCAGTGTACATCATGAGATAGGGGTGAGAATTCAGTAAGATGGTGTGCTGGATCCTGATGGCCTGGAGACATGGGTGTGACCAAGGAGAAGGAAGAGCTTGGAGGGAATGAATGGTAGAATGACTTTTCCTATGGAGTGGAGGAAGCAGTATTGGGTTGAAAACATCCAAAGTAGGAGTCAGACAACCAGGAGAGCTGCAGGCCCCATCACCAACTAGGAGCACTTCCTCTTGAATAAAAAAAACCCACAGGCAGAGGCCTTCAGCAAGCACTAAGTGGATACTCCAGGGCTTTTCAAACTTGACTGCATATTGAAATCACCTGAGAAGCATTAAAAAGTCTTGATGCTGCCTAGTCAGAGATTCTGACTTAATTGGTCCAGGGAGTTGGCTGGATAGTGGGCTGTTTTAAAGCTTCTCAGGTGACTCCAGGGTGCAGCCAATGCTGAGAATTGCTGGTCGGCACTCTGGGGAAACATGGAATTTTTAACTTCAGGTGAGGCATGCTATTATCTCTGGTTCTTAATGCATTCTTTTCTTGCTGTATATTATTCTTTTCCCCTTCATCACTGTGGTAGGCAGAATAATCACTCTCCCCTGAGCCCCAAAGACGTCCACTCCCTAATCCTTGGAACAAGAGAATATCTTACCTTATCTGGCAAAAGAGACTTTGCAGGTGTGATTAAATTAAGAATTTTGAGATGGGGAGGTTATTCTGGATTATCTGACTAACCTCAGGTGTAATCACAGGGTCCTTTTAAATAAAAGATGGGCTGACAAAAGCAGAAGTGAGGCGATTGCCGTCTTTGAAGATGGAAGGTGAACACGAGCCAGGGGTTGCTGGTGGCATCTAGAAGCAGGAAACGACAAAGAACGAATTTTCCTTTAGACCCTCCAAAAAGAACATAGCCCATGATTTAACACCATGATTTGCACTTGTTTTGGATCTCTGGCCTCCAGAACTGTAAGCAAATAAATTTGTGGTAATTTATTATAGCAGCAATAGAAAATTGATACCGTCACCAATCCCATTTTTATTTATTTATTTAGAGACGTAGTCCTGCTCTGTTGCCCAGGCTGGAGTGCAGTGGTGCTATCTCGGCTCACTCCAACCTCCTCCTCCCAGGTTCAAGGGATTCTCCTGACTCAGCCTCTAGAATAGCTGGGATTACAGGCATGCGCACCCATGCCCTGCTAATTTTTGTATTTTATTTTATTTTATTTCATTTCATTTATTTTTTGAGACAGAATCTCTCTCTGTTGCCCAGGCTGGAGTGCAGTGGTGTGGTCTTGGCTCACTGCAAGCTCCGCCTGGTGGGTTCACACAATTCTCTTGTCTCAGCCTCCCAAGTAGCTGGGACTACAGGCGCCTGCCACCATGCCCGGCTAACTTTTTGTATGTTTAGTAGAGAAGGGGTTTCACCGTGTTAGCTGGGACGGTCTTGATCTCCTGACCTCATGATCAGCAATTTTTGTATTTTTAGTAGATATGGGTTTCACCATGTTGGCCAGGCTGGTCTGGAATGCCTGATCTGAAGTGATCCGCCTGCCTTGGCCTCCCACAGTATTGGGATTACAGGCATGAATCACTGCGCCCAGCCTCCAATCCCAGTTTTACTACTTACCTCCTCCACCCCCGTAATCAGCCACTGTAAACGGATTATTGTATATACTGGAAATGCATGCATCCTTTAAAAATATACCTGATTTTTCTAAAGGAAATAAACTAATGTGATTATGGAGGCTTTTGCTAGGTTTCCCAGTTAGTTTCCCAAAATCTTTAACAGGAAACAAAGCGTTTCTCTTCTTAACTCTTATATTTGTCCGGAATTGGGGGGTTCTTGGTCTCACTGACTTCAAGAATGAAGCCGCGGACCCTCACGGTGAGTGTTACAGTTCTTAAAGGCGTTGGTGTCCGGAGTTTGTTCCTTCTGA
This sequence comes from Homo sapiens, assembly GCF_000001405.40. Classification (NCBI taxonomy): domain Eukaryota; kingdom Metazoa; phylum Chordata; class Mammalia; order Primates; family Hominidae; genus Homo; species Homo sapiens. Next base: position 136,012,824 of record NC_000007.14, read on the forward strand.
TGTTCGGATATGTTCGGAGTTTCTTCCTTCTTGTGGGTTCGTGGTCTTGCTGGCTTCAGGAGTGAAGCTGCAGACCTTCGCAGTGAGTGTTACAGCTCTTAAGGTGGCGCGTCTGGAGTTGTTCGTTCCTCCTGGTGGGTTCGTGGTCTCGCTGGCTTCAGGAGTGAAGCTGCAGACCATCAAGGTGAGTGTTACAGCTCATAAAGGCAGTGTGGACCCAAAGAGTGAGCAGCAGCAAAATTCATTGCAAAGAGCGAAAGAGCAAAGCTTCCATAGTGTGGAAGGGGACCCAAGCGTGTTCAGTAAAATAAGAACGAGGAAGTGTTGAGTTTATTTAATGTAACTAAAAAATTACTGTATGGGTGTGGGTATCATCAAACGCAAGCATAATTACTAATGGTGAAAAGTGCCTCAACTGAAAGTCAAAAGTGAGACGATGATAACAACTCTCACCATTATTATTTAATTTTGTTCTGAAAGGATTCACCAATGAAATCATACAAAAGAAAAAATTGCAATTTCACAAGATTAAAAAGCTTTCAGTAATTTTTTTGGTCTCACTAAATTTATAGATTAAATGGAATTGACATCTTTAAGCTTTTTATCCATGAATAGGGTAGGTTTTTCTATTTAAGTCTTCTTTTATAAATCTCAGCAGAGATATACCTTTTTTTGTTTTTCAGTAAAGGTCTGCCGACTTTTAGTTAAATTTATTCTAGATATTTAAATCTTTCTCTTGCTACTGTAAATATATAGGTTTATTTAAAAGATGGTTTTTAGAATATATAATATGTATTTAAATGATACACAGAAATGATGCACTATCCATCTAATTTTTGCATATAGAAAATCTATTGACTTTCAGATATTAATGTAACTTGTCACTTTACTGAATATTCTTATTCTAATAGCTTAGAATAGCTTTTGATTGATTTTGTGTTTTTCAAATGTAAAATCTTATGCAATTTTGTCTCTGCCTTTCCAATTTTCATCACCTGTTTCTTTACGCTGTGAACATAGTAGAAGACAATAGAGTTATATTTAAGATCATGAACCTGCAGTAAGTCTAGATTCAGGTCCTAACTCTGCCACTTTTTCTCTTTCTGACCCCAGGGAAGTTACTTAACCACTCTGCATTTTAGTTTCCCTGTCAGCAAACTGGGGATAGGGTTATTGGGGGGCATAAAATGAGATAATATGTATAAAAAATTTACAATCATTCCTGGTGTCAGGATTCAATAAATGTTAACTATTATTATGAATTGGATTGGCTAGCACTTACAGGAAATTCTTACCAGTGAAGCTAGTGAACATAATGATTTTGTTCCTTTCTGATTTAAATGGAAATACTCATAACATTTCACTGTTTAGCATAGCAAATGTTTAACTTACTTTTGGAGATACATGTAGATAAGTTTTAATTATATTTTGCCATATTCTTATCATCCATTTGATCTAAATTTTTAGATAGTCGGTTGAGCCATATGAAATTGTCAATATGTGACTCTACTTGACCCATAAAAATGATGATTGCATATATTACAGCCTAATAGCCTGTATTCATGAAGTGGAATAAAGTATTCCTTTTTTTTTTTTTTTTTTTTTTGAGACGGGGTCTCATTCCTGTCACCCAGGCTCAAGCAGTCCTCCCAATCTCAGCCTCCTGAGTAGCTGGGCTTATAGGCATGTGACACCAAACCTGGATAGTATTCTATAATTCTCTTAATTTACTCTATTTGTGGTTATTTGGGGGTTGTTTTCCCAATATCCAATTTTATATATTTGTGCTTTTTCTTCTCCTCACTTTTTTTGATTAGGTAGTTTAACTTTTATGTTCAAATAACTAGTTCTTCAGTATGTGTATTGATTCTATCATTTCTCGTTTCTAATTCATTATTTTGCTATTATCTTCATTAATTCCTTCTGTTATTATCTAAGTTTTAATGTGTAGCGCTTTCTAATTTCCTTAGATTGAATTATTTTTACCTTTTGTTTAACAATTATTTATAGTTAATGAGTTTTCCTCTCAATGCTGCTTTAATCATCTGTTTTCGTTATCACTATTTTCTGCCTACCTAGTTGAAATATTTGCTTTGACTTCTTGTTCACCTAAGAGAGAATTTAAACACTTCTAGATGATGTGGGTTTTTGTTCTGTTTTTGTTATCCATTTCCAGACTTATCACACTGTGATTAGAGAATTTTACATGTATGGTTTTTAACCTTTTGGAATTAATTGAGATTTTCTTTGTTGCCTAATGTGTGGTCTATTTTTGTGTAAATGAATGAACACTTAAATAGCAGGTAGAGTTTCTATTTTATCATGGTGAGTTCCCTACTTACATCTGTTAGATCCATATGATTGGGTATGTCAGTTATTAGCATTAATACTGATGCTGCATAGGTTTACTTAAATCTGTCTCTGGCCGAAGCTGCCATGCCTTGAGCTCTCTGGGTGAGTTTGTTTTTGTTTTTCTGTCTAACATTGCTATGTCTAATTTTCTATATGAAGCTCATTGTGCACAAATAAAACACTGAGAAACGCAGTTGGATGTTTCTTGACATGCCTGCACTCTTAAGGTTTGAAGACCATCTTCTCCCAGGACCCTTGGGAAAGGGAGTATGAACAGGGAAATACTCCAGTGAGGGGATTAGCGTATGGTCATCAGAATTTATTATCATATTTTCAGTCGTGACTAAAACTTGAATAAGGGTCTTAATCTTTTAAACTATGATATTAAATTACATTTTAATTGTAATTCAAAGTCTCTTTTAAATTCTACTCCTTTAGTAATATCTCATTCTTTTTAATAAAAGCTCCTTTTAAGAGCAACTAAACTGCCACAGCTCTTCAAAATCCTTATAGAAAATGTCTTAAATAAACATCAAAAAATATAGTTCTATTATTTAGCTCTTACCTCGGGTGTCTGAACAATTCCTATGAGCTTTCTACTGGTCTGTTTAGTCTCATTCAATACAAAACAGGAAATCAATTACTACAAACCCTCTCCTAAATGAGTGCAAAACAGATGCTTCATTTAAAGTACATGTATGCCATAATTGCATTTGGTAAATATCTGGATATTTTAAAACAACAGTAATCAGCATATTAAAATAGAATTTGACATGTTATGTATTTTGATGATGTTATATATTAATATAATATTTGGCTGCTTCTCTATACACAAATCAACTACTGTAAACAAACAGCAGTGGATTAAATATTGTCATCTCCTGGCACTTTGACTTAATAAGTTAGTTCTTTGGAAGAATATATATATAGCTAGGACACGGGGTGGACACAGCATGCCAAGAGATGATCAATAGTGAGATCTGATATCTTCAGAACATCGCTATGTCAGCTTATTCAACTATAGATTTAAAATTATGTTGAGAACCTCAGTAACACATGCATTTATGAATTATGCTTGCTGAAAAACTTAAAAGCTCAAATGATTTATGGGAAAACAAATGAGAGAAGAACTCAATTTATCTTGAGAAGAGATGCAGTGATTATAGCTTCATTTCCAAGTGATTACATGCTTATCAAGAGCCTCCTAAAGGCCAAGGGAGAAGTAGAAAGGGGACCAAGGGTTGTAGATTTGATAAATAAACTCTAATGAAGGAAAAAACCTGAAGGCATCCAGAGACTCTATCCTTTATCTTTATACTCCTTGGTTTGGTTCTAGTGTCTGATGTAACTTACACTGTTCTAGGTTTCTTCAGTGAATTCAGTGTTGGCATCATAGAATGGACCTGGGACTGCTTGATTCCGTAAAGAAACTCGGAATATTTTTCAGTATTGTATTAGTCTGTTTTCACATTGCTATAAAGATACTACCTGAGACTGGGTAATTCGTAAATGAGGGGTTTAATTGGCTCAGAGTTCTGCATGGCTGGAGAAGTCTCAGGAAACTTACAATCATGGTGGAAGGGGAAGTGGAAGAAAGGTATGTCTTACGGTGGCAGGAGAGAGAAAGTGACAGAGAAGGGGGAAGCACCAGACATTTATCAGACAATCAGATCTCATGATAACTCACTATCAAGAGAACAGCATGGAGGAAACTGGCTCCATGATCCAATCACTTCCCTCCAGGTCCCTCCCTTGACACAAGAGGGTGATAATTCAGATTACAATTCGAGATGAGACTTGGGTGGGGACACAGCCAAACCATATCAGTCATCCAGTAATGATGTAGGGTTGTAGTATGTCTATTCCTTTCCCATGTTCCAGGTGAACCTGTAAATCTCCTAAGGTCAGAATTTGCCCGAGTAGTTTGGATGTGAGAAAAGTTTTGTCTCAAGGGGTTCCCCCATCAATCTCTAGGAGCACCAAGTGGGTACAAGTGACTCAGTACAATTCATGACCACAGAGGGAAAGTCAGTTGAATAACTTCTCATATTGGGTGATGAATAACATCCTCCTAATATAGGCTTTCTCATGCTCAAATATTCAGAGTGCTACTTAGGCAATAACCATTGTTGTACAACAGAAACTTATTTTTACCTAGATGTAACATCTTAGATTATTCTTACCGTGGATAAACAAAATGTTTTTGATGAAATCTTACAGTTACTAATCTGAACTTGAGCAGAGACCAGAACTTACAAACAGAACAATGTCTTCTAACCTCTGGTATTATTTTAAGTGTTTTGTTAAGACATTGATTAAATGTCAATAAATATAGAACCAGATATGAATACTTTGTGCTTATAGCTCTTATACAATTGTAGCCCAAATCAAAGTTACAAGCTAAATATATCTCCTTTAAAGCCAATAGAATCCAAATCTACAAAGTTTACTTAATATTGGCTTGTTGAAAATTAAATTACCTTTTGTCATGTGAATATGGTACTTGTGCTGAATAAATGTCTTTTTTGCTATCACCTGTCATTCAAGATGAGTCCTATCATGATTACTCTCTGTCCTGCAATACGGCTTAAAAATAATTTCACAACACCAGCTAGGATGAATAGGAAATAGGCTTCATTGGGGAAACTTACAAGGAAAGAGTCAGCAAGGAGGAAAGCCTGTGGTTGTCCATGGAGGGAGATGTGTTATGGATAGCAGACTTTGCTGGACATGCTGCAGATGTATGTTTTAATAAAGGTTCTTTGCTTTTTATTGCTTTACTTTTTTATAGTATAAACACGAAATCACCATGTCAGAAGCCAAATATACTACTCAAACAATTAGGATATCTGGACTTGGATCCAGTACTATAAGAGTTATCTGGGAAATCAGCTGCCTAGGGCCATTGGGGGCCATTGTGGAGTTGGGTTTGGGTACAGACCTTCCTGCTGCGGGAGGCTGGTCACCGAACTGGGGTTGGTGCAGTTCCAGTTGACTCAGAACTTGTAATCCAGGCAACCTAGTGAGCTCCTAGGACCATTTTTAGACAATGCTGCTTGATGCACCACAATGCTAGATGCTATGATGCAGGTTCATTTGAGTTTGGTATGTTGAAATCAGTGTGAGTCATGTGGTAATTCAATTTTCCTCATCTTTTTTTTCTGTTTGAGCTATTATAAAACTTTTGTTTCCTACAATATATCATGACATCATTTATTCTTGAGGAAAAGCCTCATTGATGTATTGCTTAGACAGTGTTAACCTATTTGCAAACTTTAGATGTAAGCCCTAAAATCTTGCAGCAGTATTCATTTACAAGGTGATAAGGTGATCTGTATCATTTAAACATGCCTGCTTTTCTATTTTAGATTACCACAAAAACAAAAACAGAAAACTGAAAACAATGCTTATGCCCCCTACTCTGTAGACTTAAGAAACACTGGAAAAAATATGTATGTTGGGGCTAGGCAACCTTGGACTTGAATTCCTGGTTCAATGGGTGTGGCCTTGGGCAAGTCATCAAACCTCTCTGGGCCTTGGTTTCTGTATTTGTAAAGTGGGAATGACATTCATTCACTCAACAAATATTAACTAAGCAGGCACTGTTTTTTTTTTTTTTTTTTTGAGACGGAGTCTCATTCTTTCACCCAGGCCGGACTGCAGTGGTGCTATCTCACTGCAAGCTCCTCCTCCCAGGTTCACGCCATTCTCCTGCATCAGCCTCCCGAGTAGCTGGGACTACAGGCGCCCACCAACACGCCTGGCTAATTTTTTGTGTTTTTAGTAGAGACAGGGTTTCACCGTGTTAGCCAGGATGGTCTCGAGCTCCTGACCTCGTGATCCGCCCGCCTCGGCCTCCCAAAGTGCTGGGATTACAGGCGTGAGCCACAGCGCCCGGCCACAGGTACTGTTTTAAGTGCTGGGAACATAGCTATGTGTAGGCTAAGTACCTGCCTTCCTGGAGCTGACATTGTAGAGAGATTGCAGAATGGAGAGAGAGAACAATATGCATGCAAACAAAGTAATTTCACATAGTGATTTGTGGTGTGAAGAATAGAGGGCAATGGGATAGAAAGTGACTGGGGATAAAGGCAGAGTTGGTACATTAGTCAGGGAAACCAGGGAAAAGAGGATATGTGGCATTTGAGCTGAGTCCCAAATGAGGAGAGGAAGCCAGACCCATGAGTTAGGAGATGTGGAGGTGAGCTTGGTGCATATGAGGCTCTGGTAGGAGGTCAGCGTGACTGGAACACAGAGAAGGAAATGATGAGGTCTGCTTTGCAGAGTTGTTTAAGGATTACATGAGCTAAGTCTATAAAGTGCCTAACATAGAGTAGGCACCCAACAAATGGCAAGCATTATTTTTATTGTAGATTATATATTCTTATTTCGTAGGTTAAAGAGTTAATTTTTTCCAAATGGAAAAGTTTTGTTCTCACTTCAACCCTTCCCTTTAGAAATAAAAAGATAAACTAGCAAGATGACTATTTCACTTATCTACTTTGTTCACAATCAATTCTTTTTTTTATTTTTATTTTTATTTTTTGTGATGAAGTCTGGCTCTGTCACCAGGCTGGAGTGCAGTAGTGCAATCTTGGCTCACTGCAACCTCTGCCTCCCGGGTTCAAGTGATTCTCCTGCCTTAGCCTCCCGAGTAGCTGGGATTACAGGTGTGTGCCACCATGCCTGGCTAATTTTTGTATTTTTAGTACAGACAGGGTTTCGCCATGTTGGCCGGGCTGGTCTTGAACTCCTGGCCTCAAGTGATCTGCCCGCCTCAGCTTCCCAAAGTGTTGGGATTACAGGCATGAGCCACTGGTGCCTGGCCGCAGTAAATTCTTTGTAAAGTTTTTTTCAATCATGTTCGTGGTATGTTTTCTTAATAATTTCAGGATATACATTATTCAGACAATCATAGAATCTTTATTTATTAAAATTAGTGATACTTTGGAGGACATCCTGGTCCACTCATTTTTCTGGTAGGCAAGATGCAGCCCAAGTAAAAGATGTAGTTTAAGAGTACGGAATTTGTGGCACAGCTTTTCTAAGATTCCAGGTCCCTGGACTTAGACTTTGTCTATTTTTTAAATGATCCTAATGCATTTTCTTCTTCTACCCTTCCTCTCCAATCTTACCGTGGCTTTTTGTTGACACTGTGATTAGCAAAGTGATACTCAGCGTATGTTTAAGGTTGTGCACAAGCCAGTAATATTGCCAGTAATTTAAAGCCTTTCAGACAGATTATAGCATAGTTTATAAGGGCATTATTACAGACTAAATGCTTGTGTCCCCTCCAAATTCATATGTTGAAGACCTAACTTGGAAGTAATGGTATTGGAGATGGGATCTTTGGGAGATAATTGGGTTTAGATGAAGTTGTGAGGGTAGGATCCTCATGATGGGATTAGTGCCTTTATAAGAGGAGACCAGAGAGCTTGCATGCTTGCTCTCTCTCTCTCTCACTCTCTCTCTCTCTTTCTCACTCATGCTCACTCGCTGTCTTTCTCTTCCATGTGAAAACACAGCAAGAAGGCAGCCATCTGTAGGGCAGGAAGAGAGCCCTCACCAGAACTTGACCATGCTGGCACCCTGATCTCAGACTTCTAGCCTCCAGAACTGTAAGACATAAATGTCTGTTGTTTAAGCCACCCAGTCTGTAGTATTCTGTTATAGAGCCCTGAGAAGACTAAGACAGGCATTTATATTGTGATGTTTTAGATATGCTACATTGTTGGATGTTTACTAGGGTGGGAGAGAATAAAATAGTAGGTTATTGCCACAGGAAACCTGACTGATGAAATTTTTGGTAATTTTCTTTCCAAGTTTGCTAAGGTCTTCTCATCTTTGTAGTGAGGTGTCAATGTCAAAGTTACATATCCTTTAAAAAAATCTGCTTTAAAACTGGTCACTACTGATTTTATGACATGAGGCACAAATTGAAGATCGAAGAGATCAATACCAGTTAATAATATGTTAGGGGAACTTGCAAGGTCTCCAATAACTTGAGTTGTCCGGATGAAATACATCAGTGCTGGAGAATAGTTGTTAAGATAGATGGGCTTGCTGTATGCTAAAATGTAGCACTATTTTGTGCTTGTAATTGAGAATTAGATCTTTGCTAGCAGTTTTATTAGTGATGTATGAGTCAGAGGAGACTACAATTCTCTTCTAAACCTATACTAAAGATACGATGCTGACAGTAGGGGGAAAAGGCTTCATCAGTAAATAAATACAATGTAGACATGAAGAATTGATGTATATGGTTATAATTGTACTCTATTACTTTTACAAAGTCCTCTGGCCTACCCATGCTTAAGAAAATATAAGACTAAATGGCCCCTCGAAAAGGTAAATTAATTGACGTATTGCTTTTCGAAATTTAGACTCAACTGTTCCCTGCAGAATAGTAGATGTCCAAGTGCTCAGGACCACATTTCTAACAAAAGAAAAATAAAGGGAATTCTAATGCATGTATCAGTCAGGCAATTGCATGTATTGCTTTTATATCCGATTAAATTTGTGAAATGGTTTGTAGAGTACTTGTGGTAATTCTTCAATATTGGGGTAATGAGAAGAGCATTTGGAGTTGAAAACCCTTCCTACATATTAATGATTCTAAGATTTGTTGTTTATTTATTTTGAATTTTCATTTTTTTTTACCATAGCACAGCAGCCAGATAGGTTAATATTTGTTTGTTTTTTTTTAAATTTTCAAAATAGGAGGAGTAATAATACCTACATCTCAGGGTTGTCATAAGAGTTTAATGAGATAATGCATGTGAAATATATTTGGTGGCCTAAAAAAAACAATTAACAGATGTTATATACCCATAAAGTTAATTCATTTATACATTGGAAAATTCAACATAAAGGAAATAATAAAGAAAAAGGGTTTGTCATCAATATTAAATGAAGAAATGAGTGGCAAAATAAGCAATGAAAATGTGAGTAGAAGGTACAGTTGAGTGGTAATCGGTTGAAGGAAGTTGCTTTAGGGGTCTTGTCATCAACAGCCAGGCGGAGAAGTTTATCACCAGGGAAACTAGTTGTCTTCCTGGGAGCCAGTATAGAAGGAGAGCTGGGGACTCTGGACAGGGATGTGGGAAGTGGTGGAGCCTTCTTTTCTCCTGGTTCATCAGTCAGGACAGGCTAAAACTCAGCAGTGCAAGGGAGAAGGTCTGCAGTGGCCTGGACTATTTAGGTTTAGGCAGAAGGAGGTACTCTCTACCAAAAGAGTTGGCCGATGGGCCCACCTGTCCCATGTACATAGATTCTTAGTAAAAAATCTAGCTTGCTTTTCAAATACAGCCTTAATGCAAGTCTCCATTCCATCCAGATGGCCTCTAAGCCCTTCTTATTTAGAAATTTTGAAGCTGTCACTTTCTGCTCTATTTTAAAAGTAGAAAAATGTTGAGCTCTCTTTATATTTATTTGCATAGAGTTTATCTGCTCCAGACAACTCCATGGAATGTGCTTCCTCCCTGACAGTTTGTTTCCCACTGTTTCCTCACAGCCTAGCATGTAAAATAGGTGCTCACTAAATTACAATGAATGAATATATAACAGAATATAAATAAGGAGCACATGTAAATAAGAAAGCGATATGTATTGGAGAAGTAACATTTATTGGCTGCCTCTTTGCATACTTGTAGTAACTTATTTGAGCCTTTGAACAATGCTGTGAAATAGATGTGATTGTCCTATTTGGTAAATGAGTGAATGGAGACTTGAAGAATTTATAAAACGTGTTTCTGTTCTTACATCTGGTAAGTGTGATAAATGTGGGTCAAATTTGACCAATGCCAAAATCCACAATCCTCTAACTGCTGAGTTCTCCTTGAACAGCAGGGATGATGACATAAGGAGGGGGCAGAGCTAGACTCCATTCTAAGGAGGCTCCAAGGGGGAACTCAAAAGTCAACTGGGATTCTGGGGAAAAATAGAACTGAATTTTCCATTCATTGTTAAATAAAAAATTAGGGTCTGTTTGAAGTGATTTCAATGTTCCCAGTGAGTTAGTAACACAGATAAACATACTTAGCAGGACCTGGGCTGTGGTAGGGACTCAATAAATGTTTATAGCACAAATGAATGAAAAAAAATGAATGAAAGAACAGGGTAAGTCAACTAGAGGGCAGCTGGTTTCAACATAGAAGCCATGCCGATTACCATGACTAGCACCAGGGAAATGGAAAAAGTTAACAGGGAGATGAGCATAAAGATGGTGAATTGGAGCAGTCTCTGGGTCTATAAGTAAATGAGAAACCAGGCAAACACATTGAAAACTCACATATAAAGGTTTTTGTGTCTTTTATTGAGTTCTGTAAGCAATCATAATGGGTTTCTTCTTGAGTTCTTTAAATGATCTATTAAAAAAAAAACCCAGCCACAGCATTTGGAAAGTCAACAAAGCTTTACAGGATGGGCTCTCCAGAATCAGGAAAGTAAATACTATGAGCCTCTTGGTACCCTGGGTGAGTTACCACACTCAGGTTGCAAATTATTCCTCCAGCTGTAATTACAACATTAATTGTGAGCTTTATTTATTTAGTGTTACTCATGAGGCAAGAGGTTTGCTATTCTGCATGGTTGGTGAAGGGGCAATTCTGGACCACAGTGGGGAGTGGCTGGTGGTGTCTGGGTCTGGGATGCCGTCTTCTATCTGCCTTCAGCTGTGGCCAGTGTTGGGGAGGCAAATTTCTACTTCCTTCCTCTTAGGGTCTGGCTGGGCCCAAGAATTAAGTTGACATAAGCTAGATTAATAGACGAAAAGTACACACATTTATTTTATACAAGCTTTATGTGGCACAGGAGACCTCATAAGGAAATGAAGACCCAAAGGAGCAGTTAGAGCCCATCGCTTACATACTGAATTGGACAAAGAAAAGCAAGTTGTGAAAATGTGATAAGTAAAGGGGCTTGGGCTAGGTTAGCTAATTGGGTAGAGACGTGACCAGGAAAATAAGAGTTAGTTTAACAAGGTTTGCTTGTATAAACTTCCCTAGGCTTCAACTTTCTATTCTTGATAAGATTGTTGCTTTCTTTCTGGTATAGGGAGGACCTCCTTCATGTGGGAATTTTGTCTCTTGCTTTTAAGAAACAGAATGGAGATTAGAGTGATCTTTTTGTACTTACTATTTTTTTAAGTGCCTTTATTTCAAAATAGTCAATATGCTAGAGCAGCGTATTTTGGGGTGTCATAGTCTTAACTCCTTCACTAGAATAAGGCCTTGCTCACTAAATGATGATGTGTTAGGATGAGGAAGCATCACTGTTACCTGACAAATAAGAAGAAATAAGCTCATGGAGAATACTAATGTTCCTAAGGAAAGCTACAGTGCTTGGAGTTGTCTTCTAACACTTTCTGAGGCTACACCTTGGGGTCCCAAACACCACTTCTTGGTACCATTCCTAGAGGCAGAATCCTAAATTGAAAGGACCACTGACCTTAAGTGATAAGACACTTTTTATATCATTTTGCTCTGTCCCCTTCCCTGTGAAAGCAATGGAGAGGGTAGTGCTGTCCTGTAACAGCTCAGGCAGTGGCTCAACAGTGGTCTGCTTTGGTCAATTGGTTTAGGAGAAGCCAGTGTCACTTCAGACCTGAGGGAAGGAACTGGGCTCCTCATGAACCCTAACTGCAAGTTGTTTTCCCACTTATTACTATTATTAGAAATGCTTCCATGAATTTAAAGATGGATGTGAAAACAAAGTACATGTGAATAGCGATTTACCCAAGTTGTACCAGGAATGATATTGACATGTACAGTAGTTACTGTGGTAGCCTTGTCCACATTTCTTGGAAAAACAGCCCTAGCTCAGTTAATTGAATAACAGCAAAGCATATTCATTTATGTTACTAATGTTATAGTTTATCTTATTAATTAATCTTAATGACTGTCTATTACACAATTAATTAAGACTCATTTGTATATACTGATTAAACAAACACACGGGACTTGGCATCAGATAGGATGGGCTCATATTCTGGCTCTATGACTTACTAGCTGGTTGGTCTTAGAGAAATTACTTAATCTTACAACCTCAGTTTCCTCATTCACAAAATGGGTATAAGAGCCATTTTGTTGTTTGTCAGACTGTTGTGAGAATTAAATGAATTAAACCATGTGACACACTTAGTTTAAAAAAAAAGTGTAGCATGCATTCCTTCTCAGTAAAAGAAAGTGACATATTTGCTTGATTGCAAGATGCACATTTTTCCATATCTTGACATGTCTGAAATCAGGATGGCTCTTAAGAGCTTTCAAAAGAGGCTCTGCAGGTGCTAGCCAGGGAACCTAACAAGTTGCTTTTGCTTGCGTGTGTGCATGTGGCAACTTTACCAGGCCCAGAAGGGAGGTGTTCACTTCATTTGATTTAGTATCACTGGGAGCACCACTGGTGCACGCTATCTCAATTTAATTTAGAAGTGTCATTGTAAAACAGCAACAAAAATATTTTCAAACGGGTTTCCCCCATAGTGCAGCATTGAAACAGAGTTACTGTGAATACAGAAGACTGTCTATCCCACAGCAGGCAATGCAATTAAAGACTTCAGAGAATGCCAGATTTTTCAGAATGCATCATAGAATTTTCAAAGCTGTAAGAAAGAGGTGAGTAAAACCAGTTTTTTGAAGTTTTATCACTGAAGCTCAGAATATCAGATAAAAGCTTCTAGCTGACTTTCAAGAAAAGCAGTTTAAAGTCCAGCGATATGTAATTCACTTAGAAAATTCTATAAGTATAATTAAAGAGGAAACGTAGACAAAATAGCAGATTCTTTAATGTGCTGTTAAATTATATTACCAATACTAAAATTGCTACATCTGTCAAGACAATGGGCATTGCTAATGAAAATCAGAATATCATTATGATCTAGAAGAGACTCAGAATTATTTTTATACTTTGTAAAAGAAGCTTAGAACCTACTTTTGATGGTCATATTGATATTGGCACAGAAAGTGGTGTGTAATGGTATGAATAAATGTAAACTTTTATAGGTTCTTAAAATATATAATTAATATAGTATTTGCTTTTTCTGGAAGATTGTCAGTAAATTGGTGCTTTTTTTCCTTTTCTTTCTTTCTTTTTTTCTTTTTACAATGGCTGATATATCAGAATCAAGGGGACATAATATAATCAAGATGACTGAAAGTGTCCTGTTGAATATAGCAATATCTTTTAGGTGTGTGTGCTCAGTGCACAGTGTCTTTCTGGCAGCCATTTTATGCAAAGTAGCTCCTCTGGCCTCGGTTGTTTAGACCAGGCATGCATCCCTGATTCAAGTTGGGCCAAAGTCTCCTCCTCAGGAATCTGGAATTGGGACAGAGAGAAAGAGTCTCTGAACCTGGGAGGGATGACAACGTACCATGTATATGGAGTATCAGAGAGCACTAGTATGGTGAGAAAGAAGAGTGCAGCAGGCTGCAGAGAGAAGCTGCCATGAGAGGTGCCTGGGAGGAACCCATGTTGTCGATGGCTTGCTATTTCTTGGTTCCAATCTGTCCCCAGACCAGGCTGTATTTTGGTCCTGAGGTCCCTTGCATTAAATTACCCTTGTGTTATTAAAATAAATTCTTTACATTTTTGCTTATGTTAGCTTGGCTTGTTTTTTATTTTTATTTTTATTCTCTATATCTGAGAGAGGCCTAACTGATACATTCACCTTGTCACAGACTAAGCCAAAATCATGGTATTGTTGTCTTTTGAGATTTCATAGCTGGTGACCCCAGGCCATGGGCAGCCTCAGCAAGACCCCAAATACCCTCCATTTCCCCCACGATGCCATAAAGTATGTTATCATTTTCTACATGACCTTGATGTGTAAAAGGTTGGAAAGCACTGGTTTAAGGTATGTTTTAAGTCAAATCAACATTGGGGATAATGACAAACTGATGTGCCTGAGCAAATGGACATTCTACGTGAGGCTTCTTAGAGTATCACAGTTAGAGCTAAAAGATATCTCAGAAATCTTGCTTTATTTTACAGGTGAGGATGCTGAGATGTAGAGAGACTGATTTGCTCAAGATAACAAAGAGTTTTATTGATTTGGGAACCCATGGAAGGGGGTCAGCTGTGAGATATCACATGATCAGACTGACTGCCTGACCAGACTGACTGCCATCCTGTTAAAGGTCAGCCCTTCCCTGTGTGCTCTGGATCCTATGCCAGCTCACCTTATTGAGAACTTTGTTTCTTTATGTTCTCTTCCTCCTGCTTTAGTCATCTTTTCCTTTCAATCAGATCATCTCAGCTGCACACAAACATTTTCTAGGCTCTCTGAGCAAACAAGCAAGGACTTGAACCAACTCCTTGACCTTTCGGGCTGGAGTATTTCTTTGCATTTTTTCCTGGTCAGACTTCAACCGTTGTCTGTGCAGCCATTATAGAAATTTCTTCTTCATTTTTCATCTCCTCCCTGAGCCATTATAGTTGGCTTCCACTGTGACCACCAATTTGCTGAAACCATTGTCAAAGTCAAGGTAGAAAGTGATTTTCATTTTGCTAAATCTAGTAGACATTTCTCTATTCTTATCTAACGTGATTGTTTTTAGCAGCATCTAATCCACTTGACCACTTCTTGAAGAATTCTCCTTTTTTAATGCTCCTCATGCCTCCGGCTTTCTCCTATTTCACCAGCACCCCCTGCTCAGACTCCCTTGCCTGCTTCCCCTGCTCAACTAATCCTCTAAATGATTGTTTTCTGGGGAGCTCTTACGGACCCTTTTCCCTTTTCTGATTTTTCTCCCTAGATGGATTTCATCTATTCTATGGATTCAAATACCAAACAAATTTGGTCCTAATGTTAAAGACTACCAAACATACCTTCTGCCCTGATCCCTCATCAGAACTCCATTCTTGCAGATCCAGCTGCCTACTTGACATTTCCACCTGAGTGTCTCACAGATATGGCAAAATTTATAAGTTCAAAATGCATTGTTAACACTTCCCACAAATCTCAATCTCAGCAAATGGCCTCACAATCCTCTTGGCTACTCCAAGAATCCCAGGAATGATATTTGATTCCTTCCTTTCTCTTCTTGCACAAGTCTCATCTATCAGAAGATTATGTTTGTTGTATTTCTTAAATATGCCCTAATCTCCCTTTTTTTGAACTCCATTGCTACCATTTATTCCAGATCAATATCTTTTAGTCTTCCCACACTAATTTATTCTTCTCATATTATTAAAGGTAATGTGCTTAAAACAGAAATTGTATGAGGTCACCCCCAGGCCTGCTTAAAACTCTCCAGGGACTTGCCATTGTACCTAGAACAAGGTCTGAGGTTTAAACCATCATCTCTAGGATTTGCATAATCTCATCCCTTCTTCAATCATATGTCTTAACTTTCTTTTCCCTAGTGGATGGACTTCATCCATTCTTCTTTTTCCTTTCTCAAAAATTCCATGCTCTGTCTTGTTTCATAGTCTTTGAACATGTTCTTTTCTCATCTGTAGAATCTTTTTCTCATTCTATGTATGTCTACAGCTCTTCTTAACAATCTTTGTCTTAGCTTAAGTAACACTTCTTTAGAAAGATCTTCCTTGACTATTCTAAACTTAAGAATCTTGTTTGTCTCCACAATAGCATTAAACATAACATATAACCATTTAAACCATTTTATTTATTTGAATTTTGCCTCCTTATCTTGTTCTCTTTCAAATTGCAAACTCCCTGATGTTAGGGATGTCTTTTCTACCTCTAGCACCTATTACAGTGCCTGGCTCAATTTGCTTTATAAAGGAATAAGACACATGAAGAAATTAGTTTATATAAAAGCAGTAGGTCAGCGATCTTTTCCTTTCTGTACTAGGCTATACTGTGATCATTTGAGTAGAATGGAAAGCAGTGATAAAATTTTCTTGAAGGAAATAGTTGGGTATATCTGGCTCCCTGAGTTTTGCAATTGCTAAACTTTTGTTTATTTTTCTCCCCGTGAATATGGATGGGAGGTAGAAGGTTAATTACTATGACATTTTTTTTCTAATATATCTCAAACCTAGGTGTTAAAACAAGCATGTGTTGGCTTTTAGTCATTGTTTGTTTCAGAGGGCACATTACTATTTTGTGCCTCTGGGTATAAGGCATTTCTCTTCTTTCTGAGTTCTCTGTTTTTAATTATTATTATTCTTTGGTTTTACAAAGTGTGATATTCACCCCATGTATAATGCTCTTTCTGGACACTTTAATTCATGGAAGAACATTTTCTCCAATGATTTTTAGGGAAAAACAGTAGTTATGCTAAGATTATCTAACAGCAGGGGTTCCTAATTTTATCTTAAGTCATAGATTCCCTTGAGTGTCTAGTCCAAGCTATGTAATAATTGCATTGAAAAATGCATCTACACACACAAACATGTTTTGGGTACATGTTAATGAACTGGCTAAAGCCCATTCATGAGCCCTACACACTTAAGAACCATTATTCTGCAATGCTCATACACACCTTGGGGAATTCCCTTATTCTCCACCCATGAATTTGACAAACCAAACATTTTTGATGGAGGGGGCACATTTAGGTCCAGAGCATGAGAATTCAGTTCCCCTTACCCCTCAAAATAAGAGCTGAAGGTCTTCCTCCACCCTGAGATTGTCTAGTCTTAATAGTTATGTTATATAATACCTTCCATCATTGAAGTGCTCTCTTTTTTTTTGGTGATAACCAAATATTTTTGTATGAGGTATTTGGTTATCACCAAAAAATGTTTATTTCTTCAAAGAACTCATGATACCATTAGGAAGGTAAGACAGATGGAAACAGTTTATTAATCTACACACTGAATTCCTTGCTCTAGATGACATCAAAATAAGTAAGACCTATTTTTGTACTTAAAACACATATGATCTGCTTAGAGGGATGTTGGAAATAGACAAATGGCATTGACACAAAGGTAAATAAAATAAGGGTTGGAAGAGTCATTTGAAACTGGTGAGACAGGTAGGTTTGATGATAAAGGGAGAGGGTGAGGGTGGCAGATTGGACCTCTATGCCTGCTCTCTGTTAAGTTTCCCAGGAGCTCCATGGGGGCCTAGGCTAGCAGCAGACAGAATGTCTGTATTTGTAGCACTGCCAAAATCGAAAGACCTATGAGATCCTTGAATACAGGGTTTGAGCCTTACTCGTGTTTAAAAAGTTTCTTTAGGGTATGGCTCAGTATTTGCCAAACAGGAGCTGCTAATAAATGTTGGTTGCATAGAGTTTGAAACAAAACAAACAAAACAAAACAAAATAGCACCCCTTGCCAAAATGACAACAACAACCAACAAAGAAACATAAAAGCCTATTGACACACACTGTAGTCATAAATGCTAACCAAGGAGTTACTTAGGTCTTGGCCACTAGGATTTGACTGCCTAATACAGACACGCTGTGGTACACATGGGAAATGCTTTGTACATACCGTGGTCCTCCTTAGTGAGCCTACTATGTCTTTGTGGAGAAATAATCCAATTCATTTCAGAAAACAGTGTAAAGAGGAGAATCTCTAATTGGTTATTTCTGTGTATGACTTTTTGTTTTGTTTAATTTCCTATTTGGTACATGACAATTTGGCTGATAATCATCTGAAAAATGTTGAGTTGCTTGTGAGCTGTTATAAATTACTTCTTTATACACAGCCCATCTTTTATTATAATATAGAGATATAATACTTAGATATAGCTGCTTTTATTTGTTCTTTGCCATAACATTTGCTAGTAATTTTTTTTCATTATTGGCAATGCTTACATAATGACATACTAATACCTACAGGAATGAATCACAGTTCATCTCGCAGATTTATGGCATGCCTACAGAAAAAGTACCTTATGATGCAAACCTGAAAGTTTAAATAATCTCCTGAAAGTTCCACAATCAGGTAAGCAAGCAAATGTGGTTTAGAGGTCAAAAGAAAAAATGAATCAGTTTAAACTCTTTTCTTCTTTATATCAATAATGAAACAAGAAGGATTGGGAAATGCTGTTAGCAAGCAGATAAATCATTTCTTCATAGCACAGTCGAAATAGAAAGCTTCCACTTGTGGGAGGGTTCATGTATACCTTTTGCACGTAAGCTCTCTCTTCTTCCTACACTTGGGCTAGCAACAAGAGTGCGGTTCTGCAGATCTGCTTGGATTCTAGGCAGAGTTTTTCAAAGCATCCCCTTTGCTTTTCAGCCACTTACATTTGTCATGGTCCTTGGTTGTGTTGGCCAGTTTTCTCCCATTCATAGCTATCCTTAGAGTTCAGTAAGACCTTAGCAAGTATTTTGGTAGGAGGAGGGAGACTATGTGGTTATGACTTTATTTTTCTTTTCTTCCTTTCTTTTTATCCCCCCGCATGCCTATTCTCCACCTTTCTGGTCCCTCTTTGTGTGTCTTTATCCTTGTTTCTCTCTTTCTGTCTTCTACCTGGCTCTCTGTATCTGTGCCCATGTCTCTGTCTCTTTTCTTCTTTTACTTGCCTCTCACTCCTCACATATTTATTATGCATTACCATATGCCAGGCACTGAGTTAGGGGTTGGGGATGATAAAGATGATATAAAAGATGGTTATGCTTTCCAGAGTTCCCAGTGTAATGGTGCAGGTGTTGAGAGGAGGGAAAGACGTGAAAAAAGTGAGGGCCTGTAATCCCAGCACTTTGGGAGGCTAAGGCAGAAGGATCACTTGAGCCCAGGAGTTTGAGACCAGCTTAGGCAACATAGGGAGACCCCATCTCTACCAAAACCAAAACCAAAACCAAAACAGAAACCAGAAAAAAAAATTAGCTGGATGTGGCGGCATGCACCTGTGGTCCCAGCTACTAGGGAGGCTGAGGTGGAAGGACCGCTTGAACCCAGGAGGTTGAGGCTGCTGAGCCGTGATTGTGCCACTGCACTCCAGCCTGAATGACAGAGCAGGACTCTCTCTCTCTCTGTCTCTCTCTCTCTCTCACACACACACACACACACACACACACACACACACACTAATAGAGTTATAAATGAGATGCTATAGTAAGACAAAGAAGTATTTAACTCTGAAAAGATCAGGGTGAGTTAAAATCTGAAATAAGTCCTGAAGGATAAGCAGGCATTTTCCACATGAACAATCGTGGCCCCAACAGAGGCCATTCCATGGGTGGTGGTGTGTACGAAGGTCTGGAGGCGAGAAAATGCAAACATTATGGAAATGGCAAACAGAGCACCTATATTTAGTCCACTCACAACCAAAAATAAAGGGTAGATCACAGAGCAATAGTGTCTACAAATGGAATAGTAATTTTTACCTACGTACCTACATAAGTCCTGTGCAACTGGCGCATTTTTGGTTTGTTTTTGTTTTTCTACCAATAATCACCCTCAAATGCATGTAATGTAGCTGTGTTAGGAGGTGATTCTCCTCCACGGTCTGAATTATTGGCATTAGGCTGAGAGGATCCCCTTTATTCCTCTAACCAAAAAGATTTATGCTGAGTCTTTCCTAAACCGAAAGTATAATAGAAGCCAAATGTTGGGGACTTGAGGGCAACCTATACACTACTCCACTTTCTTTCCACCTAGTTCTGAACCAATTATGAGAGAGATAATGAGTAAGGCAGATGAAATTCCAAATAGCCCCTTTATTAGTAATAAAGGCTAGTTTGGAGAATGTGGGTCAGGCATATGGCAATAATAATTTCCTGGCTCCTTTCTCCAATTTGGGGAGACTCACCTACCTAGGTAGGGCTAGAAAACCATGGACATCTCTGCAATCCTGATGAAACAGAGCATCAGACCAGAGGTGTCTGCCAGCAAGCAGAGAAATGGGAAAATAAGGCTGAAGAATGCCTGCTTTGTTTCTTTTCCAAACTCACTCATCATATAGATCATTCCACTTACCATGGAATAAAATAAGTGAGTGCGTGGGGAGAGGTCATGTGTGTTATATTGATGATGTCCCATGGAAACTTGAAGAGAGGTAAAAGAAGGTTCCCATCACCAACTCCTTGACTAATATGTATCACCCCTTTTCCCCATTGCAGGAGGTTGACATTTGGGTGAGAGTGTGTGAGAAATGTCTTTTCAATAAAAATGTGAGCATTTTAATTCGAATCCCTGGCATGAACTAGTAGGACAAGCAGAGATACCTTTTGTAAACACAGTTTGTAGCTGAGCTCTTTCTTAAAGTAGAGGCATAGCAAGTTGACCTCTGAAGAACCTTCTGGATGTGTGGCTCTGGAGTACTCTATTAAAATGAGTAGATTGAGAAACACTAATGTTATAGTTCAGAAAGCAGGAGAGACCCAGGCCTTTAGAAGCTATCTAGAATTGAGCAGGAGATTGGAGATGTGCGGCAGTCTGACCTTTTGAGTAGGCTTTAAATTTGAAAAGCAGGCTGTCAGATTGTTACTGAAACTTTGTTTAGTACATAGTGTTCCGGTAACATTTAACTGCACTTTATCAAGCTCACTCGTCTCATCTCCAGCTCCCAGGGACTCTTTGCTTTCCCTCTGATGTAGATTCTGCTGGGGTGCTGTGTTCTTTCAAGATAAGACAGCTGCTCTACTCTAGCTTAGAGATGACTGCATTTTAGTGTCCTTGATTTTCTTAAACAGTTGAAACAAGATTTACAATTTAATTAGCAAGGAGCTGTAATCTGTCAGAGTACCATGCCTTTAATAGCTGCAGAGGCATGCCTGTAGGGGCAAGGGGACTGTAGCTTTTCCAGTGAAGTCCTACTTAAGTCCAGAAAATTTACTGTGACCCGTCACATTGCTTTTCTGCTTCTATGGCTTTGTCTCCTTTTGTCCCTGCTGTTGCTGTTGGATGCTCCCCCAGTTTTTTCTCCTTGTTCCTTGGCTGCTCGCCCCGAGGTTACCCTGATTCCACTTTCCCTTAATGACAATACATCTTTAAAGTTGTAGAGCATACCAGTCATTTGGGGTGGGAGGTGAGGGGACGGTCTTCTTTAAAATGCAGATTCCTGGGCTGTACCTCCAAGATGCTGACTTGTTAGGTCTGTGATGTGGTCCAGGAATCTCACTTTGACCTAGCACCCCTAGAGATTCTGAGGCAAGGTCGTCCAACAACCTAACTTTGAAAAACCCTGCCAAGTACGATGCTCTAGTGTCCTGCTTATGCTCTCTTCAGTATGTGACCTTGGTCCACCTCTCATCTTAGTCCTCACTACTGTCATTTAGGTGCTAAAAACCGGAAGGGCCTTGGCTTCTGTAGCTTGAGAAGCTTGAGATAAGACATATTCTAGGCTGTATGTTGAGGAAGAGAATCAAATTGGTGAGGTGTTTTGAGATTAAAGGGACAGGCTGATGACACTGTTAGCATGCACTTTCCATAAAGCTGGAGGTCTCTGGTAGAGTTCAGCTCTGTTCAGTTTAATAGCCAGTTACCCCCAGTCTCTGTGCTTCATGCTGGTGGCCCAGCTCTCTAGGAGCATAGGGTTTTAAGCAGGTCCCTGTTAGAGCCCAGTTTTTCCTCCCCAAAAAGCCTATTAAGAAGTTGGTTGCCAGCTGGGCGCAGTGGCTCACGCCTGTAATCCCAGCACTTTGGGAAGCTGAGGCGGGCAGATCACCTGAGGTCAGGAGTTCGAGACCAACCTGACCAACATAGAGAAACCCCATCTCTACTAAAAATACAAAAATTAGCTGGGCATGGTGGCGCATGCCTGTAATCCCAGCTACCCGGGAGGCTGAGGCAGGAGAATCGCTTGAACCCGGGAGGCGGAGGTTGTGGTGAGCTGAGATTGCGCCATTGCACTCCAGCCTGGGCAACATGAGCGAAACTCCCTCTAAAAAAAAAAAAAAAAAAAGAAGAAGAAGAAGTTAGTTGCCTTCAATGTATGTGCTATTTGTAATGTGATTTCTTTTCTTCTTGTTTTTGTTTTGAGTAGTAGTTGGGAATGTGGTCTACATTTCTTTGTATTTATTTTTAAAATTCTTTCGAACTTTTAGTTTTAGCATGGACATGTGTGCAGGTTTGTTGCATGGGTAATTGCACGTTATGGAGGTTTGGTGTACAGATTATTTTGTTACCCAGGTAATGAGCATAGTACCTGATGGGTAGTTTCTCAGTCCTCTCCCTCCTCCCATTCTCCACCCTCAAGTTGGCCCCAGTGTCTAATCCCTTTTTTGTGTCCATGTGTACTCAATGTTTAGCTCCCACTTAGAAGTGAGAACATTATATTTGGTTTTCTGTTCTTGCGTTAATTTGCTTAGGATAATGTCCTCCAACTCTATCCCTGTTGCTGCAGAGGACATGATTTTGTTCTTTTTTATGACCATGTAGTTATTCCATGTTGTAAGTGTACAACAGTTTCTTTATCTGATCCACCGCCGATGAGTACCTAGGTTGATTCCATGTCTTTGCTATTATGAATAGCACTGTGATGGACATATGTGTGCATGTGCAGACCTTACTTTGAGGCATCCTATGGACAATGTGCATCTCTTTAGGGATATTTGTCCAGGAATAAGGAACCCCTGAAACTTCAGCAGTTGGGGAGAATAATGAACAGTCACTCCAAGGGACCTTATTTACCTCTTGTTAGGATGTTAATCATGGGACTTCTGAATTTCTAGAACCATTTGTAATTTTATTTCCTTCCTTTATGAGAATTGTTTAATTTTTTTATTTTTAAACTATTCCTATACTACATAGTTCTTCTAGACTATTCTTTTACCTAATATCATCTATTCATTTTCATCATTTTAATACTCATAGTTTACTATTTTTTAAATTATCTTTTTGTTTATGATGTCTATTTATCCTGCTTCATTTTTTACCACTCTATCGTTCCTGTTCACTTTTTGAGTTTTAATTTTGTCTATATATTGTGATCATTTTGGAGCTATGACATTTTGCAAAGAGTGAAGTTGAATTTGTGGGGGATCCTTTGCATTTTTGTTTGGTATATGTATTAGTCCATGTTCACGCTGCTGATAAAGATACCCAAGACTGGGCAGTTTACAAAAGAAAGAGATTTAATAAACTTACAATTCCATGTGGCTGGGGAGGCTTCACAATCATGACGGAAGGTGAAGGGCATGTCTCACATGGTAGCAGACAAGAGAAGAGAGCTTGAGCAGGAAGACTCCCATTCTTTAAAACCATCAGATCTCGTGAGACTTAATCACCATCACAAAAACAGCACAATAAAGACCTGTCCCTATGATTCAATTACCTCCTACCGGGTCCCTTCTACAACACGTGGGAATTCAAGATGAGATTTGGGTGGGGATATAGTCAAACAATATCAGTAAAGGAAAATTACTTTCAAGTTAGGTTTGTTGCACTAGTTTTTATGACTTGCTTTGTCATCATCTCTGTTCCCTATTTATATTTTCTTTGTAAGCAGCATGTTTCACTCGAGTAGTTTGAAATCTAAACTGTTTACTCTCTGCCTCCTCAGGGAGGTTTTATGAGAAGTTAGCTCTGTTTAGGTGGTGTTGGCATGGTACCAGCATGTCAACTTTTCTTGGTACGGACTGGACTGCAAGGTGATGTGACTAGAAGGCCAGTAACTTAAAATTCCTGAAATTGTTGCTTTTATTTAAAAAAGAGTTGTTGTGCCTCAGTGAAAGGCAGTCTGTATGAAATATTAAAAATTATTATTGCTAGTTATTTACGGTAGGTGGAGAATGTTGGTTATCTTCCCAGCTGCCCTTTAGAAAAAGCTTTATAGTAAGCTTCATGGTATAACCTTTGTGTCATAGATTGAAATGACCTGGATTCATTTTTAAGATAGTTTCACTTAAAGTAGTGTGTGCCCTATCCAAAGACCTAAGAAAAATCAATTCCCATGCTACCCAAATGTTGATATCAATTTTCTCACTTGCTAAGATATGCTGGCTGTAGTTTAGTAAAAGGATCCTGTTTTCAAGCAAACAACAACAACAAACCCGAAGAATAAATAGTTGAAAGTTTCCTAAAATCTCTTACAAGCATTCCTCGCTAACTCTGAGAATCCTGAGGGCAAGTTCAGTATACTTAGAGGTTACTTGAGCCCTCAGCCCTGGCTGGGAATCCTGTCAGCTGTATCAGCTTCTGTGGTGCCATCAGCTGCTTTTGCTATTTACAGGTCTTTTGTCATCCATGAGTCACTTTTTAGTCCACGTCTGTTCTTCCTGGCTTGGTGAAGCCTCTAGACTGCCTTTATCTTCTATGTCTGAAATAAAATAGAAAACTGCATTTCAAAGATAAGTACTTATTTAATCACTATGTTAGTCTGTTCTTACATTGCTGTAAAGAAACACCTGAGGCTGGGCAATTTATAAAGAAAAGAGGTTTAATTAACTCATAGTTCTGCAGGCAGTACGGGAAACATGGCCCCAGCATCTGCTCATGGTGAGGCCTCAGGAAGCTTCCAATCATGGTGGGAGGCAAAGTGGGAGCAGGCAGTGTAACATGGTGAGAGTGGGAGTGCATGCATGAGAGGGGAGAGGTTCTACACTCTTTTTTTTTTTTTTTGAGACGGAGTCTCACTGTCACCCAGGCTGGAGTGCAGTGGCGCGATCTCGGCTCACTGCAAGCTCTGCCTGCCGGGTTCATGCCGTTCTCCTGCCTCAGCCTCCCGAGTAGCTGGGACTACAGGTGTCTGCCACCACGCCCGGCTAATTTTTTGTATTTTTAGTAGAGACGGGCTTTCACTGTCTACACTCTTAAACAGCCAGATCTCATGTGAACTCAGCAAAAGAAGTCACTCACTATCACAAGGATAGCACCAAGCAATTCAGGCAGCATCTGCCCCCATGACCCAACCACCTCCCACCAGGCCCCAGCTCCAACATTGGAGATTACATGTCATGTCTGCTTTTTTTTTTTTTTTTTTTGAGACAGAGTTGTTGCCCAGGCTAGAGTGCAGTGGCTCAATCTCAGCTCACTGCAACCTCCGCCTCCCCGGTTCAAGCGATTCTCCTGCCTCAGCCTCCGGAGTAGCTGGAATTACAGGCACCCGCCACCACTCCTGGCTCATTTTTGTATTTTTAGTGGAGACAGGGTTTCACCATGTTGGCCAGGCTGGTCTCAAACTCCTGACCTCAAATAATCTGCCCTCCTTGGCCTCCCAAAGTGCTGGGATTATAGGCCTGAGCCACTGTGCCTGGCCTGGAAATTACATTTCCACATGAGATTTGGAAAGCACAAACATCCAAACTATATCTATCACTTTGGATGAATCATGCCTTTACCCTTGCATGGGCTTTTGTGACTGAGAGTTTATGGACACGTGTGTCCTATTTTACCACTTAATATAGAACTGATTGTTTTAGTAGGTAGATTTTAAAGTAAAACTATCAATCACTGAGTAGATTTTCTTTGTCTATCAATTTTCTATCTAGTAATAGAAGCAGAGAGGATGTATGCATATATATATATGTATATATATATATGTGTATATATATATATATATATATATATATATCTCTTCATCTTAAGGAATTGACTCATGTGATTGTGGAGGGCCAGAAAGTCCAAAATCTGCCGGGCAGGCCAGCGGGCTGAAGAACCAGGAACAAGTTGATACTGCTGCTTAAGCCTGAAGGCAGTCTGCTGGCATAATTCCCTCTTTCTTGGGGGAGATCAGTTTTTTTCTCCTTAGGCCTTTGACTGATTGGATGAGGTTCACCCACATTATGGAGGATAATCTACTTTATTCAAAGTCTACTGATGTAAATGTCAACCTCATTTAAAAAATACCTCACAGAAACGTCTAGAATACTGTTGGGCCACATATTTGAGTACCTGAGTTGTTGCCAGTAAAAATGACAATAAAATGAACTATCGCATACCCCAACTTCATTTTGGAGAACTACTCTCCTTAGTCCATGTATATCAGGTGGAGCTGACCTCATTTTTCTGACTCCAAGGGTGAGAATGTGACATAGGCCCATCATAGCATCAAAGTATCCTGGCTAAAGAGATTGCTTCAAGGCTGGCCATATGACCAAACCCAGATCAATGAGAGCCAGTCCTGGGATTTTTGCCAGAACTACCAGGACTGAGCCATTGTATCATTCTTAGAGTTTGAAAGCTAAGGGCCTGGAAGTCTGGAGCTGCAGGAGGTCATCTTTGTTCCCATATGGGGTAAGTCTGCCGGAAAGTTAAGCCAATCCAGGGAAAAGAAAGCAGGAGATGGAGAGATGAGACATGGAGAACAAGAGACAATTTCTTGCGGATATTATATAAATGTTATTGAAAACCTGAATCTAGCTATCTTGATCCATGTTTTTAAAAGCTAAGTAAGCTAATACATTCTTCTTTCTGCTTAAACTAATTTGAGTTTCTATCACTTGCAACTGAAATAATTCTGATGAAGATGCAATATGCTGGATGTTCTAGGTAGTTCCCAGAGGCAGCCGCTTTCAATAACTTTAGCTGATTCTTTTGATGTTTTTCTCCATGTATCTAACAATATGCCATTACTGCTGTTTTGTGATTGATTTCAGTCAGTAGTTGCTGACTTCCTGTTATGGTGAGTGAGGATTCCTTCCTCCTTCTCCATTTTATAATTTTTTCTAAATGCTTCAACATATCTGTCAGCCACTCAGAAAAAAATGATGTAAACATTCAAAATCATCAGTTGCACTCTCTGCCACCCCTACACCCTTGTGCCATAGTAACCATTTGCTGCTCTGAGCTGGCCCTGCTGCCCTCCGGACTTGGTGCACAGCCGTTGTTCAGGGGTCACTTCCTTTCACTGATGACTTGCGTAGGAAAACATAGGAATGATGACCTGTGTGTTTTGGATTCCCAGTCTTCCTCTCTTGATTTTTCTCCCTCAATTTATTAAAGCATGTACTCCAGGAGTGTCCTTAGAAAGCACTCATGGGAAGTAATGTTTTTTAGTCCTTGCTTCCTCATGTGTGTTATTATTAGACTTCTACACAAGCACACCCTGTTTGTCTAGTGGAAGCATTCTAGGTTGAAAATAACTGTCTAGCAGAATTTTACAAGCATTGCTCCACTTTCTTCTATACCCAGTGTTGCTTTTGAGAAAAGTCAGATGCTACTCTGACAAATGCAATTATGACGTTCTCTTCATACCTATTATTCCCTAACTCCATGATTATGCAATTTGGAGGTTTAACAAAAAATGATTGTGGCAGGTGTTTGCTGGGCCTTTTAAGTATTGAGATCACGCCCTTAAATTTGCAAAATTGCTTCTAGTATCTATTATAATTTCTACTCATCTAGTTCTTTGTTCCTTTTTAGAACTCCAGCAGTCAGCTGTTGGTCCCCTGTATTTTCTCTCCCGTTTCCTAACTCTTTGCCTTTTGATTCTACTTTTTGGGAGATTTCTTTGACATTATTCTCCATTCCTTTTATTAAGTATTTCATCCTAGTTGTCATGGTTTTAAGTTCTAAGAGCTTCTGCTTGTTGTATGATTTTAAAAATATCAATTTTTATTTTACAAATGCATTATCTAAGCTCTCTGATATTAATTGCAATTTTTTTTGGTTTGTTTTGAGTGTTACCTAATTGTTTACCTTTCTTCTAAGATCCTTTTCTTTTTTGGCTATTGCTTTTGAATTCACCTTTTCATGTTGAAGTCTTTCTTTTCAAGCATTTATGATCTTGAGTTGTCTGTTCATATATGAGTGAAGCTCTAGATTGAAAGCTGATTGGAACATCTGTGTGTGTGTGGGGGGGCGGTGGGGTGGGGGTGAGTGGGGAGGTTGTTGATGGTGGGCTTTACTACAAAGCAGACCATCTGGCCTCTTCATCAAGAGACTCCCTCTCCCCCCACCAAATGTAAATATGCCAGTTGTCTTTCTGGGGTGCTAGGGTGGTTTGATTTTTCTTTTTCTCTTTTTTTCTTTTCTTTTTTTTTTTTTTTTTTTGAGATGGAGTCTTGCTCTGTTGCCCAGGCCAGAATGCAGTGGCACGATCTTGGCTCACTGCAACCTCTGCCTCTGGGGTTCAAGTGATTCTCCTGTCTCAGCCTCCTGAGTAGCTGGGATTACAGGCGTGCCCCACCACGCCTGGCTAATTTTTGTATTTTTAGTAGAAATGGGGTTTCGCCATGTTGGCCAGGCTGGTCTTGAACTCCTGGCCTCAAGTGATCTGCCTGCCTTGGCCTCCCAAAGTGTTGGGATTACAGGGGTGAGCCACAAAGCCTGGTAGGGGGCGGTTTAGTTTTTCAAGTTTAGATTCCCACTCTCCTGCCTCATGAGTGGTGCTGAAGGTGATGGAGGAGGTAGTATTTTCTACCTGCCATGTTCTAGGGGGTGGGAAGGAGGCTGATATTTTCATTTGTCATATGTATTCTTTGCTTAATTCCTCTGTGTTCAGTCTTGTGTCTCACTCCTGACCTGTTCTGTCCTTGGACCCACCCTTTGGGTTACCCAGTGCCATGAAATCTGGAGTCCCTGAGTTGCAGGGGGAAATGTCTCACTCGTCGCCATCCTCTTCTCCTTGAAGGCGCTCGGCATATGATTCCTCATACTCTGTTAAGACAGTGGCCCCTCCTTCCACTTTTCATTTTCTGAATATCTGTGTCTCCTACTCTATTCTCTTTATCTCTGAATAATCATAATCTTTTAAGTTCTTTTATGGTCATTTTAGTTGTCTAGGAATATAGAGAAGAAACAACAAAATTGTTATGTGATATTATACATGTAATCAATCTTCCACTTGAAAGCAGAGTTACCTGCAAGACTCTTGACATCCTTACTCTCTATTTTAAAGAAATGGCAACTGGAAATCTAAGATAGTGCATCATGGGTGTGGTTTGTGCAAGAAAGTCAATGCTGACCTCCAGTCAGCAGACTCATGCCCAAAGGGGGGCTTTGGCCTAATGTCACAAAATTCGTAATATATGTGCATGTATGTTTTGAATTAAAATGAGGAATGCATATATCTTTCAACTGACTTTTCTGACTAACCACCCAACTGCTAATTTGAATTTTGATAAATAAGAGGGTTTCTACTGACCTTTTAAGATTTTCATAGATTTCCCCTTGGTTAGAGTGATGGCAGTGACTCTGTCTGCCTTTTTTATCACTTTAACTTCGGTCCCTAGAACAGTGGCTGGCTCACATAAATGGATACTCTAGAAATGTTTGTTGAATAAAAGAATAACTTTTCAAAGCTTTACAACTACTCTTTATAGTAGTTTTATTAACCCCATCTTATAAATGAGAAAACAGAAGCTCAAAGAAATCAAGGGTTTATCACACAGATGACAGAGTGGGTAGAGGAAGTTGAATATAGATTGCATGTTAGATAATAGAATTTTTGTATCTTGTATTACTTTGTTAGGTATAATAATGATACTGTGGGAAAATATCTTTACTCTTAGGAGATCCATGCTGAAGTATTTTGAGATTAAGTACCATAATGTCTACACCTTTCTATGAAATGATTCTCTCTCTTTATCTCTCTCTCTCTTCCTCCCTCTCTCTTTCTATGTGTGTGTGTGTGTGTGTGTGTGTACAGAGAGAGATAAATTAAGGATGGTAAAATGTTAATTATTGAATATAGGTAGAAATATATGAGAGATCAGTGTATTCTTTCAACATTTCTGAATTTTGAAAATATTTACCACACAGAGTTGTAAAAGCAAAAATTAAACAAAAATAGAGAATTAGACTCAAGTTTGTTCAACTCCAAAATATCAAAAAGCAAATTAAAGGCAACTGCTCAGAAATGATCCAGTGAGCACTGAGGATCAAACACTATTTCCTTTAGGAAATGGGAGCTAGGCAATCCAGAGAGAGCAAGTAAGGAGTATTTAATACATAATTCTGATGGTCTTCTCATATAGCCACTTCCGTAAAGTCAGCGTAAGAGTTAGGACAGAACCTTTATATAGAGAAAGGAAAGATCTATGGAAAAAAAGACTGAAAAGCCTGTTGAAGGAGGTACTGTTGAAGGGACTGGGACTTTTTTACCTGGAAAAGAGAAGAATTCAGGGTAATGTCATCATCTTCAATACCCAATGCACCAAATACTCAAAAGACCAAATGCTAATTTAGCCTAAACCCATTTACTCTTCATAATGTAAAGAGTCAAAATTTTCTAAAAGGCAAAAGATTAAAAAGTAATTTAGGAAAAATTTTGTATAGATTAATTACAACTTATTACGTAAACTTGAAGAGAACAGAGAATGTATATAAAATTTTAGTTGTCCAATTTGCTGCAGGCCAGGAGGTAAGAAAATACTTATTGAATGTCTACTTAGGGTGCTGCCCTGTGCTGGTATTTTACTGGTTATCTATTTGATGCTTATAACAACCCTATGAATTTATGCTGCTTTCCCTTTTTCATAGATGAGAAAACTGAGGTTCAAAGAAGATTATCATTCCTGTGAAACCTCCCCCCAAAATCCATGTTATCATCCTTTTGAATAATACTGGAGTAATTTCTGTATCCATAAAAGATGGTGAATCCTTTTTAGATAAATTATTTAGTTATGAAATAAAGGCAAAGGGATTGAATTTAACAGGGGCTTGACTTGCTAAGGTCTGGGCCTCTTTTCTAATGACCCTGCTGAATATTACGGGAAACTATTTTAGAAGCAATAGGAATTCAGCTTCATAGCATCAGAGAACCTTCTAAGGGGCAGAATTGAGGGCTTCACTAAGGGATTAGCTTTAAAAAAAGTGCAAACTAAAAATTTCATTTGGAAATTAGTAGAATTTCAAGAGATTCAAGATCTTCTAAGTTGGTTGTGATTGCAGAAGAGTGAGGGAATAGGTAGAGCCTCAGAGATGGTAACAGGGCTTTGAGATATTTGAGAGTGCTACAGTTGTCTAGAGGCCTAAATTGAAGTTACTTAGTTGTGTGGTGATATGGTTCAGCTGTGTCCCCACCCAAATCTCATCTTGAATTGTAGTTCCCATAATCCCCACATGTTGTGGGAGGGACCCAGTGGGAGGTAATTGAATCATGAGGGCAGTTACCCCCCATGCTGCTGTTCTCATGATAGTGAATAAGTCTCATGAGATCTGATGATTTTATAAAGGGGCATTCCCTTGCACACACTCTCTTGCCTGCACCATGTAAGATGTGCATTTGCTCCTCCTCTGTCTTCTGCCATGATTGTGAGACCTCCCCAGCCATGTGGGGCTGTGAGTCCATTAAATCTCTTTTTCTTTATAAATTACCCAGTCTTGTGTATTTTTTTCATAGCAGTATGAAAATAGACTAGTACATGTGGTCTCCAGCAATTCACTTAATCTTTCTTCTGTTTTCATACATAAAGAATAGTTGTGGAAACTGCAGCCTTGCTCCCACTATATGATTGTTGTAAGAAACAAATGAAATATGTTTATATGTGTGATTGTGGAGTTGCAGGGTCAACACAACCGAAGCTGTGTTCATCTTGGTACTGGTAAGGCATATCTACCTGATGATTTATTGATATGCTTGGCCACCCAGCATGCTAGGAGATGGTTTATTTTAAGGAGAGAGAAAGCTGAAATACCCAAGTTTGGTTCATGAATAATTGGTCCATAAGGGAAGGTGAGATTCAGAACACAATTAACTTCAGTCTGGATGGGAGGAAGGATGGGATGAGGATAGTTTTCAATAAATAAGCAAGACAAAACTAAAAATCATCATTTTTCTCAAATATCTGGAGGACTATTGAGACCACAGAGAAGAACTCAGCCGATAGGTGCTGGCAGTTTCAGCAGTGATGGGAAATGACCTTCGGGGTCATTAGAGTACTTCAATAGCACCCTCAACCCATGAGCACTGGCAACTGCATCACAAAAAAGAGTGGGCTCCTGGAGAGGGGACCACCCCATGGTCTTCACCAGTGGTGGGTTTGGTGGGCTCTTGTTAGCCTCAGCTAATAGAGGCTCTACCAGAGTGAGTCAAAGTGGGAAATGAGGGAAATGTTTCCATGTGACTATGAAGAAGGTCAGTTCATGTAGCACGCAGAAGATGCCCTTAGGAGACAACTTCTGTGACAAATTTGAAGAGAGGGCAGGGAGTTGTGTCAGGCAGTCCTGTCAGAGAAATTGGAGGCAGAGCCTGCCAATTGTTTACCATTTTTCCACTTTTATTGTAATTCTATTTTTATCCCAGCAGAAATGGTCCAGAAAACTTGGGTGGTATTTGTTGGGTGACTATACAAATATAAGGAATCATGATAAAAGTAATTTGCAAGTTCATTTATGCTTATGCCTCCCAGGTAGACATCAGAGGAGGTGATGCCTGCTGATATTTAATGACAGGAAGAAACCAGCCATGTGAGGGAAGATTGAGGGCAGAACATTCCAGGCAGAGAACACAAGGGCAAAGGGCCCAAGGCTGGGATTAACTTGACCGGTTATGTGGGCAGAAAAAATGCAGACCTTGAAATGAGGTTGGCATGGCATGAGGGTGGAAAGGAAGGCAGGGGTCCGGACTTTGGAAGCCAGGATAAAGGTTTAGGATTTCATTGTAATTGTGATCTGTGGCAGTTGTGCAGGGGGACATTTTCGATGGCAGTAGTAGAAGCAGGATGCTATGGCAGTCACCCAAATGAGAGGTGATGAAGGCTTGGACATTGATGATATCAAGAAAGATGAAGTGTAGGAGGATTCAGGATATAAATTTGGAGGTAGAGTTGACTGGATTTGCTGAGAAGATTCTGGGGGGTGGAGGGAGCTGAGAAAGGCTGGAATCAAGGATAACTCCTTGAGGACAAAATGTGAAACTAGATAGACATAATCCTCTTTCATGGAGGCTGGGGAGAGACATTTTAATTAAATAATCCCATAAGTGGAAAAGTGTAACAGTGACAATGTTTCAAGGGTCAGATTTTCAATGCTCCAGGAGGGTTGAAAGGCGGTGTATGATTGAGTGAGGGAGATCAGGGAGGGCTTGTTTTGGGTGAAAGTCTAAATGTGAAGCAATATGTAGAGGGAACATTCCATTTTCTCAAGACTGGTATCCTCTGCCTTATTTGGGGAGGCTTTTTAGCAAAGGAAAGAGTCAAACATGTGCCCAGAGGAACCCCACTCTCATACCCTGCTTCTCTTCTTCCCATGGCCTACAAACGGTTAAAAAAGATTTCCTCAGCATGTGCAAGCATGCAAGGGAGAAACTGTGTGTGAGTTCCCAGAAGCCACCCAATTGACCATCCTCTGGGTTGTGGAGACAGGGTACAGCCTGTTCTTTTTGTACTTTACAAGTTCAGTGAAAAAAGCAACAAGCTGTTTCTTTCCCTTAGGCAGGCCAGCCAAGAGATAGCAATGCTGTTTCTTCCTCTCTCTTGTTTTCCCCATGATTATCTTGTAAGCCTTTCCTTTTACACATTTGAGATGGGTTTGAAATGGTTCCTTGCAGAGGGTTTGCATCAGAGAGTCTTGAGTTTCCCTTGGGTCACTTTCCTGAGGCTCAATTTTGTCACCAGTAAAATTGGGGTTATAGTAGTAACTATCTTAGAGAGTTGCAGGGTAGACTGAGTGAGCTGATAAATGATAAGCTCTAGCTTAGTGCCTGCCTCATTACAAGTGATTAGGATGTGTTGCTATAACAAATTACCACAAACTGTGTGACTTAAAACAACACTGAATGATCACCTTACAGTTCTGAAGGTCAAAAGACTGAAACAGGTTTCACTGGCCTAAAGTCACATTGTTGGCAGGGCTGCATTCCTTCTGGAGTTTCTAGGGATGAGTCCATTTCCTTACCTTCTCCAGCTGCTGGAGGCCACCTGCATTCTTTGGCTTGTTGCCCCGTTCATCTTCAGAGCCAGCAGTCACTTCACTTCGAAATCTGTTTCTGATTGTTATATCTCCTTTGACTGTTCTACCTGCCTCTTCCATATTTAAAGGACCCTAGCTTAATCCATTTATGCTGGATTTATAACAAAATACCTGAAACTGCGTCATTTATAAAGAACAGAAACTTATTTCTCACAGATCTGGAGGCTGGAAATCCACCATCAAGGCACTGGCAGGCTTGTTGTCTGGCGAGGGCCTCGTCTCTGCTTCCAAGATGGCACCTTATTGCTGCATCCTCCAGAGGAGCCAGACGCCTGTGTCCTCACAGGGCAGAAGGGATGGAAGGGCAAAAGCTTCCTTGCTAGTACACATCAGCCCTTTTGTGAGACACTAATTCCATCCTTGAGGATAGAGCCCTCAGGGTCTAATCACCTCCCAAGGGCCCCACTTCTTAAGACAGTTGTGCTGGTGATTACGTTTCAACATAAATTTTGAGGGGACAAAAACACTGCAACCATAGCAGATCCTTTTGATTATGATGTGCCACCTGAATAATCCAGGGTAATCTCCTTATTTGCAGGTCTGTTGACTAGCAACCTTTATTTTATTTGCAACCTTAATTCCCCCTTGCCATGTAAGGTAACCTATTCACCTTGGTTCTGAAGATTAAGCTGTGAGCATTTTGGGGGCCATTATTCCGCCTACCACAGTGTTCAATATGGATAGCTACTACTGTACAATCGGTCCTGCATCATCTGTGGGTTCTGCGTCCATGGATTTAACTGACTGCAGATTGAAAATAGTTTTTAAAAAGCATTTGTACTGAATATATACAGACTTTTTTCTCATCATGATTCCTTAAGCTATGCAATATAACTACTATTGACATGGCATTTACATTATATTAAATATTATAAGTAATCTAGAGATCATTTAAAGTATATGGGAGATGTGCCTAAGTTATATGCAAACACTATTTTATTTTGTATGAGGGACTTGAGCATATCCAGATTTTGGTATGGGGATGTCCAGGAACCAATCCCTTCCACATACTGAGGGACAGCTACATATAGTGAACTGTGCTAGTCAATGAAAAGGATGTGAAGAAAAATCCGCTGTAACCTGTTAATTCAAAGCAGCATACGGCTTGATTTCTACCTCTTAAATAGGTAGAAATAAAATGCTGTTAGTCATGGGTAGCGTTCAGAAGAGAACAAATCACACCTGGAAATGAGGATCAAGAATCAGGAATGGATCTGTGCAAACAGTATTTCATTTGAGACTAGAGGCTGGGTAAAACTTGAAGGGGTGAAGATCAGATTTAGTTTAGGAGAGGTGGTGGGAAGAGAACCTTCTAGACTAGCTATATCCAGTAGAAATATAATATAAACCAAATATAATGTAAACATTTCTAGTAGATACATTAAAGAAGAAAAAAAGGTGAAATTTATTTTATTTTATTTTATTTTGTTTTGACACAGAGTCTTACTCTGTTGCCCAGGCTGGAGTGCAATGGCGTGATCTTGGTTCACTGAAACCTCCAGCTCTCAGGTTCAAACAGTTCTCCTGCCTCAGCCTCTGGAGTAGCTGGGATTACAGGCGCCCGCCACCATGCCCAGCTAATTTTTGTATTTTTAGTATAAATGGGGTTTTACCATGTTGGCTAGGCTGGTCTCAAACTTCTGACCTCAAGTGATCCACCTGCCTTGGCCTCCCAAAGTGCTGGGATTACAGGCACCCAGCCTGAGATTACTTTTAATAATATATTTTATTTAATTCTGAATATCGAGAATATTATCATTTTGATATGTAAGGGATATAAATGAATTATTGAGGTATGTTACATGCTTTTTGTTCCTGTGTGAAGTCTTTGAAGTTTGGTATGACCTTACACTTAACAGTGCATCTCAATTTGAAGAAGCCCAATTTGTAGGACTCATTAGCTGCATGTGGCTAGTGGCCTCCATGTTGGGAGCACAGACATTGATGAAGACAATGGCATCAGCAGAAGCATGGTGACAGGAAAGTTCAGGATAATTTGGGGAACACGACAGTGCAACAAGGTAAGAGAGAAAACAAAAATATTTAGGTTTCAAATTGCAGAAGACTCAGAATGTTAAGTGTTTGTACCTAATTTGGAAGGCATTAGGAAACTAGTGAAGGTTTTAGGCAGACAAATGAAATATTTAGAGTGGCCTAAGTGTGCTTGAAGAGAGAAAGAGACATAAAACTTGATTCTTCCACTTAGAAGTTTAAAATCTTGTAGGGGAGAAGAATGTGTACACAAAGTAATAATGATCTAAGATAGAGAGTACTGTGTGTTAGATTATCAGTACACATAATAAATGCTACAAGAGAGGAAAGAAAGGAAGCCCCAAGGCTCAGAAGTCTGAGACGAGTTTTCCAGGGCTGACCTCAGAATGTCAGCAGGGTTAAGTTCCTCTGGGAGGCTCTCGGGGAGATTCTGGTTCCTTGCCCTTTCCAGTATCTAGAGGCCACCTGCATTCCTTGGCTTGTTGCCCCCTTATCTTCAGATACAGCAATTGCATCACTTCGACCTCTGACCGAGACAATAGGAGGAGCGTTGGGGAAGTTGGGGAGCGTTCCTGGTGGGAAGCTGGCTGAACCCACAGTGTGAGTGTAGGCATCTCCATGGTCTGTTTGGGAGGAGTGGAAGCTCCCAGCCTTCATTGAATAGTGAGAGATAACGATGGTGAGCTAGGTTGATGCCATATTTTGGCAGATCCATCTGAAGAGCCTGAACACTCTCTCAAAGTCAAGAGAGAACCTCTAACAATTTAATTTTTCTCTTTCCTTTTAGAGACTGGGTCTTACTGTGTCACCCAGGCTGGAGTGCAGTGGCATGATCAATGCTCTCTGCAGCCTCAACTTCCTGGGTTCAAACAATCCTCCTGCCTCAGCCTCCTCAGTATCTGGGACTAAAGGTACATGCCACCACAACTGGCTAATTTTTAATGTATTTTTTATTTGGTAGAGATAGGATCTCTCCATTTTGCCCAGGCTGGTTTTGAACTCCTGGGCTCAAGTGATCCTCTCACCTTGGCCTCTAATGATTTAAACAGTGTGATGGCATGCTCTAGGAGGCATGTTTTAAAAAGATTAATCTGACCAATGGGTGGGATGCACTGCAGGTGGGTGAGACTGAAGACTGGGAGTCCAGTTAGAAGGCTGTTGCTGTAGTTGTGGTGTGAGGTCATGAGGTTAGGAGCTGGGGTGGAGGAGTGAGCTGATTCTTAAGAATTTAAGGTGATGAGATATGGGGGAGAGGGCGTGAAAAGGGTTAAAGAAAGCTTTGTTGCAAATGGCAGGTATTAATATGAGTGGCAGGACTGGAATACCCAGTGGTTGGCAGTGACGAAGTGAATGTTCACTGTAAAGATTTCATGGTAATTTGGATTATGTCAGCAAACCTGTTTTTATACAGTAATATTTGGCGACTTTGCAATAAAAAAGAAACTTGGCATGCAGGCAGCGTACGTCAGTCCTCTTTCAAATGAGATAAAACTCTAATACTTTAATACTTATTGAGCCTCTGTAAGATCTTCCAACTGTCATCTGTGGTGTAAGCATTCACTTAGGACGGGAGACAGTGTTTTTTTTTTTTTCTTCCCATGAAGTGTCTAGATGAAAAGAAATTCTATAATAATCAAAGGAAGACTAAAATTCTAATCTTTCTCTTGTCTCAAAAGTGAGAGAGATTTAAACCATGGTGTAGCCTTCTCTGTTGTCTGAACTCCCTAAGGTCAACGCTCAAGGGCTCCGGGCAGGCGATGGAATAATTAATGGCGCTATTTATGTGCCTGTAATGTTCAGAGCTGACACCTGGAAGACACGGATGAACGCTGTCAGATCATTCCAAAGGGGGATGTGAGAAGCCATGCATGAGCAGGAAGATAAGTTACTGGAAATACCTCACAGATCTGTAAGGGGGTCAGAGTTCTTGGGACTTCTCAGAAGGTATTTTAGTATGTGAGCGCTTTTGCCAAACCACAAATTTGGTCCCACTGAGTCTTTCTGTTAGAATACAAATCCTTCTCTTTCTCCTACTAGTGGCTCACATTGTGAGTACAGTAGAACAAAGGCTGGGGATGAGGAGCCTTCTGAATATTTTCCTGATTCTCCCTAAAGTCACAGGGATGGTGCCTGTGTGACGCCGTGAGCTGCACTTGTCAGTATCGCTGTGTGTAGCTCGTTACAATTCTGCTGGGATGCTGAGTGCTAAAGAGGCCCTGTAATATGTTAGAGTTGACTTCTGCTCTATTGTAGCTTGGTTGGATCAGTGTGTTTCACAAGGCCAGAAAAAGTTTCTCTTAAGTCTTCAGACAAATTATTAGCTCTCCCATATAAAGGTCGCCCAAACTGGGGGCAGCCTTCACTTACCCCTACTGTCCTGGTATACTTAGGAGTATCCTGGTTTGGATGTGTTCATTCTATATGGTCAGCATTCATTTTATATGATCACTCTCCCTTTGGGGCTGTTTTATCTCATTGTGCAGTCTGTCTCTGGATATGGTTTAGCTGAACCCAGAGTTTCCTTATATTTGGATCTTTCCCTTTGTTCCACCTTCAGAGAAGTCCCACTCTGGATTCCATATTCAGAGAGGATGACTAAGTCTTTAGCCCTGCCTTAGAGAAGTGTCCCTCCAAAGGGGCCCAGAGCGGGTTCTGGGTGGAAGGCAGGGAGCTGAATTTTTCTCTCGTCTATGCACACAGGAGAGTTATACTTAGGCAAATTATTCCATTAGGTTGGTGCAAAAGTAATTGCCATTTTTACCATTAAAAGTAATGGAAAAAAACTGCAATTTCTTTTGCACTAATGTAATGGAATAATGTGCCTTAGCCATTGCTCTGCGCCTTGACTGAATTTCTTAGAAAAAGTTTATGAATCTTGTTCGAGCTGCTTGTGGTTACTCTTGCGTATGGGCTGGGGAAGGGTGTGGGTTGTTGCCACTATCCTAGGTCCTCTCCTGAATAATAACTTCCTGGAAGGCAGGATTTCAAGCCTTAATTCTTTTATCCTAATTATACACAGTCTAATACAATATCAGAAGTATGTGGCAGTTTAATAGGAAATAAACGCAATTACAACAGCATAAGAATTATTTCTATCTCATGGCTAATGCCCCAAACCTCTGTGGGCTTTATGGAGCAGACCAAATTTTGTTCACCAGCCAGAAATGCTACTTGCAATTTACTGAATCCACGGTACTGTTTCCCCCAAGATTATTTATAATTTTTCTTCTTTATTACAAAAGTTTTTATAAAGCAGAGTTTTATAAAGGGGTTTTTATAAGGAATTTTATAGAGGTAATTATTACTGAAATTAAGATGAGTAAATATGACCCACAATCAACTTAGAAAAATGGTTTGCTTTCATGAGAAGGCACTAATTATTGTTATTTTCTTCACGTAGTCTTTGGGCTTGCAATTAATTGGTCTTTGATGAAAGGCAGAGCCTTCTTGGCTTAAAATGGTTCCCTGAATTGACTACAGTTACATCTTCAAGAATCTTGAAGAATGTGTTTGTTTGAATACCTGCATTCAGAAGTATAAACATTCATTTCAGCCACTCACATGACTATCAATATGGTTAAAAAATGATAACACATCTGAACAATGTAGTATAACAAATATATTTTTGGATTTTAAAAATCTTTTATCTGTATCATCTTCCAACAAAGATTTCTAACTTTGATCAAAGATAAAAATCAGACTTAAAATTTGCCCCTAAAGTTAGTAAGACTTCTTGTGTCCTATGAGAGCCAAACTGTCCTTCAAATATCTAGCAAGTTACCCAGCATTAGGGGATCCACCACTAATTTTTGGTGGCCCCCAGATATCTTGCTACCCTCTAGCTACCTTCGGTCAATGACTAGCAGAAGTTGGCATGGAAATATGCCAACCCTCTTTCCCTTATGTGAGACAGCTCTGCATATAGGAATTAAGGGCCAGTTGCCCACATTAGTAGCACCTCAGATATATGCCAGACATATTTTCTGTAGTATTAGGTTGGTGCAAAAGTACTTGTGGTTTTTGCAATTACTTTTAATGGCAAAACCACAACTATCTTTGCACCAACCTAATAGATCACAAACATGGCCACAAATTTCTACACCCTCTATATCCAAACCCTTGCAATGTGACTTGGTAGCTCCTCCTACCAAGAAGCAGAATCTTTATTCATTGCATCTGAGCTAAGCCATAGGACTTGCTTTGGTCAAAAGGACGGTAGCAAAAATGGCACCAAACAACCTGTTCACTCTTGCTGCTCTTGGAAACTTGAGCCACCACGTGAAGGCTGGGTTAGCCTTTTAGGTGACAGGACACATGGTTCAGTCACCTCGGCCACCCCAGCAAACAGTTAGCTATTGCTCACGTTTGCCCAAGTGAGCCCAGCTCAGGCCTGCAGAAAAACCATCCAATTGAACCCACTCCACACTGCTGAGTCTAAGAATTGTGAGCTAAATAAAGTTGTTTTAGGCCACCCAATTGGGAGTGGTTTGTCATATAGCAGATTTAAATGTTAGAGCTGTTTACTGGTTTGAAATCTCTTGCATAGGGAGTTAAACTTGAAGAGGGAAAACCTGAACTTGTTAGGTAGATACAATATGTCAGACACAGTTCAGGAGATTGTCATTTATTATTTCAATCAAACCCACAAAGTAGGTGTTAACCATTTCCATTTAGAAATAGAAAAACTGAGACCAAGGGAAATTATGAAGTTGCCTAAGCTTGTAAGTGGTAGAGCCAGGATTCTTAACCAGGTGTGTTTTGTTCTGCTGAATTTGTCTTTGCCCAAAAGCAGACTTTGAGTGACGGATTCAGGTACCAGTAGTTTACTTGGAATGTGAAAGGAAAGTGGGAAAATGAATCAGGAGGAAAGGCAGAAAATGAAGATAACTTACCTAGCAAGTTACTAATGTGGACAACTGGCCCTTAACCCTTCTATGCGGAGCTGTATCACCTAAGGGTAAGAGGGCTAGCTAGCATATTTGTACACCAACTCCTGCTAGTCATTGGTTGAATGTAGCTGGAGGGCGGTGGTGTGTACATGTGGGGAATTCATTATCTAGCACCACATGGACTCTGGGCTCTGGGTTTTGGCAGTCATATACATCACCCACGCAATGAGATTCAGACGCTGGCAGTTGGACTTGATGTGTGCTGATGTAGTCCACTCAAAGGAGTACGAACTGGTCACTGTAAGGATCTCTGTAGCAGCCTTCCAACATCAGGCTCTTTTTGTTTTGGTTGGTTGTTACCATTTCTTCATTGCCATAAAATTATTCTGCTGCAAGAACAGGGACACAGAGAGAGAGGAACATGGAGAGAGAGGAGGACACAGACGGAGTGGGGACCCACACAGACAGAGAGGAAAAACAGAGAGACAGAAAAAATAAAGATATGATTGCCACCTAAAATATCTGGTGGTTTAAGGCCAGCAAATTGTTTTGTGGCAGAAGTTGGCATCTTTGGGCTCTGAGTGAGTTGGCTGAAAGTAGTCAGCCACATACCATTAGTAGCAAGGGAGAGCAGACAACCAGCAAGAGAAGAGCATATACTTCCTGCTTTCCACTATTTATCTTTCAGTCAGGCAACACTTTAAATATACTGGATACAATTAGCTTGTTTATGTATTTATCTCTCCATCATTTCATTTAGGCAACAAACATATAAAGAGAAGGCCTACCATGAGCACTGAGGAAGGCTTACCACTGGGCACTGAAATTCTCTACTGAACCCAACACACATGGTATCTGTTCTTAGGAATGAGCCAGATGCAATGCCATTTTCATATTTAAGTGAGATACTTATATTAGTCATCTCTGGCTGCCATAACAAAACATCACAGACTGAGTGGCTTAAATAACAGAAATTAAATTTTTCATAGTTCTGGAGGTTAAAATTCCAAGATCAACGTTTCGGCACGTTTAGCTTTTCTCCTTGGCTTGCAGATGGCCGCCTTCTCACTGCGTCTTCACATGGCCTTTCCTCTGCCCCGTGTGTTCCTGGTGTCTCTCTTCTTACAAGGACACAAGTCATACTGAATTAGAGCCTCACACCTACCAGCCTCATTTTAATTTAATCACTTCTTTGAAGGCCTTGTCTCCAAATTCAGTTACCTTCTGAGAGACTAGGGGTTGGAACGTCAATGTGTGAATTTGGGGAGGACACAATTTAGTCCATAATGCTTGTATATAATTCTACTTTATTAGGAAAACTCCAATACATCAGTTAAAATACTTGCTGCTTCATTTACTCACTTAGGTGATAGAACCTCTGGATCTGAATACTGTGTTCTTCTTTTTGTTCCATCCTTCCTAGCAATAAAAAGTATTAATGATAGGTGTTGGATTAATATGTTATCATTTCTGGGGAACTTTCAGGGAATTTTAAGAGAAATTCAGCTTCAGCTGAAAGGAATGAATAAAAATTTCAGCTTCTGTGACAGTTGGGAAAGAAAAATATTTTGCCATGGGAATAATTTAAAGTTCTCCAGAGGACATTATCTATGAAGACATCACTCCACAGGTCAGAACCAATGACTCACCTTGGTTCTCTAGACCTCTGGAAAACTGAACGAAGGGACTTATATTACAACCCAAGTAATTGAGTTGTGTACCGGAGGCATTTTCTGACTAAGGTTTATTGGTTACTGATTGGTATGTGTTAACCAATAATATTACTGCTGAGGTTCTTGTTGCTAACCTTGAACTTTAGAGCTTCTGTGAAAGTCTTTATTCATTAAGCTTTGTTGTCAATAGTCTGTGGTCAAGTTCTTGGGTAAGAGTTGTCCAGGCTTATTAAGGAAGGAGGGTGGGGGTCTTGTTCCTGGAGTTCCCAGGCATATTATTGTTTGTATCAATTTTCTTACATAAGGAATAGTACTGGGAAGGTGGGGGATGATCACCAAGTGTCAACTTGAGCTGTTAAACACATTTCTTCTTTTTTGTAAAATTAAAATCTCAAACTAAAGTTGACTTATTTTTAAGTAATGATCAAATATAAAATAAAACAATATTTAATAAAAATCTTGCCATGGGAAGAAGGACTTTTGACATTAAATTCTACCTTCTTTATCAGTAAAAACTCTAGGATATGCTTTTAGGGTATGGTATGTACAGTCTTGATTAAATATTTTCTTGATATGCCTATTATAAATGTTTG
This sequence comes from Homo sapiens, assembly GCF_000001405.40. Taxonomy (NCBI): domain Eukaryota; kingdom Metazoa; phylum Chordata; class Mammalia; order Primates; family Hominidae; genus Homo; species Homo sapiens. Next base: position 136,055,979 of record NC_000007.14, read on the forward strand.
AAATTTATTACACTTGAAATTTACCTTCAGGCTAAGGCAATAAGGAATAAAAATAAGAGGGGTCACATGCTAACCAATATCCATCAGCTCTTAGCCCAACTTCATTCTTTAGATTTGCTTTAGAGTAAGGTGCTGAAGGAATAAGAGATGAGACAAGCAAGTTTTGATGAAAGAGGGGAGTTGGAAGTGTGGGGTATTATATAGAAAGACAGACTTAAGAGGGTCATCAGAGTGGATTTAGCTGGCATTGAATGCCTGAGTCCAGGCTACTAAAGGGAAAAGGATTATCAATGAAAGAGAAATTATACATTAATGTTTAGTCACATCACAATTTTGTGTGTGGCTCAGCAATTCTAAGACTTCTTTCCCAGGTAAAGGTGAAGGTCAAAGTAGAAGTGTTCTTCACTCATCCTGAGCCTCACCTCAGTCATCTCTCTTAAGACCTTGTCCTCCAGGAATTTACCCTAATGAATGAGTGGTGGGACGATAGCTTCCATTCTCTCTGTGTATCTGAACTTGTTTTTCTCGCACCTCTACTCAAGGGTAAGAGATATGTCTTTGTCTGCTAGCAGCTTTTCAATAGAATCAACATCAGAACATATTAATCAGTAATAAATATGTGTCTCAAAGCAGGAATTGGTGGAGAGAGCATCCAACAAAATGAATTCTCCACGTAGCAGGCAGTTGGCTTCATAGCGATTTGCGAAATGCCATTGAAATGACCCTGCTCCCAAATTCTCTCCTCCCTCCCACATAGTCTCAAATCCCAATCATTAGAGATTAGTTCCCTGAGATTAAAAGACATGAGGTCTCTGGGAGTTCCCTTTGAAAATTAAATCCCTGGGGTGGGAGGTGAGGCAGGTTGGGGAGGAGGTATATTAGTATAAATGAATGTATTAGCGACCAGCAACTCATTTCTGTAACAGGATGAAGGCAGTAGTGGATGCAAAATGCATGCTGATGAGCAAAGAAGGGTCAAGTCCAAAGACTGTCGTGCCCTGAGAGAGGAAAAGCAGAGTGTTCTACAGTGGGGGAGGGGGTTGAGTTAGCTAGAGCTTGTATGAACACCCAGGAGGAAATCACTTGACCTGGTTTTTGACAAGCCTGGAAAAAAGAAATGAGAGGAAATGAAGAACAATTTCACTTAGTTTACGATTTGGCACAGGGTTGTTCCTGTTTATGATAATTTAAATAGAATAAAATCTGTCATCTATTAACAGCTACTAGGAGCCAAGTACTATGTTAGATGTGTTAATTTTTTTTTTTTTTTTTTTTTTGGAGACAGAGTCTTGCTCTGTCCCCCAGGCTGGAGTGCAGTGGCGTGATCTCGGCTCACTGCAACCTCTGCCTCCTGGGTTCAAGTTATTCTACTGCCTCAGCCTCCTGAGTACCTGGGATTACAGGTGCCTGCCGCCATGCCTGGCTAATTTTTTTTTTTTTTGTATTTTTAGTAGAGACAGGGTTTCACCATGTTGGCCAGGCTGATCTTGAGCTCCTGATCTCAAGTGATCTGCCTGCCTTGACCTCCCAAAGTGCTAGGATTACAGGCATGAGCCACCGTGCCCAGCCAGATGTGTTCATAATTTTAATAAAACATGTTGTGCGCTATTCTTAACAACTTAACTTTACCTAACAACTTTACCTACGTTAACTAATTTGATTTTCAAACGTCCTTTTGTGGCTGCTACCATTAACTTCCCATTTTACAGAGGAAGAGACTGAGACACAGAGAGATGAAGTAATCCAAGATCACGTAATTGGGAAATGGCAGAGCGTGGATTTGGACCCAGGTTGTCTAGTTCCATGGTCATGCTCTTGACCACTGCACTATTCTATTGTTCATGAATGTTATTTCTTTTAGGAATGATATATGCTACTTGTTATGCCTGTACCTTCATTTAAAAGCTGTTTGTGGTGCTAGGATAGGGAAACCATTGTCCCAGTTTGCCTGCAACTGAGGGGTTGCCTGGAATGCAAGACTTTTAGTGCCCTAGTTGGGACAGTCCCAGGCAAACTAGTATTGTTTGGTGACCTTATGCTAGGAGTATGATTGTGATGAGAATAACAACAAGGCCACCCTGAGAGAATTTATAGTCTGGTGCCAAATAAAATTATAAATTTAAACATGAATCTGAAATAAAAGACGTGGTCTATGAGGGCAGGTAACAGAGGGGCCATGGGTCAGGTGGGGAATGCCTCCTATTGTAACAGAAGCAGAAGGATTCATCGTGTTTATTATGTCTATCTCCTGATCCAAGAGGTGACAGGACAGGTATGAGTTAATTTTTCCCTTTGGAGTGATTTATATTCTTACCACATCTTAAAACCAGAGAAGAGTAACCAATAATCAAAACTTATACCACTAATGCCTCATTTATCTCAAAGATGCATTTATATTACTGTTTAAGCCGATGTGTTGCACTTTTAAATAATTATGCACAGTGCATGTGTATTTTTTAATCCTGCTTTGGTTTTTATAATTTACAGCTGCAGAGAACTCCAGGAGCTGTTTTTAAAGAAGATTAAGGTACTGCATCAAGAAGCCTCCATTTCTAATCAGCAAAATCCATTGCAGCCATAGAATTAAAATTAAATATCATTACATGTTTCCCAAGAAGTTTAGGAGAATCTACAGGTTAAAAAAAAAACAGAAAGATTAAATGCAGCAGGAATGTGGTATGTGAGTAAGAATTCCAAGGGAGAATCTCTTGTGGATTTCTCTGATTGGAAACAGACCTGGGGACCTCTAAGGGAAGGATGGAAGCTCTGTCAAAAGGCAGCCCTCTTTCAGCTCCTATTCATTTTCAAGACAGCATTGGTTAATCATGTGTAACTGAGAGAAAATGGAACTGGTAGGCACTTTAATTGCAGGTCAAGTGAGGTGAACAATAAACAAAAAAATCAACTTGGGCTCATATTTTAGATTAGTGGCTAGATTAGAAGGAAAAGTCTTAGCTTCAAGGAATTAATAGAGAAACAAGAGGTCTTTTCAGCTGGTTTGGAGAAGATCTTTTAACACAAACCAAAGAAGCAGCTCTGTGTTAAAGATCTAGCCCATCCTTTCAACAGGAGAGGGTTCTGGTGCAGGAGTAGTGAAGGGTAGTAGGTAGGAGGCCAGATCTGGCCTGTCTTGGTGTGAGCCTCTGTGTTGACACTACCCAGCCAGGTAACAACTGTCCTTAATGCCAGGTGTTGCTGGATGATTAAATGGTAGATGGAAAATGCCATATAAGGGATACAAAGGGCCTGCCCAGCAAGTCTGTGGGGAGACTGACCAGTTATCAAGGTGGGACTTTACAAGACACACAGTCTGCAGAACAAGGAAGACACGCAAGTGGCCCTGGTGAAGTCGGGTGTGGGGAGCCATAATGAAGACTTACTAATGGGGCATGTCCACAGTGATAAGAGCAGTAGCTTATGATTCTATGCTTTTGTTTCATCCATATCTTTAATGAGTGGCTTTAGGGGTACTGGAAAGTGCTTGTTGAAGGCAGCCTCATAGAAAATAGATAGTCTAGGCAATTCAACGAATCGGTAAGGCAATTTTGATGAATCAATAGGAGTGAATTTGGCAACTTTTTATGCATGGTTTTGCATTTTCTGTTTTTCCACATTTTACAGCTTTACTCAATTTCTTTCTTGTCTGACCTGTTATAATGGAATATTTTAAACTGTTTGTTATATTTATATGATGGAACACAGTGGGGATCATTAAAAGGGATGTTTTGTGATACATATTACACAAACCAATAGATCCATCCATTCATTCATTCATTCATTCATCTACAATCATTTGTTGAGGGTCTACTATGTGCTCGACACTATTGAGACATGAGACACAGCAGCGAACAAGGCCTCAATAAACAAGAAGGAAAGAGGACAATATGATAGAGTTTTAAGTAGGGGGTTGAGGGAAGCATTATTTTAGATTGGGTGATCAGGAAAGGTATCTCTGAGAAAGTGATGTTTGAGCAAAGGCCTACAGGATGAGAAGGACCCAGGCATGCAAAGAGCTGGGGGGATGTATTTCTTTGCGGAAGTAGCAAATAAGTGCCAAGGTCCGAGGGAGGAAAACTGGCAAGACAGATGAACAGAAAGCAGTCAGGTGTGGCTGGAGTATTAATGTTCAAAGGGCAGAGGGATATGAGATTTTGTTGGAGAGGTAGGCAGGGCATGTAGGAGTTTGTAAGCCATGGTGAGGAGCTTGATATCTATGCTACCTTATTTAAGAAAAAAAGAAGATAAAAATGGCATGCCTGGAATGAGTCTATATAGAAAGAATGTATTTGTGCATTTAGAATCTATGGAAGGGGGATACCACCAAAGAATTAACATGAGATTACTCTGGGGCAGTTTTACTATAAATATTCTTTTTGTTTTTCTGTGCTTTCTGATTTGTTTCTTAATTAATCGATTATTTTTCTTATATGGAAAAAAAACCCTAACAATAGAAACAAAACACGTATGGGCTTAAAAAAATTAAAACATTTTAAAAGTACCATTCATTTTTAGACAATTATGGTTGTTCTTTGTTTGACATAATTTAATGACCTCTTAAATTAAAAAAAGTTCATACATAAAGATACTTGTGCAAATTTTCGTAAGCTAAAAACTTGAGCAAAGGCATGAAATATTGAATATTTGGATTATTTCCAATTTTAATTTTGCTCTCACAAACATAACAGAGAAGGCTAACAGGCTAAAATGAATTAAAATAAAAATGCATGTCAGAAAAATATTCATTTTGGATGACTGTGCCCTTGTGATGAAGCTGCTTTATCATGTCATCTATTATGAGAAACTGAATTGAGCCACTTAAGAGAGAGACTGGGAAAGTTGAGCAGGAGTTCTTAGGACTTAGGACTTAGTTAAGCAGTCGAGGATACAATCTGGGTTCCCAGCCTAGCAATGACCTGGTTGGTATGTTTGGAAGGGAACCTGAGGAAGGAGTAGGTGAGAAGAATTCTGTGACCACAAGGCTATAGGGGATTCATAACATTTTAGTTCAGTGGTTCTGAAACTTTTTTGTCTTTGTATCCTTTACCCTTTTAAAGATTATTGAAGGACCCAAGATCTTTTATTTATGTGGTTTATGTCTATTGGTATTTATTGAATTAGCAATTTAAATGAGAAATTTTAAAGGTATTCATTTGTCAATTCCTTTAAAAATAACAATAACAATCTCATTACGTTCACCCCAACCAGGAAAAAGTTAAAAGCATGTTGATAACATGCTTTGAAATCTTAAACCAAAATATCACATGAGCGTGGTTTCTAAAATAAATCCTTAAAAAATACATTTCTAACTAAGTTATGGAAATATTTCATAAGAATCTTGCTTCCTTTGGATAATCGGCATGAGTATGATTGTTCTATTTGAATTCAGTATTAACAACATTTATTTTTTTTAAAATTGGACATATCAGTAATAAAATGCCAAGAATGTCTTTGATGAACTTTCTTGGAGAATGCCACCTGTCTTTTGCTTGAGTGCTACCTGTGGTTGAGGCTGGTCTCTTGCTGAATTCCTGAGAAAATTGCCATGCGTAATGAAGGAAAGCCTCCAACTCAAGAAGTGGGGAAGATGGGCGTTGCGATTTTTAAAACCCTTCACCAACTGTCTCCTGGCTGCTGGGGGACACAGATGACACTCATCCTGTTTGTCTACTAGATTGCCTAGTCACTGTGAATAAGATCAAATAGAATTAGACAGGCATTTGTTTGAGAGAGTTATTTATACTCAAATCTCAAGGTTGCATTTCATGACTTTTAAGGGCTTCAGATGAGAAAGAGAATAAAAGAAGGTGTCCTTTTGGGATTGCTAGTAAGAAGGTCTGTTGCCTGTAGCATAGTATCTTCGAAAATCTTCTGTTTTACATGGCACATCTTATATAGTATTTAAGTCGTATACACTACATCTTCTGTTTGAGTTTCTCATCGACTTTTTCTGTCTACCCCACCTCCAGCACCATGCCATTCTCATGCCCCCCAACTCCCATCTTGTTGTCTTTCTTTTCCTTGAAGTGAGAGCCTATGTATAGCTAGAAGAAGAAAAGATGGAATTGCCTCAATTCTTCTTGCTTTCCCTACTTCCCTCAAGCTTTTCACTTCTCATCCTGTTTGCCATCTATGCATTTTCTTTCATGCTGAGCCACCTGTCACTGTTTGCCCACTACTTACAGTTTTTGTTCCCATATTGGTTAGGGAGTTTTGATGCTTAATATAGGATCAGAGAGTCATCATTTTTTAGGACTAGAAGGGACCTAGGGGATCGTCTACTCTAACCTTTCTCATTTTTACAAGCAAGGAAATGGAGGACCAGATTGTTGGAGTGATTTTTACAGGTTCACTGAATAAATGGCGTAACAAGATGCACTCAATGCAGGAGTGAGGCATTGATGTCTGTTGTGTGATTTCTGTGTTTCGGGTGATGTCTAGTTGCTAGCTCATTTCATTGCAGCAACCAGCCTGACTTTTGTAAATTATGAAATTGAGGCTCAAAATGATTCAGATATATTCCTAACTCCAAGGTGCAGGACACTGGGCAGCCTGACTGCAAATCCCACATTTCATCTCCTGTCTCCTGGCTCTCCTGCCTCCTCCAGCCACACAAGACCAAATGGTCAAATGTCCCATTAGTTTATGGACATACATCAGTAAGAGATGTGGTTAAAATGCTATTTAAAAAGTTCCAGAATCCTGTTCCTTTAAGGCTTAGAAAACCTATCTAGAAAAAGGAAAACTTACTTGAAACCTCATGCATGACTTGAAAGTTCATTAAAAACATCTCCACTTAGCTGGGTTCATGCTATAGGAGAAAAATGTTAAGTATAAAATGTATGCATCAGCATTTTAATCAAGTCAGAAGCTCCTCCTTGCCTGCTCAACATGGGAGTTAAAAATCTGCATTTCAATTGTGGTTCTAAAATATAGATCCCAAGGACCCAAGGGGCCCTTTCCCAGAGGAACTGTGTACAGAGAGTATGAACTTTTTGCTTGTCTTTGATTCTGCCAGCTCTCAGAAAGTTCAGGAATGAGCCTGGAGGAGGAATGAGCTGGAAATAACAAGAAAATGCTTAGGGATTTGGTATAGAACTTCATTTAATGATAAGATTTTCCCAGTCATTCATAAGGGCTGAATCTACATGATCTGACATGAATTATGGTGTGGGATCTGCTAATAGGCAATTTATTCGACAGCTGTTGGAAGGGTTATTACTTTCTGTCAACAGTCACACATATTTGTTTTGTGGTGATGCTGGGCAGCTGCTGGAGGAGCAGAGTCCCTTAAGTGTCGTGCCTATGTGCTTCTCCGACAGAGTCAGGCTTCACAAAGGCAGCCACGCAGAAGCAGAGGCTTGTAGGATTAAAATCCACAAGTGAGAGACACCTCCGCTTAGGAAGAGATTTGATTGAAAAAAAAAAAAAACCCAAAAAACTAAAAACCAATTGCAGATATGTGAGTGAGAGAGAGAGAGAAAATTATACTTGTCATGTCATCATTTTTTTTTCTAAAGCCTCTGCCTCAATGCAGGCTTTGCCACTGCCACTTGCATACAACCTACACATTGCTATCAGATTAGTTTCTTAAAGCCAGTTCTGAAGGCATGTAATTAGCGTGTAATTAGCCTGCACAGATACATTCGTTGGCTTCACATTGAGTCAAAAAGCAGCTTCTCTCCTTGGCATTCAGGGCCTCTGCATTATAAACCCCACCTACCCTTCTATCCTGATCTCTTTCTCCTCTAGGTAACCGATACTTGTCCAAACCAGGCCACTCTTTTTGGAGTGTACCTCGCACTCCTTGACTTCTGTCCCTGCTCGTACAGATTCCTTTCTTTTTTCTTCCTCTCTTCCTTCTTCTTTTCCATCAGTAAACTGGTCCAGCACTTCCAGCACCTTGAACGGTGCCTTGCAAAAAACCAATCTGTAAGGAACGTCAATTAAATGGAACTTCTTGGGACTCAGCTTCTTCATTTAAGTGGTTACTGGGATCAAAAGATAGATGCAGAAATGCCTTTTAACTTTAATAAAGGCATGAATTTTTAGGGGGGTGTTTTTAATGGTGAGTAAGAAAACAATGAGAAGGATGAGGTTGAATGTTGGGTTTTGGCAAGGGCTGAATTGGCAAAATGTTCAACTGGAAGTGCAGTGAGGAGGAGGCAATGTGTCCCTGCTCTGCAGTCATTGCTAATGTTCAAAAGGGACTTTCAAAGAAAGTCACTGGCAAATGTTGACATTACTTCTGGGACCACAGGAAGGAGGGGGCTAGATGATTAATCAGCTGGGAACTGCTAATCTCCTTATGTGTTCCTTGCTGTCACTACGTGGCTCATGTTCTTTATCACTACCACCCTTTCCCAAACTGACTTGTCCACCACTGTCTGTCTCTGTCTGTCTGTATCTGTCTCTCTCTCTCTCTCTCTCTCTAACATACTTCATTGAGCTCCGGCTACAGAAATATTCTCTTCGGCACTTATTCAGAAGGCTACCGATTTTGCTTTACAGATAAAAATAAGGACTTTATCTGGATGCACAATTGTCTCTTTTAATCCAGGGTTCATACCTGCTTAGAGATGGGCAGCTTTTTGCCTTGATGGCCAAGTTCAGCATCACACCCTCCCTTGTCCTTGACATCATCTCCTGCTGAAATTATTATGTCCTTTGAAGCTGACCTGGTTACTACATCTTGATTAATTCCATACTGCAGCCTTGCCTAGCTGTAATTGTGGCATACCAAAGCAAAAATCTTAATGATTTATACCAGAATCAGATACTGGAAAATTGCTTTTGATGATGCTATTGAGGATGATTTCTCAGGAGCTATGTTTGTGGTAAACATTACTTAAATGTAGCAGAGCTGTGTCATCTGGGTTTAGGAAAGTCAAGAAAGTGATGAGTGGAAAAGTTGAACAACTTAAGGGAAGAAGGTTATATTTTTTGTTTTTTGTTGAGTGTGTTTTGCTTACATATTTTTCTAAATGTATCAGGATTAGGTTTGGCTTCACATAACATGAAAACCCAATATGACAGAGTCTTGAGCAATATAGAAATTACTTCTTTCTCTTGTAAAACAAGACAGGAAATAGGCAGGAATTGTATGTGTCTCTAAGAACTCTTCAAGGACCAAGGCTGCTTCTAGGTCTCACTCTCCCTATTCTCATGGTCCAGGAAGACTGCTAAGAATTCAGTCTACACTAATGAGTATGAGGCACATAATGCAAGAAAAGAATGTGTCCCCTTCTGTTTATAGAGACTTGCTGGAAGTCTCACATGACACTTCAGATTACATCCCACCGGCCAGAAAATATTCCATGGATTCACCTACCATCTGGAAAGGACAGGAAGTTGTCTCTTAGTGAGGCAGCAAGAGGACCAGCTCAAATCAGAGTTTCTGTTACTGAGAAAGAAGGGTGGCTGGGCGCGGTGGCTCATGCCTGTAATCCCAGCACTTTGGGAGGCAAGGCGGGTGGATCACCTGAGGTCAGGAGTTTGAGACCAGCCTGGCCAACATGGTGAAACCCCGTCTCTACTAAAAATACAAAAATTACCTGGGCATGGTGGCGGGTGCCTGTAATCCCAGCTACTCGGGAGGCAGAGGTGGTAGAACTGCTTGAACCTGAGAGGCGGAGGTTGCCATGAGTCGAGATCACGCCATTGCATTCCAGCCTGGGCGACAAGAGTTAAACTGCATCTCAAAAATAAATAAATAAATAAATAAATAAATAAATAAAGAGAAGAATGATGGATGTTGGAAATAGCTAACAGTCTTTTCACACGAATCATCATTTTCCATCCCAGTTCCAACTCAACTTGTCTCCTGAACACATTTGCTTTTTCCCACTTTTCCTTTGCTCCTGTGGGTTTTTCTCTGCTTAAAAAGAGTGTGCTTTGGCCGGGCGCGGTGGCTCAAGCCTGTAATCCCAGCACTTTGGGAGGCCGAGGCGGGCGGATCACAAGGTCAGGAGATTGAGACCATCCTGGCCAACAACCCCGTCTCTACTAAAAATACAAAAAAATTAGCCGGACGTGGTGGCGGGCGCCTGTAGTCCCAGCTACTCGGGAGGCTGAGGCAGGAGAATGGCGTGAACCCGGAAGGCGGAGCTTGCAGTGAGCCGAGATTGTGCCACTGCACTCCAGCCTGGGCGACAGAGCAAGACTCCGTCTCAAAAAAAAAAAAAAAGGTGTGTTTTGCCTCCTCCAGCTAGTGAAATGTACCTTTTCCATGAATCCTTCCCTGTGTGCTCTCCTGAAAAAAACCTATTTCATCTTGGGATTTCTATAACACTTATTTTCTCTACCATTCATATACTTATCACGCCGTACCTTCATAACAATCATCTGTATATACTTGCATATATGTTTTATCCTTCTGTTAGACTGTGAACGTCAGAGAGCTGAGGACCTGTTTTAGGCATGATTGCATCCCCAAATATGGCTTTGCTTTGGCCATATTCATTAATTCAACAAGAATTTATTGAATGGCTACCCTGTGCCAGGATACTGTGATGGGCAAGAGTCACATGTCTTCAGGGGAGACAGACTAACATACAATGTGTGGAAAGTGGTTTTTCTAAATAAATAAATAAATTGTACCCCCTTCACTTATTTTACAGTTCTAAGTTGAAAAAAAGTAAGGATACTTAATCTTATTTCTTAGAACAGATAAACACAGTTTTAGAAAACCACAGCAGTGAGTTATGAATAACTTGAAGTAATATGATACCCAGCTTTATAAGACTAGCATCTGTAATTAGTAAAAAATACAAGCGTTCAGTAAAGTTGGAGATTTTGGGGCTGCAGCTGCTCTAGAACAGAAGTCCTCAACCTTTTTGGCACGAGGGACTAGTTTCATGGAAGACAATTTTTCCACGCACGGGGTCAGGGGGATTGTTTCAGAGCCATGAGATTCTCATAAGGAGCGCGCAACCTAGATCCCTCGCATGCACATTCTCGCTCCTATGAGAATCGAATGCCACCGCTAATCTGACGGGAGGGAGCCCCGGCGGTAATGTTTGACTGCTGCTCACCTTCTGCTGGGAGGCCCGGTTCCTAACAGGCCACGAACTGGTAGTGGTCCATGGCTTGGGGGTTAGGGACCCCTGCTCTAGAATATTCTCTCTCATTCTTTCCCTCCTACCTTCTCCCCACCCCCTTTCTCTTCCTCTTTCTCATCGTTCTTTCCCCTTTTTCCTTGTTTCTTAAAAGGATGTGGGGCAACTTATAAAAATATATAGCATGTAACAAGATAAAATATAATTAAATATAAGTAGGTCAAGCAATTGAATAAAAGATTGAAAAAAATAAGATGAAGCCAGAGTGAGATTAGTAAACTGAATGAACCAATGGATGTTTTAAAAACTTCTAACATTTTGCTAGGAGTACAGTCTAAATTGAGACCTAAAATTTAGAGTGGCCAACACAGAGTCATGGTCAGTTACACAAAATAGTGTCTGTTCTTTGACGATATCTGTAAGTAGATGAAAAGTCTGATTAATGTATGTCTATAGGGGTTAGTTGAAGGTTAGCACTAGTTACAGGGGTTCCTTTTTTCTTTTTTTCCTGCTTTGGTTTGTTACATATGCAGATGGCTTGAAGTATTTGCTGATAAAAGTATGTTCCCCAGGGCTACTTCTGGACCTGGGTCTTCCAAGCAACTCTGCCTCCTTGCATTTGCAGAAATTTCTATTATTACTATTTCAGGTTGTTTCTAAGCCAGGCAAATTGTTTACTTATCTTTTAATGAGCACTGCCTCAGTCATAAGCATAGCAGAAGGTAGAGGAGAATGACTCCCTCTTAACATGACTTTTCCAAGAGGGAGAATAATTATAGTTCTTAGAAGTAGGAAGAACTCTGGCTATGAAAACTGAAAATTTTTTATTACAACAACATTAAGCCTATTACTGCCATATCCAGTAAGCCTTGAATCTCCCCTCCCTTTAATTGGTAGTTATTTTAGGAGTATAATCGATATGCAGAGTTGATTGTATTTAAGAAAAGTGGATCACAACCTTCAGTTTGATCAATAGCTCCTTTAGAGCTTTTTAAAAAGTCCATATTCCCAGGCTATATATCTAGAGACTCTGAATTAGGAGGTCTAGGTCTAGGAATCGGTATTTTAATAATACTTGATAAAGGATTCTAATAAGTTGTGGGTTAGAAATTTGCTGTTTTAGACCTCATTGTATGACTGACATACCACTTCGAATGCGGAGGAGTCTGCTGAACCAAAGGTTATCCTTTAGTAAACCCAAGTCTAGAAGGTAGGCCAATGGTGGGATTCTGGCCTTATTGAGTCCCCACCGATTTGCAGTATTGTGTTGTATGCAGTCTGTAAGCATCCCAGGTGGTGTGTGCTGGGCTTCCAGATTTGCTTTTCTTCATTGCTGAAGTGAGAGGCCCCGTGGCACCTTGGAAAGCATGTTCAGCCTTGGAGTCTGGAGTCCTGAGCTCAAGTTCTGTCTCTATTATGTATTAATTCTGTAATTGGAAACAAGTCAAGTAGCATTTCTGAGTTTGCTTGCTTTTATAAGGGAGATAAAAGTTACATTTTCTATCTCCTAAGGTTGTTGTGAGGGTTCTGTCATATAACCCATGAAAGTGATTTGTGAACTGTCAAGTGATCTGTATATAGAAAGAATTATTTTTAATGAAATGTTTTCTCATCAGTGAATTGACAGTCTCTTGTTGATAGAGAAACTACAGTCATGTGTGGGTTTTCTGGCTTGTCATTTCACAGCCAGCACTGCAGTGGTGGGGTAGTAGAACTATGTAGGAATATCATAGAGGCTGTATCAGGGGTTAGCAGGACCAGAATAGCTAGGGGCACCACAAAATCTCAAGGACTGAGGCAGTTACCTACTGTCTGATCATCCCCAGCTTATAACAACTCCTCCTTCTCTGAGAAATGCAACTGGACACCAGTATATACACCATCTGGGCTGCTTCCTATATATCTAGGGATAGTCCATGACCCAACCTAAACTGAACCAAGCAGATTCTTCAAGAAGAAACTAGTCCTGGGTCATTAAGAGCATTGAATTGAGAATCCACATAGGATCCTGGATGTTTGGAAGGAAGAGTTGAGAGTCAAAGTGTGGATCATTCCTGACAAGAGTTTCTCAAAGGGCATACCTATTCAGAATCTTTTTTTGCCATAAATTGTTGGTAGGCACAGCTTTTCCAGTGATTGAAAAAAATCTAAAATCTATGAACATGTCTTCATGCTGAGAGAAACATTTGCTCTTGTGTTGGTCATTTCCAGTAGCTTCTGAAAATAAGATCGAGGGAAAAAGATACCTGTTTGTGGCTAGTTTTGCTAAGTTCAGGGTCTAATCACCTTAGGAAGCTGTATGATGACCAATCATACCAAGGTTGGAAAGGAGATAGAAGTAGTAGCTATCCTGTCCCAGCTGTATCTCTCATTCCCTGCTGTTTGAGGGAAAATTGGGCCAATGATAGTATATCCCAAACAAATGGAAATAAAACTAAATATCACTAGTTTTATAACTTCGAGGATTCAAAATCCTCAAAGGAGAATTGAGGAGAGCTGATCTTTAGTATTTGCTTTCCTCTTGGTTCTCAGCACCCATTGTTCCCAGGATGCTTTCTGGCTGACTGCATCCTTTCCTTCTCCTCCCTAATCCTGACCCGACCTCTCTTTCAGCACACAGCATCATCCCCGATCAAATTCCACTTCTATTGCCTATTTCAGATTGTTTTTATGAAAGAATAGAGCAATATGATGAAATTAACTTGTACTTCTATTTGCCATCAATTTGAGGTCATTTTAGATTTGGCTCAATACTGTGTTTAAGATGCTATGACCTTCTCTTTTCATTCTATTGCAAGAAACTCAATTGTAAGCTGTGACTAGATACAGGAAAATAATGGATGTCTCTGCTGGCATATGCTCTGTAAAATATGCAGATTCTAAATATTAGTTTGATGTTCTTACTTTAGGGACTTCTCTCCCACAGGTTTATCCTATAAGTTGATTTTAATTTTATCATCATTATTTTGACTTATTATGCAAGATTCAATAATTGCATAATATTGAATAATATTTGCATAAATATTGAATAATAATTGCCTAATATTGCAAATATTGCAAGCAACAGAGAAAAGATTCTCTGTTGCTTGATGTAAAATACCCTATGTTATCTAATGAGGTGAAATTTATGTAATTCTCTCAATTATTCCCCTTAAAATATGATTAGGATCTGAAGGAGATCATTTTATAAAATCAAAGCTTGTTGGTTTCAAAATCTTACTTTTGTTTTTCTCCAGGAAACAAAGTCCCAGGATATCTGGATGGTTGATTTGAATCCTTCAATCTTCTTGGGGAGACATTGCATCATATTAAGGGTTCGGCCTCAAACTTTGTAGAGAAAAGAGTTAGGTCAGTTTTCTGATTAGGCAGAATGTGGAACCCAAGAGACTTGAAGCTGCTAAAATAATTGTTATTTGAGTATCTATTATGATATTTTCTTGAACAAGTTGACTTTAGTTAATTTCAGATCTGGAACAACTAGTTGATTACTAATTTAGGAGAAAGTCAACCTTACTGACTCATTCCTCCTGAAATTTGCATACCTAAATCCTGTGTTGATAAATTAGACTCAAGAGTTATTATGCTGTGCCACTAATTTAACTTTTCAGCAGATTTTAAAATTGATGAACCCAAGCATTTTCTTCTGAAATTTATTGTAAAAAGTCACGTCCATAGAGTAAAAGCTTGTTTTCCTTGCCTGTATTTTCTCCCTAAGGAAGCCATGTGATTCATTCAGTGTTTATAATAGTTACTGACTGATCAGTGAAAATGAGGCAGGAGGGTGGACTTGAGCTCTACTTCTCTGGTTTGCATTAAAAGCATTCTTTATTTAAAATGGTATTTTACTAACGAATTAACTTGAACATATCTCAGGAACAGGTCAGAGTGGAAGAGGTTAATGCGTTTCAGTAAGGATTCCTGAAGATGATTTGTGTGTATTTGTGTGTTTCGAGATCCTTAGGGGACCTTGTAGTAAAATATTCAGGAGGCTTTCTATCTTTTATTTAAGGCTGAATATTCAAGAATTTGCTTAAATAAATGTTTTCTTGTCTTGAATTTGGCCTTATAAATCATAGATAATATATATTTTTTCAGTCTGTTTGTGAGAAACCTGACGTTTTGATGCCAGAATTAAGTGAAAGAGAAGAGATAAGAGATAGCTGCTTCCTTTTGTTGTATGTCTATTAGGACTCACTGTTGCAATGGGGAACGCTCTTGGGAATGTTTTTCCAGGATAGACTTTGCATGAGGCCTGACTAATAGCCCACAGATGGCTAGGCTAAGCCATGATTAAAGTTCAATGGCTGCTCATGAAACAGAAAGATGCTAAACCTTCCTTGTATTCTTGACGTCATTAGCACCATGCCAAACAAACTGGCTTTTGTATATACCAGCAGGGTCATTTCCATACTGGGGAAAAAAAAAAGAAGAAAGAATAAAAGGGAGGAAGGAATGGGTACAAAGTCTTTGGGAATGGAAGTTGAGGGAGAATGGTTTTCAATATGTCCCTAAGCAGGCCAGCCACTGATGTTAATGATGGTTCTACACTGGCTGGGCCTGTGATTGGAGGAACTAAGATAGGGCCAGAGGTAGTGGCAGTATAGAGTTGGACATCACAGCCATACACAGTGTGAGGGAAGAAGGTAGAATCTGACTCTGGTCTAAGGGCAGGACACAGTACTATAATAACTGCATTCCTTCTTGTGTTGTAGGAATTGTAGAATTTGCATATTAAGAAATCTTACCGCTATAGTCCAAACCTTCCATTTTTCAGCTGAGAAATCATATATCCAGAACATTGAGGTAACTTTCCTAAAATTATACATCTAGTTTTGACAGAGCTGTGACCAGAACATAACCACCCACCTTGCCAATCCCTTTCCTGTGGATATTATTATCTCTGGACACACTGTCTCTGTGACAGCAGGTTGTTCATGGCTGTAGTGAGAAATTGTTCAAGGAGTCTCACCATTCAATAAACATTCATTGAGTTGAACTCAATAAATTTATAGATGCCAGGCATTGCTCTGGGTGCTGATGCTTTTAGAGTGACATAGTCATTGTTTTCATTTTTCCCTGTGACTTTAACTCTTGATGCTGCTTTTCTCTGCTTCTTTCTTTTTATTTTTTTAAAAATTTTTTGGCCAGGCATGGTGGCTCACACCTGTAATCCCAGCACTTTGGGAGGCCGAGGTGGGCAGATCACGAGGTCAGGAGATCTAGACCATCCTGGCTAACACGGTGAAACCCCCTCTCTTCTAAAAACACAAAAAATTAGCCAGGAGTGGTGGTGGGCGCCTGTAGTCCCAGCTGCTCGGGAGGCTGAGGCAGGAGAATGGCGTGAACCTGGCAGGCGGAGCTTGCAGTGAGCCGAGATAGAGATAGCGCCACTGCAGTCTGGCCTGCGCGAAAGAGCGAGACTCCATCTCAAAAAAAAAAATTTTTTTTTAATGTTTTGTTAAAGATGGACTCTTGCTGTCTAGCCCAGGGTGGAGTGCAGTGACTGGTCACAGGCGTGGTCATGGGGCACTGTAGCCTCAAACTCCTGGCCTCCTGTGATCTTCCTGCTTCCACCTCTTGAGTAGCAGGGAGTACAGGCCGACACTTTCTTTTTATCAGCACCTCTCTGAGACTCATTTTCACGGTTTACATTAGCTTGCTGTTAGTTCTTGATGGAGTGATGGTAATGGGTGAGGATGTCACTGGCAGTTGCAGGGGAGAAGGTGTCAGAGGTACCCTGAAGTGATTGCTTCCACTATATTAAAAGTCAAAAAATATTCACAAATGTTTATTTTCCTTAGTCTTTTAGAAAATCAAATGGGGCACTAATGGAGATGTTTTCACAGAGGAAGGAGAAACAATAAATCTTGGTTGTATTTAACTGTAAAAGCTGCCTCCTGATTAAGAATTTGCATATAAATTTCTCAAGAAATTTCAAAAAGGCAGAAGGTTTGGAAGTGAGCTTAGAACAGAATATCTTCATAACATGAAAAATAAATGAATATCTTTGTAGCATGAAAAATAGATGACTATTTTCCCGCAAACACTATGCTATTCATTTTTCTAAGACTCTCATGATATCCCAAATGCATATTTTGTAATCTTAACATTTTGTAAAAAGCCAGAGGTAAGCATTCTTTATTTCTCTCTGCTCCAGAAGAAAGATATACCTCTACTACTTCAACTTGATAAGGAATATAAATATTATGTTGACAAGGTTATGGCAGAAATTGATTTTATATAGAAACAAGCCACTTCAATAGCTCAGAGTTTGGAGTTAAAATTATCTTAGCATTTTGAAGAATTTTCCTATATATGAGACAATTACCTACCATTCTGATCAATGCAGGACTCAGTTCATAGTCCAGGAACATCTGATTTTTTTATCTTCAGGAAAATTCTACAAGTATCAATGTAATTTGACAATTCTATATAGGTTTAGCCTTCATGGAAGGGCTGTTGAGATGTAATATTAGTTGTTAATTGTTAGACCTTGTGTTCACTATGTTCTATGATGTAAGATTAGTTGTTCACTTATAGACATTGTATTCACAGAATGTTGGGGATGGCTTACATGGTTGCTGCAGGGGGAGATTATATTCTACTCATCTAACCAACATCTTTCACAGGGAAAAAAATGATGTAGAAAAGGAGAAGCTTGCTGTGGCTCAGCATAATTTTGTTCATTTTTTCCTTATTGACACACTAGTATTTAATTTGTTTTTTTTTAACTCTTCAAATATTTTTGAACTTGTTTTAATGATTTATCCCAGGATAAGGAAGAATATTTTGTTAGGGGTAGATGCAGTAGACTAGAATAATACTCCCTCTGCTCCACCCCTCATCCCTAGAGCCTGTCAATATGTTACCATCCTTGGCAAATGGGATTTTGTAGATGTGATTAAGTTAGTGGGAGATTCCTGGGTTATCTGGGTGGGCCCAAACCAATCACATGGTTTCTTAACAGTGGAGAACTTTTCTAGGCTGTGATCAAAAGGAGATGCAATGATGGGAGAAAGGTCAGAGAGATGCTGTGTTGCCAGCTTTGAATATGAAAGAAGGGGGCCATGAACCAGGGAATGGCAGGGGCCTCTAGCGCTGGAAGAGGTGAGGATGACGATGACCAGTAGGGCCTTCAGAAAGGCACACAGCCTTGTGAACACCTTGATTTCAGCCCAATGTGACTATGCCAGACTTCTGACCTTCAGGACTGTGAGATCATGAATGTGTGTTGTTTGAAGTCAAATTACCTAATTTGTGATAATTTAGTTACTGCAGCAATAGAAAACCAATACAATAGAGACCAGATTTAACAAGAGAAAAGGCAGGGTGGGATGACTGGATGGAGAAGTGGTAAGGGACTAGCAGTGGAGCCTGGGTTTTTCTTTTTCTATATATATATTTTTAAACAGTCTTGCTCTGTCACCCAGGTTGGAATGCAGTGGCACTCTCTCAGCTCACTGAAACCTCTGCCTCCCGGGTTCAAGTGATTTCCCTGCCTCAGCCTCCCGAGTAGCTGGGACTACAGGCGCATGCCACCATGCCTGGCTAATTTTTATATTTTTAGTGGAGATGGGGTTTCGCCATATTGGCCAGGCTGGTCTTGAACTCCTGGCCTCAAGTGGTTTGCCCACCTCAGCCTCCCAAGGTCCCGGGATTACAGGCATGAGCCACCATGCCTGGCTTGGAGTTTTCAAATTAAGGTTTTCATAGATGATTTGAAATTAGGATTACATGATGAAACTTCAGGTGTCCTCATAATTGTGCACTTTTCTAGCTAGTGAAATGTCAAATTTCAGCAGCAAACTGAAGGAGAATCTCAACTAAAGTGGGAGGTGAGCTTCCATGAGGGCAAGTAGCCAACAATAACTTGAGAGGAAAATGGCCCACGTGATGTAGTAACAATACCATTCACTTAGGTGCTTTATGATCTGTTTGAGCTTCTGCCCTGGTATCTTTAAATACAGTTTTTGCATCTAGTTACCAAGTGTTGCTAGGGCAACACAGACAAAAGACTTTTACATTAACCTCAGGCATTGTTTGCCTATTAAACACATCTGGAACTGGTGTAGAATAGCAAAGGAGGGTTAAGATGCCTTGCAATAGTACAGTTTTTTGTTTTTGTTTTTGTTTTTCTTACATGAGCAGAACGTTTTAGTTGGGAGAAAGAGATTCTGGATACAGGCTGACATGATTTTCCTTAGAATTAACCCAGAGAGAAATAGATCCCTTAGAAGCTGTACCATTTTACCTGAGATAAGAATGCCTGTAGGGATGAGTGGCTGATACCATAAGGTATATAAAGCTATAGAAATATCATGGAATATCTTCCTGGAAGTCAGTTAATTAATTGAATAATTTTGATAAAAACATTCCTTTAATGTGAAACAGCAAATTATGAAATAGAAGGCATGATTTGCACTAATATTTAAAGCAAAGACTTTAAAGGAATTTCATGTTGCCACATACTATAGAAGTTCACCCTCTTCTGTTCTTAGAATAGGAAGAAAGCTTCAGGAAGCACTGGTGAAAGGCAAATAAATAACACCTTACCATGATACCTTCATTTCACAGATTCCTCCTTCCACAGAGCATCACAAATGACTGAGCTTTTCTAGATATTTACTTCTTTATTAAAAAAATTTCATTGGTATAAATTTAGGGGGTACAAGTGCAGTTTTTTTCTTTCTTTCTTTTTATTTTTTTTGGCGGAGAGACAGGGTCTTGCTTTCTCACCCAGGCTGGAGTACAGTGGCACGATCACAGCTCACTGCAGCCTCAACCTCCTGGGCTCAAGCAATCCTCCCACCTTAGCCTCCTGAGTAGCTGGGACCACAGATGCCAGCCACCATGCCTGGGTAATTTTTTTTTTTTAGATGGAGTCTTGCTCTGTCACCAGGCTGGAGTGCAGTGGTGTGATCTCAGCTCACTGCAACCTCCGCCTCCTGGGTTCAAGCGATTCTCCTGCCTTAGCCTCCCGAGTAGCTGGGACTACAGGTGTGCACAACCACGCCCAGCTAATTTTTGTGTTTTTAGTAGAGACGGGGTTTCACCATGTTGGTCAGTATGATCTCGATCTCTTGACCTTGTGATCTGCCAGCCTTAGTCTCCCAAAGTGCTGGGATTGCAGGCGTGAAGCACCACGCCTGGCCTAATTTTTTTTTTATCTTTTGTTGAGACAAGGTCTTACCATGTTGCCCAGGCTGGTCTTGTATTATGGGACTCAAGCAATCATCCAACCTCAGCCTCTTAAAATGCTGGGATTACAGGTGGGGTCACAGCTTGAATATTGTATTACAGCTGGGATATACCGTGCAGGCCAGTGTATTGTTATTTATGTAATAAACAATATATTATTTTTACATGCAATATTATCAGATGAAAGTCTTTATATTTGTAAATATCTCTTGACATTTAAGTCTCTTGTGGGAAACATATCTACCCAGCAAATTAGTTTATTTGCTTATTTAAGTGTATGTTTTGGTGCTAGATTATACTGAAAGATTATGTTACCTCCTAGGAATCCTACTGAGATGTTTTATGGCTCAGATGAACATTTAATGGTTATCTTGCTTTACGTTTTTTCTAAGCTAAAAATTTTACGGCTATTAAGCTATAGCAGAACCATTTGGCATCATGGTTGTCTAGTGAAGTCTGGACTTTTGGTGTACCTGTTACCCAAATAGTTTACATGGCACCCATTAAATAATTTTTCATCCCTCACGCCCTCCCACCCTTCCTAGTCTTCAATGTCTCTTATTCCACATTCTATGTCCACGTGTATGTATTATTTAGCTCCCACTTGTAAGAGAACATGCGGTATTTGGCTTCCTGTTGCTTAATTATTGGAACTGGAGGCCATCATCTTAAGTGAAATAACTCGGAAACAGCAAGTCAAATAGATCTTTACTTCTAAATTATAAACTGAAGTGTGTCCTATGAACTGGTCTACCTTGCAGCATTGAACTGTAGGGTATATATATGCTACACAACTTGTCCTGAACTTTTCTCTCCAGAGTAGCTCCTACTTATCTGTCATTCATCTTCTGTTAGAGCCAAGCCAAACTGTTCAGTGACCTCATGTGCCTTGGTGTGTTCTCCAGGCCTGCCCATCTCTGCATGTCTCAATCTAGCTTGCCATGAGGCCCTGCTCAGAGGCCATCTACTCCCAGAGGCCTTTCCAGACTCTCCCAGCAAGTGCTCTCTCTGTCTATGAATGCCTACACTTTATATCCCTTTACTTCTTCCTAGGGTACTGTCTTGGGTTAGGTTTCCAGGGAAGCCGACTCTACGAGGAAGGTTGGTGTGCAGGAAGTCTAGTGGGTGTGTTCTTTGGGATGAATGACTAAAGAAGGGAAGGAAGCAAGACTGGGCAGAGGGAGAAGTTAGGCTGGGATACAATCCTAATGAAAACCGCAGTTGACCCAAAGGGCAGCTCTGGAATGAGGATGACCCTCACAGTTGTTCCAAGTTAAGGTGAGGAGGTTGTGCCTGTACCCCTTTGCTTAGAGCAGTTGTTGGCTCTGGCTGCCTGGGAATAAGGTTGTTAGGTTTAGCAAATAAAATTATACAATGCCCAATTAAATTTGATTCTCAGATCAGCAATGAATAATTTTTTAGTATGAATGTGTTCCATGCAATATTTGGGACATACTTATGCTGTAAATAATTTGTTGTTGATCAGACATTTAAATTTGAATTAACTAAGTATCCTATATTTTATTTAGCAACACTACCCAGGAAGGAGCATGGCCATGGCCCAAGTAATTCTCTTCAGGAGGGGCAATCCCCAAAGAGGCTGGCAGAGGAGAGATGAAAGTGGGCAGCATGCCTAGCAGTTGGGGGATACAAGTTCTTCAGTCTTGACAGGGGATCTGTGCTGTGCACCACAACATTTCCCCTGGGCACAAATCCCTTCCCATTTTACGTGGTCATTAGTTGTCAATGTGAGAGTCAGGTTGGTGTATGTGGGCTTTTAGGAATCAAATTATAATATTTGGTGGGAATAAAACAAGGAGGTTTAGGCCGGGTGCAGTGGCTCACGCCTGTAATCCTAGCACTTTGGGAGGCCGAGGTGGGTGGATCACCTGAGGTCAGGAGTTCGAGACCAGCCTGGCTAACATGGTGAAACCCCGTCTCTATTAAAAATGCAAAAATTGGCTGAGCATGGTGGCAAGTGCCTGTAATTCCAGCTACTTGGAGGCTGAGGCAGGAGAATCACTGGAACCTGGGAGGCGGACGTTGCAGTGAGCTGAGATCGTGCCACTGCACTCTAGCCTGGGTGACAAGAGTGCAACTCCTTCTCTAAAAAAAAAAAAAGATTGAGTGGTTACTCTCTCTCATTTTAAAAAAGAACTAGTACCAGGTGAAGATGAGGTAGATGAATGGCCTCCAGTTCCCCAGTTCCCAAGGGGAAAAAAAAAGATATTCTCCTATATGCCAAATATATATATATATTTGTCAGCAACCAGAACTGACCTGAATTGACAACTGGTACTGTTATATAATAGTTTCACAAAGAATAGATACAGAGCAATTATTATCAAATGAAAGTTCTTATATTTGTAAATATCTCTTGACATTTAAGCCCCTTGTGGAAAACATATCTACTTAGCAAGTTAGCTTATTTGCTTATTTAAGTATATGTTTTACAGCTGGAATATACTAAAAGGTTATGTTATCTCATGGAGGTCTTACTAAGATGTTTTATGGCTCAGATGAACATTTGGCTATCTTGTTTTAAATTTTTTCTAAGCTAAAATTCGTATGGCTATTAAACTATGGCAGAAACATTTGGTGTCATGGTTGTCTAACGGCCTTTATGTTAACATGAACAGCTAATCTTTTTCTGAGAAAGAACTTGGCTCTGGCTGGGGGTTATCCCTTGGCCTGTCTCTGCAGGGAGGCGACAAAACTTATTTTCAGGCATATGTCATTTTTCAGTCTCTTCGTTCTAATTTCTTACCCAGTTTAGATGAGCCAAATCATACAGCTGTGCACTTCACAGGAACATAGAATACCTGCTTTCCAAATGCTTTTAGGGAATATAAACCCAGTTTGTGGCTTTATCATAACAATCAAATCTATATTTATGAAGGATTGTTTAAAAATTTGCAGTTTATGGGTTCCTTTAGATATTATGAAGTCTGTATCTTGACCGCTGAAAGCTATAGTCTTATATCACATTGTTTTGACTTCTATAGACTTGCTTTTGGTAAATTATATTTTAACTTTATCCTTTGTTTACCTTGAAGAATATTATGCAAAAGAATTCTGTGAATCCTGCCAATAATAATGATAATAATAATGCTGTTGATAATTTATGTATTCATTATTCAATAAATATGTATTGAACAATTTCTACATGCAAGATTATCTTCTAAGCCCTGGAATACCAATGAATGAGATAGGCAAAAATCTCTGTGTTTATTCTATTTATATTTAAGTTAGTGGGGAGAAGACAGATTACAAAAAGGGAAAGAAAATGAGAGTTGATGATAAGTGCTACAGGAAAAAATAAAGCAAGGGAGGGAGTTGGGGTGTTGCAATTTTAAATAGGCTGGCCAGTGAAGGTGTCCTGATGATACCTAGTATGACACACATGCTTTTGCTTAGTATTTTACATGAGGGAGTTCATTATGTAATCCCGTGAAGTGTTCATTATATTACAAGCTGTCCTCTTTATGAGGACTCATGGGAGAACTTGCACTTCGATGTTAGAACTAGCAGTAGTCGGGCTTCTCTTGAGTGACTGGTTTCTTTTTATCTTCTGGGCACCAAGAATCATGTAACAGATCACGGTTGCCTCTTTGTTAAGCTTATAAGGAAACTTAACACTTTGGCATGAACTGGGAGTACTGACCTTACTCTTGGCTTTACCTTACCTTTTCAATCTCATTTTAGCCTTTGTCCCAATTGACTCACCTACTTACTTGACATTTTATTTTATGCTATGTTGTTATATTTACTTTGGTAAGCTTCCTTAAATATTTTTTGAACAAAGTAAGGCATGAATAGATATAAACGCCCACATAATTACATGCACACACAATACACACACACATACATACATACATCATTATGTGACAATATAGTACATCTTATTTCAGTGTACCTTGAACCTGGAGTTCTTATCTGAAAAAGTTTTTTTATGCTTCATGGTGTTCCTTTATAAGTGCTCCATAAATATTTATGGAATAACAGTTTTAGTAGTGGTTATAATTTAAATGAGAAAGATACTCATGGTATCTTAAGAGTTTTTCCATTTGAATATCAAACGAACTATTGCTGAAGTTTAATTTTTAAAATCATTATATGTAAAATATAAGCTCTTTAATATAAAGATGTGGGGAAATTTGAAATGTAATATGTAATTATGACTCTTCTAAACCTCTTTCTAAAAGTTTTCAATAACTAAGTTTTAATAATTCTGGATAACAGAATCCTTTGAAACCTATCACCCTCCAGGGAAATTTGGTTACACATAAAAATTGCATAATTGTATTAAAGAAGTTAGCGACACACCAAAGCCCATCCATCAACCAACCTTAGGTTATGAACCCCTGCTGTATGTTTTTCTTTTAAAATAATATATGCTCTTAAAATTTTAATAACAAAAAGAAAAAAAGCAGAAAAATTACCTATAACCCCAGCACCATGGGATAGCTATTTTTAATCTTTTTATTTTCATTTAAAAAATTTGCTGCATTTACATCAAAAGATTTTGCATCCTTTTTTTTTGGCAAAACAATATATAGTAAGTAGTTCCCAATGAAATAAAAAATTCTTTATAAACATCATTTTTAAAGATTTATATAATATTTCAGTGTATAAATATACTGTAATGTGCTTAAACATTTTCTAATGTCTGTTTAGGTCTTCCCTTGCCCTTCCATTATTTGCCACAAAGTTGCTATGAACATCTTAGAGACAAATCTTTGTTGATATGTTAAGAAATTCCCAGGAATACCTAGAAGAATTACTAGGTGCAAATGTATATTCTAACTAAAGTCAATGATATGCAAATTATTTTTCAGAAAGAGTGTTCCAACCAATTGTGCTGGTACCAGCAGTTTGTGAAAGTATTTAAACTATCTATTTTACCTCATTCTTGCCAGAATTGAGTAGTACCATTAAAAACAGAAATAATCAAAGAAGCAAAAACTTATTTGATAGGTAAAAAATGGGGCCATTTTGATTTTAATCTGCATTTCTTTGATTACTAATGAGGTTTACTTCTAAAACTATGTTTTCAAGAAAAACTTAAAAAATTTGCCTTTTCTCTTTAGCGAGTGATCATATGTTTGGTTCATTAATGTGTTGAGGGGTGTTTTTTTTTTCTTATTTTATGTGCTTTTTTATACACCGAACTCTCCTGGTAAAGTTTAGTTATTTTTCACATAAGTTCAACAGTCTTTAAAGTTCATTTCTAGGTATTACATCTTTTGTTTTTTGTTGCTGTAATGCAAAAGGAACTTTGTACATTGTATTTTCTAACTTGTTATTACTGCCATACATAAAGATGATAGAGTTTTATATATTCACGTTTAAAAAGATTTTCATTTGATCCTGTTGGAATTTTTAGGCATATTCTCATTTGTTGTCTGCAAAGAAAGATTCCTTTTTTCCAAGATTTATCCTCTTGTTTCTTATTTGAAGAAGGTAAGGCATGAATAAAATAAATACTCACATAATTACATGCACACACAATACACATATACATACATATACACATACGTAAATCACCATGTGAAGATATAGTAAGTCTTCCTTATTTCACTGTACCTTCAAGCTGGAGTTCTTGTCTGAAGAAATTTTTTATGCTTTATAGAGTGTTCCTTTATGGATGTCTTATACTGGTTAAAGCTTCCAGAACAATATCAAATAACGGTTATGATATTGGATATCGTATACTTTGTTTCTTACTTTAATAGTGATATCTGTAATATGTCCTTGTTAAGTATAATAGCTCTAGGCTTAAATTATATCATTAGAGATGAGCTGGGAATTTCATCAAATGTGTATTCTGCATATGTCATCATGATCTTATGGTTTATTTTTTATTGGCTTATTGATCTGATACTTTTTATTCACTAATAATAATTTTTTTGCATTTTGGGAATAATTTTATTTGGTCATGGTGGATTTTTCTTTGAAAGTTAAGCTGATTAAATTTGCTAGTATTTTATATAGAATTAGTATTGATATTGAAAATAATGAGACTAATGTGTAGTTTTCCTGTTTAAAACTTTTTTGGTCAGGTTTTGGGGTCAGAATTGGTTATGCTAGATTCCCAAAGTGAATTGGGTCACTTTTAATCTTTTTCTATGCCCTAAAAAAATAATGTAGCCTGGGAATTATCTGTTCCTTCAAGCATTTGGATATGTATCTATAAAATATTTTAACTTAGACCTGTTATGACAGGTGATTATTTGATAACTTTTTCAGTTTCTTCTGGAGTTATTGGCCTCTTCAGGCTCATATTTTTAGGCTCAGTTTTGGAAGATTATTTTTCCCCTACCTTTATTTTCCCTCAGGTCTGTGATACTCTACTATTTAATACATTAGGTTCATGTCTGTTATAATGCTATTGTGAGTTATACTTTAATAAATGTAAAATGATCCACACTCCAATTTAATGACGCTTGCCTTGACTTTTTTCTTCCTTTCCTTTCCCTTTCCTTCTTTCTTTCTCTTTCTTTTCTCTTTCTCTTCCTTCCTTCCTTTCCTTTCCTTTCCTCTCCTCTCCTTTTCTTTCTTTTTCTTTCTTTCCTTTCTTTCTTTTCCTTTTCTCTCTTTCTTTCTTTCCTTCTTTCTTTCTTTCCCCTTTCCTTTCCTTTTCATTTTTCCTTTTCTTTTCTTTCTTTCTTTCTTTCTTTCTTTCTTTCTTTCTTTCTTTCTTTCTTTCTTTCTTTCTTTCTTTCTCTTTCTCTCTCTCTCTCTTTCTCTTTCCTCTCTTTTCTCTCTCTCTTTCTTCCCTTTCCCTCCCCTCCCCTCCCCCCCTCCCTTCCTTCCTTTCTTTCTTGCTTCCCCCCACCATCTCTCTCTCTCTCTCTGCCTTGCCTTGCCTTTCTCAAGGTCTCACTCTGTTGTCCAAGCTGGAGTGCAGTGGCATGAACTTGGCTCACTGCAACCTCTGCCTCCCAGGTTCAAGTGATTCTCCTGCCTTAACCTCCCAAGTAGCTGGGATTCAGGTGCCCACCATCACACTTGGCTAATTTTTGTATTTTTTAGTAGAGATGAGGTTCTACGATGTTGGCCAGGCTGGTCTCAAACACCTGACCTCAAGTGATCCACCCACCTTGGCCTCCCAAAGTGCTGGGATTACAGGCATGAGCCACCACGCCAGGCCACCTTGACTTCTTTCTAGTTTGCTAATTATATTGCTTTACCTGCTAACTTCTGTCTTTCATCCTTCTCCTTTTCCTTCTGTCTTTCCTCCTTCCTTAGCTTACCTTTTGGTATTGTTCTGATACAGTAGTAACTGACTTATAATCTGAAGAGATTGAGACACAATTATAAATAGCTTTTTTTTTTCCTCTTAGATCTCTGCCTTCAAAAGTACCCTGCATATTTCCCTTCCCTAGTTCCTGATGATATTTTGGATAAAAATGTCTATTTCAGTCTAATATAAAACTCTAATATCTCATCGATTTGCACTTCCCCACTGTGTCCCCCTAACCCAAGCTCAGGACATTGATGAGACAGGCAGGGTCTGTTTCTCACTGTTCCTTTTTCTTTTTGTGGCTCTTTTGGGGTGGTGGTGTGTGTATAGGAGAAGCAATGAGAGAAAAAGTCCTGAAACTTGAAGAACATAGTAATCCTATGTTGTAGTGATGTCTTGTCTCATATCATCTGGCCTTAGGTAGTTTCTGTGTGGTAGGACCCAATAGGATGTGTGTGTGTGTGTGCGTGCGCACACACACACAGAGAGAAAGAGAGAGAGACAGAAATTAATTTTAAGGAATTGGTTTATGTAATTGTAGAGAGCCAGTAAGTCCAAAGTCTGCAGGGCAGGCCAGTAGGCCAAGGAGCCAGGAAAAAGTAGATGCTCCAGTTTGAGCTTGCAGGCAGTCACCTGGTAGAATTCCCTCTTTCTTGGGGGATATCAGTCTTTTCTCTCCTTAGGCCTTCAACTGATTGGATGAAGTCCGTCCACATTATGAAGGGTAATCGGCTTTACTCAAAGTACATTGATGGAAATACTAATCTCATCTAAAAATACTTTCAGAAAAACATCTAGAATAGTGCTTGATTGAATGCCTGAGCACTGTGGCCTCTCCAAGTTGGCACATCAAATTGACCATCACAGACCCAGTGCATAATTCTTTTGTCTCTGTGACCTTCTCCCCACAGCTCTCACCCCTGCAGTACGCTTCTTTCCGTTGGGTTTCCTCCGCCTGTAAGTCACCTTTCTTGAAGGGGTATCTTCAAGAAGACCCAAGCCTGCCTAGCTTTCCTGGTGTCCTCCTGGCCATAGGAAACTCTCCTGTTTTTGTCTCACTGCACCGTTACCTCTTCTTTTCCATACCATTCTACTCCAGCCAGGTTCCAGCTTTCATCATTCTCCAGAGAAGACATCTCCATTTTCACATAAGCTCCCCAACTCTCAAGAAGACATGTCAAACTTCAAAGAACTTTTTTTACTATGTGCTCCCATGCTCTGATGGCAACATCTAAATAGGTTTACAAGTTTCTGAAGTTCAGCATGTGAAGGGGTCAATGGGGGAACTGAGATGCAGATCCCCTTTTCTTGAGGACACCTCTAATTTGGTTTCACAGAGCTGGGAGATGGTGCTCCCTCCTCTCCTCCACAAAGAGAAAAGCCACGGCACACTTCCTCACTGCGGCCCCCTCTAAAATCTTTCTCTATTCAACTAACGTTCTTTTGAGTTATTTTCCTTTATGTGATCTGGTTGCCATACAGAGGATGAAGCCCTCTTTTATAATATAAACCCTGAAGGGCATGTATGGCAGGTTCTTAATGTTCTCTTTGGAATTTGATGCTACATAGCTTCTAATATACTGAATTTTGGGACTCTAAACAACATTCTAAAACAATAGGAAAAGTCTTTCCAATATCATGATGTGATCATCATTGCTGTTTCTTTTATTTTTAATCTTTTTAAAATTTCACTTAACTTTTATAAATAGAGATTTGTATTTTAAAATATTCCAATGTGTGGAAATGTTTCTTGTAATAAAAGGGAATATTCCCTTTAATTTTTCTCATGCACCTATATTTGGTTTTTCCTCACTTAGTTTATGCTGTTTTTCTATCCCCTTGTGCTTTCTACTGTTTTCTGTCTTTGATTACATGTACTGAGTGATTATTTTGTTTTTTAAATCGTGGTTTTTAAAATTTTTTAAATTTAAGTTCCAGGATACATGTGGAGAACGTGCAGGTTTGTTACATAGGTACATGTGTGCCATGGTGGTTTGCTGCACCTATTGACCCATCTAAATTGTGTTTTAAAAATTAAATGATTTGCCTTTATTTGTGGTAGTGATTGCCTTTAATATTATCAAATATCTAATTAAACTTTCTCCCTTTATTGAAATCAAGAACAGAATTATAACTTCTTTTGTTTTTTTTCTTGGGACAGTTTCACTCTTATTGTCCAGGCTGGAGTACAATGGCATGATCTTGGCTCACTGCAGCCTCCGCCTCCTGGGTTCAAGTGATTCTCCTGCCTCAGCCTCCCGAGTAGCTGGGATTGCAGGCATCTGCTGCGATGCCTGGCTAATTTTTGTATTTTTAGTAGAGATAGGGTTTCGCCATGTTGACCAGGCTGGTCTTGAACTCCTGGCCTCCGGTGATCTGCCCGCCTCGGCCTCCCAAAGTGTTGAGATTATAGGCATGAGCCACCGTGCCTGGCTTGGAATTATAACCTCTGACTCCTTCCTTTGCCCAGCGAAGAATTTAGTCTGTCTCATGCTTTTAAGTTCCCATCCTTTCCCGTTGGGTCCTTTAAGGGCTGGTTAATTTAAATGGATATAACAAAGCCACATTTTTATTAAATATCATTTATTGTTTTAACCATGGAAATTATTTTTTAAGACTTATTGGTACTTTGGATTTTGAATTGAATTTTTCAAGCATTTTAACAAATTTTGTGCTTACTACCAGTATATTTATGTTATCATTTTTACTTTCTTGCATTTATAATTTTGATTCATCACTTGTTTACTTATATTGTTTTTGATTAAGCTTTCAGGAAGGCTATTGTTATACTTTCACAATTTCTGTATAGCTAGATAAATCTTTTTACTATTTTCACATCCAAATGAAGTTTTTCTGTATTTTAAATTCTTGAGTCAAAACAATAATTTCTCAAAATTCTGTAAACATTGTTTCATTGCACAGTGATGTTTAGTATTTCTAAGAAATCTAACGTAAGATGGACATTTTTCTGTTCGAAGGTTCCTCGTATATTTTCTCTTCCATTGACATTTAAAACTTTCACTGGGTTAGACCTAAGTGTAGGTCTTTTAAATTAGCTTTCTTAGAATTAATCTTTCTTTAAAAAAAATCTTCAGATTGGGCATTCTGATTTCAGAGAATTTTACTAATCCAGGGATTTTACCGATAGTATTCATTAAAATATTTTTGAATTTAAAGAGAACTCAAACTCAAGTTTGCTTAAACAACAAAGTGTTATGTTAGATAAAAAGCTGAATGGTGCAGAGACAGGAAGGTGTTTAGGTGTCACATACCCTAAATTCCTATTGTTATTAGGGCATCAATTCTCCTGGCTCTGCCCCTTCTAATCCTTTGTAAGCTTCATTCTCAGCATACTTTCCCTCACTTAAGTGATATGGTTGCCAGCAGTTTCCAGGGCTGCAGCCTTCTCTATTCATACCCAGGAGGAGAGACAGCGTCTGTTCTCACATTTGTTGAATAAAAGCTCTGTGTTTCACTCTGATTGGGTAATCGCAGGTCATATGCCCACTTGGAACCAATCACTATGAGACCGAGGCAGGGCTTAGACCAGTCAACTTGGTTTCACTTCTGTTCTCATCTCTGTTATGGTTTGTATTTCTTACATCTTTCTTTTTTGTTTTGGGAGACTTTCAAGTTTATCCTCTACTTGCTGAGTAGGTTTTTGTCAGTTTTGCTTTTTACTGCCTCTAATGTGAATTTTAATACAATTTCATTAAAACATATTGTATCTTAGTTTTTAGTCTTCTTCCCTTTATTTCTGCCTTTATTGCAATCTATTCTCTTCTGCTAGTCCCCTGTATTATTTTTTTTTCCTAAGAAACTGTCTTTTTGTATTTTGGGGGAGATTGTGAAGAAATTTTGAAAACATTCTGGGCTGTAGAACAATGTGAATGTCTTTAATGCCATTAAACTGTACACTTAAAAATGGTTAAAAATATTTATTTTATGTTAGGTATAATTTAACACAATAAAAATTCTTCTTTTATAGAAAATAATTCTCAATGTGTATTCTTCCTCCAGCTGTTCAGAATAATATTTCCTTTCCCTTGTAATAAAACATTTTATTAGTCCACATGTTTTGTTTATTTGCATGCATTTTTATTAACTTATCTCTAGCCTTAGCAGGATTTACCTAAGTTCGGTTTGCTAAAAGTCAAGGTATATGCAGTGATAGTAGTAACTTTTTGAGTAAATATGACTTTTCTTCTCTGGTCTAGACCTGGAATGGTTCACATGTTCAGAATCCCCAGGACAAATTCTAATTTTTGGTAGAAATTTAGTAGGATCTTTTATTCTTTTAATTCTTGTTTCCTTGTGTTTTACTTTATAGGATATGAGGCAGTATTTTGTCTTCTTTGCATATGCAAGTGTTATATATGAGAGATTATGCCCTTAGCATGTACTGCTTCTAGAAACTCTAACTTTACTTTACATCTATGAAGCGTTTCTGAAGGTGTCTACACATCCAGGATGAAATATGCTACAGCCAGTTTCCTCTACCTGTTGGCATGTTGGGAACTGAGATTTAGAGTTTTTCATACAAGTGAGAGAAAAGTGACTCTTAGAGGTGGTGGAAGCATAGAAGCACAGGAGGTCTGGACAGATAATAGTTCTTAGGCACTGTGTGTGTGTGTGTGTGTGTGTGTGTGTGTGTCTGTGTGTGTGTAAAGGGGCAAGAATTTACTGTTTGAGTTTCTGGTCATTATAGCTACTCTATATGAGTACATCTTTTTTTCTAAAAATTGATCCTGTCCTGGAGGTTCCTTTTCAGATATTTTAATTGATGCTAATAATTGATTCTGCAACTAGTGCAAATTGCCCTGGCTTTTGTCAAGTTTTCTCCAATGTCAGGAAACAACATCTTCCAACTGTTGAAGAGAACGACCTCCTGTTCTTTCTCGCTCTAAATTAAGAAAATCTGACCAACATGAATCAGGTGCTGTGCTGGTTATTAAGATAGCATCTCTCAGTTCCAAATAAATCTTCTCAAGTTGGCTTTGTGATGCTGGGTCTGGGACATTCTAACCTACATTCTTCTTCCCTCCTCTGCCATCTGGTTCTCTATTAGGCTGTACCCCTAGAGAGCCTCAGAAGAAGATGGAAAGGCAGGATGAAGGGGAGAAGGGCCCTCCTCTCTCCTGCTTGCTGGTCCATCAGCATCACCCTGTAGCATTTTGCCTCAGCAGGGGCAGTTGGTTCCAGCCTCCTGCTTCTTTTGGCACTCAGATCTGGAAACAGCTGTCAGTGCCCTTCGTTGGAGGTCTGAGCTGGGTCCCTGGGCTTCTCCTTCCTCAGAGGTCTGAACTGGGTCCCTGGGCTTCTCCTCTGAGCTCCCAGGTCTTAGTGATTGCAACCTTTTCTGTTTGTCCTATAGCCCTAAGGGTGGAAGATGTTTCCTGAGCTTTGTACCTCTGGTCTACCTCAGTGTTTTCATTTGTTCATTTTACCCTCTAATTCCAATGTTGAAATTGCATGTGTGGGTTCGTTTTCCTGTTGAATCCTAAGTGATGCTGGTGCTTAGTACTTACTGGACCTAGGGATCTGGGGCAAGAGAACAAATGGCAATTGCTCTGAGGACCATGAGGTGGGTATTGATGTAAGAATCCCACCCCACCCCCACACAAAAAAGAGGGGAAAGATCAAATATCTATTTCTACATGTATAGGAACAATATCTATTTCTACATGTAACAAAATAAGAGCAGTATTTTAGGGCAAATAAAAGGAAGTACCACTCTACACACCCCATAAGTACCACATATAACTTATGTCCTTAGTTTTGTAGAATGTATGGTTTCCAACTAAGTGAAGCTTTAGGGAATTAGAAGTGCAAAATATAGATAGTTGGCTTCTTTACAGCACTTTTCCACCAAACATCCTTTGGAACCCTTGTCAGAAGATGTTGCCTGAGTTAGCTCTCTTCTATCTCTCTTTTTGTAAATTAAAGTAAGATAAAAAAAACAGAAAGTGAGGTAGAAAGCAAAGTATTTTGACAAAATTTAAACAT
The DNA here is from genome assembly GCF_000001405.40 of Homo sapiens. Classification (NCBI taxonomy): domain Eukaryota; kingdom Metazoa; phylum Chordata; class Mammalia; order Primates; family Hominidae; genus Homo; species Homo sapiens. The sequence continues at coordinate 136,089,483 of NC_000007.14, forward strand.
GTCAGATATTCAGATCAACCTGTACAGGAGAGTACCCTTAGCTGGGCAGAGCGCACAGCTCTAGGAACCTGCGCTGCTGGAGAGTGATCTCAAAGCCACCGTTCGGAGCCTGACCTTTTCCTATTTCTATCAGCTTTCTTCTGGTGTCTCTTTTCTGCCTCTTCCTCTTACTATTCTTTAACAGCTCCTGAAATCTAATCCTTATTTGGCACTGGGGTAAAAATAGATAGGCACTGATGAAGGGCTGCATCTTAGGAACGATAATTTGTCAGTCTTAGAAGAGCCTTGGCAAAATGGTGTGTTTTGTCCTCAGATCCACAGATGCAGGAACTTGATTGGGTTGGGGTCCCGGAATTGCTTGGCCTGACGGAGTCATACAAACCAAATTTCCAAAAGATTAATACAAAATTAAAAGATTAATGAGGGTTTAAATATACTCATTTACAATGGAAAATATACATCACTAAGCAATAATTACCATGCCTTTAAGTACTTATTTGTTGTTATTTCCCACATGCTGTAAAAGTCATCGTTGTAGGGAAGGACAGAAAGGATATAAGCTTATGCTTAAAAATAGTAAAAGGGCTCTCAAGACTTCACAAGCCTTAACAGAAAGGAGCCAAGATAAGATGAGGCTAACAATGTGAAATAATTGGTATAGTTCTATGGAATGCCACATATTTTTGCATCATATTTGTTAGCTTCTCTTACCTGGACTGCCCATTCGTGATTTTGTGCATTCATCTACTTCTCTCTGAAAAATACCTTACTGAATGAAATCAGCTAATACAACCAGAAGAAAAAAGTTGAAATGTCCAATTAATGTTAGGGGCTGAGGACAAGGGAACAATTCCTAGATTTCAATGTAATCAAGGCAAATACTGAAATGCTGATTAATATTTAGTGTGGGGATTTAAAATCCAATTGGCTTGTGCTTTTATTGGGGTTGGAATAGCCAGGCAGCTGTTTCTGAGCTCTTCCATACACTATAAATGCCAAGGAGTATGAATATCCAAGTATTGAACATTTATTGAGGTTTCCCTATTTGAAGAAGATAAAGAATAATATGCAGTCATCATATCCTTTAGAACAGAGGTTGGCATGCTGGAGTACAATGGCGTGATCTCAGCTCACTGCAACCTCCATCTCCCGGGTTCAAGAGATTCTCCTGCCTCAGCCTCCTGAGTAGCTGGGATTACCAGTGCCCACCACCATGCCTGGCTAATTTTGTATTTTTAGTAGAGACAGGGTTTCACCATGTTGGCCAGGCTGGTCTTGAACTCCTGACCTCAGGTGATACACCCACCTCGGCCTCCCAAAGTGCTAGGATTATGGGCATGAGCCAGCACGCCCAGCCTTGGCTGCCTGTTTTCGCAAATGAAGTTATACTGGAACACATCTGCAGGCATTTGTGTATGCATCATCTGAGGCTGCTTTCCTGATACAATGGCAGAGTTGAGTTGTCGACATAGGGACTATATGGCCCACAAAGTCTTAAATATTTACCATCTGGTTCTTTATAGAAACAAATTGCTGACTTCTGCTTTATAAGCTTTTAAGTTAGGGAACAATACTTACACATAGGAAACAATAACAAAGAAAACAACAGTAGATCAACAAGTACTAAATGGCTACACCAAGTTATAAATGCTACAGAACTGCAGAGAAAGGATCAGATTGCTCTTTGAGGAGGGCAAGTCTGGCAGCCTTTGGGAAGAGTGATTAGATGGGAGAGCAGGAACATCACCTCAAAGGCCATTGCGGTAGGATTGGAGGAAACCAGGGGCAACTTGTGTAGTAGCACAGTGTGGTATGTGGCCATGAGACATTTCAGATCAGTATTGGGAACCAATTACACCAGACCTACAGAGAATGAGTAGAATGCTTACAGTGTAATTACTTAGAGGAGGGTCAAGTTAGAATCTGGGGTACAGGTGAAAATTGGAAATGGTAAAGTCAGATGTCCAAATAGAAAGGTGGGGCGGTGTGAAAGCCATGTGGCAAGGATGTTTAAGTGTTGTTTAGAGCTGTGGTTTGAGCTGGATGGCAGAGGCAAGAGCCAGATCATGAAAGCCATTGTTATGGACGCTGAATTCAGTGGCACATGTGGAAGAACAAGGAAATGTGTGAAAGACAGGTGAGATTGTCACTAATGCTGTTAGTGAGATTGTTACTAATGCTGTTAATGAGATTGTTACTAATGTGAGACTGTTACTAATGCCCGCTCTCTTTTCCTTTTTAGGAGAAAGTGGGGGCAGTTTTAGAAAACCTGTCAGCTTGTGACTGCTGAAGCCAGTCAGAATCCAAGTAGAGCTTATTAACTACAGCAGAAGCCAGAACAAGGGACAGGTGTACTTGAGATGATCCTAAGTGGTGTATAAGAGGTGCCTGGTGGTGTACAAGAGGGCAGAATGGCAATTTTCGCAGGATAGACAAAGGCAATGTCCCAAATCTCCCACTGCAAATACTTAAAAGTACTAGATAAAACAGTTTTGAATACAGGATATTGGAGCTGTCCTTTACATGGGTAAAGGTGAGGATGGGGTTTTCTGTCTTAGTTACCTTGAGCCTGATTGAAATGTTGTGCTATACATAAGACCTTTGCATAAAGCTAAGTCCATCAAAGGACCATTGTCTTAAAGCAAGAAGTGACTAGAAAAGCAGTCCACCATTGCAGGGAGATGAAGAGGCAATTATGCCTCTTGGTCTGAGCTTTTGATAAAATATATATGTACATATCCAAAGAGGAACCTGTAACTCCGATTTATATCTCTCCCAAGTTTGGATTTCTAAACACTCTTTAGCATCCCAGAAATCCCTAACTGAAAAATAATTAAAGCTCATCACTGTGTATTGGTATCCCTGGGGTACCAGGCAGCAGCAAATGCAAAACCACTTTGAAAATACATTTCCATAAGCAGGCCCACAGATCTCTCATAGAAAAAATAAACCACTAGAATTATTATCATTATTATCTCACAATCAAAATCATAAATCATGTGGGAAAATAATCCATCATGAGAGAAAGAGAGAGCACATGTAGGGAGGTCGGAGACCTTGAACTCAGTGAAATCATCTGAATGAGAATACAAAGAAAAGGTTTGTAAGGATTAAAGAGGGAGAAAAATAACAGGGCACAAATAAGTAGCATAACCTTCTGAAAAAAAATTTAAAAATCTTTGAATAAGAACCAAATAGAACTTCCAGAAACAAAATTTTAACCAATAAAGTTAAAAACTCAATGGCTGATATGGCTTGGCTGTGCCTTCACCCAAATCTCAACTTGAATTGTGTCTCCCAGAATTCCCACATATTGTGGGAGGGACCCAGGGGGAGGTAATTGAATCACGGGGGGTGGTTTTTTCCTGTGCTATTCTCGTGATAGTGAGTAAGTCTCACAAGATCTGATGAGTTTATCAGAGGTTTCCACTTTTGCTTCTTCCTCATTCTGTCTTGCCGCCACAATGTAAGAATTGTCTCTCACCCTCTGCCATGTAAGAATTCTCTTTCACCCTCTGCCGTGATCGTGAGACCTTCCCCAGCCATGTGAAACTGTAAGTCCAATTAAACCTCTTTATTTTGTAAATTGCCCAGTCTGGGGTATGTTGGACTAATACAATGGCTTAAACATCGATTCAATATCACTGAAATTATTCCTATGTATCTGGAAGATAGGGCTGGGGAAATTATCCAGAATGCAGAGCAGAAAAGGGTAGAGGTAGAAAAATCTGAGGGATAAAGAAGCATATGGAATATAGTAAGAAAATACAGAATATCTGTTTTATCTTGGGTTGATAAACAAAGTTTCATAAACTGGGTGACTTACAAGCCACAGAAATGTATTTCTTACCATTTTGGAGGCTGGAAGTCCAAGATCAAAGTACCAGCATATCCAGTGTCTGGTGAGGGCCTGTCTCCTGGTTTGTAGAGGGCTGTCTCCTCATTGTATCTTCATCTGGTGGGGAGCAGAGAGGAAACAAACAAACCAGCCAAAAACCTCACGTCTTCTTATAAGGGCACTAATCCCATTTAAGAGGGCTCCATCCTCATGATCTAATTATCTCCAAAAGGCCCCACTTCCTAATACCATCAAATTGGGGGTTAGTATTTCAACATATGAATTTTGGGGGAACAAAGACATTCAGTTCATGACAATATCTAACAGGAATTCTAAAGTAAGAGATGAAATGTTTAAAGATTGGTTACAATTTTTCCAAAATTGGAAGATATGAAATCTTTATATTCAGTAGTGTAACTAGTCCTGAATAGAATGAACAGAAAATAAATTTATAAAGCAACACTGTGGATAGACTACGAGAGAGAAAATCTTACAAGCAGCCAGAGAGAAATAATAGGTTATCCTCAAAGAAACAAAATTTAGCACACAGAAGTTTTCTCAGAAGCACAGCTAGACATCAGAAGACAATGATATTTTTAATACTGGTGAGCGCAAAGAAATGGAACATAACAGAGGGTGATCAACCATGACATTTTGCTAGAAACTGTCCTGGTTTTAGCACTGAAAGTTCCAAGTCCTGGGAAATCCCTCAGTCCAAAGCAGATCATTGATCACCCTACACTGCTCTATGTGGTTAAGCTGTCATTAAAGAGTGAGAACAAAAAAAAAATGTTGTTAAAAAGTATGAGTGAAATAATGTTATCTGAAAAAAGGCTGAAAAAGTTCATCTCTTGTAGACTGTTGTTGTTTTTTTTTTCAGTTTCTTTTTTTTTTTATTATTATACTTTAAGTTTTAGGGTGCATGTGCACAATGTGCAGGTTAGTTACATATGTATACATGTGCCATGCTGGTGCACTGCACCCACTAACTCGTCATCTAGCATTAGGTATATCTCCCAATGCTATCCCTCCCCCCTCCCCCCACCCCACAACAGTCCCCAGAGTGTGATGTTCCCCTTCCTGTGTCCATGTGTTCTCATTCTTCAATTCCCACCTATGAGTGAGAATATGCGGTGTTTGGTTTTTTGTTCTTGCGATAGTTTACTGAGAATGATGATTTCCAATTTCATCCATGTCCCTACAAAGGACATGAACTCATCATTTTTTATGGCTGCATAGTATTCCATGGTGTATATGTGCCACATTTTCTTAATCCAGTCTATCATTGTTGGACATTTGGGTTGGTTCCAAGTCTTTGCTATTGTGAATAATGCCACAATAAACATACGTGTGCATGTGTCTTTATAGCAGCATGATTTCTAGTCCTTTGGGTATATACCCAGTAATGGAATGGCTGGGTCAAATGGTATTTCTAGTTCTAGATCCCTGAGGAATCGCCACACTGACTTCCACAATGGTTGAACTAGTTTACAGTCCCACCAACAGTGTAAAAGTGTTCCTATTTCTCCACATCCTCTCCAGCACCTGTTGTTTCCTGACTTTTTAATGATTGCCATTCTAACTGGTGTGAGATGGTATCTCATTGTGGTTTTGATTTGCATTTCTCTGATGGCCAGTGATGGTGAGCATTTTTTCATGTGTTTTTTGGCTGCATAAATGTCTTCTTCTGAGAAGTGTCTGTTCATGTCCTTCACCCACTTTTTGATGGGGTTGTTTTTTTCTTGTAAATTTGTTGGAGTTCATTGTAGATTCTGGATATTAGCCCTTTGTCAGATGAGTAGGTTGCGAAAATTTTCTCTCATTTTGTAGGTTGCCTGTTCACTCTGATGGTAGTTTCTTTTGCTGTGCAGAAGCTCTTTAGTTTAATTAGATCCCATTTGTCAATTTTGGCTTTTGTTGCCATTGCTTTTGGTGTTTTGGACATGAAGTCCTTGCCCATGCCTATGTCCTGAGTGGTAATGCCTAGGTTTTCTTCTAGGGTTTTGATGGTTTTAGGTCTAATATTTAAGTCTTTAATCCATCTTGAATTGATTTTTGTATAAGGTGTAAGGAAGGGATCCAGTTTCAGCTTTCTACATATGGCTAGCCAGTTTTCCCAGCACCATTTATTAAATAGGGAATCCTTTCCCTATTGCTTGTTTTTCTCAGGTTTGTCAAAGATCAGATAGTTGTAGATATGCGGCGTTATTTCTGAGGGCTCTGTTCTGTTCCATTGATCTATATCTCTGTTTTGGTACCAGTACCATGCTGTTTTGGTTACTGTAGCCTTGTAGTATAGTTTGAAGTCAGGTAGCGTGATGCCTCCAGCTTTGTTCTTTTGGCTTAGGATTGACTTGGCGATGCGAGCTCTTTTTTGGTTCCATATGAACTTTAAAGTAGTTTTTTCCAATTCTGTGAAGAAAGTCATTGGTAGCTTGATGGGGATGGCATTGAATCTGTAAATTACCTTGGGCAGTATGGCCATTTTCACGACATTGATTCTTCCTACCCATGAGCATGGAATGTTCTTCCATTTGTTTGTATCCTCTTTTATTTCCTTGAGCAGTGGTTTGTAGTTCTCCTTGAAGAGGTCCTTCACATCCCTTGTAAGTTGAATTCCTAGGTATTTTATTCTCTTTGAAGCAATTGTGAATGGGAGTTCACTCATGATTTGGCTCTCTGTTTGTCTGTTGTTGGTGTATAAGAATGCTTGTGATTTTTGTACATTGATTTTGTATCCTGAGACTTTGCTGAAGTTGCTTATCAACTTAAGGAGATTTTGGGCTGAGACAATGGGGTTTTCTAGATATACAATCATGTCATCTGCAAACAGGGACAATTTGACTTCCTCTTTTCCTAATTGAATACCCTTTATTTCCTTCTCCTGCCTAATTGCCCTGGCCAGAACTTCCAACACTAAGTTGAATAGGAGTGGTGAGAGAGGGCATCCCTGTCTTGTGCCAGTTTTCAAAGGGAATGCTTCCAGTTTTTGCCCATTCAGTATGATATTGGCTGTGGGTTTGTCATAGATAGCTCTTATTATTTTGAAATACGTCCCATCAATCCCTAATTTATAGAGAGTTTTTAGCATGAAGGGTTGTTGAATTTTGTCAAAGGCCTTTTCTGCATCAATTGAGATAATCATGTGGTTTTTGTCTTTGGTTCTGTTTATATGCTGGATTCCATTTATTGATCTGCATATATTGAACCAGCCTTGCATCCCAGGGATGAAGCCCACTTGATCATGGTGGATAAGCTTTTTGATGTGCTGCTGGATTTGGTTTGCCAGTATTTTATTGAGGATTTTTGCATCAATGTTCATCAAGGATATTGGTCTAAAATTCTCTTTTTTGGTTGTGTCTCTGCCCGGCTTTGGTATCAGGATGATGCTAGCCTCATAAAATGAGTTAGGGAGGATTCCCTCTTTTTCTATTGATTGGAATAGTTTCAGAAGGAATGGTACCAGTTCCTCCTTGCAACTCTGGTAGAATTCGGCTGTGAATCCATCTGGTCCTGGACACTTTTTGGTTGGTAAGCTATTGATTATTGCCACAATTTCAGCTCCTGTTATTGGTCTATTCAGCGATTCAACTTCTTCCTGGTTTAGTCTTGGGAGAGTGTATGTGTCGAGGAATTTATCCATGTCTTCTAGATTTTCTAGTTTATTTGCGTAGAGATGTTTGTAGTATTCTCTGATGGTAGTTTGTATTTCTGTGGGATCGGTGGCAATATCCCCTTTATCATTTTTTATTGTGTCTATTTGATTCTTCTCTTTTTCTTTATTAGTCTTGCTAGTGGTCTATCAATTTTGTTGATCCTTTCAAAAAACCAGCTCCTGGATTCATTAATTTTTTGAAGGGTTTTTTGTGTCTCTATTTCCTTCAGTTCTGCTCTGATTTTAGGTATTTCTTGCCTTCTGCTAGCTTTTGAATGTGTTTGCTCTTGCTTTTCTAGTTCTTTTAATTGTGATGTTAAGGTGTCAATTTGGGATCTTTCCTGCTTTCTCTTGTGGGCATTTAGTGCTATAGATTTCCCTCTACACACTGCTTTGAATGCGTCCCAGAGATTCTGGTATGTTGTGTCTTTGTTCTCGTTGGTTTCAAAGAACATCTTTATTTCTGCCTTCATTTCGTTATGTATCCAGTAGTCATTCAGGAGCAGGTTGTTCAGTTTCCATGTAGTTGAGTGGTTTTGAGTGAGATTCTTAATCCTGAGTTCTAGTTTGATTGCACTGTGGTCTGAGAGATAGTTTGTTATAATTTCTGTTCTTTTACATTTGCTGAGGAGAGCTTTACTTCCAAGTATGTGGTCAATTTTGGAATAGGTGTGGTGTGGTGCTGAAAAAAATGTATATTCTGTTGATTTGGGGTAGAGAGTTCTGTAGACGTCTATTAGGTCCACTTGGTGCAGAGCTGAGTTCAATTCCTGGGTATCCTTGTTGACTTTGTCTCGTTGATCTGTCTAATGTTGGCAGTGGGGTGTTAAAGTCTCCCATTACTAATGTGTGGGAGTCTAAGTCTCTTTGTAGGTCACTCAGGACTTGCTTTATGAATCTGGGTGCTCCTGTATTGGGTGCATATATATTTAGGATAGTTAGCTCTTCTTGTTGAATTGATCCCTTTACCATTATGTAATGGCCTTCTTTGTCTTTTTTGATCTTTGTTGGTTTAAAGTCTGTTTTATCAGAGACTAGGACTGCAACCCCCGCCTTTTTTTGTTTTCCATTTGCTTGGTAGATCTTCCTCCATCCTTTTATTTTGAGCCTATGTGTGTCTCTGCACGTGAGATGGGTTTCCTGAATACAGCACACTGATGGGTCTTGACTCTTTATCCAATTTGCCAGTCTGTGTCTTTTAATTGGAGCATTTAGTCCATTTACATTTAAAGTTAATATTGTTATGTGTGAATTTGATCCTGTCATTATGATGTTAGCTGGTTATTTTGCTCGTTAGTTGATGCAGTTTCTTCCTAGTCTCGATGGTGTTTACATTTTGGCATGATTTTGCAGCGGCTGGTACTGGTTGTTCCTTTCCATGTTTAGCGCTTCTTTCAGGCGCTCTTTTAGGGCTTATTCTTTTTTCTCTAAACTTCCCTTCTCACTTCATTTCATTCATTTCATCTTCCATTGCTGATACCCTTTCTTCCAGTTGATCGCATCGGCTCCTGAGGCTTCTGCATTCTTCAAGTAGTTCTCGAGCCTTGGTTTTCAGCTCCATCAGCTCCTTTAAGCACTTCTCTGTATTGGTTATTCTAGTTATACATTCTTCTAAATTTTTTTCAAAGTTTTCAACTTCTTTGCCTCCCGTAGCTCGGAGTAATTTGATCATCTGAAGCCTTCTTCTCTCAGCTTGTCAAAGTCATTCTCCGTCCAGCTTTGTTCCATTGCTAGTGAGGAGCTGCGTTCCTTTGGAGGAGGAGAGGCGCTCTGCTTTTTAGAGTTTCCAGTTTTTCTGCTCTGTTTTTTCCCTATCTTTGTGGTTTTATCTACTTTTGGTCTTTGATGATGGTGATGTACAGATGGGTTTTTGGTGTGGACGTCCTTTCTGTTTGTTAGTTTTCCTTCTAACAGACAGGACCCTCAGCTGCAGGTCTGTTGGAGTACCCGGCCCTGTGAGGTGTCAGTCTGCCCCTGCTGGGGGGTGCCTCCCAGTTAGGCTGCTCGGGGGTCAGGGGTCAGGGACCCACTTGAGGAGGCAGTCTGCCCATTCTCAGATCTACAGCTGCTTGCTGGGAGAACCACTGCTCTCTTCAAAGCTGTCAGACAGGGACATTTAAGTCTGCAGAGGTTACTGCTGTCTTTTTGTTTGTCTGTGCCCTGCCCCCAGAGGTGGAGCCTACAGAGGCAGGCAGGCCTCCTTGAGCTGTGGTGGGCTCCACCCAGTTCAAGCTTCCCGGCTGCTTTGTTTACCTAAGGAAGCCTGGGCAATGGCGGGCGCCCCTCCCCCAGCCTCGCTGCCGCCTTGCAGTTTGACCTCAGACTGCTGTGCTAGCAGTTAGCGAGACTGTGGGCGTAGGACCCTCCGAGCCAGGTGCGGGATATAATCTCCTGGTGCGCCGTTTTTTAAGCCCGTCAGAAAAGCGCAGTATTCGGGTGGGAGTGACCCAATTTTCCAGGTGCCATCTGTCACCCCTTTCTTTGACTAGGAAAGAGAACTCCCTGACCCCTTGCATTTCCCAAGTGAGGCAATGCCTCTCCCTGCTTCGGCTCGCAGGTGGTGCGTGCACCCACTGACCTGCGCCCACTGTCTGGCACTCCCTAGTGAGATGAACCCGGTACCTTAGATGGAAATGCAGAAATCACCCGTCTTCTGCGTCGCTCACTCTGGGAGCTGCAGACTGGAGCTGTTCCTATTCAGCCATCTTGGCTCCTCCTAAGTGTCGACTGTTGTTGAAAGGACTACTGAAGAATATAGTTTAGGAAAAACAAAATCAATCTAGATGGAAGGAATTGGATATAATAGGCAATGGGGAACAAAACAGGTAAAATGTTGATTAGTATAAAGAAGTATTGACTATACAAAATAATAATTATAACAACTAGCAATTTTAGAGCTATAAAAAGGAAAAAAAGGAGAGAAAAACCAACTGACAACAATAACATTTAAGACACTGGGGTGTGCAGATATAGTGGTGCCAGTAATTATCATTTCCAAGTGCATGAAATGATAGGGATGGAGATAGGACTATTGGCTAAGTGTATACTTTAAATATGCATGTTAAAAATTCTGGTGTCCCTTCTACTTCCCCCTCTCTTTCTGAACAATTCAGTTTTAAAGCCATTAGGGCAAGATATAGGCATCTGTGCTGGGGTGGGCGGGTGCTAGCCATGGTGGCCCAGAGTGGGGCAATGGAGTCCAAGCCGAGTGAGGAGGATGTTCATGTAGGGGTACACCTGGTGCAGGTGTCAGAGCAAGAATGGAGTAAGAAAGGTATTTGCACAGGAGGCCTGCCCAGCACAGGGTGTCAGAAGCTAAGAGGGGTCAATCAAGCATCCACACAATGGGTGACATAGTGCAGGGTGGTGAAGCCAATAGGTGAGGAGGGTGTCCATGCAGTACTGTGTGAGGGAGGCATCTCCATAGGGCTGCCTGGTATGGGGTATCAGAGCCCAGGCCTGAAGAGGAGGAAGTCCAGGTGACAGGGGTGGCTGCTTGGCATGGTGGGTGGGGTTGAGTGGGGTGAGAAGAGTGACCATATGGGAGAGAGGAGTGCAGGAGAGATTGGAAGTTGGTTACAGATGGGGATGTTTTTCAAATAAGTAAGTATATTAAGAATAATTGGGAGCCAGATATCTCATGGTCAGAGAGGGAGAGTTACAAAGTGTAAGGGGATAAAACTGTAATGGTTGGATTGAAATTGGTGGTATCTGTGTAAACTTGGAATTCTCAATATAGATAGGCAGGTATAGGAATAAATATAAATTTAAGTGTACGTATATACATGTATTTATGTATATGCATACATATCCATACAAGCATATATGTGTTTCTTAGTTTACGCCACTGATTGTTTGGGAGCCAAATAAAGGACAATTTGAACATCATATTGAGCATCACTATCACAGCAAATAGTGCTATGGTCTGAATGTTGGTGTACCCCCCTCAATTCCTATGTTGAAACTTAATTTCCAATGTGATAGTATTAAGAGGTGGAGCCCATTGGGAAATGATTAAATCATGAGGACTCCTCCCTCATGTATGGGATTAGTGTCCTTATAAAAGAGATTGAAGGGGGCATGTTTGCCCTTTTTGCCATTGAAAAAAAAAAAACTCAGCAGGAAGGCGCCATCTATGAGGAGTGGGCTCTCATCAGACACCGAATCCGCTAGCACCTTGATCTTGGTTTTCCCAGCCTCCAGAACTGTAAATTTCTGTTGTTTGTACATTGCTTAGTCTAAAGTACTCTGTTACAGCAGCTGAATGGACTAAGACAATTTGTAACATTTTAGAACCCACTGAGTGTGTACTAATATACATTACCAAATAAATAAAGTGACATTCTGATGAGCAATGGGAAATTTACATAATTTCAAAATCCTCACAAAATACTCTTTTTTTTTTTTTTTTTTTTTTTTGAGACGGAGTCTCACTCTGTCGCCCAGGCTGGAGTGCAGTGGCGCAATCTCAGCTGACTGCAAGCTCCGCCTCCGAGGTTCACGCCATTCTCCTGCCTCAGCCTCCAGAGTAGCTGGGACTACAGCTGCCCGCCACCACGCCCGGCTAATTTTTTGTATTTTTAGTTGAGACGGGGTTTCACTGTGTTAGCCAAGATATTCTCCATCTCCTGACCTCGTGATCCGCCTGCCTCGGCCTCCTAAAGTGCTGGGATTACAGGCGTGAGCCACCGCGCCCGGCCTCAAATTCTCATTAATTCTAAAACAGAAAAGAGAAACTTTGCAGTGGAGTGGCCCGGTAGACATACACTGCATCAAGTGAGCATCATCAGTGTTGGGACGAATCAAAGATAACAGCCTCACTTCTATGACATTTCTGCCAAATATATGCATACTCGTGGGGAGATATCAGACAATCCCAAATCAAGGGGCGTATTATGACATAACTATTCTTTAATCAACACAGTTGTCAAGTTTGTGAAAGTCAAGGCCAGACAGAGGAACCATTCCAGATTAAAAGAGAATAAAAAGACATAACAACAAAATGAAACACATAATTCTGAATTAGATCCTTTTCTGATGAAGGCAGCTATTAGAGCAAATGGCAAGACTTGTACAGATCTGGGGATTAGGATATAAATGTCAATTTCTTGATTTTGGTCATTGTATGAGGTTTTGTAGAATTATCCTTTTTTTGGGCAAGAAACATATGCTGAATTATTGAAGGGTGGGTGGATTACGGGCATCATTTTGGCAATTTATCTCAAATGATTCTGGAAAAAATGTTCTTTATATTATACTTGCAACTTTGCTGTAAATTTCAGATTGTTACAATATAAAATATATGTTCTCCAAAATTATTTTTTTTCCGGCAACACTGTGGACTAGATGTCCCAAGAAAACCCTCTTAGTGTAAGATACTTAAAATGCAGAATATAAAACAAAAGGAAACAACTTCTTAAAAGCATGGCTGAGCAGGAAGTATAAAAGGGAAACAGAGACCAGAATGTCAAGAAGGCATGATTCCCCAGGAGTAAGTGAGCTCTGGATCTCTAGTTTGCCCTAAGATTACCTTGTGCCCTAGACCCTTGGCTTTCCATGTCCATGCAAGGAAAGAAAACAAAGATAGCTTAGTGCCCAGAAAGGTAAGAGGTCTGATTAGAGACTTGAACCTGCTAAGGGTGAAAGAAAACTTCCCCACAGAATGAGACTGGCATGCTTTGGTTTTAGCTAAGTGTACAATGGAACAGTCCTTGAAAAAAAAAAAATTCCCAAGAATTCTTAATCACCACCTATAGGTTTGAGGCTGGGATTCACAGCATCTGTGTGATCTGAAAAACTCCAAGCTGAACATTGAATTGAGAGTGATCCTGGTTGAAGTGTTATGTCTTAAGCCAGGTTTTGTAAAATATAGAACCTGAAGCAAGGATTTAAAGAGCTGAGACTTTATTTGGGAAGTGCAACCCAGGGCAGCTGGAATGAGGGAGAGGGAGCTGAGGTAGGGGAGGAGGGAAGCCATGCAGTGAACTCTCACTGCTCTGCCCACTACCCCATGGTGAAGGTGGCAAGCCCCAGCAGGTGCTCAGCATGTCAGATGCCTCCAGTTAGGCTGTGCAGAGTAGCTGACTCAGAGCAGTTAAAGGGAAGGAGGAAGGGACAAAGATCTATGCACCTGGCTCCTCCCTAGACCCACTTCCTATTGGTCAAAATTAGCCTATGGGAAGGTGACTCCACCACACTTCCAGATTAAGTCATCTGGCCCCCTCAGCAGCTGTTTGGGATGCTGGGCCTGTGCTCTACATTGTAGTATTTCCTTTACATCTGGAAGTGGTGGGAAAAGCCAGAAGCTCTACATGTGTGGCTGACGGTCTATGCCATGTGACAGTAATGAAAGGGAGGCCCTGGCACACAGCAGGCAAGTACTGGTCCAGCCCTAGATGTGGCAGCATGGTCCAGGAGGCAGACAAGGGAATCTGAGAAGGTACGAACAATCTGGGTCACATACAGTCTCCTCCTGTCAACCACTCCAATCTAATCATGCTCTCATTTCAGGTTCTGTTACTATAATAAGGAGTCTTCCTTTTTATTTTCATGAGAACAGGGCATGCTAATTTCTTTTCAGAGAGGAGAGGAGTAAGCCCAGTTAGATACAGAGTTCTCTTCAAACTGGTATCCCATTGTGATGCCTGGGAGGATACAAGGCATGAGTAATAGTCCAGCTACTGTGATGGGTCTTGATGTTGTATTTTATATTCTCCATCTTTGCTTCACCTCCACCACCACTCCTTGTGGATTCCCCTTGTGCTTGGTCAGCAATTAAGCTGGTTTGGATTGCTTGCCTAATGTATGGGTCCAGACTTTCATGTGAACTTTTAGCTGTTCTGCCCTTCTTGGGTTGTGGTTTGTAGCGGATAGCGTTGGTGTCCTCTCTAGGTAACCTCAGCATTCACCTCTACTTTCTGAAGGCTGCATACTGTGAACATCTGCATGCTCTATGTCTGAAGGCTTTTTTCTTTGGATGCAGGCAAAGAACAAGCTAGAGTATTAGACAGTGAATCCCCTGGAAGCAGCCCTGAACCACTGGTGGACCTGGAGATGATGTAGAATTACCCACCTTCCTCACCTTTGGGCTTATTATGTTCACACTGACTGCCAGAGTTGCCCAGCAGGAGTGAGCTCCAGTTGCCTACAGTGATAAATTAGTTGATAATACTGGCTTTCTCCACCTCCTACCTTGCTGCTCACTTCCCTATTGAAGTTTTCTGGGCTTATTCCCAAATAAACTAATTGCACTCAGATCCTTGTCAGGGTTAGTTCCTGCTTTACCCAAGTTCAGACACATTTGCTATAATTGCTCCTGAATAGTTAATACTAGGCTTTGTAGCACTATGAGACACCCCAGTGAATCCCCAGCATTCAGACCTACTCATTCCTGCTCCCTTGTGGAGTGCAGCCCTAGTTCCTCATGGGTGTCAGTATCAATGACCACCAACTTTACAGTGACTCATTTGCCTGCTGAACACTAAAGAGTTCGTTGGCAACATTGTAGCTGCAGCTTTCAGCTCAGTGCAGCTCTTACTGACTCTACTCCCCCTCTCTAAGAAAGCCAATACCTGTAACCCTTCAGAGTCCAAATTTGGAGGCCAAATTCCTCAAATGGGTTATCGGGTGTAATTACGAGAGGGCTGCTTCTTTTTTCTTTTTTCTGAGACGGTGTCTCACTCTGTCACCCAGGCTGGAGTGCAGTGACATGATCTCGGCTCACTGAAACCTCCACCTCCCAGGTTCAAGTGATTCTCCTGCCTCAGCCTCCCGAGTCGCTGGGATTACAGGCACCTACCATCACGCCCAGCTAATTTTTGTAGCGACAGGGTTTCTCCATGTTGGCCAGGCTGGTCTAGAACCCTTGACCTCAAATGATTCGCCCGCTTCGGCCTCCCAAAGTGCTGGGATTACAGGCGTGAGCCACCGTGGAGGGCTGTTTTTAATTTCCACCCTTTGGTTACTGGATTGGACTGGTTTTCTTGTGATGAGCGACTAAAATGTATTGGACTTTTGGTTTAATTCTAGCCACTGGAAACTAGGATATATAATTTGTTAACTCAATGCATATGTTTCATTCTGTTTTTGAGAAATAGATTCGGGGGGTACATGTGTAGGTTTGTCATATGGGCATATTGTGTAATGCTGGGGTTTGGAATTCTATTGAATCTATCACTCAGATAGTGAACATAGTACTCAATAGGTGGTTTTGGACTCCTTTTGGAGTCTCCAGTGTCTATTTTTTCCATCTTTATATCCACGTGTACCCTTTGTTTAACCCTCATCTGTAATAAGGTGGTATCTGATTTTCTGTTTCTGCATTAATTCATTTAGACTAATGGCCTCCAGCTGCATCCAGGTTACTGTGAAGGAAGTGATTTCATTCTTTTTTATGGCTGTGTAGTATTTCACAGTGTATATGTACCACATTTTCTTTATCCAGGCCATCTTTGATGGACACTTAGGTAGATTCCTTGACTTTGCTATTGTGAAATGCTGCAGTAAACATGCAAGTGCTCTTTTTGGTAAAACTTCTTTTCCTTTGGGTATGTACCCAGTAGTGGGGTTTCTGGATTGAATGGTGGTTCTATTTTTATGTGTCTTTGAGAAATCTGCACACTGTTTTCCATAGGGGTTGAACTAATTTACATTTCCACCAACATCCTCAATAAAATTTGTTATTTTTTGACTGTTTAATAATAGCCATTCTGACTGGTCTGGATGGTATGTCATAGTGGTTGTAATTTGCATTTCTCTGATTAATGATGTTGAGCATTTCTTCATATGTTTGTTGGCTGCCATGTATGTCTTCTTTTGAGAAATGTCTGTTCATGTCCTTTGCCCACTTTTTAGTGTTTTTTTTTCTTGTTGATTTATTTAAGTTCCTTATAGATTCTGAATATTAGGCCTTTGTCAGAAGCATAGTTTGCCAATATTTTCTCCCCTTTGGTATGTGTACTGTTTACTCTGTTGATAGTTTCTTTAGCTGTGCAGAAGTTATTTAGTTTAATTAGGTTCCATTTGTTAATTTTTGTTTTCATTGCATTTGCTTTTGAGGACTTAGTCATAAATTATTTGCCTAGGCCAATGTCTAGGAGAATTTTTCCTAGGTTTTCTTTTAGGAATTTTATAGTTTGAGGTCTTACATTTAAGTCTGTAATTTATTTTGAGTTAATTTTTGTGTATGGTGAGAGGTAGGGGTACAGTTTCATCTTTCTGTATGTGGCTAGCCAGTTTTCCCAGCACCATTTATAAAATAGGGTGTCCTTTCCACATAGTTTATTGTTGTTGGTTTTGTCAAAGATCAGTTGGTTGCAGCGTGTATGGCTTTGTTTCTGGATTCTCTAATCTGTTCCATTGGTCTGTGTGTCTTTTTGTACCAGTACCATGCTATTTTGGTTGCTGTATCCTTGTAGTATAGTTTAAAGTTGGGTAATGTGATGCCTCCGACTTTGTTCTTTTGCTTAGGATTGCTTTGACTATTCAGGCTCTTTTTTTGGTTCCATATGAATTTTAGAATAGGTCTTTCTAATTCTGTAAAAAATGACATTGGTAATTTGATAGGAATTACATTGAATCTGTAGATTGCTCTGGGTAGTATGGTCATTTTAACAATGTTCTTCCAATCAATGAGCATGGAATGTTTTTCCATTTGATTGTGTCACGTATGGTTTATTTCATCAGTGTTTTCTAGTTCTCCACATAGAGATCTTTCACCTCTGTGGTAAAATGTATTACTAGGTATTTTATTCTTTTTGTGGCTATTGTAAATGAACATGTGTTCTTAATCTTCTCAACTTGAACATGATTGGTGTACAGAAATGCTAGTCATTTTTTACATAGATTTTGTATCCTGAAACTTTACTGAAGTTGTTTATCAGGCCTAGTAGTCTTTTGGAGGAATCTTTAGAATTTTCTAGGTAGTAGAGTCGTGTTCTTGGTGAATAGAGATAATTTGACTTCGTTTCCTATTTGGATGCCTTTTATTTCTTTCTATTGCCTGATCGCTCTTACTAGGATTTCACTCCAATACCAAATAGGAGTGGTGAAAGTGGACACCTTTATCTTGCTCTAGTTCTTAGGGTTAATGCTTTCAAATTTTGCCCATTCAGTATGATGTTGGCTGTGGGTTTGTCATAGATGGCCCTTATTATTTTGAAGTATGTTTTTTGATGCCTAGTTTGTTGAGGTTTTTATCATGAAGATATTTTATCAAATGCTTCTTCTGCTGCATTTGAGATGATCATATGGTTTTTGTTTTCAATTCAGTTTATATGGTGAATTACATTTAGTAATTTGTATATGTTGAACCATCCTTCCATCCTATAAAAAAACCCACTTGATAGTGATTAATTATCTTTTTAATGTGCTGATGGATTTGGTTTGCTAGTATTTTGTTGAGGATATTTTTTTTAGTAGCTTAAAGCAACATTTATTTTTAAATTTATTATTATTATTATACTTTAAGTTTTAGGGTACATGTGCACAATGTGCAGGTTAGTTACATATGTATACATGTGCCATGCTGCTGTACTGCACCCATTAGCTCGTCATTTAGCATTAGGTATATCTCCTAATGCTATCCCTCCCCCCTCCCCCCACCCCACAACAGTCTCCAGAGTGTGATGTTCCCCTTCCTGTGCCATGTGTTCTCATTGTTCAATTCCCACCTATGAGTGAGAACATGTGGTGTTTGGTTTTTTGTCCTTGCGATAGTTTACTGAGAATGATGATTTCCAATTTCAACCATGTCCCTGCAAAGGACATGAACTCATCATTTTTTATGGCTGCATGGTATTCCATGGTGTATATATGCCACATTTTCTTAATCCAGTCTATCATTGTTGGACATTTGGATTGGTTCCAAGTCTTTGCTATTGTGAATAGTGCCACAATAAACATACGTATGCATGTGTCTTTATAGCAGCATGATTTATAGTCCTTTGGGTATATACCCAGTAATGGGATGGCTGGGTCAAATGGTATTTCTAGTTCTAGATCCCTGAGGAATCGCCACACTGACTTCCACAATGGTTGAACTAGTTTACAGTCCCACCAACAGTGTAAAAGTGTTCCTATTTCTCCACATCCTCTCCAGCACCTGTTGTTTCCTGACTTTTTAATGATTGCCATTCTAACTGGTGTGAGATGGTATCTCATTGTGGTTTTGATTTGCATTTCTCTGATGGCCAGTGATGGTGAGCATTTTTTCATTTGTTTTTTGGCTGCATAATTGTTGAGGATTTTTACATCTATGTTTATTAGGAGTATAGGTCTGTAGTTTTCTTTTTTTTGTTGTGTCCTTGACAGATTTTGGTGTCAGGATGATACTGGTTTTGTAGAATGAGTTAGGGAGGAATCCCTCCTCTTTGATTTTTTTGGAATAGTTTCGGTAAGATTGGTATCGGCTCTCCTTTGTATGTCTGGTAGAATTTGGCTGTGAATCCATCTGGTTTAGAGCATTTTCTAGTTGGTAATTTTTAATTACTGATTCAATTTTGTAACTTGTATTGGTGTGTTCAAGATTTCAATTTCTTCCTGGTTCAATCTTGGTAGCTTGTACATTTCCAGGAATTTATCCAGCTCCTCTAGATTTTCTAGCTTGTGTACTTAGAGATGTTCATAGCAGTCTGGGAGGATCTTTTTTATTTCTGTGGTATCAGTTGTAATGTCACTTTTGTCATTTCTGATTGTACTTATTTGGATCTTCTCTTTTTTTTGTTGTTAATCTAGGTAGCAGTCTATCAGTTTTGTTTACCTATTCAAAGACTCAACTTTTTGTTTCCATTGTTAATCTTTTGTATGTTTTCTTTGGGTTTCAGTTTTATTTAGTTCTTCTCTGATGTTAGTTATTTATTTTCCTTTTTTATGATCACCAGTCATTTATTATCATTTTCAAGTATTATGTACTGAACATAATTGAATGTGCTATATATATATTTTTTAATATTTAAATTCTGGGGTACATGTGCAGAACGTGCAAGTTTGTCACATAGGTATACATGTGCCATGGTGGTTTGCTGCATCCATCAACCCATCATCTACATTAGGTATTTCTCCTAATGCTATCCCTCCTGCAGCCCCCAATCCGCTGACAGGCCCTGGTGTGTGATGACCCCCCCAACTTGTCCATGTGTTCTCATTGTTCAACTCCCACTTATGAGTGAGAACATGAGGTGTTTGGTTTTCTGTTCTTGTGTTAGTTTGCTGAGAATGATGGTTTCCAGCTTTGTCCATGTCCCTGCAAAGGACATGAACTCATCCTTTTTTATGGCTGCATAGTATTCCATGGTGTATATATGCCACATTTTCTTTATCCAGTCTATCATTGATGGGCATTTGGGTTGGTTTCCAAGTCTTTGCTATTGTGAACAGTGCCACAATAAACCTACATGTGCATGTGTCTTTATAGTAGAATGATTTATAATCATTTGGGCATATACCTAGTAATGGGATTGCTGGGTCAAATGGTATTTCTAGTTCTAGAACCTTGAGGAATCGCCACACTGTCTTCCACAATGGTTGAACTAGTTTACACTCCCACCAACAGTGTAATAATGTTCCTATTTCTCCACATCCTCTCCAGCATCTGTTGTTTCCTGACTTTTTAATGATCACCATTCTAAATGGCATGAGATGGTATCTCATTGTGGTTTTGATTTGCATTTTTCTAATGACCAGTGAGGATAAGCATTTTTTCATAAGTTTGTTGGCTGCATAAATGTCTTCTTTTGAGAAGTGTCTGTTCATATCCTTCACCCTCTTTTTAATGGGGTTGTTTTTTTTCTTGTAAATTTGTTTAAGTTCTTTGTAGATTCTAGATATTAGTCCTTCGTCAGATGAATAGATTGAAAAATTTTTCTCCCATTCTGTAGGTTGCCTGTTCACTCTGATGATAGTTTCTTTTGCTGTGCAGAAGCTCTTTAGTTTAATTAGATCTCATGTGTCAATTTTGGCTTTTGTTGCCATTGCTTTTGGTGTTTTAGACATGAAGTCTTTGCCCATGCCTATGTCTGAATGGTACTGCCTAGGTTTTCTTCTAGGGTTTTTATAGTTTTAGGTCATACATTTAAGTCTTTAATCCATCTTGAATTAATTTTTGTATGAGACGTAAGGAAGGGATCCAGTTTCAGCTTTCTGCATGTGGTTAACCAGTTTTCCCAACACCATTTATTAAATAGAGAATCCTTTCTCCATTTCTTGTTTTTGTCAGGTTTGTCAAAGATCAGATGGTTGTAGATGTGTAGTGTTATTTCTGAGGCCTCTATTCCGTTCCATTAGTCTATATATCTGTTTTGGTACTGGAACCATGCTGTTTTGGTTACTGTAGCCTTGTAGTATAGTTTGAAGTCAGGTAGCATGTTGCCTCCAGCTTTGTTCTTTTTGCTATGAAATTTAAAGCAGTGTTTTCCAATTCTGTGAAGAAAGTCAATGGTAGCTTGATGGGGATAGCGTTGAATCTATAAATTACTTTGGGTAGTATGGCCATTTTCACGATATTGATTCTTCCTATCCATGAGCATGGAATGTTTTTCCATTTGTTTGTGTCCTCTCTTAATTCCTTGAACAGTGGTTTGTAGTTCTCCTTGAAGAGGTCCTTCACATCCCTTGTAAGTTGGATTCCTAGGTATTTTATTCTCTTTGTAGCAATTGTGAATGAGAGTTCACTCATGATTTGGCGCTCTGTTTGTCTGTTATTGGTGTATAGGAATGCTTGTGACTTCTGCACATTGATTTTGTATCCTGAGATTTGCTGAAGTTGTTTATCAGCTTAAGGAGATTTGGGCTGTGACAGTGGGATTTTCTAAATATACAATCATGTCATCTGCAAACAGGGACAATTTGACTTCCTCTTTTCCTAATTGAATACCCTTTATTTCTTTCTCTTGCCTGATTGCCCTGGCCAGAACTTCCAACACTATGTTGAATAGGAGTGGTGAGAGAGGGCATCCTTGTCTTGTGCCGGTTTTGAAAGGGAATGCTTCCAGCTTTTGCCCATTCAGTATGATATTGGCTGTGGGTTTGTCATAAATAGCTCTTATTATTTTGAGATATGTTCCATCAATATCTAGTTTATTGTGAGATTTTAGTATAAAGGGCTGTTGAATTTTTTCAAAGACCTTTTCTGTATCTATTGAGATAATCATGTGGTTTTTGTCATTGGTTCTGCTTATGTGATGGATTACGTTTATTGATTTGCACATGTTGAACCAGCCTTGCATCCAAGGGATGAAACCGACTTTATAGTGGTGGATAAGCTTTTTGATGTGCTGCTGGATTCGGTCTGCCAGTATTTTATTGAGGATTTTTGCATTGATGTTCATCAGGGATATTTGCCTGAAATTTTCTTTTTTTGTTGTGTCTCTGCCAGGTTTTGGTATCAGGATGATACTGGCCTCATAAAATTAGTTAGGGCGAATTCACTCTTTTTCTATTGTTTGTAATAGTTTCAGAAGGAATGGTACCAGCTCCTCTTTGTACCTCTGGTAGAATTCTGCTGTGAATCTGTCTGGTCCTGGACTTTTTTTGGTTGGTAGGCTCTTACTGCCTCAATTTCAGAACTTGTTATTGGTCTATTCAGGGATTCAACTTCTTCCTGGTTTAGTCTTGGGAGGGTGTATGTGTCCAGGAATTTATCCATTTCTTCTAGATTTTCTAGTTTATTTGCGTAGAGGTGTTTGTAATATTCTCTGATGGTAGTTTGTATTTCTGTGGGATCGGTGGCGATATCCCCTTTATCATTTTTTATTGTGTCTATTTGATTCTTCTCTTTTTCTTTATTAGTCTTGCTAGTGGTCTATCAATTTTGTTGATCCTTTCAAAAAACCAGCTCCTGGATTCATTGGTTTTTTGAAGGGTTTTTGTGTCTCTACCTCCTTCAGTTCTGCTCTCATCTTAGTTATTTCTTGTATTCTGCTAGCTTTTGAATATGTTTGCTCTTGCTTTTCTAGTTCTTTCAATTGTGATGTTAGGGTGTCAATTTTAGATCTTTCCTGCTTTCTCTTGTGGGCATTTTAGTGCTATAAATTTCCCTCTACACACTGCTTTGAATGTGTCCCAGAGTTTCTGGTATGTTGTGTCTTTGTTTTCATTGGTTTCAAAGAACATCTTCATTTCTGCCTTAATTTTGTTATTTACTCAGTAGTTATTCAGTAGCAGGTTGTTCAGTTTCCATGTAGTTGTGTGGTGTTGAGTGAGTTTCTTAATCCTGAGTTCTAATTTGATTGCACTGTGGTCTGAGAAACTGTTTGTTATGATTTCCATTCTTTTGCATTTGCTGAAGAGTGTTTTACTTCCAATTATGTGGTCAATTTTAGAATAAGTGTGACATGGTGCTGAGAAGAATGTATATTCTATTGATTTGGGATGGAGAGTTCTGTAAATGTCTACTAGGTCCACTTGGTCTAGAGCTGAGTTAAAGTCCTGGATATGCTTGTTAATTTTCTGTCTTGTTGATCTGTCTAATATTGACAGTGGGGGTTTTAAAGTCTCCCGCTATTATTGTGTGGGAGTCGAAGTCTCTTTGTAGGTCTCTAACAACTTGCTTTATGAATCTGGGAGCTCCTGTATTGGGTGCATATATATTTAGAATAGTTAGCTCTTCTTGTTGAATTGATCCCTTTACCATTACGTAATGCCCTTCTTTGTCTCTTTTGATCTTTTTTGGTTTAAAGTCTGTTTTATCAGAGACTAGGATTGCAATCCCTGCTTCTTTTTTCTTTCCATTCACTTGGTAAGTATTCCTCCATCCCTTTATTTTGAGCCTATATGTGTCTTTTCACATAAGATGGGTCTCCTGAATACAGCACACTGATGGGTCTTCACTCTTTATCCAATTTGCCAGTCTGTGTCTTTAATTGGCACATTTAGCCTGTTTACATTTAAGGTTAATATTGTTATGTGTGAATTTGATCCTGTCATGATGCTAGCTGGTTATTTTGCCCATTAGTTGATGCAGTTTCTTCATAGTGTCAATGGTCTTTACAATTTGGTATATTTTTGCAGTGGCTGGTACTGGTTTTTCCTTTCCATGTTTAGTGCAGTCAGGCCTGGTGGTGACAGAATCTCTCAGCATTTGCTTGTCTGTAAAGGACTTTATTTCTCCTTTGCTTATGAAGCTTAGTTTGGCTGGATATGAAATTCTGGGTTGAAAATTCTTATCTTTAAGAATGTTGAATATTGGCCCCCAACTCTCTTCTGGCTTGTAGAGTTTCTGCTGAGAGATCCACTGTTAGTCTGATGGGCTTCCTTTTGTGGGTAACCCAACCTTTCTCTCTGGCTGCCCTTAACATTTTTTCCTCCATTTCAACCTTGGTGAATCTGACAATTATGTGTCTTGGGGTTGCTCTTCTCGCGGAGTATCTTTGTGGTGTTCTCTGTATTTCCTGAATTTGAATTTTGGCCTGTCTTGCTAGGTTGGAGAAGTTCTCCTGGATAATATCCTGCAGAGTGTTTTCCGACTTGGTTCCATTCTCCCTGTCACTTTCAGGTACACCAATCAAATGTAGATTTGGCCTTTTCACATAGTCCTGTGTTTCTTGGAGGCTTCTTTTGTTTCTTTTCACCCTTTTTTCTCTAATTTTGTCTTCTCGCTTTATTTCATTGAGTTGATCTTTGATCTCTGTTATCCTTTCCTGCGCTTGAGCGATTCAGCTATTGATACTTGTGTATGCTTCACAAAGTTCTCGTGCTGTGTTTTTCAGCTCCATCACCTCATTTATGTTCTTCTCTAAACTGGTTATTCTAGTTAGCAATTCATCTAACCTTTTTTCAAGTTTCTTCGATCCCTTGCATTCAGTTAAAACATGCTCCTTTAGCTCGGAGGAGTTTCTTATTACCCACCTTGTAAAGCCTACTTCCGTCAATTAGTCAAACTCATTCTCTGTCTAGTTTTGTTCCCTTGGTGGTGAGGAGTTGTGATCCTTTGGAGGAGAAAAGGCAGTCTGGTTTTTGGAATTTTCAGCCTTTTTGCACTGGTTTCTCCCCATCTTCGTGGATTTATCTACCTTTGGTCTTTGGCGTTGGTGACCTTCGGATTGGGTCTCTGAGTGAGTGTCCTTTTTGTTGATGTTGATACTATTCCTTTTCTGTTTGTTAGTTTTCCTTCTCACTGTCAGGCCCCTCTGCTGCAGGTCTGCTGAAGGTCCCTCCAGACCCTGTTTGCCTGTGTATTGCCAGTGGAGGCTGCAGAACAGCAAAGATTGCTGCCTGTTCCATCTTCTGGAAGCTTTGTCCCAGAGGGACACCTACCAGATGCCCACCAGAGCTCTCCTGTATGAGATGTCTGTTGGCCCCTACTGGGAGGTGTCTCCCAGTTGGATACATGGGGGTCAGGGACCCACTTGAGGAGGCAGTCTGACCTTTAGCAGAGCTCGAACGCTGTGCTGGGAGACCCGCTGCTCTCTTCAGAGCCAGCAGGCAGGGACGTTTAAGTCTGCTGAGGCTGTGCCCACAGCTGCCCCTTCCCCCAGGTGCTCTGTCCCAGGGAGCTGGGGGTTTTATCTATAAGTCCCTGACTGGGGCTGCTGCCTTATTTTCAGAGATGCCCTGCCCAGAGAGGAGGAATCTAGAGAGGCAGTCTGGCCGCAGCAGCCTTGCTGGGCTGTGGTTGGCTCCACCCTGTTCAAACTTCCTTGTAGCTTTATTTACACTGTGAGGGTAAAAGTGCCTACTGAAGCCTCAGTAATGGCGGACACCCCTCCACCCACCAAGTTCAAGTGCCCCAGGTCGACTTCAGACTCCAAGAATTTTTTTTCTTTTTTCTTTTTTTTTTTGAGATGGAGTCTCAATCTGTCGCCCAGGCTGGAGTGCAGTGGCGCAATCCCGGCCCAGTGCAACTTCTGCTGCCCAGTGATTCTCCTGCCTCAGCCTCCCAGGTAGCTGGGATTACAGGCGCTTGCCACCACATCTGGCTAATTTTTGTAGTTTTAGCAGAGATGGGGTTTCACCATCTTGGCCTGGCTGGTTTTGAATTCCTGACCTCGTGATCCATCCACCTTGGCTTCCCAAAGTGCTGGAATTAAGGCATGAGCCACCCTGCCCAGCCTGGCAGTGAGAATTTCAAGCCAGCGGATCTTAGCTTGCTGGGCTCCGTGGGGATGGGATCCGGTAAGCTAGACCACTTGGCTCCCTGGCTTCAGCCCCCTTTCCAGGGGAGTGAACGGTTCTGTCTCGCTGGCATTCCAGGCGCCACTGGTGTATGAAGAAAACCTCCTGCAGCTATCTCAGTGTCTGCCCAAAGGGCCGCCCGGTTTTGTGCTTGAAACCCAGGGCCCTGGTGGTGTATACACCCGAGGGAATCTCCTGGTCTGCAGATTGCGAAGACTGTGGGAAAAGTGTAGTATCTGGGCTGGATAGCTCTATCCCTCACGGCAGGTCTGGAGAAGTTTTATCTCTTTCTCCAGTGCTGTGCACTTCCCTCGGTGGAAATTATATTGGGTTGTGCAGTTCACGCTACCGGCCAGTAGGTGGCACTTATGGGTATGAACCAGCTGAGCGCTGTACTATGCCGTCTGCTGAAGTTGTGATGGGCCCTGCAGGTTGACTTCCTGGCCTTTAAGTAGCGCTTGCAGGTGAGAGGCAATTGCAGTGATGGCAGTAGAATTTTTTCTTGGCCTTGGTTGAACAGGGGAAGTACTGGGCTGTCCTTGGCGATGGGCAGGGTGTGGGGGTCTCAGGGATACCATTCTGTGCTCTGCTGAGAGCAGCTGGAGGGGGCAAAGCTGGATGTGGCTGGGTTGGGCAAGTCCATTATCAGCCTCTCTGAGGCCGACGTGAGCGCTGACCTTGGTGGAGGCATAGGGGTAGCTCTCAGGCTGGTAGGACAACCTTTCAGGAAGGGACGAAGAAGACCCTCCTGTGCCACAGAACTTGCTTAGGGGAAGAGAAGTGGACCGGGGTTTTCAGCCCAGCAGGCAGCCATGGGGCCCACACAGTTTAAGCTCCCCTGATCCAGTGAGTCTCCCTTTCACATCTGGTCCAGCCAGCAAGCCTGACCAGCTAAGTTCATCCCAAGCTGTCTGCGCCCAGATCGCTGAACCCTACTGGGCATTCCAGGCTGCCAGACTCCCTGAGGGGGAAACTGCAGCTATCAGGCCATGCCTTTCCCCACCTGGCCTTGCAAAGGAAGGGGTGCCCAGCTCCCACACCACTGCATGAACCAGCACCACACTCTGTGTTCTGATAGTGGGGGCTCCTCCGCTACTCAAGATCAGGCCACAACTGTTAACTCAATGCCCCTGGGCGATGTGCTCGAATCCTGGAGAATTGGGACCTGGCCCTTGGATTTGTCCTCTGGTCCCTTGGGGCCAAAGTAAAGCTGGGATGGGGGAAGTGAGCTGCTGGCATGCTGCCAACACAACGCTTAGATGGGGCAGTGGAGGCTGTGCTGGGGGTATACTCCTGTGGGAGTGGCCAGGCAGATGGTCTTGGGAGGGCCAGCAGGCAAGGAGAAGTTTGATTCATCTGCACCTCATCGGCGACAATGGCCGCGGGGTGTTTCTTAGGCCTGTGAGTGAGGTCGTACCCTGTTCTCTACTGGCCCAGCAGACAGCAGGAGCTGCAGTTGCTTAGTGCAGGATGGACGTCCAGAGCCTTAGTGGATACGCGTCCAGAGCCTTACCAGATAGCCTCACTCTGGCCCCATGTTTTGCCACAAGCTGCCCAGCACAGCAAAGCCTTCTGGGCTCCATGCAGGTTCTCGCTGTGCCTCTCCATTTGTCTAGGCAACTCCCCCTGCCAATCCAAAGATCTGCAGGGGTCATGGGAACTCCTGTAGCTAGGACTCAGGGCTCCATGGTGGGCATGTGGTGCCCTGCAGTGCCTTCATTTACCCCTTTCTTGGGTCCAGTCTGGGTTCAGGGGCAGGTCCTGGCACCTGGTGACAGAGCAGGCTGTCCCCCCTCCTTCCTCTTCAGCCACAGTGTCTGCATCACCTCTCTATTGACTTTCAGTGTTTTCTTTCAAAAGATCTGTTGGAGGTTTGAAGTCTTACTTGATATTTTGGTTCCTCTTTGTGGAAGAGGTGCTTCTAGCTGCATCCGGTTGGCCATCTTGTCTAATTTTGTGTTACTTTTTTTTTTTTTTTTGGAGACAGGGTCTCACTCTGTCGCCCAGGCTGCAGTGCAGTGGTGTGATCATGGCTCACCGCAGCCTTGACCTCCTAGGCTCAAGCGATCCTTTCACCTCAGCTTCCTAAGTAGCCAGGACTACAGGTGAGTGTCATCACGCCTGGCTAATTTTTGTATTTTTTGTAGAGACAGGATTTTGCTATGTTGCTCAGGCTGGTCTCGAACTCCTGGGTTCAAGGGATCTGCCCACTGTGGCCTCCCAAAGTACTGGAATTACAGGCTTGAGCCACTATGCCTGGCATGTTACATCCTTGAGACTAGCATGCTAACTTCACGTGTCTTGACACCCAGTTGGCTCCTCAGCCAGCCTTGGGCCTTCCATCAGTTTGACTGCTTCTGAGTATGTTATAAAGCCAAAGAATCCTGTGGCCACAAGCCCTCTTACACACCTCTATTGCTGTCATATGAATCCCTTGTTCTGTGGTGAGGTCCTGTAGGCTGCCATATTGATAGAGAAGATGCGTGTGAACTCTCAGATGGCAGTGCTGACAGAGGCACTGTGGTCAAGGAGGGCGTGCACAGATGTAGAATGTGTCTCAATTCCAGTGAACTCATTGCTGCCCCCTTCCACCCACCACCCAGGTGTGAGAGATGTTATGTAACGAACCCGCCACCCAGGTGTGAGAGATGTTATGTAACTAACCCACCGCCAGGTGGGTGGCCGACCTCCTCAGGGAATGAAGGCTCATCATGGGCCCATAATATTCTCTCTCTTGCGAACCATTGGGCATTTAGCCAGCAGTGGCCCATGGTTAGAACAGGTTAATGCAGGAGCAAGCTGTTTATATTATGTAGGTGGTACTTGGCCCCAGCCCTCTCTGTCCTGCACACTGCAAGTCACAAATTAAGCCTTTCAAGATCCACTTATTGGCTTTATGTGAGAAGTAAGTAGCTCCCTATCCTACTCTCTCCTTGATAGGAATCAGGGACCAGATGAGACTTACAGCATGGTTCTCTACAAGAAATTCTTACTGCAAATTCTCTCTCCTTCATTTTCAACAGTCTGACCCTTTTTAATATTCAATATGGGTAGAGGGTGTAAGAGTAGTGAAACTACTTTTTAGTACCATGATATTTTTTCTTGGTCTGGCATCTTACTTTGATAACTGTTATCTATCATCTTAGGATCTCAGGCAAAACTTCTATTTTAATACTCTGTTAAATGTGCATACTCTCACGTCTATCATCTCAGTCTTTAGATTTTCAAATATGCACAAGAAGATGTGCAAGGAACTTCACTGCAATGCTGTTTGCAATAGAAAAAAAGTTAGAAGAAAACAACCTAAGTAACACTAGATTAAAAAATGGACTAATAAACTCTAGTTATTCAAACAATGAAGTACTATACAATAGTGAAATTGAATGACTAGCTCTTAAAAACATAATACTGAGTACAAAAAGCAATTTAGATCCATATAGTATAATATCATTTATTTAAGCATTAGAAGCCCCACAGAAAACAATATATGGTGGTTTTGAATATATATATGTAAAATATTAAATATAAACATTGAAATATCAATTTCCAGGAAAAGGAGGGAAGAATAAAGAGTGGGTAAAAAAACTTACCCTTTAAAGAAGACAGAATGTGATTTTTGAACAATATTATAAAATCTTTACATTTAATTATTTAAATTTAATAAGTTAATAACAATACAATTAACATAAATTAATATAATTTCATAAATTAATTTCTTTAAATATTAAAGGATTGAATGTAATATCTTTATTTAATCTTGATAGTATTAAAAATAATTTTACAGTACTTTTGAAATTATTCACAATTAATACACTTTAGAAAAAATAATGAATTGGATGTTGTTAAAAGCCATAAACTATAGGCTTCTAAATATATTAGTATGAGTACTACTTTTTAGTGTAAACGTTTCATTCCTTATTATAGCAGCACCCCCATACATTTGAATAATAGTGGTACTGTCGTACAAAGTAATGTTCCTTTCGTTTCTGAACAATGAATGATGTTAATAGATTAGGGGCCATTTGTCCTAGAGTTATCAAATATTTAGCCTTTTTACTATGTAGTAATGAAAAGTAATAATGTAATAGCTTTTTCACTCTCAATGATTCTTCTAAGTTGGACGTACTTGGAGTTCTATTCAAAACTTAATTTTCTATTCTGAATTTATTCTAATTCATTCTATCTATAGAGATTCCCCACCAGCTCCTTAGGAATCAAGTCCTGGGAAGTATCAACTACTGGATCACAGTTGGTTCTTCCTCATGGGCTGCACCTCCAGGACACCTGGGTGGCTGGCCCCTCCCTCCTCTCTGCCAGGCTCTGCATCAGCTTGCACAGCTTGCCTGTGGTTCCCACTTGTCTCTAATGCAGGGTGTTCAGTGTATTCACATGCCTCTTTCTATTTGTCTTCATACCATTGGGCAAACAGGGAAGATCTTAGCCAAAACTATGACTTTGGCAGAAATTATTTGCAGAGTCTCCAACTGTTTCCTTTTAATATACTTCAGTTCAGCTTTACAAGCAATAGATGTTAAGCTGATACATAATAGATGTTCATTTATTGATAGATAAATGATACATAATAGATGTTCATTCATTGATAGATAAATTATACATAATAGATGTTCATTTATTGATAGATAAATGATACATAATAGATGTTCATTCATTGATAGATAAATGATACATAATAGATGTTCATTCATTGGTAGATAAATGATACATAATAGATGTTCATTCATTGATAGATAAATGATACATAATAGATGTTCATTTATTGATAGATAAATGATACATAATAGATGTTCATTCCTTTATTGCACATCTATTATGTATCAGGAACTTTGCCAGGTGCTGACAATAAACAAGATGACTAAGATGTAACTCTTACCTTTAAAATCTGAGTCCGGTGACTGATGACCTGTTTCTAAATTCTCCTTGAACTTTGAGAAGAAGAAAAATCTGATATTGGTTCACCTTGTCTTCTCTTCTGAGCCTCAGGCTCATATTTTTGGCTACCTAGTAAACCTTTTTCCTAGACTACACATGTCAATTTTTTTCTCTTATTTTTGAATTCTTTCTCTTCCTGACGTCTCTGTTTCATTCCGACTTGGCTTCAAACCTCCACTTTCAATCCTCTCCTTTTATTTCCTCAATAACTAGTTAAGGGTTGCAGTTGTTTTCCATTTCCACTGCTGGTATTGATACTCAGGCTCCTGCACCCTTCAATTCTGGACCACCCCAATTGCCTCTTAACTGGTTTCCTTGACTCTTTTTTCTTCTTCTCCGATTCATCCTATTATTGTTGGCAGATTGGTCTTCTTAAAATATCCTCTTAATCTCATCACCTCACTGCACCCAAACCTTCAATGATTCCCTGGTGCCTAAAGGGTGAAGTCTGTAATTCTACTCCAGTATTCACTGTGCTTCATTTTAGGGTCCAATCTTCTTTTCCAGCTGGATTAGTCTGTTCTCACGCTGCTAATAAAGACATACCTGAGACTGGATAATTTATAATGGAAAGAAGGTTAATGGACTCACAGTTCCACCTGGTTGGGGAGGCCTCAAAATCATGGCGAAAGCCAAAGAAAGAGCAAAGGGACTTCTTATATGGTGGTGGACAAAAAGAGAGCTTGTGCAGGGAAATTCCCCTTCATAAAACCATCGAATCTTATGAGACTTATTCACTATCAGGAGGACAGCACGAGAAAGACCTGACCCCATGATTCAATTGCCTCCCACTGGGTTCTCCCATGACATGTGGGAATTGTGGGAGCTGCAATTCAAGATCAGATTTGAGTGGGGACATAGCCAAACCATATCACCAACCTTATTTCTGTATACTCATTTCCTTCAGATACTCAGTGCTACTGTTTATGGTTGTAGAAAGAGGAAGAAAGACTATTGCAAATTATATTTGATTACAATTTTGAACTGTCTACACTTTAGTAGTCAACATCTTTTTGCTTTTGTATCCCATTTCTCTGCACACATTCAGCATGGTTGTTTTACAGCAGTGGTTCCCAATCCAGGGTGCACACTGACATGCTCTGGGGTCTGTAATGAATACTGATACTTGGGTCTCTCTCTCAGAGATTCTGAATTACCTGGCTTGGATATCAGGATTTTCAAAGTTCCCAGGTGATATGGTTTGGTTGTTTCCCCACCCAAATCTTGTCTTGAATTGTAGCTCCCATAATCCCCATGTGTTATAGGAGGGACTTGGTGGGAGATAATTGAATCATGGGGGTGGTTTCCTCCATACTGTTCTTGCGGTACTGAATAAATGTCACTTCATGAGATCTGATGGTTTTATAAGGGGAAACCCCTTTATCTTGGTTCTTATTCTGTCTTACTGCCTGCCATGTATCAAGTGCCTTTCACCTTCTGCCATGATTATGAAGCCTCCCTAGCCATGTGGAACTGTGAGTCTATTAAACCTATTTTTCTTCCCAGTCTTGGGTAAGTCTTTATCAGCAGCATGAAAATGGAACAACACACCAGATGATTCTCATGTGTTTCCTAGATTGAGAACCTCTGGCTTCTACGGATGGTTGGTGTGCACCAAACTTGGCCAATGTTGTAGCCCAGGACAAATAACACCACCACCACCACCACCACCACCACCACCAACAACAACAACAGCAACACAAGTTGGTGAAATATTTGTTGGCTACTTGTGTGCTGCAGCTTAGGGAGTGACCTGGCATTTAGCTAGCTTTTCTGTGTTGTGGGCCTGGAACTCTTACTGGTAACTGCCTTCATTAGTGTACAAGTTGAAGTAAAAAAATCTAGGCTTCTAAAAGCATCCTCTGAGGGGGTGGGTTTATAGTCTAATTTGGATGTTGCATTTTTCCATCACCATAGGAAGCCTCTAAGAAAAAGACAAATAGGGGCTCTCACATTATAGTCATGGGCAAATGAATCATGTTCTAATTGCAGATTTTCAACAGGATGGCTACAAGTGTGTCAGAAAAGCTAAGAAAATTATTTGCTATAGACAAACAAAAGGTTCTGATCTTTTATGTTTATTTTTAGATAAACAAGAGGCCTATTTTGTGTTTGTAACTGACTTGGTGCTTGAAATATTTTAGATGCTCACACACTTTTCTACGTGCCACAATTATGCCAGAATATAAAATTCCCAAAGATGATGTATTTAAAATGAAAGAACATTCCAGGGAAGAGTGCCATACCCTGTGTAATGAACTGTAACTTAACAAATGGTCATTTACACTCATGCCCAGAATGTATCAGGCTTATCATTAACATGAAATTTCTTTCTGGCTTATAGACCAAGATCAGATTTCTTTCAATAACCTTTATTATTAGCAAGAAATGTCATTGAGAAGGTAGTTTAAGACTTTCATTTAGGAATAAAAACACATTGTTCTTTACTGAGCTATGGAGTAGCTTGAAGTTATTTTAAGTCTCCAATGATGATTTTGACTCTATTCTGTGCGATTTTGGAGTTTATGGGTCTCAACTTCCCAATGGATGAGATGACATTATTAATAACAAAATAGTAAGGGGTGAGGGTATGAGTCATGCTACTGTTTGGGTATATGTTCTTACTGTCTCTTGATGTTTAAACTATTATACAAAAAAGTATTGTTACATTGGCTTACAAGCCAATGATGGCAAGCCAATGATGATAAATCTCCTTCCCTTATGGTTGGAAGTCTCACTGTAATTCTGCCAATTGGTTATGGATGAGGCTTACCCTTAAGTGGGAAGGTTCTTAGAGGTAGAGGGTTGGGATGTGACTGTTTGACTATGTGGAGAGTACAGGTACCATGCTAGAGGGTTTTTGTTTGTTTGTTTGTTTGTACGTTTTTTTAAAAAAATACAGTTACTAACTCTTACTAATTCCTGAATTTTGTAACAGGATATTCAGAATGATTTTGTCCTTTAGTGCAAGAATTCTAGCAAAGACATAAAGCTGAGGAGGATAAGAAAAGCTAAGACCCCATATCCTAAAGATAGTTACCAAAGAGTCACCACCATTGGGGAATTCCAGATTTATTTACTAAGTGGAGGTTAAACCTTCCCCTTACCATAATTCCCTGTCCCACCCCTCCCTGCAAGAGGAATCAGGATGGAGGGTGTTATTAGAGTGCAGACAGGAAGGTTTTCCTTTTCTTCCCCATGGGTGGGCTGCTCTCCTCCCTAAGAAGCCAAGTGAAGGGCTTCCAATGGGAAATCAGTCATAGAGGTTGGGGTATCTATGAGAAGGAGAGACTTGTATCTTCTTTATGACAGGTGTGTACTAAGCTCTAGAACCTGCAGCCTCACTCTCTACTGACTTTGGAGTGGTACAGATCAGGGCAAGAAAGTTTTAGGAGAGCCTGAGATGTGCTTCGTGTGCTACCAGTCTGGAGATTTCTGAGCAGAGAAGCTTGTTGTAATAGCTGTCACCAGCAGAGTAAGAAGGGTGCCATAGTGTTAGGTACTGAAGAACAGGATGTGGCCACACTTACCCTAGTCTCCTGTGACCTTTTGAGGGCACAGAGGAAAACACACCGAGATGAGGGGAGGGACAGAGGAAGAGGGCTCACTGGGATAAAGCAAGAGGCCGCCTAATCCAGAGAAAGGGCTTAAGGCCAGTGCTGTAGATGGGAATAGGTAAGGTGTAGGGGATATTCCTTGTTCTGAGGGTCCTCAGGACTGGGTAGGGGGCATGGTAAAAATGTATCATTGCCCTTACAAAAACCATGCACAGTGTCTTATCATCAAAGGGAAAGAGTCTGCAACAGAGGGATGCCAGGACATCTGCCCTCATTGGCATGATCTCTGCATTTACTTATTTCTCCCCCTGCCCATGAGGGGCTGGAAGATCCAGACTTTGAAAATAGAGAGGGGAGGATTTGCTTCTGAGCCACACTGTGTTCACTCTTCACTCCAAGAACCTATGATCATGTTTCTAGCTATTTTGAAGAAGAGAAGATGAACATTTTTTTAATCAATCAGCTATGATATTTTATTAGGAGTCATATTAGTAATAAAAAGTGTCTGGTAAGCTATGGATTGTGCCAAGAGGTCATTGCTAGGGAGTAGGACAGGGTTATGTGACAGAACATGAATAAAAGAAGGATTTAAAGGAATAACAGTTTCATGTTAATAACCTCATGGAGTTGAAACTCCTCCATTAACTGTCTACATTTGAAATGTTGAAACATTCAGTAATGTTGAACCTGAATGTGGTGCTTTCAGGGACCAGGACAAAGGAAGATCAGAAGCACTACTATATCTGCTTTTCAATGAAATTAGCTGGAGTGAGATTTGGAGGCTCGAAAGGAGGTTGGAGCCTTTTCTTGGAATCTTATGCTCTATAGGGATGCCCAGGGAAGATGTGGGAGGTGAGGGGTCAGGGAGGAAGGAGTCTGGGGAAAAGATCTCTGTATAAGAGGGGAGGAATGGGCAGGAGGGGCACGAGGATCATCACAAGGAGGAGGGAGGAGTATCCTATTCAGCAGTGGCTGCTTTTGTTCCTGTCTTCTGGAGATTTAACTTACTCTTGATGAGGATTGAAGCCAAAGAGATTTGGGAGAAAGGGGTGGGGTGGGGGAGAACATTTCTTTTCCCCACCATTAGCTAGTTAGAATCATATAATTATTCAAAGTCAGAGCTGGAAGGCATTCAGAGGTCATCCAATACCCTCATTTCATGTCCAATTCCGGTTTTGCTAGTACCCAATATAAAATCACTGCCCTTGCACTTTTTCCTTCTTATACAGGTATTTTGGAGAGTCTCCAGACACTGAAAAACAAGGATCTGATAAAGGTTCTGGCCATATTGGCCATATGGTTCTTGCCATTCCATCCTTTTACCCTGCTCCAGCCCCCTTGCCTTGAGGTGCTTTGAAGATCCACTGGACACCACACCTCACTCTGTGCCAGGGCATTGATGGGACTGCAGTCACATCTGCTGTCTCCTGGCAGGCATGGCCACTCCTGCCCATGCACAGGACCCCTCCAAGAGCAAGGATGATTACAACTTCTTCTTCTTCTTTCTTCTTCCTGGATGAAGATTGCTGTGGCTATGATGACAACTTCTCCTTCTTTCTTCTTCTTCTTCTTTCTTCTGCCTAGATGAAGATTGCTGGGCTGGTGGCCTCTTATTCTCTTGGAATATGCTCTCTCCCCAGAAATGTGTAATCTCTTCTCAATTATTTTTTAGCAGATTCCCCCATTAGTTTATCTGGGCTTAAGTGATGTATTAGTCCATTTTCATGCTGCTGATAAAGACATATCCGAGACTGGGCAATTTATAAAGAAAAAGAGGTTTAATGGACTCACAGTTCCACATGGCTGGGGAGGTCTCACCATCATGGTGAAAGGTGAAAGGCATGTCTTACATGGCAGCAGACAAGAGAGAATGAGAGAGCTTGTGTAAGGAAACTACCCTTTATAAAACCATCAGATCTCATGAGACTTATTTGCTATCACGAGAACAGCACGGGAAAGACCCACCCCCATGATTCAATTACGTCTCACTGGGTCCCTCCCACGACACACGAGAATTATGGGAGCTACAATTCAAGATGAGATTTGGGTGGGGACACAGCCAAACCTTATCAAGTGAGGACTCCTTTTTTCAAACCATGAGTGAATGTGAATTGGAAAGATGTTGTGAATTTACTTACCCTGAAGCCTCATGATGTGTGCTAGGAGAAGCACCAGGACTGGAACTAAAGAGTCCAGCATGCACAATTGCTATCTATGCTTAGAGGGACTAGGCAGGAGTGAAAAGGAGAAAAAAGTGGAGCCAAGGCTGCTCTCTGAATTCATCAGGAAATGGGGAGTGGACTGAGGGCTAAGTTGGGGAACATCTCTAGGAAACTCTCCAGGTGGAATTTTGTCGATGTAAGGTCATGAGCTATCTTACATGATATTAGGTGACTGCCAAGATTCACTACAACTAGTGTGCAAAGCCTCAAATTATTTTTATTTTATGACTATTATTTTTCTCCCTATGTGAGCATTTTTCTTGGAAAAGAATGGAAATTGTTTTTAACATTGAGTAAATATAGAGATTAATGATCTTGGATCCCTTTCATATTAAATTAAGTCATGATTTTATATTTTATTAAAGCAATCTTATTTATAGCCAAAGTCTGGATGCCTAGAGATGTCTGGAGCTGCAAATGATGGTCTTGTTTTAAATTTTGAGTGAAGCATTGAATACTGTTTACAACTCTGAACACTTAATTTTGATTGGATAGATTTATTGTTTCAGAGAATAGTTTTCTGGAACTGTTGTGGGGTAATTGTGATGCCTGTGCTTGCTATAGAAATCTGTTTTTGTGTGTATCAGTGATAAAATTCATCTTTTAAAATGCACTCTTAGGCATTTTAAATTTAATTAGATAAATTAATTAGATACATTTAATTCTTAAGGCTAACAGACGTATTCTGTGAGGTGTGGATACCAGGTATTTAACACTGGAGAACTGAAATCAAATTTAGAAGAAACATTATTCTCTTATTTGATTAACAACCCTCTAGAGTTGTTGTTCTAGATGTTGTTTTCTTTTTAACCTAGAGGTGAGACATAGTCACTGTCTCTAATCTTAGCTCCTTCAACTGTGGTGGAGACAGAAGGGACAGATATTTAAGGAATTCTTAATTTTTGGTGGAGTGGGAGACAGGCAGGAATCAACGGTTTCAAGAGCTACACTTCTCGGTGGAAGTTGGCTTTAAAGGGTGGTGACTGAGCTCCTGCATGAAGTGGTAATTGAAATACACAGGAGTGGCTTATTTTATCTTCAGTTTAATGGTAGAGTTTTGAGTAAGTAGTTCTCAACCCAGTGAATGACATATGTTCGGTGAGTAGTAAACATTTGTTGGGTTGCCCACCATTCTTTCTTCTTTTGGCAACAGTGTCTAATTTTCCCTTTTGAGAACCATCCTCCCCCTTCTGTCAGATGAACAGCTACTGTTGGAGCTGATTCTATGACTAGCTTCAAGAGTGTATAACTCACTGGCTAAGTGCCATAAATCTATTACCTAGGCATAGTGACTCCTTTAGGGGTGGACATATGACTAAGTTGATCCAATCAAAGTACAATCCTATGTGGAAGCTACTAGGGAGAGATACCCTTTCCCCTCTGAACATGAACATAGGGAAGGGCTGAAGCTGTGGGTAGCCATTTTGTACTTGGGAACCTCAGAATTGAGCCAATATATGGTACAGTGCAAAGCCAAGAGATGTTTCAGTTATATTAATCTATCTATTCACTTTTACTGAAGTCATTTGCCTGCAATGAAAATAATCCTAACTGAACAGGGTACATAATTAATATTAATTGGTTCCTTTTCCTGCCCCTTATTTCTCAGGGGACTAGTCCCTGCAGGGGATGCGGGAGAGCTGCTGCACATTCTCCCAGGATTCCTACAGCACACACATAATATAAGGAAAGGTTTTCCAGATTCTGCAATTTTACATCAAAAACAGCTTCCAAAATATATTTTTATTAAACAACAAAATGTACAAAACACCAGCTACTGTGTACTCTCAATATTTTTTCATAAAAGAAATGGCATTTTTAATATTCTAAAATAGGAAGTACAGAGTATAATTAAGGATAGTATTTAAAATAGAAAAAGTCTATCTTTAAGAAAAATGCATTGCACTCTCCTTATTCTTTTTTTCATTTTACCATAGTGCAGCAAAAATGTGAGTGGTTCATAAGGTCTAGGTCTTATGAAAGATAACTTCCTAGAATCAGATCCTGCCTCGACCACTCACTGGCTATTCTGTAATTACTCTGAGTTGCAGTTTCCTCATCTGTGAAATAGAAGTAATAATTATCCCTGTCTCAGAAGATTGCAGTAAGGGTTGAAGGAATTAATACATGTAAGTTTTTAGAATAGTTCCTGGCACATAGGAAGTACTCAACAAACATTAACTATTATTATTGTTGTTGTTGTTATATTAATCAATACTCAGTGTCAATGTCTGGGATGAAATCAGATTCTAATTTCAGCCTTTATACTAATTAATTCTGTGACCTTGGACAGGTCAGTTTAGCTTTCTGGGCTTCAGCGTGCTCAACTGTAAAATGTAGGAATTTGGTTAGATACTTTTGGAGCATGCAGGAAACCACATGCATCTGCTGACTCTGCTCATCTGCAGGGGGCGTGAGGCACCATTATTGGTCACCTGATGCTCACCTGGGACTGGATTGGCTCCACAGTGGGGAGGCAGTCAGTCCCTCATCCCCCACAGCGCTCTTGTGTGGTGGTTGCTTCTGTTTCTGGTTGGCAGAGAGATGTGCAGAAGAAAAAGTCCTTTGAAGGAGTGAATGGAAGGATTCAGGGTAGGATGTTTCCAAAAATGAAGCTGAGAAAATTCCAATGATGCCAGACACAGTGGGCAACAGTTTTGGGGATGACCGAATATTCTTTCATCTAACCACTCCACTACCCTCTATTGGCAAAGTCTGGAGATTGGTGAGGAAGTCTCCATCTTGGGTGTAGAGCCTGTCTGTGAGTGCAGTCCTATCTTTGAATGAAAGCAGAGCACACTTCTGTGTGGGAGTAAAGATGATGTGGTGAAACATGGATGTTTGAACATTAACACCAAGGAAACACTCAAGGCAGAAATAGTTCAAGCAACTTAAATAGCAGTGAAGGGCTTTATTCAGCTTATGTGCATGAGGGAGCACCTCAAGGTTAGATAACTTCCTCAGCAGAAGCAGGGTTGGAGTCTGTACAGGTAAGGAAAGAGGATGGGATTGTGATGATGGTCTTGTCTCAGGGTATACAGATGTTCCTCAACTTATTATGGAGTTATGTCCTGGAAAACCCATCATACATTAAAAACATTCTGAGTTGAAAGTGGATTAATCCAGCCTACTGCATATCAAAGCTTAGCTTAGCCTAACTTAAACATACTCGGAACAATTTTATTAGCCTGCAGTTGGGCAAAATCATCTAACACAAAGCCTATTTTATAAGAGTGTTGGATATCTCATGTGTGAAAGGAAAATATCTTGGGCCGCTTCAAGCTGGGAATTGCTCAGGGCAAATCTGTCTCTCATTCTATTCAAAGTCATCCCTCTGCTCACTGAGATAGATGCATATTCTGATTGCCTCCTTTGGAAAGGCTTATCAGAAACTCAAAACAATGCAACCATTTTGTCTCTCACCTACCTGTGACCTGGAAGCCCCCTCTCTGCTTTGAGTGGTCCCCACTTTTCTGGACAGAACCAATGTACTTCTTACCTAAATTGACTGATGTCTCATGTCTACCTAAAATGTAGAAAACCAGGCTGTGGCCTGACTACTTTGGGCACATGTTGTCAGGACTTCCTGAGGCTGTGTCACGGGCGCACGTCCTTAACTTTGACAAATAAACCTTCTAAAATGATTGAGACGTGTCTCATCATTTTTCTCCATTGACACATGTGCTTCATTGAATACTGTACCAAAAGTGGAAAACAGAATGGTTGTAGGGGTACTTGAAGTATGGTCTCCGCTGTATGCCTATTGCTTTTGAACCATTGTAAAGTTGGAAAAACCAAGTCAAACCATCGTGTAAGTCAGAGGCTGTCTGGCTTTACTTGGTAGAAACTTCCGTAAGA
This sequence comes from Homo sapiens, assembly GCF_000001405.40. NCBI lineage: Eukaryota > Metazoa > Chordata > Mammalia > Primates > Hominidae > Homo > Homo sapiens. Next base: position 136,129,671 of record NC_000007.14, read on the forward strand.
TGTGAGGTTGGAATGGTTGGGAACAGTTTCATACTTTCATACCTTTTTCTTGGAATCATTGGTCCAATCTCATGTTAGCAGCTATCTGAACCATTCTTTGGAGAACTATCTGCTTTGTAGCTTGTTTATTAATTGTCTAATGACAATTGAAGTTCAGGGAAAGGGGAAATAGAAAAAATGGGGAGGTTAAAGAAGAGAGAACTTTTTTTTAAAAAAAGGGAGTAAAAGTCAAAACAGGAAATTGGTGTTTTAATTCTTTTTCAACTTAAAACAAAAACTTTCTCTAGTCTCATGTATTTTTTCTTTTTTTTAAGGCTAGTCAAGTGAAGCAGTGGGAGTGAAGATGTGGCAAAGAAATCTGTAACTGGTTGTGATCAATTCATTGTAAATACTATAGCACTCAGGCTAACCCTGTGTATTTTTCTTAATTTATTTCTTGGGAGGTTTTAAAATGTATTTTTTTCCTTTGGACTTAATGTTTTCATTTTTGTTTTCTAAGTAGTCCAAAAGAAGTTTAAAAAATTTCATTAAGAGAAGAAGAAAGCTAAAGCACATGGGTACGTGTCATATATTTTTGCAACTGTTCATCTACGTATAAATATTATATACACTCTTTATTCATGACATATTTCACAATAAAAAACGTCATAATAAGGGAGGAAGAAATGTTTAATTTAAGAAAAGAGAGGAAAACAAAATCCATATCTTACAATAACTCATCCTCATTTGTATCAGTTATATGTTTTTATGCAATGTGCCAGATAGGGGAAGAAAATACAGGAGGCAATAAAGAATTTCAAGAACTTCTAAGCCCTGGAAATCATGCCATAGAAGCATGCTCTAAGATTTTGTTTATATAAAGATAGTTTTAGCAGTCTATAGAGCTAATAAACTTCCATCAAACACTGGCGAGGAGCAATTTGGAGTACATCAAAGAGCTACGTAGTTCCAGCACTAAGATGAATGTAACATTTTGCTGCTGATGGGTTTTATGTTTATGAGTCAAATCCACATTAACAAACATGCACTGCTCCTTGCTCCAAACTGCTTTATTATTCTGTTTTAAGATGCGCACTCATTGTGTTGCTTACGTAAGCAATGAATAGATGCTTTCTTGAGAAACCTGCTCTATGGGTATGTATCTTAATGAAAATGGATTAAACTGGAAATTTTAAACCCTACTCTTAAAGTTTACCTGATAAGATCAAATAGAGATATAAACTGGGAGCAGAGCATAAACGAGAGGACAGTGTTGAGATATTGTGGACATAGCCAATAATTACACCTTCTTCAGCCTAGGATTTAAACCTGAACAGGAATGTAAAAGAGTCATATCTGGCATAGAGTCATTATCTTTTGCCCTTTAGGTAATGACTTCTTTCATTATGACAAAGTTGCTTACGTGAAAAGAAAACAATTCAGTCAACTGAAACAACTTGACAAACAATTATAAGAAATCAACAATGCCAATGTAGTGTGAAAAAATGGGGTTTTTCACAACATGAATCTTGTTCCAATAAATACCAAGCTATGTTATACAAAATGCAAATGATTGAATCTTATACTCTCTATTCTTTGGCTTATTTTTGGAGGTACCTCCTCCAGTGTCCATGCATGTCCCCATGTTATTATTTTCTGTGTTCTGCTGCAGCCTCTTTTTGTGTTTGTCACCTGTCTGGGATTCCGCAACCATCCCACTGTATCCTCCTTCGCTCTCTTTCTTTCTCTCCCTCCCCATCCCACCCCCGTTTGTCTGTCTTTTTAGTAACAAATAGCAAGTTTCTCCAGAAGTAGTAGTCATAACACAGCATATCTAGTAATGAGTCAAGTTTTGTAGCTTGAAGAACTTTAACAGTTTATTAGCTTTGGTATTCACATTTCAAGTCAATTAAATCCAACCAACATTCTTGAAAATGCAAGATTTATAGATATCTGGAAAAGCAATTCACAGATACTAAGAACAACAATAAAAGGCATGACTTCTGCCCTTAAAAAAAATCACAGTTGGTTGTACTTTGGGGCCATTCCTATTACCATTGGCAAGTCCTCTGAATAGAGTGACTTTTGTCGTGCACTGTGCTTTGTTGGATAAATTAAATCCATTTTAATAATATAATTGATGGTCATTGTTATCTACTAACACTTATTGAAAGACAGTAAAAGACATTGGATATTTTAATTACTTTTTTGCTTATAGAAAAGGAAATTGTGTTCTAGAGACCTGGCCATAGAAAAGTAGGTCTAGAAAGAGTGGAGAGTAGGGAGGGTGGAAACCAAAAGGGCCGGTGAGCTGCTGTGGGGATGATGGTGTGCTTGTGAACAGCACGGCTGCTTAAAAACACAGACCCTTTCCTGAAAGACCTACAAGTGCTAACAAGAAACAAGAAGGAAGGTGAAACATGATCCCTTGCCTTACGGAGATTTATTAATAATTCTGAAATAAAAAATGGATTTTTTTTCCCCACTGACTTATTATGTGTCCAATTCAAACCTTTATCTTTTATTTTCTTATTCTGGAAAATGGGTTTTTTCACAACATGAATCTTATTACAATAAATACTGAGCTGTGTTATGCAAAATACAAATGATTGAATCTTAAACTTTCCATTATTTAGCTGAACTTCAGTGATAAGGAAATGAAAAATGAGTCAATTTGCAAAATCTGTTGAGTTTTTATGTGTTGCCTCTTAGGTAATGACTTTGTTCATTATAACAAAGTTGTTTATGTGAAAAGAAAACAATTCAGTCAACTGAAACAACTTCAGAGTTCTGAAAAACCAACAATGCCAATGTAGTAGATTAAACTTTTTATTTTTGTTCGAAATGTTGGCATGTTGCTAACCTTAACATTGGATTTCCGTGTTTGAAATCTGGCTCCTCAACTTACTGCAATACCCTGACAATTTTTTTAGACCTCTCCATGTCTTATTTTTCTTATCTGTAAAATGCAAGTAATAATAGAACTTATTTCCTTGGGTTGTTGTAAGGATTAAATAAGTTAAAGCAAATTTTAGAAAATTGCCTGGTACAGAGTAAGTGTTTCCTCCTCCTCCTCCTTCATCATCATGATTATTCTATCTTAGGCAGGTTGGTTGACTCATCAAATACTTTTTTCAATGATTAAGAGTGAATTTACATTATTATTTTTTAAATTAATTTTTTTTTTTTTTTTTGAGACAGAGTCTTGCTCTATTGCCCAGGCTGGAGTGCAGTGGGACGATCTCGGCTCACTGCAAGCTCCGCCTCCTAGTTCATGCCATTCTCCTGCCTCAGCCTCCTCCGTAGCTGGGACTACAGGTGCTCGCCACCATGCCCAGCTAATTTTTTGTATTTTTAGTAGAGACGGAGTTTCACCATGTTAGCCAGGATGGTCTCAATCTCCTGACCTCGTGATCCGTCCACCTTGGCCTCCCAAAGTTCTGGGATAACAGGCGTGAGCCACTGTGCTAAAATTTTTTTTTAGAGATGGAGTCTCACTCTGTTACGCAGGCTGGAGGGCAGTGGTGCAATCATAGCTCACTGCAGCCTCGAACTCCTGGGCTCAAGTGATCCTTGAGGCTTAGCCTCTGGAGTAGCTAGGACTATAGGTCTATGTCACCAAGTCCAGATAATTTTTAAATTTTTTTGTAGAGACAAGGTCTCACTATACTGCCCAGGCTGGTGCAAACTCCTGGCCTTAAATGATACTTCCGTCTTGTCCTCCCGTAGCACTGGGGTCACAGGTGTGAGCTACCACACTTGGCCTGAATTAACATTATCTTTCAGAGAAGTTCAACTAAAAGTGTCTGTGGTGAGACAAGTATACCCTGTGGATGCAGTCATTGTACAAATGTTCAATTCATGATGCTTGTCATTTAATATATTCTCCTAACTTACCATTTAATTCACGGATGACTCAAATGACTGAAAGAACATTGGCCCTCCTCTGTCTTCTTATTTGCACAGAGTTGAAGCAAGTAGTAGTTTTCTTTTAAAAAGAGAAATTGCACATGGGTTTATTTTAGATATATTCTGTTCTATTCTCTCTCTGTCTTTACAGGATGTAACAATAAACTCCCTAGTGGGTGGGATGAAAGGAAGCCTCACTCTGACTCTGACCTGGTGCCCCTCAGTGGCCAGATGCCAGGGGGAGGAATGTTTAAATTCATTCCAGAGGAAATAGCTTTGCGGTTGGCTTCAGCAAAGGCAAAAGGCATTGGATTTATTTAATAGCGATTAAAGACCATTCATTCATCATACATAATACATAATAATTACAGAGAGAATTCTGTAACCATTTCTGTATCTACTGAAGGCAAACAAAGCATATTTGTGGGTTGTCGGGAATAAAGTTTTATGTAACTGGTATGAAGTGAGCAAATTTCTAGAAGGGGCTTCCCCTGGCCAAGGGCTTTTCCCTCTTGTGAATGTAGTCCGTGTTTCTTCTTTCCACTTGTTAATGTAAGACTTCTATTGGCAGAATCTCTCTTACCCATATCCACTGCTAACACCCTCTCTGTCCCTCACCCCACTGTCCCCACCAACCCAGCCCTGTTTATCTCACATTTAGTTACAAGCTATGCGGTGCTTCTTCTCCTAGTCTGGAAACTGTTGACAAGAGTCTTCACTGTTTTTAAAACTGCCTTTAGTGAATAGCTACTACCCTGCAATGCCCTCATTTGAGCTGTCATTACCTTGAGCTGACTCCAGTAAGGTGCATAGGAGGCCCCCATGTGCCAAGGTGTAGGAGTGTTTTCCGGGCCTCAATGTATCAAAGCTACACTGGATTCTGTCCAGAAGTCGATTTTGTAGCTTTTCTGCTAAATTTCTCACAGGAGTCGCAAAGCAGAGCTACTTTTTACCCAATGCCTGATAGAAATTTTGGTGAACATTACTTTTATTTGCTTTTAATTTGTGGGCCTATTTGCTTCCTAGGATGCAGAGCACAAATCTATGAGAAATGAACAAGAAGGCAAATCTGAGCCGCAGACACTAGGATGAGTCAGAATGACATCTCCCCCTAGAGCCCGGGGCTCTGCTATTGAATCATGTCTCTGCGTCTGACATCTTGGGATGAGTTTTCCTCTCAGGCTCCTGCTGGGCCATCCATCAGTGTCCTAGGGATGTCTATGGGAAGATACCACTTAGGCTCAGGCTAGACTTGGACTCTGAAGACTTTTGTGAATCTTAATAGAGTTTCTTCTCAATGGGATGGTTATGAGTTGGGGAAAGATCAAGACTTTAAAATAGGAAAACTGGCAGTCAAGGAAATTTAAATTACAACGTCAATGGGTTACTAGTGTTAGACTCTGGTATACATAATCACATACACACATACACATTTAAAGATAGGAAGGAAATATACTAAATTATAACCATGATTATCTCTGGGGTGTGGGATCATGGATGATTTTTATTATTTTTTAATGTTCTTATATTTTCCACTTTTATAAAATTATAATTTTATAGTTGTAAAATTATAAAATTATAATTTTGTAGTTGTAAAATTATAAAATTATAATTTTGTAGTTGTAAAATTATAAAATTATAATTTTGTAGTTGTAAAATTATAAAATTATAATTTTGTAGTTGTAAAATTATAAAATTATAATTTTGTAGTAGTAAAATTATAAAATTATAATTTTGTAGTTGTAAAATTATAAACTTATAATTTTGTAGTTGTAAAATTATAAAATTACCATGTGTGTTTTTCATATTTAAAAAAACATTAACTTTCTCTTTAAGGAGAATAAATATCAGTGATATATAGCTGGCCAACAGAGGATGGAGGTAGAACTGACAGATAATGATGACAATGTAATACAAATTACTGAACTTTTTAATCTTCATTCCTTGGTCTTTTGTCAGCCCCAGAAAATTGAGGCAGCTTAGCAGGACCAATAAGAACAGTTAGGTTTCGATCTCGTTGTGGAATTCAGATTTTGGATTTGGTATTTGCAAGGTCTTAAAGCATACAGAAGCAAGGTGAAACATCACCAGTCATCCAGTGGTTTACATTGAGTGTACTGCTGACCCTTGAACAACCTGGGTTTGAACTACACGGGTCCACTAACATGCAGATTTTTTTCAACCAAAGGTGGATCAAAAATACGGTATTCAGGCCGGGAGCGGTGGCTCACGCCTGTAATCCCAGCACTTTGGGAGGCCGAGGCGGGCAGATCACGAGCTCAGGAGATCGAGACCATCCTGGCTAACACGGTGAAACCCCGTCTCTACTAAAAATACAAAAAAATTAGCTGGGCGTGGCAGCGTGCTCCTGTAGTCCCAGCTACTCAGGAGGCTGAGGCAGGAGAATGGCAGGCAGGTGAGCCGAGATCGCGCCTGGGGGACAGAGTGAGACTCCGTCTCAAAAATAAAAAAATAAAAAAAATACAGTACTCATAGGATGTGAAACCTGAGGATATGGAGGCTAGATTTCTTGTGTATATGTGTGATCTGCAGGGCTGATTGTGGGACTTGAGTGTACTTGGATTTCGGTATATGCGGGGTCCTGGAACCAATTGCATGGGACAACTGTATACAGCCCACATATTCAGATCATTTTAGTTTTGGCTTTCTGATTGGGTGCTTGGGCATGGTAATGAGGAGAGTGGTTTAGAGGAAATACTATGGCATATGAATGAACCATATTTCCTAAAACGAGTTTTCCCCCGTATTAATTAGGGACAAGCAGCTGTCTGGAAGGAAATCTGTAGGAGAGAAATAGGAACCAATATTTTCTATTTTCTTTTTCAATAATTCTGTTTAAGACACAAATCCTTGATTTAGTCCAAAGCAGTTCAACTAAAATAGAATGGACCTTGCTTAGTGTTAAGTGTTTATTGCATATATGTCCTTCAAGTGATACTGTAATTCGAATAAACCCACTAAGAGTTTGCCCTCTTAGTCTTTTGGAAAGAATAGAGACTATCAGTAGAAGATAAGTTAAAAGCATCCTATGTTATGTTTTCTCAAAAGTAAACTCTTTTTCAGGGCAAGGCCCCTGGTGCAGGTTAATCTTCCTTAAGCATGGTTCTAGTTACTTTCCTGATTAAAAGCCTCCAGTGACCCCACTGAGTTATTCAAATTGTATTATTATTTTTTAGAATGAAGACTCCTTTGTTTAAACAACAATTATTGTAGAATCCGATAAATGCAGAGTGTACAGGGAAAAACCTGTAACTATTGTAGCAAAATGTTGACTCCAAGTGTCCCCACATTTTAAAAATTGTGTCAGAATTCATCCTAGGAGCAGGAATGTGCTTCTGTTTGGGAGAACAATAGGTTATGCAAAGACATGAAGGGGAGGCATGAGGACAAAGAGGATCATAATAAAGTAAAAGGATGGTTTCCTGCCTTGGTTTGGTGTATTCCCAAGATGTTAGTTAATTGACGCTTCAGCCTGGACTGGTGGCAGATGTGATGTGGGGCAGGCCGAGGCCTGGGGATGGGCTTGAAGGCTGATTCCACTCTGGAATCCGGCGCGTTAGTATTGATTTTGAGTTTTGTTTTCCTCTTCTGCATTATCATTCCCTTAGGACAGCCTCAGATTTCAGTAAAGCTGATTAGCTTAACAGTCTAAAACCTGTTTAGTATATCAGCCACCTTGGGGAATGCAGGAGCAGACAGCTCATGGAGGAGCAGAGATATATCCAGGGGTGATCAGAGTGGAAGGGGGGCAACCCTTCGGATTTAGAGGAGAGAAGAATCAACTCAGACATGTAAGTCCTCCCAGATAATCCCCAGAAAGATTTGGCAAATAACTAGATTTTCTGCTCATAAGATAGAAGTTTGGCCTATTTTATTTGGATATCAGGAAAAGGGCAAGCTTTAGGCTAGAGGATTTGGAAGCACTCAGATTCTAAATTAAATGGATAAAGGTAAAGATGCTCTAGGATTCTTCATTTTCCTGAAGAGGTTCTCAGAGCCCACAGAATATTAGTATTGTCCTTGATACATGGCAGATAATCAATAAAGAATGGCTGAACTAATGATTAAATAAACAATGACCGATAACCAACAACACAGGGTCTCCAGTTTAAAAGATGGCCACTGAAAGAGGTTTTGTCAAAGTTAAAATACCTGAAAAAATGAAAAATTAGACACCTGTACCATAGATAAGTTGTTTGGGTAGAAACAAAAATTATGATTTTTTTCTAGATTATAGCAAAATAATCATCCTATTTCAAGGTTTACGAAAAAATATCAAGCTGGTGACATTTACTAGAAAAGGATCAATTGATAATCTGGATAGCTTTCTTTATCCAGTGTAAACACGATTTTAAAACATTTATATTACTATCTCATTTTGAATTAGCGAAGAAATGAGTTGTCTGCTTCCGTATGTGTAGCTGAATAAATAAAATTTACCAATTTTACAAGAACATAGTCCTTTTGTACACATCATCTATTAAATCCTCATGGTTTAAAAAAGTTTGTATGTATGTATGTGGTGTGTGTTTATTATGGGAACAGAAGAGAGGGACAGACGTATACAGCGTTGAAAACAGAATTGTATGGGCGAATTAGAGCTGCTCTTTTCCATTTTGGGACAAGCAAAGGAAGGTCTTTTTAGAATTAAAATTCATAAGCTTTGGTTGTTTTTGAAAGGAAAATAATAAATAAACAGTGAGTCCTGAAGGATGTAAAATAGGCAGTGCCGGCTCAGATGCCTCCCGTGTGACACTGCTCAGCATAGAGGCCATAATAACAGAGTTGGGTTGACCAAGGGATTTGGGCAATGTCCATTTTCTCCAGGGTATGAACTCAAGAAAGAAGAAGAAAAGAACTGGTTCTCCAATCGTGTCTTTATCAGGAATCTAAATAGAGACTGAGCTTCCCAAATCTGAAAATCCAAAATCTGAAATGCCCTAAAATCTGAAGCTTTTTGAACACTGACATGGTGCTCAAAGGAAATGCTCATTGGAGCATTTTGGATTTCAGATTTTCAGATTTGGGTGCTCCATTGGTAAGTATAATGCAAATATCCCAAAATCTGAAAAAATTTGAAATCCAAAACATGTCTGGTCCCAAGCATTTTGGATAAGGGATACTCAACTTGTATCCTTTTCTCCAAATCCAAGGTTTAAAAAATCATTTAATTCACAATTTGTGGGCAACCTACTAATATGCCAAACATTGTGCTGGGAGTGTGGATGGGATATAACAGTGAACAGAGAGTAGTCCCTGCCTTTATGGAGTATACACTAGAGGGACACAGTAGTCAAATATGAAACTGTAAGCCATGTTATGTGCTATGAAAGAAAGGAGGGGATGCTCTAGGTGTGCTGTGGGCAGAAGTTGGCTGGGATGAGGTGTGGACAAAGACTGGTAGTCAGGAAATTCTTTTCCAAAGATTTGACAGCTGACCCGAGATCTTAAGGATGACTGCCTTTACTTTAAGGAATTTATTACCTCTTAATAGTTTACCGGCAATCTTAGTGGTTAAATGCCCCTTTATGGATGGAAACATGAAGTACCCATAAGGTAAGTGATTGAATTAAGGTCAAACAAGTAAACAGTTTCTTTGTTATGAAAACCTGTCTCTTGGTTCTGTCTGGTTAATCTCACTAGAGAAAACAGTCTTCTTCAATAAGTAAAAACAGCCTGGTTTTATTACAACTCCAGGTGGACGTCTCCAGGGATGTTGTACTTGTAAGCCTACACCAGAATGCTGTCCAGGAAGACAGAAGTCAATTTTCATATAAATAGCATTTGAATTTATAAAGATGAGGATGGATTTCTTTTTAAAGATGATTTTCTGGTAGAGCATATAGTCAAGATGGTACAAGGTTATTTTCACATATCGTTTGAGTAGCTCCGACTGTTTTTAAACACCACGCTGACTTTTTTTTTCTTTTTCCAGAGTCCCTCTATGATTGAGTAAAGCCAGACTGACAGCAGCTATAATGACTCTGAAATCTTTATTAGTCCTTTACACTGTTTTCATTCTCCTCGTGTGTGTCACTCTCATTTCGCACTGAGATATTTTAATGAGTTTCTGAATGATTGTTTTCTACTCTTCTTAATATCCCTGCTCAGGTCACTAAATTAGAGGAAAGCATTTTAGCAAATGGGAACGGAAACAAAAAGTATCATTAGCAGGAGGCCTACTGAAATCACAGCTATTAGGAATGTGAAATGTCTCTTGACTCAAAGTGTGGAAAAGATGCTGGCAGATGGAAGGGTTAATTACTAGACACTGGCTTCAAAGGAGACAGGGCAAGCTTATAAGATCGATTTGTCAGTGGTGGTAAAGCACATTTTTTTTTCTCCTATTGCATTCTGCAATGGCTAAATTCCCTGTCTTGGAATTTGTTAGGTGGGATAAACAGCTGCACAGATCTTAATTTTCTAATCTTTTTGTGGGATTTCATCTTCAGTAGACTAGGAATCTGGCTACTAGAAACAAAATGTCAGAGTTTTCACTTTTAAAACACAGGACAAACAAATTGCAAATACTCATGACTTGCTATGTTTTTAAATGTTTTCCCATTTCTCTTTACCTGTGGTCACTCATAGGACATCTGATTTTCTTCCCATCCAAGGAGTTGATCTAGAGGAAAACTTCAATCTTTTTTTAAGCACAATACGTCAGTCTGAAAAAGTATGTATTATTACAAAAAGATACAGAATTCTAGTTTTTAGGTACCGTTTCCATCCATCTCTATGACAGGAAGTTGTTTCCGGTGCAGAAACATTGTTCTCATTGTGCAAATCACTGATGGGAATTAGAGAAGTAGCTCTTGTTCTCAAATTCATTCTCTGTGGGACTGGTAAGCATATTGGCCCACCAAATGAATTTCCTTGGTGGCTCATAGCTAACCACTATGTCTTATGCACAGTAGGTATTCAATAGATGTTTTTAAAAATCAAATTAAATTGTTTGGGCCAGTCTACTAAACAAAACTGTGGATCAAGCGTGTTTGAAAGTGGAAGAGTTCCTCTATTTGCATATCTCTGACAGTGGAACCAAATGACTCCCTTCCCCATTTAAGAAATGTCACAATTGATTGATAGTAGAAAAGGAGGAGCCTCAATGATACCTGCAAATTTACAAGTAGATAACTACGCACTCACTGCATAAAATGAACTCTATTTAAGTTATATGGATCGCTTCAGTTTACATCCACATTTCTGTATGGAAAGGCCTATTCTGAATGCCTGATAATTGTATGTGTAAGAGTTGGTTGTTTTGTTTATATGAATGTGGTTTTTGCCAAAAATGTCATAACAGGCATTGATAAGTGAAGATGCTTAGAAAGAAGTAATTACAAATGGTAAACATTAGGTCAGTATTGTAAAGAAATATCCTTGGATGTCAATACAGAAGAATGAAAGTGTTTGAGATAAATCTTATGTTAATTCTGAAGATCTCTATGTCCACACACAGCAACAGACCAATGAGTTAGTTACCCAGACTCCTGGTTCTGGACTAAATTATTCCTTTGTCCCTTCTATTTGGTAGCATTTTTTAATTTAGAAGAAATATTATCAACAAGAATGCAATTTTCAAAGTCTAGGGGATCTTTTCATAATTCTGGATAGGAAATACTTTTATAATGTGACTTCATTGTAATTACATGTTTGTCTTCCCCCCCTTGACAGTAAATCCTTGAGGGCAGGAACTCTGTCTATTCCCTTGGTTTCTGTATCCTCAGAGTCTAGCACAGTATATTTAGTGACACTAAAAAAACTGTGCACACCTCTTAATGCTATTGTATCATTAATTCTAGATTGCCCTGTACCAAATAGAATGTTTGCCTTTAAATGAAGTTGTTTGCTACATTTTATGATGTGATTTTATTATATTCATGTCCAACTCTTAAATTTGTAATAGATAGTAGTTTAGCTTTTAAAGTGGAAGTCAAAGGGAAATAAGGTAAAAACCTTTGCTGAAACACTGGTTCTGTGCCTGAAAAAAATCAAGATTGAGTTAAGTGATGGGGCATCTATAATGGAGGTACATTTTCACTTGAATCATTGGCAATATGGCTTGTCTTCAGGTCAGCAGCTTGAAGACCTACCTCTTAAATGGTGATGCATTCTTAAAAATATTGTTTTCTCAAGTATATTCAAGTGGGAATCTGAATAACTTTAGTTCTTATGTCATGATGTTAATACTGAGTAACGCAGGATAAGAATGTCACAGGGTTTTAGTTTCCATATCTTTTAAAGAAGACTAGTAGTGTCTGTACTTACGATTTAGAACACAGGTGCCAGCAGTTGTGCCTAGGTAGATAAGCCCGAATCACATGCACCAATAATCGAAAGGGTCAGAGATGAAGCACTCAATGAAGCTGCGGAAAATTAATTCATCCTTCAAATATTTCTGAAACAGCAGTTAGGAACCAAGTGATCTCTATGAAATGAAGGAGGGGAATAGACAGACGGCAGCTCTGTGCTCCTGGACCAGGGCTCTTATGTAATACCCAATGAAATGGGATTCGGTCCCGGGATGGCCAGACCGTGCTCTGAGGAAGCAGGAAATTGGAAGCATCTGGTTGAGGTGATGAATATGTGGGGAGGAGAAAATAGAAGCTTCTCGATGGCAGATTTTGAAGCACAGGTGCTACCAAATACATTATCACCCAAACCTGAAAATTCAAAGCTAAGTATGTATAGAGCTTTGGTACTTGACATATGGTGTTTCAAATATAAAAATTATAGACCATCTGTCAAGTCTAGTGGAGCTTATCTTTGAAAGGATCACTGAAGACTGGAGAGCCTGCTACATTTTCACACCTAGAAGTGACTAGACAATCAATACATATTAATTGAGTTGTCATTATGGATGCAGGTCTAGTTGCTGTAGAGAGTTATAGAAAATGTAGAAAATATGGTCTTGTCCTTCAAAACCTAAGGTAAGACAAAAACAGAGGGGCAGATGATGACCTACATGCATGGCTTTTGACTTACTCTAAGTCTTAGGCTTCAGTTTCAAGGTCCATCATTACAATTACTCTTGCGCATTCACCATAAATCCCTTGCTTCTCTCTGGCTTCTTTTTACTTGGTGTTGGCAAAGCCACAACCCTGGATAAATATAATCTATTTGCCTTTCCAAGCCTGCACTCATGCAACTGAATAGCTCTAGAGAAAACACACACTCATGCTGTCTTATCTCACTTTAAACTCATGGCCATAAACCTCAAGTGGGTTCTTGATGTGGCTAGGGCACTGTGCTATTCATCTTGTCTCCCTTCCTCCTCTGCTCACCTAGAAGACTCTTTCCCATCTTCTCCGCTTTGCTTCCCTGTTCTCATTCTCATATGATAAACTTTTATTTCACTGAGCAGACTGAAGCAATCAGACAAGAATTTATAGAAGCTCACATCCCATTTACCTCCCTACACCTGCATCCACACCCTGTGCCTTCTTGCCTGTTCCCGTATAAAGCATCTTCGCTTCTACGTAAAGTTAGGTGTTCCACTTGTTCACAAGATCTCATTTCTTTTTGCCTACTCAAGAATATTGCTCTAGCAATTCTTCCTTCTCTTCTTTAGGCATCCCTCTCTCCTCTCTTTACTAGACTATTTCCACCAGCATTTAAACACGCTGTTACTTTAAAAATCATAAACAAAATATTCTCTTCCCTCTACTTCCTCCATCAGCTAGTGTATGCATTTACTCTCTTTTGTAGCAAAATTTATGCTTTCCAATTTTTTTCTTCCCATTAATTCTTAAATGACTCTCACCAGGCTTCCATTTCCAGAGACTCCATCAAAATTGCCCTCAGTAAGGCCAATGACCTGCAATGACCTACACTTTGCCAATTTTACTTGTCAGTCTTCTGGCCTCTTCTCATTAGTAGCATTTTGTCCCTCTCTCTTCCTTGACACATCTCATCCACTTGGCAAGTCCTGGCTTGACCCTTAGCCCTGTGGCTGCTCCTTCTCAGTCTCCTCTGTTGCTATTTTCTCTTCTTGCCAGCCTCTTGATGTTGGAGAGTCCTAGAGCTCAGACTTTGGTCCTCTTCTTTGCTTACACACTGGCTTGGTGATTTCATTCAGATCCTTGGCTTTAAATAAGGTCTATATGCTGATGACACTTAAATGTGCACCCCTATCTCAGAACTCTCTCTTAAATTCTCTGCTTGTCTAACTACCTACTCAGTGTTTCTACTCTGAGGTCTAATAAACATCTCAAAACTCAGCTTGTGCGAAATCAGACTCTTGAGTTTTATGCGACGATTCCTTCTACGTATTCCACCTGTAGCCTTCCCAATCTTAGTTGATGGCAAGTTGATTCTTCCAGTCAATGTTGCAGTCATCTTGGGTTTTCTCTTTCTCTCACATCCTACATTCAATCCATCAGAAAATCTTCAAATTATATCCAGAATCCAAGTTTTTTTTTTTTTAACCAATCCACTGTAATCACTGTCATTTGAGCCTTCATCATCTCTTACCTGTGTTACTGGAATGGCTTCATAAATAATCTCTCTTCTACTTTTCCTGTTCTTCTACAAACTGTTTTCAACCCAGCAGCAGAGTGATCCTGTTAAATGCACGTCAGTTCAAGACAACTCCTTTCTTTAAAACTCCACCTCATTCAGAGCAAAAGGCAAAGTCATAACATCCATCATGATCTGGCCCCTGTCATCTCTTTGCCTTCTTTCTTACTAGTCTTCCACTGTGTTGCTCTCCTGAGACACACTGGCAACCTCAAACTTACCCTGTTCTCTCCCACTAACAGGTTCTGCCTGGAATACTCTTCTGCCAGACATCTACTTGATTTAGCTGCATACCTCTTCCAAGTCTTGGCTCGTATCTAACTTGCTCAACAATTCTAGCCTGACCACTCTCTTTAATACTACAAACTGCACTGACTCCTACACTCCAGATGCCACTTACCCTGCTGGATTCTTCCTTTTTTTTTTTTTTTTTGAGACAATTTTGCTCTTGTCATCCAGATTGGAGTACAATGGCCCGATCTCGGCTCACTGCAACCACTGCCTTCCAGTTCTAATCGATTCTTCTGCCTCAGTCTCCTGAGTAGCTGGGATTGCAAACCCCCGCCACCACGCCCAGCTAATTTTTGTATTTTTAGTAGTGACAGGGTTTCACCATGTTGGCCAGGCTGGAGTCGAACTCTTGACCTCTGATGATCTGCCTGCTTCGGCCTCCCAAAGTGCTGGGATTACAGGCGTGAGCCACTGTGCCCAGCCGATTATTCCTTTTTAGATAACACATATCAACTTCTTGCAAATGATATGCTTAACTCATTTATCAGGTTTATTGTTTATTGTATGTCCTCTCCCTCATCTCCAATGAAATTTCATAAGGGAAGGGATTTTTTGTTTTGTTCATTGATGTATCCCAAGCTCCTAGAACTCTGCCTGGGTTCATAGTAATAGTATGTGTTCAATAAATGTTGAACAAATGAATAAAGAGTGGTAGCTCTGTGGTCACCATCACCATATATATTAAAATGTATCCGAGTTCTTCTTTGCTTCTTTTCTGCCTTATGTGTACCTTTCAAAATGACACAGCCATAAATTCCAGATGGTTGTTGAGGTAGAAAATTATAGGCCTCCCATTTCAGATGTAAAAATGTAAATAGTGTCTATTTTTAAAAATAAAGTATTAAATTTCCTTGGCCTTACACTTTTCGTTTTGATTCTAGCAAATTATCTTGTCTGAAAGCTTTGGAACTACAGAACTTCACCACGAGCAGTTCCAGTAAAGAAAGGAACTGTGCAAATTCAAGTGCAAAGGGTCATTTGTAAGAAATATTTTGGGTAAAGTTGGAGATTGAAAACATTTACAGGAATAAAATTCTGTTGTGGATTTGGTAATAATGAACTTGCCCTTGAAGGATTTCTGTAAAAAAATCCTTTGAGACAGCTGGACATTAAATTTTAGTGTATTGCCTACAGAATGTAGACTTCAGTTCCTAAAAGCTCCTCGTACTAATTGATGATCATAGATGAGAGTATCCATCCAAATTATTCATTGTAACTTTGGAAAATATATTATTGCACATTTCTTTAGAAGATACATGGTCTTACTGCTTTCTCCTTTGTGCATAAAGGTAAATAAAGTGATGACTCTTATGTAGGAGAAATTTGTTTTGGACAAGTATAGGAATGTAGAAAATAAACTATAAACTCATTTTCTGTCTTTAGGTAAAATTAGTCCTTGATAGAGGAATTCTGTTAAAACGATGACAACAACAACAAAAAACTCAGGATAGTGGGTACTGGGAGACCCACGTACTACTCCTAACCCAGCTTTTATTTTGAGTTGTAATCTTTAGTGTAATAAGTCAGTTTAGCCCTCTGGGTCTGAGACAGTTTCTTTTTCTTTAATATTCTTTGAATTTATAATTTATGTCTTAGCTGTGTTTATGTTGTTTTGAAAAAAAGAAATCCAATTTTGATTAATTAACCTGTACAGCCAAGGAGATATTTCTTTTGACTGAATGTCAGTTATTATATTCAATAAACTTTTCTTTATTGAGTGAAAAACAATGTCAGATTCTATCTTAAAACTTCCTTTGTTTACCTTTCAGAAAACTTTTGTGGGTACGTTTTGTCTGATTAAAGGTGTGAGTCGCATGGCTGTGACTCTTATCCTCAGCAACCTGAAGACAACTGATTTGTGTGGTTGACTTTGGAATCAACCACATGAATAATATGGGTCCTGTGTTCCTTAGACATCAGTCACCTCTCTATCAATAAACTGGAGACGCTGGCTTGAAAATTGGATATCTGAAATCCTGTTGTGAAGAAGCTTCATATTTCCTTTTGTATATCAAACTGTTAACTCTTTCTGTTATCTCTGTGGGAGCAGAGACCCCATTTTCACCAACGTGTGCCCTAAAACAGACACCATACTGAGTATTCAAAGCATATTTATTGAATGAATAATCGAATGAATAACAATGAAATAATGAATTATTTGTTTCATAACATGGAGAGTGATTTAAGCCATGGGCATTTGTGGAACTGGAAACATAAAGAACTCTAGGGAAAAAACATACCAATATGACAAGGATTCAATTTATTTCAAAGACGGGGTCTCAGTTATAAGCAAAGGGAAAAGACAGTCAACTTACTGGACAGGGACAGAGCAAGAGCAGTTCCAGGCAACCTTGGCTGAGTCATTGTCCTAGAGATCCACAATTTTACCTTGATTTGGGCAGAATACTTGAGATTCATTTGATAACAGGAATCTCTCTCTACCTCTCTCTCTCTCTTTCTCTGGTCATTTTTCTCTTTTGTGGTTGAAATTTTCATTTGTATTTTCATATACTCTGGCATATTTATACTTGCAGATTTATATTTGTATTTTGTTCCTTAATTTTCATTTTCTTACAGATGATTTTCATAAACTTCAGTTATTTTCATTACATCTAAACAAATTACATCTGAACTAGTTTTTCCAACCTAACTTCACCTCTTGGAGAATTTACCAAAAACATCTTTGAAGGCTTTATGTGTCTTTGGTTTCTCTTCCGCATTTTGCTAGTGGCTGGAACATAGAAGGGAGTCAGTAACCCCTTACAGAATTAGTACATTTCAGCATTTTGGGTTGGTCCTAGCTTCAAAAGAACTTT
Source organism: Homo sapiens (assembly GCF_000001405.40). Classification (NCBI taxonomy): domain Eukaryota; kingdom Metazoa; phylum Chordata; class Mammalia; order Primates; family Hominidae; genus Homo; species Homo sapiens. Next base: position 136,147,208 of record NC_000007.14, read on the forward strand.
CAGTGATAACATGTGTACTTCAGAGCCATTCATTTAAAGTGTTCTTTGAAAAATGTTTTGTAAATAGTTTTTATAGAAAGTTAGAAAAATGAGTATGTAATATTCTCCTCAGTTTTTTAAACAACTCTCATTGATGGTGCTGCTAAACTTCAGAAGCCTAAAATATTTTTTAGCTATATTAGTTTTATTATAATTCAGGTGATTTTATTGCCATTTATATTACTTTTCTTATTATATTTGTATAAGAAAGTAGAGAAAATTACTTTTATTTCATGGCTATGAGTATGGCATTTTTTTCCATAATACTTCTCTACGCTTTTACTTTTTAATGTTAAATCTAACATTCCCTATCTGAACACATTTTCATAAGTATTATTGCTGATTGCAGTGTATTTTTATGGCTATTTAAAAGCATAGTTGATTAAACCTGTGTGTTTTTAATGAAATTTTGCAGCAAATGAAATACTTCATTTGTTTTCAAATGTTTTTATTCTGAAAAACTTTAAACATATCCAAACTAGGAAGGATAATCATTGATACAAATTCATCATCCAAACTGAGAAATTGTGCAGGCAGGTTTTTCTACTTTTAAAATTCTATCCCTTTATTTACTTTGCCTAAGTTTTCTTTTCTTTTTCTTTTTCTTTTTTTTTTTGAGACAGAGTCTCACTCTGTTGCCCAAGGTGGAGTGCAGTGGCACAATCTCGGCTCACTGCAACCTCCGCCTCTCGGGTTCAAACTATTCTCCTGCCTCAGCCTCCTGAGTAGCTGGGACTACTGGTGCATACCACCATGCCCGGCTAATTTTTGTATTTTTAGTAGAGACGGGGTTTCACCATTTTGGCCAGAATGGTCTTGATCTCCTGACCTCGTGATCTGCCCGTCTTGGCCTCCCAAAGTGCTGGGATTATAGGCATGAGCCACCCTGCCTGGCCTACTTTGCCTAAATATTTTAGAGCTTATTCTAGAAATTGTGTCATTTACTTCTACATACAGCTTTAAAGAATACAGGTATACTATTACATAACCACAATGTCATTATCACACCCAATAGATTAACAGTAATTCTTTGGTATCATCTAATACCATGCCTTCAATCAAAGCTTCCTAGATTCCTCCAAAAATGTCTCTGTACAGTTCATTGGTGTCAGAGTGCCTATCAGGGAACCTGTTATGATAGCAGAACTGAAGGAAGGTCAGCACGATCTGAGCACAGAGAACAAAGAGGAGAGTAGTAAGACTGGAAAAGAAGGCAAGAGTCAAGCCATGTATGGACTTGAAGTTCACAGTAAGGACATTTATCCTAAGAACCAAGGGAAGCTATGATTTTCTGAGATTATCCTGGCTTTTGTTTAAAGAATGAATTGAAAAGGTGAGGGTTAGTCCAAATTAATTAGTTCCCAATAGTTAAAAGTGGGAGTTGCCTAGGTAGAATTTTTTTTTTTTTTTTTAAACAGGGTCTCGCTCTGTCACCCAGGCTGGAATGCTGTGGCGCGATCTCGGCTCACTGCAACCTCTACCTCCTGGGTTCAAGGGATTCTCCTACCTCAGCCTCCAGAGTAGCTGGAATTACAGGCATGCATCACCACACCCAGCTAATTTTTGTATTTTTAGTAGAGACGGGGTTTCACCATGTTGAGTAGCCTGGTTTTGAACTCCTGGCCTCAAGTGATCCACCTGCCTCAGCCTCCCAAAGTGCTGGGATTACAGGTGGGAGCCACCGCGTCTGGTGCTCCTAGGTAGAATTTTTCACCCAGACATTTACCCTTTCTGTTGCTCATCTTTCTTTTGTTTAGATCTACATTCCTATCTACTACGGTTTCCTTTCCTCTGATGAAAGCTCCTTTTCTCTGATGAAAGACTTCCTTTTACATGTCTTGCAGTGTAAGTCTGATGTCATAAACTCTCTCAGATTTTCTTGATCTTAGAGTCTTAATCTCACCTTGCTTTTTGAATGACATTTTCATTGTTTATAGAACTCTATGTTTACCTTTAAAGAAAGCACTTTAGAGATGTCATTCCGTTGTCTTCTGACGTGGATGCCTTTTTATGAGTTATCTATTATCATTTTTATCTTTATTCTACATTTTTTTCCTCTGTATGCTTTAAATAGTTTTTCTTTAGCATGAGTTTTAAGTAATTTACGACAAGCCTTTGTGTTGCTTGCTTTATTTCTTTTCCTTTAGATTTATCAGGCTTCTTTGATCTGTGAATTATAGTTTTCATAAAATTTGGAAATAAAATGTGGTCACTATTTATTCATATATACTTTTTTCTGCTCCTCACCCCTTTTCTGGAACTCTAATCACATGCTAGACTGTTTAGTCTCACAGCTCACAAAGCATTTTATTTTTTAGGTTTTTTCTCTCCATGTTTCATTTTGGATTTGTTTTTCACCTTACCTTGAAGTTCACTGATTTTTCTTTTGCAATGTTTAATCTGCGGTTAATTCCATCTGGTATATTTTTTATTTAAGTTACTGTGTTTTTCATCTCTAGAAGTTTCATTTGGGCCTTTCGGTATTTTTCGTTTATTGTTTTGTCATTTTTTTACATTGTTGACATCTTTTTAAGATTTATAATAGCCATTTTAAAGTCCTTACTAATTCCATCCTCTGTGTTATTTCTGGACCTATTTCTAATAATTGATTTCTACCTGAGGTTTGGGTTACATTTTCCTGCTCCCTTACATGCCTTGAAATTTTGATCAGATGCTAGAGATTGTGAATTTTACGTTTTTGGGTTGTAGGTTTTGTCATTTTTTTTTTTTTTAAAGAGTGTTGGATTTCTTTCTGGTGTTCAGTGAAGTCACTCACAGATAAGTTTGATCCTTTAAAGGCTTGCTTTTAAGCTTTGTTAAAGCAGCTCCAGAGCAATCTCTATTCTGGGATTAATTTAGCCCAACGACTAAGGCATAATCCTTCTTAGACCTCTATCCAGTGCACTATGTATTACACTTTGGTTGGTGGGACCACCGATAATTCTTATCCTGTGTGAGTTCTACAGTTGTCCTGTCAACTGCTTTCTGGTGCCTCTTCTGCAACCTCAGGGGTTTTCTTCCCATGTGTGCACTGATCTGTACTCAACCAAAGACTTGAAGGAACTCCTCTTCAGATATCCAGAGTTCTCTCTCTTTCTGTTCTTCCTCCTCTGTCATTCTCTGTTCTGAAAATTCTTGCCACTGTGGCCTACCTATATTCTGATCTGTGTGTTCTTAAACTAATGAGACAGCTGGTTTCTGTTTGTGTTCCTCTCCCTGAGCTGTGGCCTCGGCCTCCAGACAATTCCCTAGCCTTGGGCATTGTGGGTTCACTTCTTTCAGTCATCACAGTCCTGGCCTTCCTGTTGTCCAATGTCCAGAACTTTGTTTTATGTATTTTTTTCTGATTTGTTTATGGCTGGAGGGCAATTGCTGTCATAATTTATCTTTCAAGGTAGAAGCAGAATATACTGTATGCATATGTCTATGAATAAGGCAGACTCTTTTTCCTTGGGGAATTAAAAGCTGGGAGACAAGTTTCTATTATGGAAAAGAAAGTCATAGTTGTTGTAATCAGTCCTTTGTGGAAAGTAACTTGGGATAAATTCCATTTGTATTTGGCTTGTGATTGTTTGTATACAATTGATTGGTTATGTGGAGAATCCTAGATTTAGGTGCCACTACAATGGTGGAACATGAGATTGCCCTGTTGTTGAAAGTAATGTGGAGGTTGATGGGGGGCAGTATTATATTAAGGCTGCTGGGTGATGTACAGGGGAGGTAGAGTTTGGCTCTGCATGCATGGACCACAGGACTCAGTCTGCCTAATTATTGATTCAGACCCTCCACCTCTTTTGTCTGTTTGTTTTTACTTTAGGCTCTCTTTTTCTCTTTTTCCCTACTCCCTGCTCGCCTCCCTCATCTTGTGGTTTATGCAGCAGTAAGTCCTGCTTGTTGTCTGTTCCTTTTATTACTTGATAAAGGATGTTTGGGTCTTCAGATTTTAGGTGATAAGCTTATAATTCTTAGCTATGAAAATGTAATTGAAGCAATGAAGTGGATTGAAAGAGCATTGAGGTTAACCACAAAATCAGGATTCATTCACTGAAGAAATAATTTTTGAGTAGCCTTGCTGTATCTGGCTGTATTCTAGGTACTGAGATACAACAGAGAACCAGATAGACAAAATGCCTACTACTAAGGATCCTACATTCTAGTGTAGGGTGAAAGACTCTAAAGAAGGAAGCAAATAGGCCAGGCATTGTGGCTCACATGTATAATCCCAGCACTTTGGGAGGCCAAGGCAGGTGGATCATGAGATCAAGAGATCGAGACCATCCTGGCCAACATGGTGAAACCCCGATTCTACTAAAAAAAAAATACAAAAATTAGCTGGACTTGGTGGCGTGTGCCTGTAGTCCCAGCTACTGAGGAGGCTGAGGCAGGAGAATCACTTGAACCCGGGAGGTGGAGGTTGCAGTGAGCCAAGATTGCACCACTGCACTTCAGCCTGGTGACAGGGTGAGACTCCATCTCAAAAAAAGAAAGTAAACAAATAAATACACAATATTATCTTGGATCAATACCATAAAGGAAATAACAATAGGATAGACAGTGACTATCATCACAATGACCAATTCAGATTGGGTGGTCTGGGAATTAAAAAAATAGTGTAAGATATATTTTGAATAAGCATCATTCATGAAGTAATTAAAATTTGTTTTTGTCAGCTGCTATTTTTAAAAAATTGTATTTTGTGATTGTAATCCTTCCTTGATTCTGGATAGAATCTTGGGCAGATTGAATTACTTTTCTGCTCTCTATTAGGTAGTATCACAAACGTAGTCTCAATTCTGTAACTAGAATATTTACTCCTAGCTATTAAACTGGCCTTAAGTAGTCATTCAAACTCATCCTCAAATATTTATTTTTCTCTTTCTGCATGCCAGGCCTTTGGAGAAGTGACATAGTGGTGGTGGTGTTTAGTTTTGCTCTCTTTCTAAAGAGAAAGATGAATAAAGATTCATCTCCTTCAGCATACATAGTTACTGTTTTGCTCTTAGCCTGGGTCAAAAAAGGTGAGAGTGGAGTAATAAGAATGAATAAAGATATGGGGCTGGCGGGGCACAGTGGCTCATGCCTGTAATCCCAGCTGAGGTGGGCATATCACCTGAGGTCAGGAATTCGAGACCAGCCTTGCCAACATGGTGAAACCCTGTCTCTACTAAAAATACAAAAATTAGCTGGGCATGGTGGTAGGTGCCTAAATCCTAGCTACTTGGGAGTACTGAGTCAGGAGAATCACTTGAGCCTGGGAGGCAGAGGTTTCAGTGAGCTGAGATTGTGCCATTGCACTCCAGCCTGGGCAACAAGAGCGAAACTCAAAAAAAAAAAAAAAAAAAAAAAAAAGACACTTAGGGCAGGTCCTACTGGACTGTCTGGCTTTTTGTTTGTTGGTGCTGATACATCCTTAAAGCTCACCATATATACAGTGAAATACAATTCAGCCTTGAATAAAGAAGAAAATCCTGCCATATATGATAACATGGATGAACCTGGATGACATTATGCTAAGCAAAATAAGAAAGTCATAGAAAGACAAATACTGCATGATTACATTTATATGTGGGATTAAAAATAGTAAAATATATAGAATCAAAGAGGAGAATGGTGGTTTCCAGGATCAGTGGATATAGAGTTTCAGTTAGGCAAGATAAATAAGCTGTAGCGATCAGCTATACAACATTGTACTTATAGTCAACAATATGTTGTACACTTAAAAATTTATTTAGAGGGTAGATGTCATGGTAAGTATCCTTACTGCGATAAACATAGAAGAAAAAAAAGCTGGCCATCTCCTGTGTGCTGTTACGTCCCTTCACAGGCTCCTTGCTGAGCTCTTCTGACCCCAGCTCTGAGTGATGCACATTTACCTTTGGCTGAAGCTCTCTGCCCCATATGCTGACTCTGTCTGCTGCATGGCCCGTTTTAGTACATGGGTATCTTTTACCCAGTAAACTCTGAGAAAGTGAGGTCAAGCTAACTCAATAGCTCAGTTCTGGCTTTGCTATCAAAGGACTTAGTATAGTTTTAGATTTCCCAAATAGGAATCAGCCCCTGTCCACTATGCATCTACCTAAGGGTTGTGTGTGAAAATCTCCCAGTAGACCTGAGACTGATGGTAAAGGGGTACTTCTCCATTTCCCAGTAGGGATGAATGGGGTTCACAGCACGACTTTCTCCAAAGAGAATCTCCTCACAAACTTTTTTTTTTTTCAAAATCTTCTTTTGATTATTTTATATTTTTAAAGTGGGTAGAATGTTCAAGAGTTGTGCAACTTTTTCTCAAGGCTTCTTAAAATATTGGCATTTTCATCTGACATCTTACTTGGAATTTCATATTTTCATCCTGTTGTCTCATTCAAAACCCTAATCATCATCTTATTATAATAGTTAATGGTTGTCGAGTGTTCACAATCACTCAGTGTTCTATGTGCTTTACATACATGAACTCATATAATTCGAAGAATTTTTAATACCATTAATTACTGTTAGTACTCTGATTTCATAGATGAGGGAAGTGAGGCTCAAGGTTAAATGACTTGTCCAAGAGTGCTCAGCTGGGAAATGGCAAGGCTGGCATTCAAACCCAGGGAGACTATCTGCACAGTCCATGGTACACAGGATCCCTCAAGCTGGGAATTCCTACTCACCTCACTCCCATTGAGCTGAGACCAGAATGGCCAGCAAAATGCCAGCAGTGCAATCATCAGGGGACAGAATGTTCTAGGTAGCAAGCTAGTATTGCTTTTCCTCCTGCAGTTCTGTAGCCTATTCCCTTTTTGTTTCTACTGTTATTGGTGCTTGATCCTCTCAGCTGATATTCCTGGTCTTCCTGGAGTAGCCATTCAACTACTGTCATCTGTCACTTAGAACAAGAGTCTGTATAAAAAGCCCGAGACAACTTTTGGGTGATAAAATTGGGTGATAAAATCAATCTGCCGATAACTGATTACAGCTTTCTCCTAAAGGAAGGAAAGGAGGTCAACACATTTAGATTTGTTGAACTTTGGCAATTCATTATAGAGAAAGTATGCATGTATATTTCAAATTGGTTTTGCTTTTCATACTTGATCTAGCTTCTAATTGTATTTTGAAATAAATAAATTTATTTTTCTTTAAAAAGGAAGCAAGGACCCCGATATCTGGGTCTATGATACCTAAATAAGCCAAATTATTCACCAGTGGTTCTCAACTGGGGTTCATAGGGGACATTCAGAAATGTCCAAGGGCTTTTAGATGTCACTATATCTGAAAGAAATGCTAGCATTTAGTTGGTGGGGCCAGGGCTGCTTAATGTCCTGACATGTACAGTCTCACACAAGAAATTATTCTACCTCATTGGTCTCTTGGAGAATATCACCATAGAGGCAGCTGAGGACAAAGGCCAAGGTGGGCTGTCTCACCTGTGCAGAACTAATCCTTTATTTCCTTGCCTTATCAGTAATAAAACACCAATCATCCATCTATTTGGAAACAATTGATATCTTGGCAGCTGGAATAAATAAATGACTTGCTTTAAAAAAATAGCCAATTCTTCCTTTCCACGTCAATTGGAAGTGAATTGTGCACATTCACATACAGTCATGGTTTTGTGAAAGGAGATCTCAGGAGTGGAGGTGAACTGTGCACTTCCTAATACTGTGGGTCTGGGATGGGGAGTATGAAGTTATGCCACAAACGATGTGACTCTGTTTCTGCAGTCTCCCCTGGTGTTTGCAGCAGGATGAAGAGCTAAACACAAGTGTTTTTTAGAGCATTTTGGACCAGAACCCTCCCATTTGCCTTCAGGGACACCACATTTCTGGTAAACAAGGAAGAACTAGCTTTTTATTTTACATGTGGGCTGTCTCGAGTGAAAAGTTAAGGTAATTTTATTCACGTGGGTTTGCAAGGATAAAAAGCTTATTTTTTCCTGCCTGTCTCTGATATCGAATATTGTTCTAGAAAAAATAACATTAGTTTACAACTTAAGGTCTGTTTATCACACAATCTTGTATATATTGGCAGCAACTTAATAACTTTATATTTAATCTTACTAATATTCTTCGCTTCTGTCTTCCAAAATGGCACTGGAACTTCATATAATAGATAATGACTTGTCACCTTTGATTTCTACTTAATCTGAGGAAAAGGTTTTCTGATAATGTTTGAAAGGCCAGTAAATATAACTTGAGTCAACATTTTATCACTGAAGCTCACTACAAGCTAATGTTTACCCATTTTTATAAACTTTTAAAGAACAGCATCTCGTCACCCCCATAGTGCCAAATATTATCTCTGTCTACATTCTGTTCATCTTAGAACAGTTTCTTTTCTCTCTGTGTCGATTTCTTGTCATGCTAAGTAATTATTGTATAGACCTCTTAGTTTCACATGAACATCATCTTCCTTTAGCTCTGATGAATTTTAATTGTCTCCTAAAACTTCCCCTTGGCTTCAGTTTCTCAAAGAGATCAATAAAAGATAATTTGAATTCTTTACATAATTGACAGTGCCTCATTTCTCTTAGAGATGAGCTGACTTGACATTAGACCTAAGTCTTATCTATTTGACATGCACGAGATGAATGAAAATCATTTAGTCTGTATTATTCTCAAAGCCATCTCATTGTTGCTATGTTAAAAAAAATAGGATGAAGGATCTGTGATAAAAATAAAGATGAAATATTTATTTCATCTTTACAGATATGACTCTGCCCATGCAGCTCTTGAGGTGGTATCATAAGGGGAGTGAGTATTGGCTTGAACTATTTGGGAACTTTAATAGAGGGTATTAGTGAGGAAATTAGGCTGGGAAGATGACTAGCCATGAAGGATGGCCCTCAAAGGGAAGCCAGTCTGCGTAGTATTGTGCTCAAAAGCATAGAGGAGCTCAGGCTGGTTGAGCAATAATTGCTTGTAAGAGCACTGATCCTGCAAGGCAGGACACGGTAGGGAGAGGATACCAAAAAAATGGTCAGTGTCAGGAGATCATCTACTTGCTCCCATCTATGGAGGTGGTAGAATGAGAGGTATGGAGAGCAGGATTATTTTTTTAAGGGAAAAATGGCCAAGAGGAACTGAGCAGGGCAGAGGAGCTTTCAGTTACTTGTGGTTTAGGTCCTGGGACAGGGAAATCAGTACTGGAGTGTTGGGGTAGGGAGTTAATGTGGGAGCCTTGCTTTTAGATTCAAATCAACATAGTATAGGGGAAAAAATTTTGTGCCCAACTCAGGGCAACAAAAGTACGAGTATGTTCTGTGTGGTAGTTAAAGAAGCATCAAGGCTCCAAGCCCCACCTACTAAATCTCAAAGCTTATAAAAAATTTGCATTAATTTTTTCTTTCTGATGAAAAACACACACACAGTTTTTTAAAGGCAACTTAGAAAATATAACAAAGAATAACGAGAAAACAAAATCACCCATAACCTTACACCAAAGAATAGCTTCTTTTAACAACGTGTTATACTACCTGCCCGTTTGTTTATCTGTTAGTCCCTTAACTTATCTTGAGCACTTGGGATTAGACAAGACCTCTTAAGATATTTCAAGTTGATAATTTCCCCATGTCATTATATGTTCTCAAAAAGCAAGTTTAAAGTGTTTGTTAATACTTCATGATAGAGCCACAAATCGATTTTATCTCTTCAATGTTAAACACATTCATTCATTCAATTAATGTTTGTTGGATGTCTACTTTGCATCAGGTACTGTTCTGGGTGCTGAAGATACTTCAGTGACCAAGGAAAAGTCTCAGCCTTCACAGAGCTCACAGCCTAGTTACTTTACATTCCAATTGCTTCTATTTATATATATATTTTTTGCCATTATAAATAATGCTGGACACACACAATCCTTGTATAGCAATCTTTCACTCTATCTGTGATTATTTCTTTAGGCTATAATTATTTCAATAATATTTTAAACTTTTATCCAACTTTTACTATGAATACTTCAAAATACAAAAATGTTAAATGGATAACATTAAATACATATACGCTTATGTACAAACACATACATGTATATGTATAAGTGCACACACATTTGAAAGGAAATTGCCAACTTGTGCACTTCATCTCAAAATGCTTCCGCATGTTATTTTCTAAAAAGGGAAAGTTTTTCCTATATAACCACAGTACCATTATCATCTAAAATAATTAACAATCATTATGAAATATGAATCAACATCTTGTCCATATTCATTTCTTTCCCAATTTCTCCAAAGTTTCTTTTATAACTTAAAACCAATAGAATCCAAACAAGGTGATGTGTTGCAATTTGTTGTTATATCTATTTAGTTTTTTGTTTCTGTCTCTCCCCCTTTCTTCACCTCATCTCCCTGCCCACCCCTCGTTGAAATAGTTGTAGATTCACATGCACTTCGGTGACATAATAAAGAAAAGATCTGTATACACTTTGCCCAGTTTCCCCCAATTGGAATGTTTTGCAAAACCATAGTGTAATATCACAACTGGGTTGTTCACATTGATATAATCCAGCTTGTAAAAGAAATACTTATTCAGATTTGCTCAGGTTGTTATATGTGTGTGTGTATTAAGTTCTATATAATTTTTATCATCTGTGTAGGTTTGTATTTCCACCACTACAATCAAGACACTGAATAGTTCCAACACCATAGGATCTCTTTTGTTAATCTTTGATAACCACAACTGCACCCCTATTGTTTCCTAGCCCCACCCCATGCCCGACCCCTGGAAACCACTAATCTGTCCATCATTTCTGAAATTTTGTCATCTCAAAAATGGTATACAGTGTAACCATACAGAATGTCATCTTTTGGGATTGTTTTTTTTAACTCAGCATAATTTTCTGGAGAGTCATCCAAGTGGCTATATTAATTGATAATTTTTTCTTTTTTATTGCTGAATTGTATTCCATGGTATGTATGTACTACAATTTATTTAACCATTCACTTGGTGAATGGACATCTGGACTAATTACAGTTTTTGGTTTTACAAACAAAGCTGCTATGAACATCTGTGTGCAAACTTTTGTGTGAACATACATTTTCATTTCTCTGGGATAAATGCCCAAGGGTGTAATTGTTAGATTCTATGATAGGTGCATGTTCAGTTTTTTTCAGAAATTGCTAAACTCTTCCAAAGTGGCCGTATTCCTGCCAGCAATGTGTGAGTGATCCAGTTTCTCTGCATACTCACCAACATTTGGTATCGTTAACTATTTTTCATTTTAGCCACTTTGATAGGTGTGTAGTTGATATGGTTTGGATTTGTGTCTCCGCCCAAATCTCATGTCAAATTGTAATCTCCAGTGTTGGAGGAGAGGCCTGGTGGGAGGCGATTGGATTGTGGGGAAAGATTTTCCCCTTGCTGTTCTCGTGATACTGAGTGAGTTCTCGTGAGGTCTGGTTGTTTAAAAGTGTGTAGCGCCTCCCTCTTCTCTCTCTTCCTCCTGCTCTTGCCATGTAAGACGAGCCTGCTTCCCCTTCACCTTCTGCCATGACTGTAAGTTTCCTGAGGCCTCCCCAGCCATGCTTCCTGTACAGCCTCTGGAACCATGAGACAATTAAACCTCTTTATTTGTAAATTACCCAGTCTCAGGTATTTCTTTATAGCAGTGTGAGAATGGACTAATATAGTAGTAATAGTTCATTGTGGTTTTAATTTGCATTTTCCTGATGGTTCATGATGTTAAGCATTTTTGTGTGTGTGCTTATTTGTCATCTGTATATTCTCTTCAATAAAATGTCTGTTCATGTCTTTTGCCTATTTTCTAATAGATTTTTTTTTTACTGCTAAATTTTGAGCATTCTTTACATATTCTAGATACTAGTCCTTTGTCACATACATGGTTTTCAAATATATTCTACCACTCTGTAGCTTGTTTTTTTTATCTTCTTCACCTGGTATTTCATAAATAAAAATTTTTATATTTTAATGAAGTCCAACTTGTTAAGTTTCCATGTTACTCTTTTGGTGTTGAGTCTAATAACACTTTGCTTAGTGTTAAATCTGGAATATATTCTGCTTTTTTTCCCTAAAAGTTTTATAGTTTTTACTTTTAAGTTAATGATCCATTCTAAATTACTTTTTGTACAAGGTTTGAAGTTTCAGTCAAAGTTAATCTTTTTTTTTTTTGGCCTATGTTCAGTTGCTCAAGTCCCATTTGTTGAAAAGGCTATCCTTCTTTCATTGAGTTGCTTTTGCACTTTTATTAAAAATCTGTTAGGCATATTTATGTGGTTCTATTTCTACTTTTTTCTCTTCTGATCCATTGGTCTATGTGTCTATCCCTCCACCAATACCACATAGTCTTCATTACTGTAGCTATATATTATGTCTTGAAGTTAAGTAGAGTGATTTTCCCCCCATTTTATTCTTTTTTGTTTAATTTATTTTTAGCTATTCTAGGACCTGTACCTTTCCATATGAATTTTAGAATAAGTGTTATGGCTTTCCATATGAATTTTAAAATAAACTTATCTATGTCTACAAGACACCTTGCTGGAATTTTGATAGAAATTGCATTAAAGCAATTTGGGAGGAGCTGACGTTATTACTATGTTCAGTATTCCAATCCATGAGTATTTTATGTCTCTCCATTTATTCAGATTTTCTTCAATTTCTTTCATTAGTATTTTGTAATTTTCAGCATTCAGATCATTTTTTTGGTTAGGTATATACCTAAGTATTTTCTTTGAAATAATTGTGAATGATATTATGCTTTAAATTTCAGTTTCTACATATTTATTGTTAGCATATAGAAATGTGATTGATTTTTGTGTGTTGATTTTGTATCCTCTGGTCTTGCTGAACTCACTTATTCTAAGATTTTTTTATAGATTCCTTGGAATAATATTTAATCACATTATTTACAAATAGAGATAATTTTATTTCTTCCTTTGCAATGTGTATATTTTCTGCAGCATCTTTTAATCTAGTCTAGTTTACTACTTTTTTCCCCTAAAAAGGGGAATATTTTTGAAGATATCAGTACAGTTGTCTTGTAGGACATGCCAACTGGGTTTGTTCATTGTTCTCCTGCGGTGTCATTTAGCCTGGTCCTTCATTTCTGCTTTTCTTGTAAACTGGACCATTACATCTAGAGGCTTGAGGAGATTTAGGTTAAATATTTTTGGGAAGAATATTTCTTAAGTTATGCTGTGTACCTCATGCTGTATGACAATAGGAGACTTTATAATATCAAGTTGTCTCATTATCGTGACGCTAAGTCTGATTGTTTGGTTAAAGTGTAGACTGCAAAATCTTTCCTGTGTCAAGATGCATGATTATTTTACTTAGCAATTTCTGGCATAGTTCTTTGGCACTGTGAGGATAGCCTATTCCCCAGTGATCCTTTCTGTTATGGTTTAGAATGCATTGATAATCTTTGCCTGAATCAACCATTTATTAAGCTTTGTAAAATGGTGACTTTTAGTTCTTTTATTCCTTCTTAATTTATGAACTGACATTCTTCTGTGGTGGTTTATCTTATCAACTAGAGTGGAACTATATTTTTCTCTCTAAAGTCAGGGTAAATGCTTAGTTCTTTTTTTATTATAAATTTTCAGGACTATGGTATAATCATTACCTCCATAGTTCAAACTATTCATTTCTTCCTTCCTTTCTTCTTCCTTCATTCCCTTTCTTCTTTTCTTGCAGTTTTCCTCCCTTCCTTCTTCCCTCCCTTTCTCTTTTTCTTGCTTTCATTACTGATGTCACAGAAGACCTTACATTTTTCAATGCTTTTCAATCAATTATTGCCATTATTCTTTCTGATACTCAAATGTCTCAAACCTGGCCAATGGAAGCTCCTTTAAACGGTCTCTCATGTCCTTTTAACATCAATTTATTATTCTTTGTGCACTTGCTTGCTTTCTGGAACAAGATCTCCTAGGCTGTCCTATATTTTTTGTGCCTTGAATCTAAAATCAAGGACCTCTGGCTCCTTGGCTGAGGAATGGTATTTTTACTCTTCCTGATTCCCTCTGTCCTTTGATTTGGATGTTACAGTCTCTGAAAGGAAGCAACCTCCAGGACACTATGCAATGTTTCCAGGGGCCCTATTATTTTTTCTTTTCCTTAAATAGCAAACATGATTAATGCCAAGGTTAGTGTTTCTAATGTTTGGTCCCAGAGTGAGGCCTAACAATGTATCTTGTAAAAACTCAGACATACTCAGGAATGTCTATAGCTTTGACAGAACCAGGCTGCTGGGATGCCACTTGCTTAAAAAACTTAGAAATATTATAGAAATTAAACATGACCAGGCAATTGAGATTGACTGTGGCCCTTGATTCAGATTTTACATAAGTGTAAAATTTTTTTTTAACTCAGCATAATTTTCTGGAGAGTCATCCAAGTGGCTATATTAATTGATAATATTTTTCCTTTTTATTGCTGAATTATATTCCACGGTATGTATATCACCATATAAGTATGGTGATATCTTAAAAATGTGGGCTGATTTAAGATGTAGCTCACTTGAATGAGAAGGCCAAGATATACAAACTTAGTGTGGGTAGGCTGCTGGGGGATGGAGAAAAGAGAATACTGTACTCACCTGACAATAAACTGTCTTTTGTCCACTTCCCAATAACTTTTTTTTGAGCCCATAAATATTCACTGAGGGGAAAACATGTACTTCTAGATAGGTCCCCATTGTGTAAAAGCAAAAGCATATTGTCTATGTTCATTATGCTCATGGCCCATGGGAGAGACAGACAGGTAACCTCTGGGTGACCACAGGTGCTGAGAGGAGGCTACGGGAGCACAGAAGAGGGACATCTGGTTCAGACTGTGTGTGGTGTGGGTGTGAATACGTGCACATGCATGTCAGAAAAGATTTTTAGAGGAACTGGGCCCTGTCAACTGAGGTTTTAGGATTTGAGGGAGTTAGTGTATGGTAGAGAGTCTTTTGTTTATTTCCGTGAGTCTTTAGGATGCATGTTGGAAGGCAGGGTCACATGCACTGGACTCGTCTTTCCATATCCTCAAAGAGTTGTTTTCTTTCTCTGCATTAGGGATTGGGTCCCAATATTTCATTTTTGTTTGTGTGCTGTTAAGGCAGATAACATCAGCAGCATCCTTGAACATCAGCAGCATCCCTGCAGAGATCTGCCAACTTAGTTTATGATTCCTTAAAAAGCACCTCTACCTACAGCCTAGTCTGCTGGCAGCTATGACTCTGGCTGCCAGGGCTACTTGCTTTTCATGATGGGTTTTCTCATACTTCTTAGTTCCTCACAGCATGCCCCATTTTGCTCCATTTCAGGTCAACATGCACAGGCTGGTGATAAATCCCATTGTCACCCAACATCATATCTCCTGGTACATAGTTGTTGCGGCAAGCTCTTTAAGATCATCCATCAGTGAATGAGTGGATGTCCAGCACTTTCTGTTTTCTTCCTTTTGGTTTGCCCAGACACAGCATGCTGCCTTCAGTAATATCTCTCACGCAGAGATTCTCATAAGGAGTAAGGGAGGAAGCATGGAATGGGAGGAGGGAGCTGTGGACCTTGGAAGTTGTCTGCGGGAAATGGATAACCTCCCTTCTGGCTTCCTACCCTGGTCTACGCACACACACTAAGAATCCATGTACTAAATCACCCCAGTTCCTTCACGTACAAGCTCCAGCTGGACTAGGATAAATTTTTTTTTTTTTTACACTTACAAACAAAAATATTCATTTCAATTAAATTCAACCAACATTTCTTGAATGCTTACTACAAAAAGGGCACTTCCAGGTATGGATGGCTAAAAAGATTTGGCTTCTTCCCTAAGAAAGCTTCTCATTTAGAGGGAAACAGATAAATACATGATTATACTGCCTGGCAAAAAACTTGAATCATTTCAGTTGACTTTAGGAGAAGGGAATTACGCGATTTCTAGGCAAGTCCTTAGAGCAGAGGAGAAGTGACACTAACCATCCAGGAGGCAGGGTGGGTCCCCATGTTGTTCTGGGCTCCTGTGGGTGGTGTACCATAGAGTCTTAGACCAGGAAGAATAAGATGTCACTGCAGGGCCCCTGAGGTCATGGGGGCCAGAACCAGGTGAGCAAGTAGGATTTTATGACATGAAAGACAAGGATGGATGTAAGACAATGTTCCTTGGACGGTTGCTAGAGGTCATTGGTAAACAGAAGGTCAGGAATCTGACAGAGAATAACACACAGACCTCCAGGAGAGACTGTATGATGAAATGGGCAGGAAACCTTGTCATACAGCCAATGTTCTGGTACAGTCAGGAGCTTCTGACTTGCTTCAACTTTCCCGCAATCCCAGGGAATGGACAGCTTAGTGTTACAGGCAATAACAGTGGCATTACTACATCTGACCAAGGAGAGTGAACAAGGCAGCAGGAGCTGACAGTGGGGTCTCATTTCTGTGCTCTGCTGAATAGCACAGAGAGCAAGCAACTCACCCATAAGTGCTTAGCTTAGTAGAAGCCCAAGAAAAATGGCCTCTTGGCGCCATATTATTCTGTCAGGAGAGGAAACAAATCTACTGACTGTCATGGCCTACTGTTATGAATCCGTGTAAGAGTCTTGGAGGCGAGTCTCAGTGTCATCAAACCTCAATACCATTACTCTAAAGTATTGGCTAGTTTTACCACAAATTACATCTTCCTTAGATTTATAGGCTTTTGAGAATGGAGGTAACGGATATTGAACATTAGAAAAGAACCTTGTCTTGATGAAGATGTGCTGATGCAAGATGTTTTTTCCCTAAAGCTTAACAGAGCCTTTGTCTTCCTGTGAATCATAGAAGTGTTAATAATTCATTTGTTTTGTCTCTCATTTCCTACTTCTATAAGACTCGCATAGTCCTGGTGAGGGACATGCACGCCCCAGCCTCTTTGGCTTGCTGGTAAAGGAGATCCCCACAATCTGGCAGGCATCAGGGAGATTAGAACGCCCCAGTGGGAAGTGAGCTCTCCTTTTCACTGATCCTAGGCAAATGGATGTCCAAGAAGAGAGGAACAAAAGGTCTAGCTAAAGCTACTAATGTATTTTAAAGAAAAAATGTTAATGGATGACATGCAGTAAGTTATGGGTATATCATTTGAGATCCTTTTCACTTAAAACAGCAAATAGAATTGCATCTGAAATGTCCATTCCTGGTTAAAAGAGGCAAATCGTAGAGCAGCTTTCAGGCAGTGGATGTGTTGGATGTCACTTCAATGTGGTCAAACATCTAATCCCACTATATTTTATGTTAAACAATAGCACTTTAAAGAAAGCACCTCGGGCTGGGTGCAGTGGCTCAAGCCTGTAATCCCAGCAATTTGGGAGGCCGAGGAGGGCAGATCACGAGGTCAGGAGATTGAGACTATCCTGTCTAACATGGTGAAACCCTGTCTCTACTAAAAATACAAAAAAAAATTAGCCGGGCGTGGTGGCACGCACCTGTAGTCCCAGCTACTCGGGAGGCTGAGGTAGGAGAATCGCTTGAAGCTGGGAGGTGGAGGTTGCAGTGAGCCAAGATCCGCACCACTGCTCCCTGGCCTGGGCAACAGAGCAAGACTCCATCTCAAAAAAAAAAAAAAAAGAAAAGAAAAGAAAAGAAAGCACCATGTACAGGAGAAGAGGTTTTTTTTTTTTTTTTTTTTTTTTTTTGTTTTGTTTTGTTTTGTTTTGTTTTTTAATTTGGACTTTCTAGGAGGGCAGTGGGACTATATTTACCTGCTCCCCCACCCTAGTGTGATGACTTTGTAAGATTGTAAGTACACAACCTCAGGTCGACCCATTTGAAATGTTCATGGTGCAATTAATTAACTGATGTTCTGTTTATATAATGTTCTCTCCTCTGCCCACCAGTAAATAAAAGAGAAAAAAGGGAAAACATTCTTAAAACAACCATTTTATTCTTGGAAGCAACCGTATTTCCCCTACTGAATTAAGAAAGCTTTATGTATTCTGACCAAACTGAAGTGCTTGGGCTTCCTGGCAAAGCTACCTACCTGCAAGGCTGGTTCACAGCTGTCACTCTCTGTGAGGTTAGTTTAGTAGCATGGGGGCACTGGGGTCAAGCTGGGGATGAAATGTGTTACCACACTGGGAGCCCATGTGAATACTTCACTGAGAAATAAAAATCAGGACATAAAATGGGGAATGAAGTGCATAAGACATTAATAGTTGATGGGCCAGTGTATTCACTGATATTTTTCAATCCAGCACTAGAGAAGACAGAAATTCTGGGGGTTAGAGGGAGTAAGAGAGGGAGGGAGAGCACTGAGGCTCTGTTCTTAACTAGGTGGCCCACAGGATGGTAATGAGACTCTATGAGCTATTTTTGATGACTTGAAAAATCTCAAAGGAATTATACATTTATTCACAACAACCATGCACAGACTAATTAAAATGTCAAATTTCTTTGCTTTGGGCTGAGGTTATATAACTCCATTGTGGTAATATATTTATCTCAATTTATCCAGAGGTCTGATTATTGGCAGCTGTATTTGTTAGATTAGTGAAAAGAAAAAATGAATTACTTAATATCTTTCAAATCATGAGGTCCATGGGAGAAAATGATAAGAAGCCCTTTGAGGTAAATAGTTGACAATTACTGTCCTGGAATAGAGAGACCCTATCTGGGGGATCTGTTGAGTTTTTGCTATACTATGGGGCCTAGGGGATGCTCAGTGAATAAAAATTTAATTTTTATTCTACTTATAAGACAAATATATCTTAGGCTTTCTGAATAGAGACACATTTGAGCAAAACAAATATATGAAAGGTCATCTTAGTAGTGGGCCTAAGGTAAGTGTATTTGCAATCCCTCAATAAAATTAATTTTACAAGGGAAATTTTTAAAAAAGTTTCAGAGTCTTACTTCTTACAGTGAGATTACAAGATGAATGGGTACATAATTGCCTTTGCCTTTAAGGAATGCATGGGCTGGGAAATGGGGTCTCATGAGCCCCAGTGGTGCCACTGGCCAGGCCCATTTTCTTAGGAGAACAAGCTACCACTTGGAGAAGTATTCGTTCTTCTTATTCAGGACAGAATCCAGTGTCAGAAAATACAGTAAGAATTCAGGAAGAGCCTTTTGGTTCCTTAACTGAACATTTTCAATGTATATTTATGTGTAAAAGACTTCTCAAAATATAAATGCCTAGAAGAGGTCACCCCATAAAATTGGTTGAATGATTGAAAGTTTAAAATGCTTGATGTCGATTCTTTCTGAATTGATTGTAAAGAAGATAGGCAAAGTCTTCATTGGATACCCCAAAGAGCTCAAGAAGAAGGAAATGGAAGGAATGCAAAAGCAAAAAGGCTTAAACCTGGTGGCCTCACTATTGGCCCAGCATGCTTCTGTCATTATTTGAAGGACTATGGTAGGTGTCCTTGGATGCAGCTTAGAAAGCCATGCTCCTCAGAAAGCCTCTGCTTCAAGCTTTTTGTTTTTCTTAGTGAAAAATCAAACAATAAACAATCCACTTTTTCCAAAGTACCATTTCTCTTGTAGCAAGTTTGGCTTCCAGTCAGGAGAGCTCCTTGGACATAGCCCGGTGGCCAGAGTTGACTCAGCAGACTGCCTTGCTTTTCCAAAGCTCTGAGCTCTTGGGAGAGTTCTTGGCATGACACAGCCATAGATCACCCAATTACCAAATTCTGCAGTTTTAGAACCTGGTTCCACTAAGAATTCCTAGGTGTTATTATTTATTTTTTTTTGAAGGAGCTTTACTCTTGTTGCCCAGGCTGGAGTGCAATGACGTGATCTCGGGTCACTGCAACCTGTGCCTCCCAGGTTCAAGCGATTCTCCTGCTTTAGCCTCCTGAGTAGCTGGGATTACAGGCATGCACCACCACGCCAGGCTAATTTTGTGTTTTTAGTACAGACAGGGTTTCTCCATGTTGGTCAGGCTGGTCTCAAACTCCCAACCTCAGGTGATCTGCCCGCCTCAGCCTCCCAAAGTGCTAGGATTTACAGGTTTGAGCAGCTATGCTGGGCCGCTGTGTTTCTTTAAAAGGGCCGAGTTCCTATTTTATTTAAATTCAAAACTATTTGAACATTGCAAAGAATTTTTAAAATGTTATGAGGTGATTTTTTTTTTCCACTAGGGACAGCTCTATCATCCTTAGATATGGGAAATCTGTCATCTCTAAGATAATTCTGACATCCCTTAACTGCATTATGGAGATTGAAGAAAGTATGATTTACTATGTCACAGCAGGGTATATTGGACACAATGCCATTCAATTATAAGGAGAAAACATAGATTAAGCCTTAAGCAAAAGTCATCAGTCAAGGGAAGAGGTTTTTGGGAAAAAAAGAGATTTAATGAGAACTTGTGTGTGAGAAGCAGAGAGAGGAGAATATAAGAAAACGACTTTTCTTTTTTCTTTTAGCCTCAGGTAGAAATTGAGAAAAGAAACAGATTTTATATTTTATAAAAACTTTACTCTTCATTTTTTCACCACTCCTGCTGCCAGAAAAAAAACAGATCAGTTTTTTTTTTTTTCTTTTTTTGAGATGGAGTCTCCCTCTGTTGCCCAGGCTGGAGTGCAGTGGCATGATTTCGGCTCACTGCAAGCTCCACCTCCTGGGTTCACACCATTCTCCTGCCTCAGCCTCCTGAATAGCTGGGACCACAGGTGCCTGCCACCACGCCCGGCTAATTTTTTGTATTTTTAGTAGAGACGGGGTTTCACCATGTTAGCCAGGATGGTCTCGATCTCCTGACCTCGTGATCCACCCGCCTCAGCCTCCCAAAGTGCTGGGATTACAGGCCTGAGCAACCGCGCCCGGCCGGTCAGATCAGTTTTTAAGAGAAACTTTAATTAAGCTTGTTGCAAGTTTCTTCATTCCATTTTCTTTTAGTGGGATTTTCGGGAGCACAGTTAGTGAGCATTACATATTCTTTTTGTTGTCTCATTATGCCTGAAAGATTTCATCTATCTATCCAGGCCTTTTTTTTTTTTTTTTTTTTTTTTTTCCCGAGACAGAGTCTTGCTCTGTCAGCCAGGCTGAAGTTATCCAGGGCCCTTTTTTAGCTGAAGGCTTGTTTCCTTTCTGCAGGGATCTGGACCCGTGTGCTATGGTGACAATGCTAAGTAACCACTGCCCACACCCTTAGCCTGACTCTTACTTCCAATGGTAGTAACTGTCAATCGGCAGTTCAATAATTTTTGCTTTAGTTTTTAAAATTCTGTTTTCAATTCAGTGTTTATTTCTTAAGAAAATGTAAAAAATGTGGGGTTATTACAAAGATACCAGATCTAAAACCAGAGATTAAATTTTGGCACCTCATCTTTATGCACCTGTGATGTCTTCAGCATTATTTCAGTGTTTCAAAGAGTTGTTACTATTATTAGCATGTGAATAATCTGAGGGAGGAATTTAAAAACACATTTTCAAACACTTTATATATCTTTCTGCACTTGGGTCATTTAACAGCCAATTACACAAAATTCAAGCTTCCCAGGGAGTAAAACATCAAGGTTAAATAATTGTTTTGCTATGTTTGGATGGAGAAGAGGAAGAATTTGACAAGTTGAAGGATAAGAAAGTTGATTTTCCAAAGTGTTAAAATAATTTTCATCATTATCATCTCTTATTAAAAATGTAACAAAAGGGAAGAAGTTTTAAGAAAGAATGAAAATGGTGAATAATGAGCTGGAGAATGATACTGTGGAGAAAACAGAAATAACAGAGATTGGTTTGCTTTTGGAAGAGATAGTGAAGGATAACTACCATCTAGGAAGAGTTTTAGTCCCATAAAACTGAACAAGTTTTCTATCAGCAAAGGACAGAATAAGATGAAAAAGGCTTACACTAAGGCAGGAGAGATTGCAGTTGGATCTAATGAAGATCTTCAGGACCGTAAAGGGATCAAACTGAAATGGAATGTACAGAGAAATTGCGTGTGTTCTTTCCTTAGTGACCTTAAAGAAGAAAAGAGACAACTATTTGTTCTGAATTGTTTGCCTACATAAGGCAGAGACATGAACTGATTTTTGCAAGTCTCTTGAAGCTTAGCAATCTCTATTCCTTGAAAGTTCATTTAATATTGTTTTCCTCTGAGACATGTTATTATTTAGTGGAAATTAACATTTCCTATCTTGGCTAGCAGCATTACTGCCCCCAAAGTCCTCCCTTTGATAAATCTCAAAGTTAACCATTGACTTCTCCTTCTCCTTTAACACATCTGTGTCTGCTGCTCGACTGATCCACTGCAAATGGCTATAACATTTAAAATGCTGGGCAAGTGCCATGGACTATGCTAGGCGTTGCTTTACACAGCTAAATTCTAATCCTCACAACAAACATTTGAGAGAGCCATTATCAATCCTTCACTAGATAGAATATAAATGAAGAAACGGGAGCTAAGAGGCTTGCTTAAGCTAAATATAGACGAAAAGCACAACTTAAAACACCAGTCTTTCTAATCCAAACTGTGCCCTCTTTGAACATGGCATGAAGTGAGAAAAAACTAGAAGCCATTTTTCTTAACTCCTAAATTCAGTAACTTTGGGAAAGTGACTTACCCTTTCTAACCTCCATGTCCCTGTTACTTTGGGACCTGGTTCTATTTTTGATTAGGTTATATAGAAGACTTCTGGAGAAGTGGAATGATAGCTCAGTTTTTTTTTTTTTCGAGACGGAGTCTGGCTCTATCGCCCGGGCTGGAGTGCAGTGGCGCGATCTCGGCTCACTGCAAGCTCCGCCTCTTGGGTTCACGCCGTTCTCCTGCCTCAGCCTCCTGAGCAGCTGGGACTACAGGCGCCCGCCACCGCGCCCGGCTAATTTTTTGTATTTTTAGTAGAGACAGGGTTTCACCGCGTTATCCAGGATGGTCTCGATCTCCTGACCTCACGATCCGCCCACCTTGGCCTCCCAAAGTGCTGGGATTACAGGCGTGAGCCACCGCACCCGGCCGATAGCTCAGTTTTTCAAACATACAAGATCTTGCTTGATCTCAAGTTCCTCAAGTTGTCACACTTTTTCCACATGCAGTTTTCCATGTGCACCTTCTGTTCAAATAACAAAGGAGAAAATCTAGTGCCCGAGAGGGAGGTCTCAGAGCTGGCTGGGGCTTTCCCTGTGTCCATCTTGTAGATAATTACTTTGGATTTCTGCATTCTACCTTATGGCCAGGGTGGCTGGTTGGCATTCCTTCCTATACATAGCAGGAGCCAAAGAAAGGCTCTGGACAGAGAGGGGCTATGTGTTTGTGACTCCTGTTCAGCATATCACTTATAAATCTTAGAGCTTGGAGAATACTTGGAGATAAGCCATCCCAGAGATGGCAAATATAGTTTATAATCCACCCCCAGTTGCTGGATTTGATTTCTTGGAAAACAGGGAGAAGGGCTTCAAGACTACATCCAGGCTCATGTCTGCCATGGTCATGAGGGAAAGGGAAAAGCATTTGTGTATCAAAGTTATCCTCCCTAAGGTACTCAAGTTTTCATTTTATAGACAAGACAACTACAATCTAGATGGGTTGTTGTCTTGGTCAATAAAGAGTCCAGGGAGATTAAGTGCAGCAAACTCCTGCATAATGCTATAAAGAATATTTGAACAGTTCAATTGCATAAAATGTAGAGTCTCATTATTGCAGGGATAATGTAAAACAACATTTTTTGGTCGGCCTACCAGTTGCTGTAGGAAAAAAAGAAAAAAATAACCTTGTTTTATTAACAGCTATATAGAAATAGTCTGGTGATTATAAACAAATACATAGTGATAATTTCTTTCTTTTCTCCCCTTCTCTACTGCAGAAGATAACATCAGCTCACCTCTTTTGAGAATACGGGTTGGGAACCAATAGCCAATCACTTTGTATTCCACTTAGCATCATCATGGGGCATGCTATCATGGGCTTCATTGTATTTGGCGTTCTGCAACGAGAACTACTCTAAGTGGTGATGTAGAGCAAGTGCACAGCTGTGGGAGCTTGGGGATATAGACCACAGTGGCCCTCTGCAAGTACATCATCTCTGAGAAGATTCGGGTTTTATCTTAAAATTTACTGAACTTTAGATTTATTTAATAACATAACCAGGTTTGTTTTAATACAATTCATTAGTATTAAATAAGATTAACACTCTAGGAATAATAATAATATCAGCTGACATTTCTTTATTCTGTGGCTTTATGTACACAGTGACACATGGCTGTTGTGTTAGGGTTCTCTGGAAAAACAGAACCAATAGAATATCTCTATCTATCTATCTATCTATCTATCTATCTATCTATCTATCTATCTATCTAATCTATCTATCTATCTATTATGGGAATTGGTTATTCACATGATTACAGAGTCTGAGAAGTACCACCATCTGTGGTTTTCAAGCTGGAGAACCAGGAAAGCTGGTGATGTAATTCAGTTTGAGTCCAAAGGCCTGAGAACCAGGATAACTGATGCTGTCACTCTTGGTTTGAGCCCAGGAACCAGGAGCTCTGATGTTGAGGGCAAGATAAGTTGGATGTCCTGGCTCAAGAAGAGAGATAATTTGCTTTTTCTCTGATTATTCTATTTGGGCCCTGAATGGATTGGATGATGCTCACCACATTGCTGAGAGCAGACCTGCTTTACTCAGTCTACTGATTCAAATGCTAATCTCATCTGGAAACACTGTTACAGACACACCCAGAAACAACATTTTGCCAGCTATCTGGGCATCCCTTAGCCCAGCGAAGTTGATCTATAAAACTAAGCGTCACAGCTATACACCAGTTTTATATACCCTGTGTTGAGAGTAATGGAAACAAGGAATTGCATAACTCAACTAGTAAATTTTTAAAAGATTTAAGCTAATGAAGTTTTGAAAGAGATTGGCTATTGTATACTTAACCCTAGTTCCCTCTATTTTTTCTTTTATCATCACTTTAATTCTCTTCATCCTAGAAAATGTTCACCTGGCCATCTATAGTCATCATTTCCTTAAAAACGGCCTTTGTTCTAAAGCAGAATTCTATTTTCAGATAAAATGTTATGTGGAATTCCAGTGTAGAAAACAGATAAATGTGGGATGGAGTGAAGCAAGAAGAAGGAAGCCCTATGTCCTAACTACCTCCCACTGTTTGTGACAGTCCCTTCTTTACTTCCTTAGAGGCCTGAGACTCTGATAATCACAAACAGTTTTCTTAAGGAATCTAGTTAGTTCTTAAAAACATACAACTGCTTCATTTTATTATTATTATTTTTTTGTATACAGAGAAGCAAAATTCAACCCTTCCAACCTTCAGAAACTGAGAAAATAGATTATCTTTAGGTATTTGAAATTCTTTAAGAATTGCTCTAATTGTATGTCTTTGCTTAAATAATGAGCAGAAATGTTAATTAATAGTGTGTCCTTTGGAACTAACCCAAATGTCCATCAATGACAGACTCGATAAAGAAAATGTGGCACATATACCCCATTGAATACTATGCAGCTATAAAAAAGGATGAGTTCATGTCCTTTGCAGGGACATGGATGAAGCTAGAAATCATAATCCTCAGCAAACTAACACAGAAACAGAAAACCAAACACCACGTGTTCTCACTCATAAGTGGGAGGTGAACAATGAGAACACATGGACACAATGAAGGGAACATCACACACTGGGGCCTGTCGGAGGGTGAGGGGCAAGGGGAGGGAGAGCGTTAGGACAAATCCCTAATGCATGCAGGGCTTAAAACCTAGATGATGGGTTGATAGGTTCAACAAACCATCATAGCACATGTATAGCTATGTAACAAACCTGCATATTCTGCACATGTATCCCAAAACTTAAAGAAACATTTAAAAAGTGTCTTATTATTTTTAGGTGTACTTATTTTAAAGCATACTGTTGTGCTTTATTTCTAAAAACACAGTGAGTGGAGAAGTAAATTAATACCCAGCAACCATGATAGGAGGAGGTTTGGACAATGAGGTCCTCATTTAGACACTGCCATCCTCTTGGGAATAGCTCGTTTTAATTTTGGTCAAAATTGTTAAGAAAATGTAACGAACTTCTTGAGAACTGGCCTCAGAACCCAAACTTATAATGCTCTTGGAAATACCACAACACAAAAGCTGCATTTAATTTCTCTCCTTAAAACATCTCTGCTTTTCCACTTCTTCTATTTTGCTCCTTACTTATTATTTTGATTATGTGCTTATCAGGTTAAGTACCTTACAAGTATCTGTAGTAAGAATATGTTAATTGGTTCAGGGCTTCTCTTAAAATAATTGAAAGCGTCTGCTTATTTGTTTTTCTTAGAAACTCAGCCTGTGAATCAAACTGCTTCTAATGTAGAAAAATGTATATATAAAATACATCTATATGTTTAGATTGAGTTATTGTCAAAATATATTAAATCCTTTTAGAAAATGCCAGAATTGAGTTCTTTTAGAATTCAGTGTCCTTGTATTGAATTCTTTTAGAATTCAGTGTCCTTGTATTGAATATTTCCTTTAATGTCTATTACAGGATTACAGAACAAAGTTTCACTGATTAAGTTGCTTTCAGTATTTTTTTTTATTGACAACTCATATTTAAGTTGTAATATTTAGGGCTGTTATTACAAACTACATACCCTTGATGGATTGTTTACACAATTGTATTAAGATTAAATATTTTGACTTATGGCTCAATTTCTATTATTCTAGGGTAAAATTATAGGGTAGTCAGACCAGAAATCAGGCAGACTTCTATGTCTTCTTTGCGAGGATACAGTTAATTACTTCTTCCTTTTTGTAAGGCCATGAGCCTGATAAGATATGAAGTTCCAGGAAAAAGTGTTTTCCAATAAAGCTTCTTTTATTCTGTACTACAATTATATCAAGTGATAACCAAATATTACCCCCACTGGTTTCTCACCCCTCTGCGGGTGAGATTTCTTTCAAGTTTTGGCCGGTGACGGAGCCTCGTGTTCTAGCTTAAATAGATCAAAGAGCTTTCTCATTGTCCAGCCCTTTGCTTTTGTTTTGACCACAGCTTTCCTACGGCTGGGGCCACCATTTATGCTTTTAAGGAATAGAGATGATTGTCTTTTATAATATGTAATTTCAATTTTCTTTCTCTGAAAGGCAAGGTTTATCTTCTAACAGAAACATAACAGAGGAATAAGTATGAATAATTGACCGGGACAAGAGCAATGTTTAAGAATATTGCAGAACTTTCATGCCTTTATTCTTTTCCCCTTTTGTAATTTGGATGCATTATGTTATCTTTTGCAATGAAATGGCCAAGGCATTGTGGTCCTGTGGATTGGATGGTATTTGACAGTTTATCAAATCCATCCCTTCCCAGGTGCAAAAAGCTTTGTCACATGGCTAACGATCAAAAGTCTGGCTCTGTAGGACTTTTCAGGGTTCTTTTGGTAGAGTAGTTGGTATGACAGTTACCAAATGCTTGTAAATCATATGGAGCAAATCAGAATATTGGAGAGAATAGACACCAAATGAGAACCTCCTGACATTTTTTGTGCCAGAGCAAGGCTACACGAATTGAGTAAAGGCCTTCCTTAAAACGATGTATAACAAAACAGGAAGTAGCTTCAGAGTGGCACCCGGGAGCCCATAACCAGGTATGTTGCCCTATTTAGAAATCATATTAGGACTGAAATGTGGGTATAATTATTATTGCTATTTTAAGAGAATTGCTCTTAGACATCCTTATAGAGGAACAAGAATTTTCTTTTGTGGCAATACAGAGCCTGAGAAAATGCAGTATGGTTTTATATCTACATAAACATATGTCATATATATAAACTCTATTGCTATTGCTTATCACTAATTATGCAGTTGGCTGTGGAAAGCTATGAGTCACTGAAATGAACAATTTGAACATATGCAATTGATCATTTTTAAAACAGGAAGAAAAAACCATGCTATTTCTTGTTTGCTTTTAAAGATATTGCGGGTAACACGTGTTCCATATCATCTGATATTATACACAGGAAGAAGGTAAACTTATTAATTAAAAAAGTCTTGCAAAAGGAACTTGCAGCCTGCATTATGTTAGTAGTTGGTTGCTTTTTAAATACGAAAGAAAAAAGAGTAAATTATGTACTCCTGAAAATTTGATCCTTGTTCTTATGGGAAAATATGGCAAAACATAGAAACTCTGTTAATGGCAAAACTTATTAGGATAAGGACTCCTCGCCTGGGGTTCAGGGAAGTGTTTGAAGGTATATAAAAATATATCTTAGTGAAAAAAAGTAATTATGTTCTTTTTCTTAAAACTGCAAATAATCCTATAGTGCTTTGGTATTACATGGTCAGTATTATTTTCATTATTCATATTAGGAGTTAAAGAAAAAGAGCCCTTTCATTTTGATTGTATTATTTTTTATATCAAGCCTAGTTAATGTAGATAATGTACATAAGGAAAAATCTTGATGAAGCTGAAATAGTCCTCAGTTTTTTCTCATCACAGCATGATAGGACATAAAAATCAAGTGTTTCTTGTGTAATGCTCTTGCCAGTGGAAATACAAAGTTAGTGAACTTGAAGAAGCAGGATATTTGGGTCCATTCTGAAATTACTGTTAGATCACAAGAATCATTTTTACTAAATTTTGTGAGACTAAAACTCAATCAACAGAGAATAAAACTTTACTAGTAGTTAGACTTGTCCCATCTGAAACTTTTATATTCTGAAGCAAAAAAACCCATGTACACTAGAGATATCTTGGTGATAACATGTGTCCTAAAAATGATGCTTTCATGCTTTAGGTTGGAGTAGAGGAAGACAATGGAAGTGTGGCTTTTGTCAAAGGTTGACTTCCAACAGAGAGACATCTGTCTGCTACTCACATCATCTATTGGATGCCTATTGTACTTAGAAAAAAAAATCCACACGTAAATAACTTACGTGGATATATGGTTAGATATATATATTCTCTATTTCTGTAGTTTATGTTAGAGTTTTGGGGAAGAGGCTGGAGGCAGCCACCCATGCTAGTTGTCAAAAAGTGGGAACTCAGCTCAAGATGTTTTTCACCTGTGTGAAGAAAACTTTCTGATACAGTATAAGGAAATGTTTGCAAGATTTTGTGTAGATGTGTTATGTGCATTTTTGTGGGGACAAGACCTGTACCTTTTATTAGACTCTCACAGAAGGCCATGGCTCCAAAAGTTCCAGGTTTTTCTGGTGTTTGAAGCAGGAAGTGTAAGGTAACACCATCTTATTTCCTATATAAGGATTACTTGAAAACTCTGTGGAAAGATTTGAATAGAATTAGAACCAGATCAAGACATTTTCTATGCAATAGGAAAGTCCTTAAGAAAAAGCTAAGTGGTTCATGTTATTATGATAAAATCTAATGTTAATCTATAAATAACTTCTTTTTAGTATTAAAATAAATCCTTTTATCCTGAAAAAGCAGAATCAGTTAAAAAAGTAATTGCTATTGAAGCCTTGCTATCCCCTGAGCTAGCTCAAGTGTGAGTCAATAACAGCTACAGACAGTAGCTGAGGCCTGATGCAACCCAAGTTTATTTTACTCTACTCTGCTGGACCAGGGAAGGAAAATCTGGTAATAGTATTAGTAAAAACACTATTAAGGGGGGGATTAAGGTTAAGTTTGTAAACATAGCCAAGAGTACTTCCTTAGCATTTTTTTCTGTTTAATTTGAAAACCTGATAAATAGAAAAATATGCTGGACTGTTGGGAATACAATAAAATAAACTCTCGGCCAGGTGCAGTGGCTCACACCTGTAATCCCAGCACTTTGGGAGGCCAAGGCAGGTGGATCACAAGATCAAGAGATCTAGACCATCCTGGCCAACATGGTGAAACTCCGGCTGAATTAAAAATACAAAAATTAGCTGGGCATAGTGGTGCGTGACTGTAGTCCCAGCTACTCGGGAGGCTGAGGCAGGAGAATCACTTGAACTCTGGAGGCGGAGGTTGCAGTGAGCCAAGATCACACCACTGTACTCCAGCCTGGTGACAGAGTGAGACTCCATCTCAAAATAAAATAAAATAAACTCTTGTTGCATCCGATCTGAGCTGCACCAGACTTTTACTGGAGACACAGTGTTCACAATATATAATTGAATCATAGTACCTTTTACAATTTTAGTTAGAGATTTTTAACTGTTACGTCTTTTAGTTTTCAGCTTTCCTCCACTGTTTTGGGAAACGTCACCTTCTTATCTTGGAAGAGTAATCTCAAAATTGAAGCATCTTAGATCCAACAAGAATTAAAAGGATGGGAAGTCCTTGCAGCCATCCAATAGAGTCAGAAGACTTTGGATTTTGGAGTCTGTGAGATGTGAGTTTAAATGCTGAGCTTGGTACTTGGTCTTTCAACTTTCCTTTATGAATTTACTAACTCTTGGTCCAGTGTCAGTATTTAGCAGGGGATGGAATTCATGTCCTGCTTTGGTTTAATCCTAAGTACCTAGTCCTGGTGAGAGTGATAAGAAGAGCCAGGGGCTGTTATGGTCCTTATGCCTCTGAAATGTTGTAGACTTTCCTTATGGTACTTGTGCTATTCTTTGTGAGTTGTATGACCTTGGTTAAGCTACTTAACCTCGAATCTCAGTTTCCTAGTTGTAAACTGAGGCTAATATCTACCTTTATAAGTCATTAGAAGAACTACATGTAATATTTTTAAACCCCTAGCACAGTGCTTGGCTTAAGTTGTGAACCATTTGGTTCTGACATTTGACGTCTAGTTTCCTCTTGAACATCTTTAGGAACACAAAGGTCATTACTACATGAGAACACCTCTGCTGTTGTAGCTCAGTTCTCACTGATAATCAGTTATTGGTCCTGGTTTTGCATTCCCAGCAATAATAAGCTTAACTGCTCTTAGTATAATGAGTTTTACAATGTTTGAGGATGGACATCATGTTTCCTCTTATAGATCTCGTAGCCACAGTTTATCGAACTATTTATTGTAAGAGATTATCTCAAGGTCCTTTTCCCTTCTGGACGTAATTTAGAATTATCAATTTCTCTTAACAGCCTGGCATCTAAAACAGGGTGCAACATTCTGGAAGTGGTATGAACAACATCAGCCCAGAATAGTTATTCTGTCATCTGCAAACTGGTCATTTCTAACCTTAGTTAGAAAATTTTATACTTCAAATCTTAGGGGGTCTCAGTTTTCTCATTTATAAAATGAGTTGCTTAGAGCCAGGTGCGGGTCTAGCACCTGAACTCCCAGCTACTCAAGAGGCTAAGGTGGGAGGATAAATTGAGCCCAGGAGTTTGAGGCTGCAGTGAGCTGTGACTGTGTCACTGCACTCCAGCCTGGGTGACAAATCAAAACTCTGTCTCTTAAAAAAAAAAAGAGTTGTTTCAGCTGGGTGCTTTGGCTCACGCCTGTAATCCCAGCACTTTGGGAGGCCAAGGAGGGTGGCTCACGAGGTCAGGAGATCGAGACCATCCTAGCTAACACGGTGAAACCCCATCTCTACTAAAAATACAAAAAATTAGCCGGGCATGGTGGCGGGTGCCTGTAGTCCCAGCTACTCGGGAGGCTGAGGCAGGAGAATGGCGTGAACCTGGGAGGCGGAGCTTGCAGTGAGCCAAGATGGTGCCACTGCACTCCAGCCTGGGTGACAGCGAGACTCCGTCTCAAAAAAAGAAGTGTTGTTTCAATCAAACAACACATAGGACTGCATCTTGCTTTGAAATATAAAACTCAGTGTTACCCACATATGTTGATGTTGTATTTCTTAGATATTAGAGCTCATGTTTAATTTTACTAAGCATTTCTTTTTAATTGAGCGTCTGCTTTGTGCTAAACCCAGTGAGCTGTAAAGGACAGAACTATTCCTCCTTAATGTGCTTATATTGCCTTAGCAATAAGACACAAAATCAAGAATATTATACAAAGAGGAGAAGTGTCTTGTCCTTTAGTCATTCGGCTTTCACACAATGCATAGTTTATATCTTTAACAAAAGTTAAAGTTATTATCAACAACAGTAGTCTATCCATTAACAGATTAAAAACTGATGTTGGAAATGGAAATGTCTTATAAAACTATGTCTGAGGCTCTTATCCATAGAGAGCATGGAAGAAGCTGACCAGGGCACCTCTCCTTAGTGCTGTATTTTAGAGCTGAGTCTGAATTAAGAGTCACTGAGCACAGCCCTCCTGTTATTTCCTTGAGGCTGAGAACTTTCCCTCCTTTCTGAAATAGTATCAACACCAGATCAAAGACACAGTAGTCCTCTGAGACCCGGTCGATTTAACACTCAGCGTTGTCTGGTAAACCACTCTCTTTTACTGTGGCTGGAGAACATGGAAAGTTTTTCAGCAACCTCTTACATTGTGAACTTCAGGCCTCGCTCTGATGTGGTGTTTCTTCTTCCTCATACCTAATATTGTTGGGGACATTCATAGGCAGAGATGGTTGAGGGGAACTTGTGTCTCGACAACAAATGAGAGACTGGTAAAAATGATCTGAACAACAATGAAAAAAAATCAATTGCCCTTATTTTTTTTCTTTTCAAAAAGTGAAAGCCGTGTTTGCTTTGAGATGAAACATTTGAGAAGCTTTTCTTCTTTAGGTGATTCCATCCCTCCTTGGCCTCAGCAGGTTCCTGCTTGGAAGTAAAGAACCAACGAGAAGGCAGGGAGCAAGGAACTGCCTTTTCCAAGGAGACCCAGGCTGCTTGGCACCTGCGCCTGCAGAGGCTCTTATCCACCTGCTGCCCCAGGCCTTGCCTAACTGAAGGGGCCAACACTATCTGTCTGCCTCAAGAGGGGATCAGGGCAGAGTCCTCACATTTTTTATGAGAAAAACGTCCCTTAGCATGTCTGGAATATTTTTTCTCTAGGCTTGTTCCAACTTGAGCTCATTTTGCTCTAATTATTTTGGCCTATATGTTTCTGCATCTGTCTATTCTGATAAGAGGGATGTGTGTGTGTGTGTGTGTGTGTGTGTGTGGTGTGTGTATGCGAGTGTTTTGTCTTTCTCTTTTTGCCATAGTGT
Source organism: Homo sapiens (assembly GCF_000001405.40). NCBI lineage: Eukaryota > Metazoa > Chordata > Mammalia > Primates > Hominidae > Homo > Homo sapiens. The sequence continues at coordinate 136,180,091 of NC_000007.14, forward strand.
AGCTGCTTAAAAGCTACAGATAAACAGGCTATTCAACACCAAGCTAGGGTAATCATAGATGACATGGGGTGACCTCAAAAGGTTTAATTCTGCCTTTTGTTTGAAAGGCAGAGAACTTGAAAGAGCAAGTGTATCTCAGCATGAAGGGAGAGGATCCCAGTTCACACTAAATAGTTCCTTCTCTGCAGGCAGATTTGTGAGCCTCACAGTGTCTGCCTTTTATGGGGACAAGCCCTTTAAAATCCCTCCTCTCTCTTCTATCATGGTCTATTTAAGGCTCTTATCTTCCAAATGGCATCCTCTCATGAGCAGTTAAACTTGCCCTACTGTGCCAGCAGATATTTTACGAGTCCATAATTAAGAAACTTGGTTTTATATGGATCCTATAAGGTCTGTTTGTCAATTCTGCAGATAAACACTTCTACCCTGGAGATATCCCAGTGACAGGAACCATATGTATGTCATCACATCCAGATAAATGTCTAATGTCACTTGGTTATTAGCCTGATTTAATAACCAGCTTTACCCTTATTATCACGTCACAATTTGTGGCATGCCAATTATGTGCCAGGCTCAAACAAAATTGAAATTGTATTCAAATGATGAACTCTTAAAACGTATCCTGAAGTCAAGTAAGTTGTTGAAGCCAATGTCCAAATAATTTCATTGAAAAACTTTTATGTAAGGAAAGTAGTTTAATTTTGGTAATGTTTGATCTGAATGATACAGATTAACTTTGTGAAATAAATTCACTGGTTCATTGATCAATGCCTCAATTCACTTAGCACAGACAGGCCAGATATTGTCAAGGCCTTCAAGTGTTATGCTGGGACATGGGGGTCCTGTGATATGTAGTAATCCTAGCTATGAAATCCAAGACTAGAAGTCCAGGTAAGGGGGAGGTATCTGGCAGACATGTCAGGTTGTGACAAAATGTCAAGTTGAAGGAGGGAAGTTCAGGTAGGGAGTAGTGCTGAGACCCATGCAGGCAGGATCCACAGTCGGGGATGTTTGGCTCAGCAGAGGAGGCAGGAGGGGTCAAGTTTGAATTGAGATCTGCGGCAGATCTCTTACTTCTTGTTCATTTGGCAGGATGTGGGTAGTCCTGTGTCTACACATGTGTCATAGTCAGAAGAAAATCAGAGGCCTGTGTATGGGCTTTGTCCGTAAACAGCGAGTGAAAGGGATATTGTAATAGTAGGATGACTTCCTAATCGGTACCCAGAGGGGAAAGACTTCAGTGACGGTGGTCGTCAGGTATGCTCTCCATCTGCTGGACACCCTGGTACTTCTACTAGGGGAAGGAGTCTCTTCAGGGCTCTGCTCTCAGCTTGTAATCTTACTGCTCCCTTCTGCAGTTTGCTTTTTCTTTTTTTTTTTTTTTTTCTCGAGACAGAGTCCCACTCTGTGCCCCAGGCTGGAGTGCAGTGGCATAATCTCGGCTCACTGCAACCTCTGCCTCCCGGGTTCAAGTCATTCTCTTGCCTCAGACTCCCGAGCAGCTGGGATTACACGCACCCGCCAACATGCCCAGCTAATTTTTGTATTTTTAGTAGAGACGGTGTTTCGCCATTTTGGCCAGGCTGGTCTTGAACTCTTGACCTCAGGTGATCCACCCGCCTCGGCCTCCCAAAGTGCTGGGATTACAGGCATGAGCCACCATGCCCAGCCCGGCTTGCTTCTTTTGATATCCACATTCTGTCTTCTCTCTGCGATATCCGTTGCCCTATAAACAACTTCAGAATTCCCCTATCTTAATAAATAAAAATGCCCCCTGTGTCTTACTCCATTCAGGCTGCTATAACAAACTGCCTTAGCCTGGGGTGGCTTATAGACAACAGTAGTGTATGTCTCAGAATTCTGGAGGCAGGGAAGTCCAAACGAAGGTGTGAAGATGTGGGCAGATGGCACCTTCTTGCGGCAGTGTCCTCACATGGTGAAGGGGCCTATGAGCTCCTTTGGCCCTCTTTAATAAGGACACTTAGTCCATTTATGAGAGCTCTAGCCTCATGATCTGATCATCTCCAAAGGCTTCACCTCTTGATGCTGTCACGTCGGGAATTAGGTTTCAACATATGAATTTTGAGGGAACACAGACATTCAGAAGTTAGCACCTTGATTATGCTTTCATATGGAGCTATCTTGTATTTCTCTTGCTTTTGCTGTTTAGCACCAAACCTCCCCAAAGTTTGGTTTATGTTCATTGTTTCCTTTCATTACTACTCACACATTCAGTCCTGCACAGTCCATCTTCCTGCACCCTCTTAGCTTCTGGAATTCTTCTCTTGCGGTCACCAACCTACCCATAATCACCAAATTTAGAGTCTTTCCTCATCCCAATTCTCCTTACCCTATCTACTGCTTTGCTTCTGAGGCTGTAGGTAATGCCTTCCTAGTTTAAGCTCCCTTCCCTGGCTGCTTCAGGGATTCTGAATGATGTCCTTGCCTTTCTTCTCTGGCTGTATCTTTTCTCCCTTCCCTAGCCTTTGTCTGCAGCCCTAATGTGGGTCATTTTAAGACACAACTGGCTGGGTGTGGTGGCCCACGCCTGTAATCCCAGCACTTTGAGAGGCTGAGGCAGGCAGATCACTTGTGGTCTGGAGTTTGAGACCAGCCTGGCCAACATGGTGAAAACCTGTCTCTACTAAAAATACAAAAAATTGCCAGGCGTTGTGGCACATGTGTGTAGTCCCAGCTACTTGGGAGGCTGAGGCAGGAGAATCACTTGAACCCGAGAAGCGGAGGTTGCAGTGAGCCGAGATTGCATCACTGCATTCCAGCCTGGGCAACAGAGCGAGACTCTGTCTCAAAAAAAAAAAAAAAAAAAAAGACACAAGACACAACCTTTGGCATTCTCTCTTTCTGCCCTTGGTGAGCCCTCTTTCCTTCAGTGCCATGATTCTGTCTTCACAATCTCTATTTCTGGTCCTTACTTTCAGTTTTAGTTCTCAAAGCTTGTTTTCTACAAACCATATTTATGTAAATGTCTACCTGTAACTTAGAGTTAGTATACTTACAACTAAAATCTCTCTTTCTTCCCTCCCTTTCACTCCAGGTACTAGTCTGTTTTCATGCAGCTAATAAAGACATACACAAGACTGGGTAGTTTATAAAGGAAAGAGGTTTAATTGACTCACAGTTCCACATGGCTAGGGAGGCCTTACAATCATGGCAGAAGACAAAGGAGATGCAAAGTCACATCTTACATGGCAGCAGGCAAGGGAGCATGTGCAGGGGAACTCCTCTTTATAAAACCATCAGATCTGGTGAGACTTATTCATTATAACAAGAACAGTACAGGAAAGACCCACCACCATGATTCAATTACCTCCCACCAGGTCTGTCCCACAACATGTGGGAATTATGGAAGCTACAATTCGAGATGAGATTTGGGTGGGGACACAGCCAACCCATATCACCCCAGTTTTCCTTTCTGATGTTTATTGTGTTCCCAGCATCAATACTTCCCTAGGTACCAAGACTCAAAGCCTTGAAATCAGCTTTTCTTTCTTTTCCTCGCTTCCCACGTCTAATTATTCACCATAGTCTATCACTTGTTTCATAGCAGATCTCATATCCTTTGCTTTACTTTTCTTCTGCTATGAAATCATGTTCAGCAGTTAATTGTTAGTAGTGTAGTAGTTTCCTAACTGATCTGTTTCTACCCTACACACCTGTGGTAGGCTGACTAATGATCCCCAAGGATAACCAGGTCCTAATCCCTGGAACCTGTGAATGGTACTGTCTAAGGTAATAGGGACTATGCAGATGTGATGAGTTAAAGATCTTGCAAGAGGGAGATGGTTCTGGATTATCCTTATAGGCTCTAAACCTAAACACAGGGTACTTACAAGAGGGAGGCAGAGGGAGATTTAACCACACACAAAAGAGAGAAGGCAATGTGATAGACTGAGAGAAAGAGGAAGGAAGAGCAAGAGAGAGAGAGTGGAAGAAGAGAAAGAGAAGGAGAGAAGCCAGCAAGAGAGAGAGTTTTGAAGATGGAGGAAGGAGGCCATGAGCCCAGCAATACTACAAATGCTGCTCGGGAAAAGGAAAGGAAACAATTCTCCCTTAGAACCTCTGGAGGGAGCCTGGCCTTGCTGACATGTTAGTTTCAGCCCAGTGTAATGGATCTGGGATTTCCGATCTCTAAAACATTAAGAGAATTAATGTTTTTTAAAGCTACTCAGTTTGTGGGAATTCATTGCAGTGGCTCTAGCAAACTAATATAAGCCCTCTGATTCATCCTACACATTTTGGCCAGATTAATGCTCCTAAAACATAGCTTTCTGAATACCCAATTTATTACTCAGTTTACCACTTCAATTATGCTAAATTAACATTATTGAATATCTCCCAAGTAACAAGTTCTGTGCTAATTCTGCAGATACAGGCATCAAGAGGACAGTTTCTGCCTGCTCCTTGCTTATATTCTTTCAGAGAAGCTACACAAACCAGCAACAATTTGAATAAAAATCAATCAGGGACATTTTACAAGCATGTATGGGTCCCTTTGAGAACACAAAAGAGGGACAACTCCTTTGGTATTCTGGAATACAAGACCCACAGTTTAGGTTGTATGGCTGGTCATGAGAAACTGGAAACAAAGCATCTATGCTCCTCTTTAGAAGAAAACATAAGATCAGAAATATGGCTTTGCACTTTAAAAATGGAAATTAGCTTTGAATCAGTAAAGTGTGTGCCAACTAGATTGAGAACTTCTGTCAAGCTTTTGACATGCAGGGGGAAAAGATAAGAATCGTCTTTGTGTATAAACTTTTTAGTTTACATTGTTGTTACACATATTAGTATGATTTACAAGATTCCCTAGTTCCAAATGCTTGTGAAACATCGTTTGAATAAATAACATAAGTCATAAAACAATGGTTACTGTGAAAATTAATGATTCAAAAATTGCATCAGTTGATGTAAACAGTAATTTTACTGTTTCTTAAAGAAGCATTGTATTCCAACATTACAAAAACTTCAATTTGTGATTTTCTTATGACAAGAGCCATTCTATTTCCCCACTGCAGAATATATTTGAAAATAAAATGATTCTTGACTCTGCTGTTTTTTTCTTTTTCTGGAACTCAAACATAACTGAATGCTTTTGGTTATGCTTACTTCTCTTCCATAGGAAGTAGTGAGACCATAAAAGCTTTGTATGTCATGCTACAGAGTTTAAAACTCATGCTGTTGCTGGAAGCCTATGGAAGAGAACTTTCTTTAAATTTTATTTTCAAATGTGGTAAAATACACATAACATAAAATTTACCATCTTAACCATTTTTTGGGTGTATAATTCAGTAGTATGAGGTAAATTTACATTGCTGTGTAGCCAGTCTTTCTTTTTAAAATGTATTTTTAATTTTTGTTTTACTTTAAGTTCTGGAATACATGTGCAGAACGTGCAGGTTTGTTACATAGGTATACGTGTGCCTTGGTGGTTTGCTACACCTATTGACCCGTCATCTAGGTTCCCTCCCCTTGCCCCCAACCCCCAACAGGTGTTGTTCCCCTCCCTGTGTCCATGTGTTATCATTGTTCAACTCCCACTTATGAGTGAGACATACGCTGTTTGCTTTTCTGTTCCTGTGTTAGTTTGCTGAGGACGATGGCTTCCAGCTTCATCCATATGCCTGCAAAGAACATGATCTCATTCCTTTTTATGGCTGCTAGTATTCCATGGTGTATATGTACCACATTTTCTTTATCCTGTCTATCATTGATGGGCATTTGGGTTGATTCCATGTCTTTGCTATTATAAATAGTGCAGCCAATCTCTTAAACTCTTTTCATCTTGCAAAATGGAAACTCTACCCATAAAACAACTTATCTTTCCCCTCTTCCCTCAGCATCTGGCAATCACTATTCTACTTTCTGTCTCTATGATTTTGACTATTCTAGGTATGTCACATGAGTGGAATCAGTATTTTTTTTTGTGACTGAGTTATTTCACTTAGTGTAATGTCATCAAGGTTCATTCACGTGGTAACATTTGTCAGAATTTCCTTCCTTTTTAAGGCTGAATAATATGCCATTGCAAGTATATATATTTTGTTTATCTGTTTGTCTATGGATGGGTACTTGGGTTGCTTCCACATTTTGTTACGGTGAATGTGCTACTATGAACATGGGTTTGCAAATATCTCTTCCAGACCCTGCTTTCAGTTCTTTTGGTTACAGAGATAGCTTCTCGCCTTACGATGAGGCTGTGTGCAGATAAACCCATTGTAAATGGAAAGTGTGTTTTGATATTTTCAATTTAAGATGAGTGTATTGGGATATAACCCCATCGTAAGTCAAGGAACATACTAAATGTATATCACTTTCACACTGTTGTAAAATCAAAAAATCATTAAATTGAACCATCTGAAGTCTGAGACCATCTGTGTTCCCAGAAGTGGAATTGCTAGATCGCATGGTAGTTCTATTTTTAATTTTTTGAGAAAATGCCATAATGTTTTTCATACTGGCCACACCATTCTAAATATCCTCCAACATTGCACGAGGATTCCATTTTTCTACGTCCTCCTCAACACTTTTTTTGTTTGTTTTTGTTTTTTGATAGTAGCTGTCCTAATGGTTGTGAGGTGGAATCTCACTGTGGTTTGAATTTGTATTTCCCTAATGATTAGTGATGTTGAACATCTTTTCATTTGCTTATTGGCCATTTGTGTATCTTCTTTGGAGACCCATAAAAAAGAATTAAAACAAGGACATGCCATAGTCAAATTTAGGTTTTGGAAAGGTCACAATGACATCAAGTTGAAGGTGAATTATAGTGGGAGTGACCAACTGTAGCGCAACCAGTTAGGAGGCGATTGTAGTTTCCGTGTTGATGCTTTGTTACTTTCAAAGAAAAGCCCTCATGCTGGCATTTAATTCTGTCCACATACTGGCCTCGTTGTTCTTTCCAAATTCCCCTCTGTTATGTCTTTTCATGAATTCTATGTCCTTTTCAAGCTGGGTCATATGTCTTATTAGCATTCTTATCTCAAAACTTTGAGGCTTTTTTTTTTTTTTTGGTTACAGAAAATGTACTTATGTCTGGTTTTCTTACCTGGGTATAACTGCATAGTTTTCCTTTAGGACGCATCTTTGTTTCTCTCCTCCATAAATACTCTGATGTCCCCAGTTTGGTGGATTATTTCTCTCTCTCTCCATCTCTCTCTGTCTCTGTCTCTTTCACGGATGGCTGTGGTATTCATGAACACTTACGCATCACTGATAAGTTATATGTGTGGATGGAATTATAAAGTCCTTGAGAGCATAAATGTTTTCTTGTATCTCTATATATCTATGTCATTATATCCAGAACTTATTTGTGTGTGTATATGTGTGTGTGCAGGGTAATGATTAGTAAATGTTTGTTACTGATAATAAAAATGAGTTTGGGAATAGTTTGAATTATGTTGCATTTATACAACTGAAATTACCAGCATAATTTGCCTCTTTATGCACATAAAATTATGGTTCATTAACTTAGTCTCAAAATACAATTACTTTCTCTCAAAATATTCAGATTTTGTAAGCAGTAGAATGCCAAACAATGTTTTAGGAAGGAAAACTAACATTTTTTAACATCTTCTATGGGCCAAACACTATACCAGGCCCTTTACACGTGCTACTTAAACCTCACAGTAATCCTTTGCAGTAGAGATTCATTTTTTTAAAGTGGTTTAGAGAAGTTTGGGGAGATTACAGTAAGAAATGAAAAGTCAGAGAAACTGAGTAGGTAGCTGTTGTACTGGTCCTGGACAGAATGTTCAAGTGCTGAATTAGTCCAGGTTGGTAAGAATGGGGAAGTAGAGAATGGATTCTAGTAATGTTTAGAAGGTAAAATAAACATTTTTGTGTCTAGTTGGAGGAACGAGGAGACAGGAATCTCAAATTTTTGGCTTGAGGCACTCAGTATAATCTGGCACCATTCACCAATGTAAGAAAGAAAAAAAGCAGAACCACAGAGGAACAGAGGAGTGAAAATGTACAAAGAAAAGCAAGTCAAAAATTTAGGAGAGAAGTCTGCTTGAAAAGACAGTCTTAGAGCCATTCAACACATACGTATTGTCAACACCATCCCAATAGTGGGGTTCAGGAACAGCTAGCAATAAGACAGTGCATTATCTGTATAGACTAAAATGAAATAAGAGGTGCTGTTTTTATTATCAAGTGTCACAATGCTTGTGATAAAATGTTCCTCCCTGAAAAAAAATCTGTTATTCTAAATTCTAAACAATTGCTGCAGTTGTTACTGAGTTTTAACAATACATTTGCAAGCTTCAGATTAGCACATTTTTATTCTTTGTTTCTTCACAAACATTATCTTCTTTATTAATTTGGAGAACTCCTGTTATATATTCAGCCCCTGACATGTGTGAAGTCAACTGCATGATTAGTTTCAAGAGTAAGTTTATAATAGTTTGAACTCGCTTTGAGAGCAACTCCTATTTCCATCCCCTGTGATACTACATGTTTCTGCATTTAAACAGTAGATTAGGAAGAAATAATGTTAGCACAGCAAATGGTGAATAAGAAGAAACAGAACTTGGGTTACACCAATTCTGTCATACCATTTGACAACCTGGAATTTTTAATTTGTGTTTGAATTTAAAACAGTAAAACAGAGCATGAAACTGGTAAGTCCTAATTTTAGTTCATATATGAAATATTTTACTGAACATGAATCATATTTTAAAATTTAAATGTATTCTTTATTGTGCATTGCATAAACATTAAAAAGCAAATCAAGAAAATAATGATGACTACTGATGATTTCATGATGATTACTAGAAACAATTTTGTTGTGTAGAGGGAGGGAGTGGTAAATAATGATCTGCACTGAATGTCAAATATGCCAGGTGAGCCGCTGCATATTACACACCTCTAGTGTCTGAAGAGCTGTTCCAGGCCCTGCAGACTTAGCAGCAAATAAAGGCACGAGGGTTTAAAGATTGGCATGGAGAAGATGGCCTAGAGAAAGAATGTAGAAAGGAAGCGAAGATGACCCACTCCAGAGCTGTTAGAAACACAAACTTCCAAGAGGTAGACTGTAGAAGAAGAGGACCCCCCAAAACAAGCAAGAAGCAGATAGAGTGGTGGGAGGAGAGGTAGGAGAGAGTAGAGTCAGGGACATTAGGGGAGAAGTTATGGGAAAGATGGCTGGTCAACAGCATTCAAGTGACTAAGAAGACAAAAAAGAAAATGGCTGGAAAGAACCCTTTCGGTTGACCATTAGGAAGTGGGGGTGAGTTTCTTTAAAAAGTCTTTGCTCTGAATGGGAGAAGTAAGGGCAGTTCAAGGCAGGAGAGCACTATCGAATAGAAGGGGTGTTAAATTATCTTTTCTGATTCTACAGTACATGCAGGTTCATTGTTGAAAATGTGGCCAAAGTTGGAAATTGAAGGAGCTATGAACTCATGTCCCTTGCCTTAATTAGCCTTTGACTATGAAATAGTTATGTCTTCATCATAAATCCTTAAGCCTCTCCTGTGTGCTAACAAAGCCTCAGGCCCACTTCAGAGTGCCCTTATCTTTATTTTGGTCCAGACTATGCGTTTTACTTCTCTCTTACTTCTCCTGCTTCAATTGCCCATGCCTATTGGCCGCAGGCTACCTGGAAAGCCATCACTGCCCGTACTTATGAGAACATTGGTATCTGTGCTGTGCATACCGTCCAGAAACGTCAGGGCTCCATCCAGAGGCAGGCCCTGCTCCAACACTCAGCCAGGTATATGTGGCCAGCTGGGCCTCCAGGGAGCTCAGCCTAGCCCAGAATTGCATTCAGTCTTGGTGAAAACCTCTGTTACCCTTTGGCCACCCCCTCTTCTTCTAAAGGGTGCAACAGAACCTGAGGAACTAATAAATATCCCTTTTGTTTTTCTCCTTTCCCCCAAGTTTCAACCCTTTTCTCTCAAAAGCAATATCCTCTCCCCAAAATGCTACCCTCTCCTCTCTTTTCCATTTAGCCTTTTTCAGATTTTCAATCTCGGATTTTTCCAAACTTTGCCACTTGAGCACAGTTTTCTCTTTACCCATGCATAATTTAGAAGATTTGCTACAGCTTTTCTTCTTCTTCTTTTTTTTTTTTTCCCAAATAAAGTGCCTGCCCTTAAAGGTGAATTCAAATGTGAATTCAAATTCAAATTTCCATCCCTTGTTAAACAGAAAGTACTTGAAACTGAAATTACATTTTTTTTTCTGACTTCTATTCTTCCATTTCATCTTAGGATACATTTTTATTCATGGCTAAAACACCAAGTACTCTACCATGTGTAGAAGCTGTTCTCCAGCAATTTCTGTAAAATGGAGAAAAAAATAATAGAAGAAAATATAAGTTGGCCTTTAATCTTACCAACATATCATGTAGATTCCCTCTTTGTAAGTCCTAGCGCATATTTGATGCTAAATAAATATGTTGGCTAAACATAAAAATATATACAGAAATTGGGATCATACTGTGAATGTATATTTTATCCCATTTTCCATAAAATTAGTAAAATTTTTCTTGACTTTAACTACTCTTTAATTTTACTTTCATCATTCTATTGTATGATTTTGATTATGTAGCATAAATTATTTAATCACTTTCCTATTGCTTACCATTTAGGCATTTTTGTACTGTAATAGATTCCCTAATATAAATATTTGCACGTCTACTAATTTTCTTTGGATTCTGTGTTAGTCAGGGTTCTCTAAAGGGACAGAACTAATAAGATATATGTATATAGGAAGGGGAGTTTATTAGGAGAATTGACTCACAGGGTCGCAAGGTGAAGTTCCACAATAGGTCATCTGCAAGCTGAGGAGCCAGGAAGTCAGTCCGAGTCCCAAAACCTCAAAAGTAGGGAAGCCGACAGTGCAGCCTTCAGTCTGTGGCCGAAGGCCTGAGAGCCCCTGGCAAACAACTGGTGTAAGTCCAAGAGTCCAAAACTGAAGAATTTGAAGTTTGATGTTCAAGGGCAGGAAGCATCCAGCGTGGCAGAAAGATGAAGGCCAGAAGACACAGCAAGTCAAGTCCTTCCACATTCTTCTGCCTGCTTTATTCTAGCCATGCTGGCAGCTGATTAGATGGTGCCCACCCAGACTGAGGTTGGGTCTGCCCCTACCAGACCACTGACTCAAATGTTAATCTCCTTTGGCAACATCCTCACAGACACACCCAGGAATAATACTTCGCATCTGATCCAGCGCGGTGGCTCACACCTGTAATCCCAGCACTTTAGGAGGCCAAGGCAGGCAGATCACCTGAGGTCAGGAGTTGGAGACCAGCCTTACCAACATGGAGAAACCCAGGTCTCTACTAAAAATACAAAATTAGCCAGGCGTGATGGCGTACGCCTGTAATCCCAGCTACTCGGAAGGCTGAAGCAGGAGAATCGCTTGAACCCGGGAGGCAGAGGTTGTGGTGAGCTGTGATCATGCCATTGCACTCCAGCCTGAGCCTGGGCAACAACAGTGAAACTCTGTCTCAAAAAAAAAAAACAACAAAACTTTGCATCCTTCAATCCAATCAAGTTGACACTCAATATTAACTATCACAGATACATTTCCAAAAGTGGAATTACTGGATTAGAAGCCTTAGGACAGTGCTTGGTGCAAAGTAAGTATTCAACAAATATTTGAATATTTGAATGCATATTTGAATATGCAATAAATATTGCAATGATTTGAATGGAGGTTTTTTGATAGTTATTTCTGAATTGTCCTTCAGGATCATTATACATCTGAACATGTCCCTTCAACACTGCCACTGCCTCCCTCTGGACTGAATTTCTCTGTATCATCTCTTGTGTTATCTTTTAGTCTTTGTTAATTTTATAGTAAAAATTGTGTCCTTTTTTTTGTTTCTCTTTTGAGACAGAGTCTGACACTACTATCACCTAGGCTGGAGTGCAGCGGTGTGATCTTGACTCACTGCAACCTCTATCCACCTCCTGGGCTCAAGTGGTCCTCCTGCCTCAGCCTCTTGAGTAGCTAGAACTATAGGCTTGCCACCATGCCCAGCTAATTTTTTTTTTTTTTTTTTGAGACAGGGTCTCATTCTGTTGCCCAGGCTGGAGTGCAGTGACATGATCTCGGCTCACTGCAGCCTCCACCTTCCTGGGTTCAAGTGATTCTCCTGCCTCAGCCTCCCAAGTAGCTGATATTATAGGTGTGTGCCCCCACGCCCGACTAAGTTTCATGTTTTTAGTAGTGGCAGGGTTTCGTCATATTGGCCAGGCTGGTCTCGAACTGCTGGCCTCAAGTGATCTGCCACCTCTTTTAGTCTTTGATAATTTTATAGTAAAAATGGTGTCTTTTTTTTTTTCTTTTTTGAGACAAGGTCTGGCTCTGTCACCTAGGCTGGAGTGCAGTGGTGTGATCTCGACTCACTGCAACCTCTGTTCACCTCCTGGGCTCAAGTGGTCTTCCTCCTCCTGCCTCAGCCTCCCAAGTAGCTAAAACTACAGTCATGCCACCATGCCCAGCTAATTTTTTTTTTTTGGAAACAGGGTCTCATTCTGTTGCCCAGGATGGAGTGCAGTGGTGCAATCTCAGCCCACTGCAGCCTCAGCCTCCTAGGTTTAAGCGATTCTCCTGCCTCAGCCTCCGGAGTAGCTGGGATTACAGGTGTGTGCCCCCATGCCTGACTAAGTTTCGTGTTTTTAGTAGTGACAGGGTTTCATCATGTTGGCCAGGCTGGTCTCGAACTCCTGGCCTCAAGTGATCTGCCACCTTGGCCTCCCAAAGTGCTGGGATTACAGGCGTCAGCCACCATGCCTAGCCTGATTTTTGTATGTTTTTGTAGAGATAGGTTTTTGCCATGTTGCCCAGGCTGGTCTCAAACTCCTGGGCTCAAGTGATCCACTCGCCTCGGACTCCCAAAGTGCTGGGATTACAGGCATGAGCCACTGCGCCCAGCCATTGTTTTTAAAGTTTGTATATCTTTAAATAATAATGAGGCTACCTATATTTCTGTCTCCACATTTGGCCCAATCCTTTTATGAACTGTCTATTCCTGTGTAGAGATTTGCCAAGTATGTTTACAGATTGGTGAGAAGGGATCACAACACATCTTTACTCCAAGTTCCTGGTCTCTTGGTGTTTGTTGTGGGTCTAATTGTGTCCCCCTCCCTGCAAAAAGATATATTCAAGTCCTAGCCCCTGGGGCCTGTAAATATGACCCTATTTGGAATAAGGCCTTTGCAGATATAGTCAAATTAAGATGAAGTCACACTGTATGACTGAAACATGACTGGTGTCTTTTTAAGAAGGGAGAAATGTGGACACAGAGATGCACAGGCACACAGAGGGGAAAATGCCACATGATGATGGAGGTAGAGATTGGAGTGATGCGTCTACAAGCCAAGGGACACCAAGGATCACCAGCAATCACCAGAAACTAGAAGAGAGACATGGAACAGCCCCTCCCTCAGAGTCCCCAAAAGGAACCAACCCTGCCAACACTTTGACTTTTTGGGCTTTTGGCCCCCAGAACTGTGGGATCATACATTTCTTTTGTTGAAGTCACCAGGCGTGTAGTGCTTGTTAAGGCAGCCCTAGGAAACTCCTTACTTGGCTAAGAATTTAGAGCTTACCATAGGTGGCTGCAGGGAGAGGAGGCCTATTAAGCATCCTTTGTCTTGTTTCTCTTGACATTTATTCTCTGAGGGGCATGTTACTGTTGGTGACACTGTTGAGCACATTGTGGCCTAAATCCTTACCTAGGGGTGGGGTGGGAATGCAGTCATTGCCCAAGAGTTCCTGAGCAATAACTCTCCCTTCACTTCCCCAATTCTCTGGAAAACCTATCTCTCTATGATGCCCTTTGCCCATTTTTTCCAAGTAAGATTTTTTACTGTTTCTTATTGATTTGTAGTAAGTCTTTATATATTAAGGAAATCAACTTTTCATTTGAATTCCTTGTTGTAAATATTTTTGTTGTTTGCTTTTTCCCTTTTCATTTTGTTTATTATGTTTTAGGAAGTACACAAGCTTTTGATATTTGTCTGTTTAAATCTGCATCTATGTATCTACGTGCATCTATCGATCGATCTATCATCTATCTATTGATCGATCGATTGATCGATCTACCTACCTACCTGTCTGTCTGTCTATCTACCTACCTACCTACCTACTGCTATCATTTCTAGGTCTTTAAAATTTCAATTGTTTATGCCAGGAAAATCTTCATGTGTTCAGAGAGGGAAAATGTTCATGTGCATTATCTTTAAAAAAATTGATACATAATGTTTGTACAAATTTATGGGGTGCCTGTGATAGTTTGTTACATGCATAAGATGTCTAATGATCAAGGCAGAGTATTTAGGATATCCATCACCTAAAGCATTTATTATTTTTATGTATCGAGAACATTTCAAGACCTCTCTTCTAGCTATTTTGAAATATATAATACATTGTTTTGAACTATCATTAACCCACTCAACTATTGAACATTAGACCTTATTTCTTCTATATAACTCTATGTTTATACCCATTAACCAAAACTCTCTTCATTCCCCTTCTCAACCCTTCCCAGCCTCTAATAACACTCTACTTTCAACCTCCTTGATACTAATTTTTAAGCTCCAACATATAAGTGAGAACTTACAATATTTGTCTTTCTGTGCCTGGTCTATTTCACTTAACATTATTGACCTTCAGTTTCATCCATGTTGGTGCAAATGAAAGGAATTTTTTATGGCTGAGTAGTATTCCATTGTGTATATATGCTACATTTTCTTTATCCATTCATCCATTGATGGACTCTTGGGTTGATTTCATATTTTTGCTATTGTGAATAGTGCTGCAATAAATGTGGGGATGCAATTATCTTTTTGATATACTGATTTTTTAAAAATAGATATCCAATAGAGGAATTGCTAGATTGTATAGTACTTCTACTTTCAGTTTTTTGATAAATCTCCATACTGTTTTTCAAAATGACTGTACCAATTTGCATTCCCTCCAACAATGTTCCTTTTCTCTGCATCCTCACCAGTATCTGCTATTTTTTGTCTTTTTGATAATAGCCACGCTAACTGAGGTAAGATGATATCTCATTGTGGTTCTGATTTGCATTTCCCTGGTGATTAATGGTGTTGAACATTTTTTACATAGCTGTTGGCTATTTGTATGTCTTCTTTTGAGAAATGTGTATTCAGAAACTTTGCCTACTTTTTAATGGGATTATTTGTTTTTTGGCTGTTACTTGAGTTCCTTGTATATTCTGAATATTAGTCCCTTATCTGATGAAATGTTTGCAAATATTCTCTCCCATTGAACAGGTTGTCTTTTCACTCTGTTGATTTTTTCCTTTGCTGTGCAGAAGTAAGCTTTTTAGTTTACTATAGTTCCATTTGTCTATTTATGTTTTTGTTGCCTGTGCTTTTGCAGTCTTAGCCATAAAATATTTGCTTAGGCCAATGACCTGGAGTGTTTCTCCTGTGTTTCTTCAGGTACTTTTATAGTTTTGGGCCTAAACTTGAAGTCTTTAATCCATTTGGAGTTGATTTATGTTTATGGTGAGAGATAGGGATCTAGTTTCATTCTTCTGCATGTGGATATTCAGTTTTCCCAGCACCATTTATTGAAGAAGATGACCTTTCCCCGGTGTATGTTCCTGACTCCTTTGTTGAAAATGAGTTGGCCATAATACATGGATTTATTTCTGGCATCTCGATTCTATTCAATTGGGTTATGCGTGTGTTTTTATACCAATACCATGCTGTTTTTGTTACTATAGTCTTGTAATATATTTGGAAGTCAGGTATTGTGATGCCCCTAGCTTTATTCTTTTTTTCTCAGGATTGCTTTGGCTATTCAGGCACTTTTTGGTTCCATAAAAATTTTAGGACTGTTTTTCTCTTTCTGTGAAGAGGAATGCTGCATTGAATTTATAAATTTTTTTGGGAAGTATTGCCATTTTAACAATATTAATCCTTTCAACCCACGAGCATGAAATCTCTTTTCATTTTCTGATTGTCCTCTTCAATTTCTTTCATCAATGATTTATAATTATCTTTCTATAGAACTTTCACTTCTTTTGTTACATTGATTCCCAGGTATTTAATATTTTTCTAGCTATTGTAAGTAGGATTGCTTTCTTGATTTTTTTAAATATTGTTTACTATTGGTGTATATAAATAGTACTAATTTTTGTATATTGATTTGTATTGTGCAACTTTACTGAATTTATTTATCAGCTCTAAGGGTTTTTTTTTGGTGGAGTCTTTCGGGTTTTTTTTAGGTATAAGATCATGTTATCTGCAACCAAGGCTAATTTGATATCTTCCTTTCCATTTTGGGTGACCTTTATTTCTTTCTCTTGCTTAATTGCTCTGAGTGGAAGTTCTAGTGCTATGTTGACTATGAGTGGTGAAGTTATGTGTCTTTCTATTGCTTCAGTTCTTAGAGGAAAGGCTTTTGACTTTTCCCCATTCAGCATAATGTTGGCTGGGGTTTGTGATATACAGACTTATTATTTTGAGATATGTTCCTTCTATGTCTACTTTGTCAAGAATTTTCAACATGAAGGGATGTTGAATTTTATCAATTTTTTTCTGTGTCTATTGAGATGATCATATGATTTTTTGTGCTTTATTCTATTGATATGATGTATCACATTTATTGATTTTGTATATGTTGAATCATTCTTGCATCCCTGGTATAAATCCTATTTGATCATGGCATATTATCTTTTTGATGTGCTGTTGGACTTAGTTTGCTACTATTATGTTGAAGAGTTTTGCATCTATGTTCATCAGGGATACTGGGCTTAGTTTTCCTTTTTTATTATGTCCTTGTCTGGTTTTGGTATCAGCCTGATGTTGGTCTCATAGTGTGATTTAGGGAGAATTCTTCCTCTTGCAAATTTTTGGAAGTTTCAGGAGTTGTATTAGTTCTTCTTTATACATTTAGTAGAGTTTGGCTATAAATATATCCAGTCCTGGGCTTTTCTTTTTTGGGAAACTTCATTACTTTTTCAGTCTCACTACTCATTACTGGTCTGTTCAGGTTTTTTATTTCTTTCTGATTCTGTCATGGTAGGTTGTAGGTCTCCAGAAATGTGTCCATTTCCTCTAGCTTTTTCAGTTCAATAGCATATGGTTGTATATAATAGTCTCTGATGATACTTTCACTTCCAGATATAGGAACCCCTTAAACATTTCTTGTAGGTCTGGTCTAGTGTCAATGAATCCCCTTATTTTTTCCTTGTCTGGAAAAGACTGTATTTCTTTTTCATTTATAAAGGACAACTTTGCGGGTTATAGTATTTTTGGTCAACATTTTTTCTTCTTCCAGTGCTTTGAATATATCCTATCCTCCCATTCTCTTGGCCTGTAATGCTTTTGCTAAGAAATTCACTGTAGTCTCATGAGGTTTCTTGTATAGGTGACTAGATGCTTTTCTCTTTGTTTTTATAATTCTCTTCTTGTCTTTAACTTTTGACAATTTTCCTATAATGTTCCCTGGAGAAACTTTATGTGTTGTATCTACTTGGGAATCTGCATTAGGCCATTCTTGCATTGCCATAAAGAAATACCTGAGACTGGGGAATATATAAGAAAAGATTGGCTCACTGTTCTGCAGGCTGTGCAGGAAGCATAGCTCCAGCATCTATTTCTGGGGAGGCCTCAGGGAGCTGCTTTACTCATGGTGAAAGGTAAAGCAGGAGAAGGCAACTCACATGGCTAAAACAGGAGAGAGAGAGAGAAGGAAGATGAAGAAGAAGAAGAAGAGGAAGAGGAAGAAGAAGAAGAAGAAAAAGAAGAAGAGAGGAGGAGAGGAGGAGAGAAAGAGAGAAAGAGAGAAAGAGGAGAGATACAGACTTTTTAACAGCCAGGTCTCATGAGAACTCACTCACATTGTGAGGAGAGCACCAAGGGGATGGTGCTAATCCATTCATGAAAAATCCACCTCCATGTTCAGTCACCCCCCACTAGGCCCCACCTCTAATACTGGGGTTTACAATTCAACATGAGATGTGGGCAGGCACCCATCTTCAAACTCTATCAGGATAACTGGGCTTCCTGTATCTGGATGTGTAAATCTCTTGCCAGACTTTAGAAGTTTAAAGCTATTATTTCAATACATAGGTTTTTTTAAAAATGCCTTTGCTCTTCTCTTCACCTTCTGAAATACCCAAAATTTGTATATTTGGTTGCTTTATGATGTCCCATATGCAATGTTGGCTTTCTTCTTTGTTTTTTTTTTTCTGATTGGGTTACTTCAGAAACCTATATTCATGTTTCTTCTGCTTGATCTATTGTTTAAGCTGTTGAATGTATTTTTAATTTCATTCATTGAATTATTCAGTTCCAGGGTTTCTTTTAGGTTCTTTTTTTAAGGTATCTATCTCTGATACATTTCTCATTCGTATCCTGAATTTTTTTCTAATGTTTTTGTGTTTTTTATCTGTGTTTTTAATATCTCACTGAGCTTCTTTAATATTATTATTTTGAATTCTTTACCAAGCATTTCATAATTTTTTTCCATTGAAATTTTTTGCTAGAAAA
Source organism: Homo sapiens (assembly GCF_000001405.40). Taxonomy (NCBI): domain Eukaryota; kingdom Metazoa; phylum Chordata; class Mammalia; order Primates; family Hominidae; genus Homo; species Homo sapiens. Next base: position 136,198,594 of record NC_000007.14, read on the forward strand.
TTATTGTGCTCCTTTGGAGGTGTCATATTCTCTAGATTTTTAAATGTTTCTTCTGTCCTTATTTCAATATGTGCACATCTAGTGTAACAATCATGTCTTCCAGTTTTTTGAATTGTCTTTTGTAGGGGAAGATTTTTCTTAAAGGTGTATCTATGGTGTTGGTTGTGTAGGGCACATTAGGTGTGATTCTGGATGTGTACAGTAGTGTAGTCTCTAAATGATTTATTTGGCTGTAAATAGCATCAGTGGTGTCTGTCATAACCTCAGTGGCTTAGGCTGTGGTTATTAGTGGAGGCTGTGATGAAGCTTTGCTGGGGTCAGGGATGCTAAATGAGCCAGTCCTTGGGTCCCAGTTGTGGCATCAGTGGGTGGAGCATGCCTTTCTTTGCTCCTCTGGTCAATGAATGCAGGCATGTGGTAGGCTAATTCATGGGCCTCCAGGTAGCTTGCTTGGGTGTGGTTGTGTTAATGGTTGACTGGGTGAGTGAGAGGCTGCCTGGACCCCTGGGCAGCATGTATAGGCAATGACGGTAGAAATGGCTAGACAAAACGTAGCCTCCCTGGGCATCACATACTGATGTTAGTGGTGGCAGCAGTGGACTGGATGGGCTGGCCTCCAAGCCTTCAGGTGTCGGGTGAGGGTGGGTGCTGATAGTGGTAATGGCAGTAGGTTGGGTGGGCCTGTCCTCAGGCCCCAGGGAAGAGTGCAGATGCCAGTGGTGGTGAACCAGCAGGGTGATCTCCAGGTTACCAGATGACATACTTTGGCACCAGTGGCAGGTGTTCTGTGTCTGTTGTTAAGTCTGCTGGTCATATGCCCACGGTAATTGGTGGGGTTAGGGTCGGGGAATCCCCAGGCTTCTGGGCAGTGTGCTTTGCCACTGTGGGTAACAGTGCCAGATTGGGTAGGTCTGTCCTTAGGCCCCCCAGTGATGTGCATGGGTGCAGGCTGTGGTGGGCTGGCTTGGGTGATCCCCAGGTCACCAGGAGGCATGCTTGCGAGATGATGGCAGTGGTGGTAATGAGCAGGGATAACTTGTCTTTAGGGTGTGTGCAAGTGCACTATGGTCTTGATGCTGGTGAGGGCAGGGTTGCTCTCAGTGGCAGGCGGCTCTCAGGCTCTGGGGAGTGCACACATTTTTTTCTTTTGTCCCAGGGGGAAGCCTTCCAGGTGTGTTGACTGCCTATTCCCTGGACTGTAGGACATTGTATGAGCTAGAATGCTGGGCATCCTGCCTAACTGCTGGATCCACTGGTGTTGCACCACTGCAGCCCTCTGGGTGGATGCAAGAGGATGTCAGTAGGGCTCCAGGGATACGGAGATGCAGGGGCTGTCAGGATGCAGTCTGGTGGGATCTGAGCTCTCATAATGGTGCTATGCTGTACTTGCTTGGATCTTGGGGGATGTATGGGACCCAGAGTGAGCTCCCTCTCTGGAGTAATGCCATCATTTGGACTCTGGGCTGTTCACTCTTCCAGTCTCAGGGATTGCAAGGGTCGAGGGGCTCTCCCATGGTTAGATTTCAGGAGCCACAGAGAGAATGTGGACTGCTAGGGATCTCTCACTTAAGCTTTCCCCATATTGGAAAGCCTCTCAGAACTCCCAGCTAATCCTGAGCTGGCTGCCTTGATTTTCTCTCCTTCCGTGCCTCAGGTGTTTTCTGTCAGTTTTCTGTTGAATTCCGGTGTTCTCTCTCAGATTCTCTATTTGAAGTGTGATTATCTACTCACTATTTTGGTTCTATTTTGTGGAGTCGGTGAGTGCCAGATGCCTCTAGTCAGTCATCTTGAAGCTAATCCTCGTCTATGTATATTTTCTTATAGTTTAAAATATGTTTTAAACATTTTATTTCCTATAAGTATTTAGTCTGGTGGTGTTTTAATTTTTTTTTTTTTTTTAGCTGAGCCTTCCTTTAAACAAAACTTTACTTGGAAAGCCGAGTGTGTAGAAGTGATACAAGCATAGTTACTTATGCAAAAGTAAAGGGAGAAGCCTAGGATCTGGTATTTCTCCTGCAGTGTCTCCAAGGTAATGCTATGGAATAAATAGAACTTGACTGCATGGTATGAAACCACTGCCTAATATAAAAACCACAATTCTATAAAAACCACAATTCTAATCTAATTAATACTTACAGATAGAATATATGATGTGAAATAAGGATTGACTTTGTCTTTTCACTCCATGAGTGTTCAGCTATTAGAGTTTACTTCCTTTATGTGTTCCCTCAGTTTTATTTTATTTTTTTTTTTTTTGAGATGGAGTGTGGCTCTGTCGCCCAGGCTGGAGTACAATGGTGCGATCTCAGCTCACTGCAACCTCCGCCTCCTGGGTTCAACTGATTCTTCTGTCTCAGCCTCCTGAGTAGCTGTGATTACAGACACCCACCACCATACCTGGCTAATTTTTGTATTGTTAGTAGAGGTGGGGTTTCGCCATGTTGGCCACAGTGGTCTTGAACTCCTGACCTCAAGTGATATGCCCACCTCGACCTCCCGAAGTGCTGGGATTACGAGTGTGAGCCACCGTGCCTGGCCCCCTCATTTTTCCATTTGAGGGAATTGCATTAGAGTAATGCTCCCTGCCCCTAAACCTTATTCACTTCTCCAGGGGCTGAGGAAAGGTGGACGAATCTGAAAGGTAGTTAGGAGAGAAGCTGAACATGCTGGCTTTTTCCTCTCACTCATTTCCTATCTACTGAAGATCTACATTCTGATCTACTCTCTGCAAATGCCACCAGGAAGATGGTCATACAGGAGTTCCCTGTATTTTTTCAGGTTTGTATGTAAGAAAGTTTAATTGTGGGGAGAATTTTGGGGATGCTCATTTGGACCACATATCAAAGCCACATTCTTGAATCCATCTTTTATCAGTAACAAAAGTACTCAAAAGATATTTTGATAGTCATCTCTCAGCTTCTTGGGTATTCCCATCTGGTTTGCTATTCAGATGGACATAAGAGAGCTATTATTATTAGCCCTTAAAGTTCCAACTCATTTTAAAGAATAATTCTTTCCCCATTAAGCTATAATATTATTTTTATTAAATAATAAATCCACATGGCTTCAGGATATTCTCTCTATTCCATTTATCTGCCTTCTAATTTCTTGTTATGATACTCACTAAAAAATTAATAATTAAAGCATTCTTTCTAATAAACTTTAGAATAATTTTATCAAGTTCCAAGAAGTTATCTGGCATTTTAAGTTGATGATAGGCCTATCAATTCAGATAACTAAAATGTTTCAATATTCAGTCTTATCAATACAGAGAGATGTTACATCTTCATTTGTTTCAATAGCTTAGTTAAATTTTTAAACTTTTATTTATTAAAATATTCTACTTTAAGTGTTATTTTCGAAAAGCTTTTAAAAATAGGAATTAGTGTGGAATTTAATAAAGTTTTTGAGATAGTAATTTTCTTTGAACTTTATTTTGTATTGCATAATCTTAATAGGTTTCTTAATATTTCATATCAAATAATCTTTATACATGTGGGTGAATCCTTTTTAATTATGGCATATAATTCTTTTAATATTGCTGAACTATTATTTTGGGTTCATGTTGATTTAGGATTTATGACATGAGTTAATATTGATTTAGGATTCATGTTTTGTGAGAAAAGCGTATGCTTTTTATATATCTTATTCAGGTTTAATATGTCACAAAATTATTAAGTGACTTAATATTTTTGCTCTGGAACAGTTCACATAGTAAGGGGATTATCTATGCTTAAAAAATTTCAAGAGTATTGCCATGAAACCATTTGACCTTTTAGGGAGATAGTTCTCTGATAATTTTTCCCTAGTCCAGTTTATTTTAGTATTATTGCACAACTGGAGAATTCTGAGTTGATTTCCTATGGTAGATGTTTTAGTACATTTTGTTAATTTAAATATTTTCAAATTTAACATCATAAAATTGCTCAGAATATTATCTTGTTTTGGATACCTCTGCTGTTTTGTTGTAGCCACTTTTCAATCATTTTTGATTTTATTGTTTTCTTTATAATGTCTTGTTTATTTTCTGCAATGTTCCTGATAAATGTTCATTAAACAGTTACTGTTTGTTCTCATTTGAAGTAATGTATACTCTTTCTAGAAAATGTGATATGCTACATTTCATTGATTGTTCTAAAAAGATATATTTTATAAATGATCTTTAGAATTTATATCTATACATACATATAGCTGTCAAGAAAAATACATCATTGGCAAAAGGGAACAGATTTGATGATTTTTATAACTTGCCTTTTGTATATAAAATAAATATTTTGAACTTAGAGTTAAATACTCTAATTTTTAAACTCTGGATTAGCAAAAATATCTTAATTGCTTTAAAAATGTCTTATTGTTGAATATTTATTTTGTTTTTAAATCTTTACTATCATAAAAATACTGCAATAAACATACCCAGAACAAAATTCTTAATTATTTTCTTGAGAAAAATTCCTGTTAGTGGGGTTGCTGGGTCAAAGGCTATGAAGCTTTAACAAACTATATATGTGTTTGTGTTAAATATAAATACATATACACTTGATACAATCATGCATCATTTAATGATGAAAATATATTCTGTGAAATACGTTATTAGGCAATTTTGTCATTGTATGAGTATTATAGAATTTAGGTACACAAACTTAGGTGATATAGACTACTATCTAGGCTATATGCTTTAACACCTTGTTCCTAGGCTACAAACCGTTAAAGCACATTACTGTACTGAATACTGCAGGCAGTTGTTAACATTACGGTTAAAATATTTGTGTATCTAAACATATCAAGAGATAGAAAAGATATAGTAAAAATATGGTATAGAAGATACAAAAATGGTACACCTGTAAAGGGCACTTACCATGAATGGAATTTGCAGGACTTGAAAGTTACTCTGGGTGAACGTGATGGCCTAGGACAGTACTGTACATTACTATAGGCTTTATAAATACTGTAAAGTATACTTAGGCTACATTAAATTTATAAAAAATATTTTTTCTTTCTCTAATAATGAATTAATGTTAGCTTGCTGTAACTTTTTTTACATTACAAATGTTTAAATTTTTTACACGTTTGACTGTTGGTAAATAACACTTAGCTGAAAACACAAACACATTGTACAACCGTACTAAATATTTTCTTTCTATATGTCCTATAAGCTTTGTTCTGTTTTAAAAGTTCTTATTTTCTTTACTTTATAAACTTTTTTCTTAAAAACTAAGACACAAACATACACATTAGCCTAGGCCTACACGGAGTCAGGATCATTAGTATCCCCATCTTCCACTTCCGCGTCTTGCTCTGCTAGAGCAAGATCTTCAGAAGCAATTACATGCATGGAGCTGTCATCTCTTATGATAACAATGCCTACTTCTGGAATACTTCCTAAAGGACCTGCCTAAGGCTGTTTTACAGTTAACCATTTTTATAAGTAGAAGGAATACTGATAAAATAATAATAAAAAGTATAGTATATTAAATTCGTAAACCAGTAACATAGTCTTTTATTATTATCAAGTATTAGGCACTGTACACAATTGTATATGTGATACTCTTATATGACTAGCAGTGCAGTAGGTTTGTTTGTGCCAATGTCCTCTTAATCACATGAGTATTGTACTTGTGCTATGACATCAATAGGTGATAGAAATTTTTCAGATCCATAATAATCTTATGGAATCACCACTGTATACACAGTCCCTCATTGACTGAAACACCGTTTTGCAGTGCATGACTGTATACACATAAACATACATATGTATATAGGTATATATGATTTTGTTATACATACATATGTATAGCAAATATATGTATATATAATTTTTTCTTCAAATTGTCCTCCATGAGGTTTCCAGTGATTTGTACTCTTAATAACAACATGTAGAAGTACCCAGTTTCCTGAATAATTTTCAAACTGGATATTATCACTTAAAAACAGTTTCTTTATTTCATATGAAAATATGAAATTTATCTTTTTATTACTAGGGAATTTAGATAGTCCTGTACACATTTGGCATTAATTTTTACCTTTGATTTTATTGCTATCTTAGTAAATCCATATTTTATTTATAACATCTTTACATTCTTTCAAAATGTAAGTCCATCTATTATAAGTGACTTTATTGTACAGAGGAATTGGCTTCCAGGATTGGCCTGAGTACAGTCCTTGGAAAAAAATGTTTAAAACAGGATAAGAATAATCAATATGTTATAATAAGTGCTTGTAACAGTCCAGAGTAAGAGTTGTATACTTACTTATGGTTGATTGAAAACTCTTATAAATTTAATCACCACTATAATAATTTATAAGTGACAGATTTATTCATTCCCATTGTTCTTAAACTTACTGCGAAGTCTTTTAACTTCACTTGTAACAAACTGGATATTAGTGGCCTGTTCGAAATTTGTTTTCAGCTCTGTTTTTCTATATTTGCCATTCAGATCCAGACTCTTCACTTATATTTGGTTATTCTGCTTTACATATTCTAATTTAATGGTTTATTAGTTTTCTTCTTGTCTTTTCTCATTTTTCTTCTTAGTGGTAAATTGAGAGTTCATGTTTTGGGAAATGCTCTTTAATTGATAATCCAGCTATATGTGCCATTTTGTTAATATACATTAAGTACACATACAAATAAATATGTATACATGCACATACCTGTACAAGGAAATATAAAGATTTTACTCTATTTTTATGCCTACAGGAAGATGTCAGTTGAGAAGTAAACTCAGAAACTCTGATGGGACAATTAATGGTTCAAAGCCTGTGAGAAGTTGGAATGGAATGTGTCTAGAGCACAAGAGGAAGTGTTTCTCTGTCTTTTTCTCTCCAGAGAGAGTTTGAGAATTGGCTCACATGATTGTGGAGGCTGGCAAGTTGAAAATTTATAGGGCAGATTGGCAGTCTGGATACCTAGGGAAAAGCTGGTGTTGCAACCAGAATCTGGATGCAGTCTTCTGGCAGAATTCCTCTTCTTCAAAGGAGGTCATTCTTTCTCTTGAGGCCTTCAGCTGAGTGGATAAGGCTCACCGATATTATGGAGGGTAATCTGCTTTACTCAAAGTCTACTGATTTAAATGATAATCTCAACTGAAAAATATCTTCATGGCAACATCCAGATGTGTTTGACCAAATATCTGTGTACCATGACCTAGCCAAGTTGACATATAAAATTAATCATCACAATAATCTAACTTTTTGTTCTTTGTAAACATTTTCTGAGAAAGAGGTGGGAAGTAGGGTTGAATATTTGTCATAGAAACTGTAAGGGAATGTTTAAAAGGGGCAGAGAAAAAGATTTCTGATCTATGCTGAGGTCCCAACTGAGGCTGAAGATCCTAAATCATAGTAGCACAGAGTTTTATAACTGTATTTTCAGGAATACCAAGAAATATAGAGTAGCAAATACCAATGATTAAAAAGCTGTAGGTCTCGGGAAATTATGAGTAGCTGTGGGAGAAAGACAAATCATGACAGAGTTAGCTGTGTTAGAAGTGAAGTTACAGTTATATTATGACAAAGCCTTGACTAGATGCTCACCAATCTCATTTTCTCTTCTTAGACACAAAGGAAATCTACAATTCTCAGCCATTCTTGGAATTAGCTAATGGTTGTATGACTAGGTTCTAGCCAATGAAACATAGGTTCAAGTAACATAATCCACTCTTGGCCTGGCTCTTAAAAATGTCTTCAGCAAAACTTTGACTTTCCATTTTCTTTTCTGCAAAGTACCAGAGGTTGTGTATTTAGAATGGAAGGCTTCTGGATTCTAGAATGACTGCCAAAGAGAGCTGATCAACCTACATTTGACTTTGAGTGAGCAAGAAAAAGCCTTTTATTGTATCAAGCCACCAAGATCTTGGAATTGTCTAATATAGTAGCTAGCATGAATTAACCTTTCTAGCATATATACCACAGGATCCAAGGATGAATGTGAAATCAAGAAGGGAGAAATAATTGAGAGGAAAGAATAAATCCAGGCATGTGAGGTTTAAATGAGGCAGAAGAATAGGCTTTGAGGGAATAGGAGGCCTGGAGCATAGGTGTTTAATGTCAGAAAGCAGTATATTGAAATGCCACGAGTTGGCATTAGAGTGATTTCAAGGTCTGGCCATAGAACTGAATATTGGAGGGAAAATGTAGTGAAGGTTATTAGCATCGAGAGGGCCCTTGCAAAATAAATCATCCAGATGGAATAATGCAGGAGAATACTATCTCTAAACCAATCTTTTAATATCACCTTAAATTCAATATGGAGGCATTTGTGTGTGTGTGTGTGTGTGTGTGTGTGTGTGTGTGTGGGGTGTGTGTGTGTGTACCCTAATCCCAAAGATACCAGTTAAAAATTACGTTGTTTCCATCTAAAGAGCTTTTCAGAAAAACAACAACAAAATTTAAGTGATAATGTTTGTATGGTGATGGGGTACCCTATTATTATCGTTAAGGATTTTAATATCAACTAAAACTTACGTTACTGTTCTCAAATCTATAGATTGTACTGGTAGATAATTATTTATTTAATGCACATCCAACTTCTATATGATGTTTGACATGGTTTGGCTGTGTTCCTACCCAAATCTCATCTTGAATTGTAGTTCCCATAATCTCTATGTTTTTGGGGACCTGGTGAGAGGTAATTAAATCATGGAGGCAGGTCTTTCCTGTGCTATTCTTGCGATAGTGAAGAAGTCTCATGGGATCTGATGGTTTTATAAAGGAGAGTTTCCCTGCACATGCCTTCTTTGCCTGCTACCACGTAAGACATCCCTCTGCTCTTCCTTCATGTTCCACCATGATTGTGAGGCCTCCCCAGCCATGTGGAGCTGTGAGTCCACTAAACCTCTTTCCTTTATAAATTATTCAGTCTTGGGTATGTCTTTATTAGCAGCATGGAAACAGACTAATACAAAGTTGAACCATGGGTAGAATGTGGCTGGATGAAAGATTCTTTTACTTCCACACAACCAATTCTTAGAATGATTTTCTACGTGGGCCACTGCTACATCAGCTCATAATCTGAGTTAGGAAACTTAGTCTTATTATTACCAAATAATAATTACTAGAACTGCTGGTCACATTATTAATGAATATTTTTCTGATTATAGAAGTGATACATGTTTATTGTAGAAAAAGTAGACTATACAAAGAAGTATAAAAAGGAAAATAATTCAACTTTTACGACATTGGCAAATGTTATTTTTGTATGTTTCCCAGCAGATAATTTTTCTGTACAGGAATATACTTTAAAAATATTTTTGGGATTACATTACATTAACATATTTGCTATAGCTCTTTTTTCTCAGTTCCATATGGTGAACAATCATGCCACTAAATTCTTCAAATACAGCATTTATTAACAGCTGTATAATACTGCATCATATGGCTATTTCACAGTTTATTTAATGATGTCTTATCATTAGACGTTTAGTGTTTTCTTTCCTTCTCACTACTGCAATTAATGTTGTGATATACATTTGAATTTAATTTGTCCATTGCACTTCAGATTATTTTCATTAAGACCGTTTTCTATAAATGAAAACCGTGGGAAGAAAGGCCTTTGAATTCTTGAGTTGATGTTTTAGAAATGCATGTATTCAGATAGAACATAGTGAACATGTCCATTTACCCTATATAGAGCTATAGGTTTAACAAAATTCCTATCAAAATCTTAGCAAAGTTTCTTGTTGAGATAGAGAAGATAATTCTAAAATGTATATTGTACCTTCAGAAGGTTTCTGATAGATATTCCCAAATGGCATCACTATAGCAATTAGACTGTTACTAACAGGGACCAAGACCTTGCCTCACTTCATTTTCGTCACTCAGCCCTCAGCATTTCTCTTTAAAATATTTTTCAATTTGGCAAGTATAAACAATTCTTTTCTTTTCTTTCTTTTTTTTCAGAGTCTTGCTCTTGTTGCCCAGGCTGGAGTGCCGTGGCGCGATCTTGGCTCACTGCAACCTCTGCCTCCTGAGCTCAAGTGATTCTCCTGCTTCATCTTGCCGAGTAGCTGGGATTACAGGTGCCCACCACCACACTAGGCTAATTTTTTGTATTTTCAGTAGAGACGGGGTTTCACCACACTGACTAGGCTGGTCACGAACACCTGACCTCAGGTGATCACTCGCCTTGGCCTTCCAAAGTGCTGGGATTACAGGCGTGAGCCACCGCGCCCAGGAACAATTATCTCATTTTAGTTGCAATTTGCATTTCTTTGGTTATGAAGTTGTGCTTTTAAAATTATTACTTCTGTGGATTGTTCTATTCAGGTTTTTAGCATATTGGGAATAACAGTGTTTATTAGTGTGAGTGTTTTTTCTATTAAGAATATTAATTTCTTTTTCTCATTTTTGTTGGTTATATCATGTGCCTTTGAATTTTGTGAACACATTCTTGAGTTGATGTTTTAAAAATGCATGTATTCAGATGGAAAATAGCAAAGATGTCAATTCCCCCTGTGTAGATCTATAGGATTAACATAATTCCTATCAAAATCACTGTGAGATTTCTTGTTGAGATATACAAGATAATCCTAAAATGTATATTTTAGGAAAAGACCATAGGATAGTCAAAATAATTTTGAAAGAGAAGGAAAAAGTAGGATAAATCACTCTTCCTAATGTTAAGGCCTATTAGAAAGCTACAATCAAGACTGGTTTTGGTAGAGGGTAGAACATACACCAATGGAACAAAATGGAGAAATAAAAAATAAACCCAGCCGGGTGCGGTGGCTCATGCCTGTAATCCCAGCAGTTTGGGAGGCCAAGGTGGGCAGATCACCTGAGGTCAGGAGTTCGAGACCAGTCTGGCCAACATGGTGAAACCCCATCTCTACTAAAAATACAAAAATTAGCTGGGCCTGGTGGCGGGAACCTGTAATCCCAGCTACTCATGAGGCTGAGGCAGGAGAATGGCTTGAACCTGGGAGACGGAGGTTGCAGTGAGCCGAGATCGCGCCATTTTACTCCAGCCTGGGCGACAGAGCAAGACTCCGTCTCAAAACAAACAAACAAACAAACAAACAAACCCACATGAATATAACCAATTAATTTTGGGTCAGGAAGCAAAGGTGATTCAGTGGGAGAGGGAAAGCATTTTCAAGAAATGGTGTAGAGCACTGCGACCACCATCAACCAAAAAGAAAAAAGGACTTCAATTAAATCTCACATCTTATACAAAAAGCCTCATAAAATAAATCATGTAGATCATAATACTATAAAACTTTCAGAAACAAACATAGGAGAAAATCTTTGGGACCTAGAACTAAGAAAAGAACTTTTAGACTTGACACCAAAAGCATAGTCTATAAAAGGAAAAATTGATAAATTGAATCCCATCACATTGAAAATACTGGCTCCGTGAAAGCCCAAGTGAAGAGGATGAAAAGACAACCTACAGAGTGGGAGAAAATATTTGCAAACCACATATCTGACATAGAGCTAGTATCTAAAATACATAATACCTATAGAGAGAACTCAGAAAACTCAACAGTAAAAACAAACAATTCAATTAGAAAATGGGCAAAAGACATGAATGTACATATTACCAAAGAGGAAACAGAGATGGTAAATAAGCACATGAAAAGATGTTCAACATCATGAGCCATCAGGGAAATACAAATTAAAACCACAATAAGCTATCACTACATACTATCAGAATGGCTAACATAAAAAATAATAACATCAAATGCAGGGAAACTGGATTACTCACATATTGTTAGTAGAAATGTAAAATATTACAGCTTTTCTGGAAAGAGTTTAGCAATTCCCCCCTCCAGAAAAAGAATAATTACCATATGACCTAACAATTGCATTCTTGGGAATTTAAAACTTAAGAAGGTTTTAACTTAATAGAGAAACATTTTATATGGAAACTTGTACATGAATGTTCATAGAGGCTTTGTTTTTAATAGCAGAAAACTGGAAATTACCCAAATTTCTTTTAAGGGGTGAATGGTTAAATAAACTTTCATATGTCTATACCATGGGATACTACTCAGCAATAAAAGGAAAACTACTGATACATTCAGCAACTTGGAAGAACATGAAGGTAGTTATGCTAAGTGAAAAAAGCCAATCTCAATAGGATACATATTGCATGATTCCATTTACAAAACATTCATATGTTATTATAACTGTAGATAGGGAGAAGGGACTGTTGGTCACCAAGAGTTAGGAATGGGAGGAGGAGGATGTGGATGTGGATAAAAGGATAGTACGAGGGAGCCTGTGGAAATGGAATGCTCACATTTCTTGACTGTGGTGGTTGTTACATAGATCTACATATGTGATAAAATTGCATAGACCCACCCATCACACTGGTGAAATCTGAATTAGCTCTGTGCTTTGTACCAATGTCAGTTTCCTGGTTTTGATAGATACACTATGTTGATGCAAGATGTTACCTACGTAGGGAAGGCTGTGTTAAGTGTACACAGGACCTCCCTGTACATTTCTTAATATCTTCCTGTGAATCTATAATTATTTCAGAATAAAAATTTAAAAATACTGTTTATTCACATTAAAAATATTCATGTAATGTAGGAAAAAACTTAGGAAGATACACACCTAATTAATAATAGATTTTAGTTCTGGGAGGTGTGATAGATTGGCATGGGCAAGGGAAAATGAGTGCTTTCTACTCTATAAAATTGTACTTACAGTATGTGTCACTTTTGCAATTTCACAATTAAAGGATAATTTAAAAAATGTATTTAAACCTATAATTATTTCTGAGTTAACTTCCTCAGAAATAATTATAGGTTTAAATACATTTTCACGTTAGAAGTTATCTGTATTCACCTATATTTTAAAATAGTTGTTTAAGCTTTAGTTTTTTTTAAATAACAAACCTTTAACTTGTTAATTCATTGTAATTTCTTTTAGTGTATGACATGCAGTTTTTACCTAATTTAAAATCATTTAAAAATAGTTAACTGATGCTTTGGCATCATTTGGTCTTCACATTTATTTTGATGGCACATTTATTGTATATTAGGTTCTGATATATACTAGGGTGTGTTTTTGGCTAAACTGTTCAGTTTCTGTTTACATGTTTTTGATTATTGTAGATGTATAATTTTCCTATGTATTATGGAAAATTCTTTGTTATACTGTATTTTTAGAATCTTCTTCTTGGGTAGTATAATCCATTTATCTTCTAGATTAACTTAGGATCTCTTTTTTTATTTTACCAGAGTGGGTTTTGATTGGCACTGAATTAAAATGATAAATTAATTTGTGGAGAATTTACTTCTGTCTTATCTAAGACAGAATATCTGTACAGTTTTTCAAAACTGCTTTTGTGTCTCTATGTTTTTACTTTTCTTTGTAAGTGTATTATACTTTACATTGTAAGATTGCTTGTTAGTATTTTATGTTTTGGGCTACAATTATCAATGATGAGCAGGATTTATCTCCCATTTTCTTTTTTTTTAAGCTGGCTATTGTTAACATGTAAAACTTTATTCTTATGGTCTTATTTTTCATCCAATTATTTTGAAAGTTGTATAATTTTTTGTTGGATTCATGTTCATTGCTTTGTTTTGCTCTAATTCTCTGTTTTTAGTAGATATACAATGACTACTAATGTAGGGAATGATAGCCACTCTTGCCACTAATTTTAGAGAGAATGTGTGTAGTGTCCACAATTGAGATTATTGCTGAATATTGACTTCAGATGTGTCTTATCTGCTATACTTTCCTTTTTTTTAAAAAAAATCAAGAATTGCTATTGAGTTTTTCCAAATGCTTTCAGGGCTTATTAGCATGATCATGCTGTTTCTCTCTATCAACCTATGTTGATAGAGTTACTTATTTTGTGTTTATTGAAATTTTATTTTTAACTAAACTTTGAGTTATAATTTATGTAAAATAAAATACATCATTTAAATAAAAACATCACACAATTTGATAAATTTTGACAGATGTATTTCTCTGTGAAAGCACAGCTGCAATATATTTCCATCATCCCTAATAGATTCTTTGTGCCCCCCTGTAGAAAATCTGTCACTTTGCTCCAGGCTCCAGCCAGTCACTGTTTTGTTTTTATCAGTATAGATTAATTTACATTTTCTAGAATTTTATATACATAGAATCAAAGCAACTGTTATCTCTAGTTTCTTTCACTTAGCAGAATGAGTTTGAGATTTGTCTTAGTTCGCTCATGCTGCTATAACAAAATAACTTAGATTGGGTAATTTATAAACAACAGAAATTTATTCCTCCCAGTTCCGGAGCCTGGGAAGTCCAAGATCAAGGCACCTGCAGATCTGATGTCTGATAAGGACTGGTTTTCTGCTTCAAAGATGGCACCTCGTTGCTGCATCTTCACATGGCATAAGGGGTGAAAGCTTTAAGTTTCTTTGGTAAGAGCACTAATTTCATTCATGAAGGAAGAGCCCTCATGACCTAATCACCTCCTAAAGGGCCCACCTCTTAGTACCCCACAATGGAGATGAGGTGTTTTGTTTTGTTTTGTTTTTAATCTTTTAATTTAAAAGTAAACTTTACTGTGGAAAATGCAAACTTGGGGAGGGCAGAAAGATCACACACAAGGCTGCCTCTTCACACCTGGAGGGTTGCACGGCAGCCGGGCAGAGGCGCTCCGCACTTCCCAGTGGGGCGGGCCAGGCCGAGAAAGGCGCTGCTCACTTCCCAGATGGTGCGGGGGCTGGGCAGAGGCGCTCCTAACTTCCCAGACAGTGCGGTGGCCGAGGGGTGAGGTTTAAATATGAATTTTAAAGGGACACAGACATTCGAAGCATAGCAAGATTCATTTATGTTGTTGCATATTTTAGCATCCTATTCCTTTTTGTTGCTGAGTAGTATTTCACAGTGGGGATATGCCACATATTTTGTTTCTCTAATCACTTGTTGATGGATACGTAGGTTGTTTCAAGTTTGTATCTATTATGCATAAAATTGCTGTAAGCATTCATGCGCACATCTTTTTGATGTGCTATTTCTTTTTGATAAAAACTTATGAATATTCATAAGTGTATGTTTAACACTCAAAAAAAGCCACACATTTTTTCTATGTAGTTTTACTAGTTTACATTCCCATCAACAATATCTGAGAATTCTAATTACTCTACTTCCTCTCCAACATTTTATGTTGTCAACTTTTAAAATTTTAACCATTATAGTGCATGTGTTGTGGTATCATTATAGTTTTAATTTACATTTCCCTGATGAATGATTTTGAGCATCATTTTATGTGACCACTAACAGATTTAATAAACCATCTTGACATTCTTAGGATATACCATCCTTGCTTGTGAAGAATTTAGTATGACCAGCTTCTGAGAGTGTCACCCCGGATACTGTCAGAAGTTGGTCACAATAAAATCATCACAATCATTCCATTCATACCAAAAAGTATATAATATATAATAAGTATACACATATATTATAGCAAATATATAAAATATAGGTATTGATTTGAAATTGTGTTATTCTGTATTACTTTTCTGTTACATACATATAAGAAATGTAAATATAAATACATGCATATTATTTAAAAAGCAATAGAACTAGTTAATGGTTGAAATTAGTAATTAATAATAGGACTAATTAACGAATTGATATAGACAACAAAAATATAACACTATTTTTATAATATTTCTGTTAGAGATTTTAACTCTTTGGATATTCTACTTTTGTAAGTTGTGTTATTGTGTATTCTTAAGCTAAGTAAATAAAATACCTTTAAAAAAATGAACGTAAATAAAATGGGATTAGTTAACCAAACATTATATTTAATAAAATTAATAAAATTAACAATGACATATTTCTTTCTGTTCCATGATACACCAGTAAGATGTTTTTGATATTTCTGTTTTCTTTTCAGTAATATTTCTCTGAAGTGCCAGCAGCCTCCCAGATACTCTTCTCTTCTTTTATGTAGTGGTAGAACTCAAACTGAAATATAAAATTTATTTTGACTTGCATCTCTGCCCCTTTAAGACCACATTACACTGTTTCCTAGTGGCAGTTAAATGAAATGACATCCAGCTAAATATTCTCTCAAAAAAAGTGTTTTAGCATGGAATTCTTAGAATTTTACTCCCTAGTAAACAGCAAATGTTTAGATTTATAGAACTTAGTTTCCACTTCACTAAAAACGCCTATCCAGTTTGTATCTACAGGAGTATTTTGGTAGCTGTTTGTCAATCAAGTTCCTTTCATCTGTAAATCCATCAGGTAGGCCCTCCATGTCTAAAATTTCCCTCATGTTTAGATATTCCAAAACACATTGGATGTTATTATCATAAGTTAAGCCTCTTTTTGTCATGGAAAATGGTTATGAAGCATAGAAGTAATTTGAACTTGTGAAATTGAAGTTGGATTTCATGTAAGTTACCATTTTAGTAAAGAAATGAGAAAGTCCTGTTTAACTTGGTTTCCCTTTTCTAGTGACTTTGTTTTTTCACTTCTGAAACAGCCCTATTTTTTTAAATGACTTTTTTTTGTTTTGCATTGTATGTGTTTTTGTTGCAATCTCCACATAACTTTCAACAGCTCAAGTGCAGTCAGTACATGCTTTCCTGGGTTCCTCATGGTCTCTTCATAGACCACCAAACATTTTTGGAGAAACAGTGCATACATTTCTGTTTCCATACTTCTCTCCATTCTCATCCTCAATGCATTTGCAAATTAGAGAAGGATACTCTTTTTGTCCTATGCTTTGCAAATATGATTTTAGGGCACGCCAATATTTTAACATCTATGGAAAGCAAAAATTATAGTCATCTTGTAGGCACATGTCTAGGGAGGCTACCTCCTTCCATTTCTACAAAGTAAAGAAAACTTAAGTGCTTTTGCACATTTTGAGGAAATTGAAAATTGATCCACAACTTTCATTATGGAAGGGAAGCAAATCACAATCCTTTTAAGCAGTATTGTTTACAAGGTGTGCAGGACATTTAGCCAGCAAGATCTTTAATTTTCTTTGGTAGGAAGTTTATAAGTTGAATGGAATTTGCATATATATAATATGTGTGTGTATGTGTATATATATATACTGTCTGCTGAATATGCAAATAGATAAGTATCTTGATCCATTTTCTGTTGCATATAGCAGAATACATATAAGTGGGTAACTTATAAGAAATAAAATCTATTTCTTATGGTTTTGGAGGCTGCAAAGTCCAAGGTCAATGGGGTGCATCTGGTGAAGACGTTCTTCCTGGTGGGTACTCTGCAGAGTCCTGAGGTGGTGCAAGCCACCACATAGCAAGGGGGCTAAGCGTGCTAACATTCTAGTTTAAGTCTCTCTTCCTCTTCTTAAAAAGCCACCAGTTCTCCTTCCATGATAACCCATCAGTCCATTAACTCATTCATCCATTAGTCCATTCATGTGGGTAGAGCCCTCATGATCCAATCACCTCTTGAAGGCCCCATCTGTCAATATTGTCACATGGATAAATTGCAACATGAGTTTTGGAGGGGACAAATATTCAAGCCAAATGAATGAGCAATGTTTACTTTGTATTTGGACAGGGATCAACAATATTTTATTTATTACTTTTTGTAGTTCCATTAAAATCTTTATAGAAATCAAGATGGAATGGGCATGGTGCCTCACACCTGTAATCCCAGCACTTTGGGAGACTGAGGCAGGCAGATCACTTGAGGTCAGGAGTTTGAGACCAGCCTGGCCAACATGGTGAAACCCCGCCTCTACTAAAAATACAAAAATTAGTTGGGCGTGGTGGCAGGTGCCTGTAATCCCAGCTATTCAGGAGGCTGAGGCGGGAGAATCACTTGAACCTGGGAGGCAGAGGTTGCAGTGAGCTGAGATCGCACCACTGCCCTCCAGCCTGGGCGACAGAGTGAGACTCCATCTCAAAAAACGAATCAACAATAACAACAACAACGACAGAAAAAAAAAAACAAAAAAAAAAAAAGAAAAAAGAAATCAAGATGATTTGAAGCTCCATTTTTCAAATCTAAGTACCTAACAACAGCCAGGGGTAACATTTTATTGTTCTTGTTTCTGTGATGTCTCATGTGAGGTACTATAGAAAGAAGAATCCTTGGTAAGAGTCAGACCTGCCCTGTCAGAGGCTACACATCTGTTATCTAAATTTCCTTTTTTGTTTGCCCAACAGGACATTTTAGTTACAACCTCTGAATCAGGAAATGCAACCTCTGAATCAGGAAATGCAACCTCACTCAGTTTTGTAGAGGAATTGAAGGAGTAGTAAGAAAATGTATGCTCATTCATGTAGTATGCTGAAGCTAATTCAGTGGCCACTTTACAATATTCATAATTCTAAAAAATATGTAAATGAGGAACATCATTGCATGTTTGTAGCTGGCTACCTTGCTGTGATAACCGTTTTGGATCCACATCCCTGGCATTTGGTTTGTGTGGACTGAGCTCCAGAGGAATCAGCCATGGGTCACCCTCCTCCCAGATCACCACATGCCATCAGCTGTCCCAAAGAGTTTAAAAAACAGTTTTAGAACAATTGAATTGTTTGGGCACATTCACTACTTAGGTTATCTAACAGATGATGTTCTAATGTAATAATTCAGTTTTATTCTGTTTTCATCTTTTTTTTTTTAAACCTACTCTGTAAGTCTTAGATTGAAACTATGTAGTCTACCAAGCAGTTATATTTTTAATACTTTGTGCATTTTGGTGTTTATTTCATATATTTAAAGGCTTGGTTATAAGCTTTTAAAGTGAATAAATATCAGGTCTTAATACAGTGGCACGATCTCGGCTCACTGCAAGCTCTGCCTCCCGGGTTCACACCATTCTCCTGTCTCAGCCTCCGGAGTAGCTGGGACTACAGGCGCCCGCCACCACGCCCAGCTATTTTTTTTTTTTTTTTGTATTTTTAGTACAGAAGGGGTTTCACCGTGTTAGACAGGATGGTCTCGATCTCCTGACCTTGTGATCTGCCCGCCTCAGCCTCCCAAAGTGCTGGGATTACAGGCGTGAGCCACCGTGCCCGGCTGTAATATAATTTTTAAGCTATAATTCTATGTTGACTGATACTAGTATTTCCTTTCTTAATTTTATTTGTGCTCAAATGCAGTTTACTTTGCTAATCATTTAAATTTATTGATTCTATGTAATTTATTTTTAATGTGTTTATTATAAGCACTCTGACGTTGAAGTTTATTTTTAAGCCCAATTAAGAAGAGTCTGCATCCTAATAACTTAATATAAATAATTTACATTTATTTTCATAACTTATTTTCTACTTATACCAAATTAAAAGGCCATGCCTGTGTATCTTGTTTTAAATGTTACCAGTGAATGCTTTTCCTATTTTAAGCCACCGAAATATTTCTTTGTATGAAATGTTAAAAAACTTCTCAAAAGTTAAAGAATTTATCTTCCTCTTACTTTTTCCTGATTTTGTCTAATTCCTATTTGAAATAAGATTTTAGTTAGATTTTACTCATTATTTTAAATTACATATTTTCCCTTTTAAAAATCGTTTTAGTACATGCATCTATTGTTGTGCAATTATTAAAATTGACGTTTAAGTCCTCATGCTCACTAGCAGTCCTTTCATACCAGTTTCATCCTTTAAAATTTTTTTTTCTGAATCCTTACATACTCACAAATACCTTGCTTTTGCCCAAACACATGAAAACAGCTTACCTTGATCCACAATTATTTTTACCTACAACCTAAACATTATTTTATTCCATCTCGTTTTAGGTTGTGGAGAAGTCTGAGTTCAGCCTGAAAAACAGATTTTTACCTGATCCAGTCCTAGCTCTGGGCCTGTATTTTAATTAACAATGCACTCTCAATATTTCCTTGCTTGTTTGAAACTCAGTCATGGCTCTGAGACCTCTAGCAACCCCTTCTAGGTGTTAAAGCTCATACACTTTTGCTTTAACTGTAAGTCTTTCTAAGCTGTCTAATGCTGCTACCTTCTATTCAGCATGCTTGCCCTGTACTTATTTAAGTCATGGAAAGATTGCTTTATACTCCATTTAGCTTCTCAAAGGCCAGAAAGGAGAGATTACCACCACAGCATGCACACAGGTCAATATTCCAAATTCAGCCTTAATTGTTCTTTTCGAATCACCAGGGAAACCTCCCTCCTTCCATCAGGTATTTGTTTTTACTGATTAATTACTACCATCTATTTAAAACTAATTTCCTTAGAAACTCCTCTAACTGACTCGTTAATTATGTTTTCCCCAAGCCTGGCCATTGTCAAAGTACTTACTTAGTATTAAAGAGATTATAGTTAGTTTTCCATGAATATTTTAGCACTTTAAAACTGAACATAAAGAACTTTAGAGCAGAGATGAAAGTTAAGGGTACAGAAAGCAAATTGCAGGGTGGTGTGGGAGGCAGAAAAGAAAATTTAAAAGGAAATAAGGGAAAAATATATATGCTTATATTTCCATAATAACATGAAAAACTTTACCTGTAAAATTCTTTAAGAGAGGGTAGTTAAATTGGAAGGAATTTTAGATGAATTTATTTAAACTATAGGATTGAAATGATTAAATCAGAAAATGAAATTGGAAAATAAAAAAATCAAAAGAAGAATGTCCAATGACTTCCACTCTGTGGATTCCCTTAACTCTCGCTGAGAAAGAAAAGGTTAAGAGTGGTTCTCTTTCCTCCAGGACACTGCAGGCAGTTTGTATGAGCATTGGCTGACAGAATTGATAAGCCTGAAGATAAATGAGTTTAAGTAGGGATTTATAATTTACTGATGATTAAACTGAGGAATATTTTTGGGATTTCTGGATGTGTGTGTGTGTGTGTGTGTGTGTGTGTGTGTGTGTAAACCTGCACTTTGTGGATTGATGTGATGCAGCTACACTTAAAGGCAGAAGTTAGTTAATGAGGTATAAAGACTTAGAGGGTCCGAAACTGAGTAAGGTTTCCATGTTAGCTTATACCCTATGCTAGTTGAACAAAACCAGATCTCATCCCAGTGTGGAAGTGCACATTTAGGACCTCCTAAATATTGATGTGATATGTGTGGTAGCTCCTTTTTGGCACTCTTTGCTAATTATCAGCAAAGTTTGATGTGGGGTCAAATTTGTATTTTGTGTGAGTTGATTGGCCATTTGTCCTTTTGCGCTCCTGCAGGCACTCATCCTCGCTTTTGTCCTTTTGTGGGTTATTTTTTTTTTGTCTCTATCAGAAAATGGGTACAGAGACCTTCAGCAGATACAGATGGAGAGACTCAGCCTAATTCTTCTCATCTCCTAATGCCTTTTAGATTCTTAAGGAGGTATAAAAATTTTTCCCAAATAAAAATTGATAAGAAGTATAATTTTATTATCAGAAGTTTACTGTAGACTTTACATGTTATGGTTTTAAAGATATGGTCACAAATTCTTTCATCCTCCTTCCTTCAAAAAATGGAGTTTAATGCCTCTTCCCTTGAAGGTGGGCCAGACTTAGTGATTCACTTTCAACAGAGAATGTGGCAAAAATGATGCTATGTTTCTTCCAAAGCTAGGTTGCAGAGAGGATGCAGCTTCTGCCTGGTTGCTCTTGTTCTTATATTGCCCACACTGGGGCAGACCAGTTACTATGCTGTGAAAATACTCAAGTAGTCCTGTGGAGGGACAGTTTTTCATAGGGAGAAAAACTGAGGCCTCCTACTGAAAACCAGCACCAACATGCCATGAGAGTGAACCACCTAGGAAGCAGATCCCTCAGCCTCAGTTAAGCTTTCAACGACTGCAGCCCTGGCCCTCATCAGACTACAATCTTATGATAGGCGTCAGGCCAGAACCACCCAGTCAAGCTGCTCCTGAATTCCTGACCCTCAGAAATTGTGAAAGATAGTAAGTCATCATTGCTGTTTTAGGTCACTCAGTTTTGGGGTGATGAGCTATACTGCAATAGATAACTAATGCTGATTTTTATCAAAGACCTTGCCAGAAGAAAAAGCTAAAAAAATATAGGAATGGCATTGGGCTCTGTGGGTAGGTGGACACTGAAAAAACTTTTTTGAGAATATTAGGAAAGCCTGAAGGGCTCTGAAGAGACTGTTAGAGAAATTTGAATGCCCTCAGCGAGGCTTTTGGGAAGGGCTTATAGGAAAGAAAGAAAAATTATTTTTGGAAACTAGAAGAAAGGGGATCCTTGCCAACTTGTGGCAGGAAGTTTAGCAACATTGTCACCTGTGGTAATGCGGTAAAGGCACTTTAATCAATGGGGATATCTAGTTAAGGAGATTTCTGGGCAGAGTGTTGAAGGTGCCTCCTGTTCTTCTCTTCTTGCGTCTAGTAAAATACAAGAGGAGAGAAACAAGTCAGAGAAAAATTATAATATATAAAGCAGTGAAGACCTGGTGGGTTTTAAAGTTTGCAGCCTCTTTGGATGGCAAACAATGCTAAAATTTAAAAAAATTGGCTTTTGAACAAAGATCAAATTCAGGGTACTCTCAGGAAGATATAGTATAAAGATGAACCTGAGGGTGTGACTATAATATGCTTTGTGAAGAAGTTAGAGAACCAGATGGTGAGATAAAAGGCCCTCTAAGGAATTTAAGGGTGGGCAACTTCATAACGAACCCGAGCCAGGACCACTTAGCTAAGCCACTCCTGAATTTTTAACCTACAGACAAATCACGAGAGATAATAAATATTTACTGCTGCTTTAAACCATTAAGGTTTGGTTTAATTTGCTGTGTAGCAATAGATAATAAGTTGCCACTGACTTTTAATTATTGTAAAATCAATGAGGAGATGTCTGGCCTCATAGAAGATTTACCTGACATGAATCAGCCCTCTTCCTGATTCTAACATATAGAAATGATGGAAAAACTACAAAAAGCTTGAATAAAATAGTCATGTAACTGAGAAAATGGAATCCCTAGATAATAAAAACATAGAGAGAAATCACAGTCATTTGGGAAGGGTAAAGTGAACGTAGTAACCTGGCCCATTGAGGTTTATGAGATATAGGATTGTGTAAAGGATGAGGCTGAAGTTTTCATGCAGGGTCAGCAGCTGGAAACAAGTCCAATTGTATAAGGCCAAGAGCCTACAAGGGTGCACTCTCTTCACAAATATAAAGTTTGACTTTCCAGCCTGGAAAAGCAACAAAGAAACTTGTTAAACATTCAAGACTTTTTCATCCACTGATTATTCTTTGTCCCTTTGTTATGAGAGAGTTCTTTGAAAACAAAGCAAAGCAAGTGCATGAAAGGAATACTGAGGCTATTTTCTCCAGGTGACACACTTATGACAAAGCTCATTCTTAGGCAGTCTGTCTTCTATCTCTCTATAAGAATATGTATTACTATTTATTTAAATTGAAAATGACAATCATACAAAGTATGTTTGATATGGTCCATTCTTTTGACAATGAGGCAGAGTCAGCACTAGGGAGAGGTAAATAAGGTGCCCAGAGCACAGAATTTAAGGAAACATCACCCTGAATGTGATGCCTCTTTAAATTTTGTACCCTAAACACCTCACTTGTTTAAGCCTAGTCCAAAATCAGCCTTTGCAACAAGATGACATGGCAGGAATTTTCCATACATTGAATGAGCTAAATAAGTATGTCCATGGTATTGAAGAAAATATATTTAAAACAAATGATAAAATAAAAGCATTTTATCAGATTCCTGGGCAAGATGGCCAAATAGGAACAGCTTCATTCTGCAGCTCCCAGTGAGACCAACACAGAAGGCAGGTGATTTCTGCATTTCCAACTGAGGTACCCAGTTCATTGCATTGGGACTGGTTAGCCAGTGGGTGCAGCCCACGGAGGGTGAGCAGAAGCAGGGTGGGGCATTGCCTCATCAGGGAAGCACAAGGGGTCAGGCAATTCCCCTGACCAAGGGAGGCCATGAGGGACTGTGCTGTAAGGGACGGTGCTATCCAGCCCAGCTTTTCCCATGGTCTTCATAACCCACAGACCAGGAAATTCCCTCGGGTGCCTACACCACAAAGGCCCTGGGTTTCAAGCACAAACCTGGGTGGCCCATTTGGGCAGACACTGAGATAGCTTCAGGAGTTTTTTTTTTTGTTTTTTTTTTTAATACCCCAGTGGCACCTGGAAAACTAGAGAGACAGAACTGTTCATTCCCCTGGAAAGGGGGTTAAAGCCAGGGAGCCAAGTGGTCTTGCTCAGCAGATCCCACCCCCATACCCCCATGGAGCCCAGCAAGCTAAGATCCACTGGCTTGAAATTCTTGCTGCCAGCACAGCAGTCTGAAGTTGACCTGGGATGCTCGAGCTTGGTGGGGGGAGGGGCATCCACCATTACTGAGGCTTGAGTGTGGCTTTCCCCTCACAGTGTAAACAAAGCCACTGGGAAGTTTGGACTGGGCAGAGCCCACCTCAGTGCTGCAAAGCCACTGTAGCCAGACTGCCTCTCTAGATTCCTCCTCTCTGGGCAGGGCATCTCTGAAAGAAAGGCAGCAGTCCCAGTCAGGGGCTTATAGATAAAACTCCCATCTCTGTGGGACAGAGCACCTGGGGAAAGGAGCAACTGTGGGCACAGCTTCAGCAGACTTAAACATTCCTGCCTGCCAGCTATGAAGATAGCAGTGGATGTCCCAGCACAGTGTTCGAGCTCTGCTAAGGGACAGACTGCCTCCTCAAGTGGGTCCCTGACTCCTGTGCCTCCTGAAGTGGAGACAACTCCCAGCAGGAATTGACAGACACCTCATACAGGAGAGCTCTGGCTGGCATCTGGTGGGTGCCCCTCTGATACGAAGCTTCCAGAGGAAGGAGCAGGCAGCAATCTTTGCTGTTATGCAGTCTCCGCTGGTGATACCCAGGCAAACAGGGTCTGGAGTGGATCCCAGCAAACTCCAGCAGACCTGCAGAAGAAGGGCCTCACTCTTAGAAGGAAAACTAACAAACAGAAAGTAATAGCATCAACATGAACAAAAAGGATGATCATGCAAAAACTTCATCTGAAGATCACCAACAGCAAAGACTAAAGGTATATAAATCCTTGAAGGTGAGGAAAAACCAGAACAAAAAGGCTGAAAATTCCAAAAACCAGAGTGCCTCTTCTCCAAAGGATCACAACTCCTCACAAGCAAGGGAACAAAACTGGATGGAGAATGAGTTTGATGAATTGACAGAAGTAGGCTTCAGAAGATGGGTAATAACAAACTCCTCTGAGCTAAAGGAGCATGTTCTAACCCAATGCAAGGAAACTAAGAACCATGATAAAAGGTTAGAGGAATTGCTAACTAGAATGACCAGTTTAGAGAAGTACATAAATGACCTGATGGAGCTGAAAAACAGAGCACGAGAACTTCATGAAGCATATGCAAGTATCATAGCCAAACTGATCAAGCAGAAGAAGGGATATTAGAGATAAAGCGTGAAGACAAGATTAGAGAAAAAAGAATGAAAAAGAACAAACAAAGCCTCCAAGAATTATGGGACTATGTGAAAAGACCAAACCTACATTTGATTGGTGTTGGTGTACCTGAAAGTGATGGGGAGAATGGAACCAAGTTGGAAAACACACTTCAGGATATTATCCAGGAGAACTTCCCCAACGTAGCAAGACAGGCCAACATTCAAATTCAGAAAATACAGAGAACACCACAAAGATACTCCTCGAGAAGAGCAACCCCAAGACACATAATCGTCAGATTCACCAAGGTTGAAATGAAGGAAAAAATGTTAAGGGCAGCCAGAGAGAAAGACTGGGTTACCCACAAAGGGAAGCCCATCAGACTAACAGGTGATCTCTCTGCAGAAACTCTACAATCCAGAAGAGAGTGGCGGTCAATATTCAACATTCTTAAAGAAAAGAATTTTCAACCCAGAATTTCATATCAAGCCAAACTAAGCTTCATAAGTGAAGGAGAAATAAAATCCTTTACAGACAAGCAAATCCTGAGGGATATTTTCACCACCAGGCCTGCCTTACAAGAGCTCCTGAAGGAAGCACTAAATATGGAAAGGAAAACCAGTACCAGCCACTGAAAAACAAACCAAAATGTAAAAACCATTGACACTATGAAAAAACTGCATCACCTAATGGGCAAAATAACCAGCTAGTATCATAATAACAGGATCAAATGCACACATAACAATATTAACCTTAAATGTAAATGGGCTAAATGCCCCAATTAAAAGGCACATATTGGCAAATTGGATAAAGAGTCAAGACCCAGGAGTGTGCTGTATTCAGGAGACACACCCCATCAAGCTACCATTGACTTTCCTCACAAAATTAGAAAAAACTTCTTTAAATTTCATATGGAACACAAAAAGATGCCATACAGCCAAGACAATCCTAAGCCAAAAGAACAAAGCTGGAGGCATCATGCTACCTGACTTCAAACTGTACTACAAAGCTACAGTAACCAAAATAGCATAGTACTGGTACCAAAACAGATATATAGACCAATTGAACAAAACAGAGGCCTCAGAAATAACACCACACATCTACAACCACCTGATCTTTGATAAACCTGACAAAAACAAGAAATGGGGAAAGGGTTCCCTATTTAATAAATGATGGTGGGAAAACTGGCTAGCCGTAGGAATAAAACTGAAACTGGGCCCCTTCCTTACACCTTATACAAAAATTAACTCAAAATGGATTAAAGATTTAAACAGGGCCACACACGGTGGCTCACACCTGTAATTCCAGCACTTTGGGAGGACGAGGTGGGTGGATCACGAGGTCAGGAGATCGAGACCATCCTGGCTAACATGGTGAAAATTTTTTGTGAAAATACAAAAAATTAGCTGGGTGTGGTGGCAGGTGCCTGTAGTCCCAGCTACTCGGGAGGCTGAGGCAGGAGAATGGCGTGAACCCAGGAGGTGGAACTTGCAGTGAGCCGAGATTGTGCCACTGCACTCCAACCTGGGCAACAGAGCAAGACTCCATCTCAAAAAAAAAAAATGATTTAAACAGAAGACCTAAAACCATAAAAATCCTAGAAGAAAACCTAGGCAATACCATTCAGGACATAGGCATAGGCAAAGACTTCATGAGTAAAACACCAAAAGCAAGGGCAACAAAAGCCAAAACTGACAAATGGGATCTAATTAAAGAGCTTCTGCACAGCAAAAGAAACTATCATCAGAGTGAATAGGCAACCTACAGAATGGGAGAAAATTTTTGCAATCTATCCATATGACAAAGGGCTAATATCCAGCATCTACAAGGAACTTAAACAAATTTACAAGAAAAAAACAAACAACCCCATCAAAAAGTGGGCAAAGGATATGAACAGACACTTCTCAACAGAAGACATTCATGCATCCAACAAACATGTAAAAAAGCTCATCATCACTGGTCATTAGAAAAGTGCAAATCAAAACCACAATGAGATACCATGCCAGTTAGAATGGCGATCATTAAAAAGTCAGGAAACAGCAGATGGCTTTTACACTGTTGGTGGGAGTGTAAATTAGTTCAACTATTGTGGAAGACAGTGTGGTGATTCCTCAAGAAATACCATTTGACCCAGAAATCCCATTACTTGGTGTATACCCATAGGATTATAAATTATGCTACTCTAAAGACACATGCACATGTATGTTTGTTGCACCACTATTCACAATAGCAAAGACTTGGAACCAACCCAAATGTCCATCAGTGTTAGACTGGGTAAAGAAATTGTGGCACATATACACTATGGAATGCTATGCAGCCATAAAAAAGAATGAGTTTATGTCCTTTGCAGGGGCATGGATGAAGCTGGAAACCATCATTCTCAGTAAACTCACAGGAACAGAAAACCAAACACCACATGTTCTCACTCATAAGTGGCAGTTGAACAATGAGAACATATGGCCACAGGGAGGGGAACATCAAACACTGGGGCCTGTCAGGGAGTTGGGGGCAAGGAGGGATACCATTAAAAGAAATACCTAATGTAGATGATGGGATGATGGGTGCAACAAACCACCATGGCACGTGTATATCTATGTAACAAACCTGCATGTTCCGCTCATATATCCCAGAACTTAAAGTATAATAAAAAAAGTGAAAAAAAGCATTTTATTAAAAATATTTTGACAATGGTTGTTATAAGTAACTATGTTTCCATTTTTCAACCTAGTTTGACTATAATTGCATTAAACAAAGTACTGTAACTTGAGAGAGAAATACTTATAATTTGTCGTTTTATGAAAAATCTTGGTTAAAAACCTTTTTGACTTTCCAAAAATTGAAAAGTGAATGACACAGCTGACTGGGTTATAAATCCTTTTGCAAGTCAGGTGTTTTCTAGTTTTAAACAAATTTAAAATCAAATTTAAGAGTTTATTAATGTATGGCCATAGGTCACTATAAGATTTTTTTGGGGGGGATATATATTTCAAAGAATTGTATAACATTATTTTAAAAAATTTATTTTATTTTCATATATTTACTTATATGAATACGTTTTCTTGAGCTTATATTCATACAAATGAGTTACAACTCAAAGAAAACCTAGCAGAAAACTTTAATAGATAGAGTATTTTGGTAATAGGAAATAAAAATAACTTGTATTTTGTTTACCAATTTTAATTCATTTTTATTTAACGTATCTTCTTTTTTCACACAGAAGTATGTCAAGATAATACACAAAAACTTTGAAACTTGAAAACATATTACATAGGATAAAATGTTGTGAGGCAAGTGAACTGGAAATTTGAGTTCATGAATAAAAAGGAATGATGTAGAATTGTGACTACTAAAAAAGATAGTTTCTAAATTTGCTGTTTGCTAAAATAGCAAATAGCAAATAGATATTTGATAAAATAGCAAATAGCAAACAGATATTTGCTAAAATAGCAAACAGATATTTGCTAAAAAATGCATGCAGTGGCTATCATCTATGTCAAGAAAGTTACTTAACAGTTAAACTGATTACAGTGATATTTATGTAAATATAATGTTAAATATTTTGGGAAACTTTACATTGGAATATACATAGAATAATGTAGAAAAATGTTACGTGTACAAATCAATAACTTTTAATGAAATTAACACTCTCCCATATAATTTTAAAACCCAGATTGAGTCCGCATGCCAAGAGACTTCCTCATGATACCCCATGGTCATTAACCTCTCTCCAAAGGTACCATGGTTTGACTTTCCTAACTTCTGTCACTGTACCTTAGCGTAACAGTTTATTTATTTATTGGCTGTGTAACAGTTTTATTTTTATGTCAATGTTTTAAAAACATTGGAAATCACAACTTTATAACTGCTTCAGCTTATGATAAAAATATAGATATTGAAAATATCTGAAGGTCCATTTTTTTAATAAAATTAGGAGTTATCTGAGCCAGTGCAATGTGACAAGAAAAAAATGAAGCGGGAGGATTTTCAATAAGGAAGGAAGGAGGGAAGAAAAGTAAGAAACACAGAAAGAAAAAAGATGTTGGATGTGCATAATATGATTGACTATGTCTTAAGTTCAAAAGAATCTTGAAAATGTTGAAACTAAACTGATCTAGAAATTTGAAAGATGACTGAGAGGAAAAACTTGTTTCTATATGGACTTGTGATGAATATATTGCTACTATTCTTATTTCTTACTATAAATATTAAATTTAGATGAAAGAAACTGAAATCTTACAGTCA
This sequence comes from Homo sapiens, assembly GCF_000001405.40. Taxonomy (NCBI): domain Eukaryota; kingdom Metazoa; phylum Chordata; class Mammalia; order Primates; family Hominidae; genus Homo; species Homo sapiens. The sequence goes on from NC_000007.14 coordinate 136,228,112, forward strand.
GCATAATATTATTTATAACATGACACATTAACAACATGACACAGTTGCTAAGGTAGCATAATTGTTTGTCTAATTTTTATCAAAGCAGAAATAAACTAGCTTGAGGTTTTTAAATAACAGTTTACATAACAATAAACATTCAGTTGGCTCATGATTCTGTTGTGTTCAGCTGACTTGTGCTGGGATAGACAGGTCTCTGCCAGGCTTCTCATGTATTTATGGTCAGCTGAAGATTTACTGAATGGGGCTGGGCATGCTCACATGGAGGGCTGGAAGGCTATTGGCTGATCGAGGCTGGCCTTAGCTGGGACGTGGCGGTAACTGGGCTGTATTCCAGTCAAGCTAGCCCAGGCATATTGTTTTGGTGGTGGAGGAGGTTGAAGAGTTCAAGAGTTTTAAATTAAACAAAACAAAACAAAAACAGTGCAGAGTTATAATTATCCTAATCAAAGATGCCTCAAAATTTAAGTGTATACACAGATACGCCAGAGGGAGATTCATTCTAATGTCTGCCAAAAAACAAGTTAAAGTGACAGTACAAGTTAATGAGTTGATAGTCTCTAATATATTACAATTTGGTGTATGACATATTTGGGTGTGCTAGTCTTTTAATTAAAGTTTTTAAAACATTTACAATTTATTTAAATAATGATATTTAAGACAATTTTTTTTAGGATTCTTTGGAAAAAAATTCACAATCCTCTAATGGTCAATGGAACATGACTTGAAAATGTCAGTAATTCATTTCATTGATGAAAAAACTGAGACCCAGAAAGACTAAGTGACTTGTTCGAATGCTACACTTATGAAGCTGCAGATACGTGATGAGACCCCCAACCAGCTATTACCCATCTGATCTTTTTCTAACACGCCACAAAATGTATCTATGGGTAATCCCTATGCTTTTCTGTTTAAGTAAAAATATAAAGTGATATAATACCTGGAAATAACTTGACACAGTAAACAGAAGGGTTGAGAACAAATACAAAATATTTTTTTTCTAAAATTGTATAAATAGCTGATGAACAGACTGGGCGTGATGGCTCACGCCTGTAATCCCAGCACTTTGGGAGGCTGAGGCAGGCAGATCACCTGAGGTCGGGAGTTCGAAACCACCCTGACCAACATGGAAAAACCTGGTCTCTACTAAAAATACAAAATCAGCCGAGCATGGTGGTGCATGCCTGTAATCCCAGCTACTTGGGAGAGTTGAGGCAGGAGAGTCAGTTGAACCTGGGAGGCAGAGGTTGTCGTGAGCCATTGCACTCCAGCCTGGGCAACAAGAGCGAAACTCCGTCTCAAAAATATATATATATATAAGTGTATGTTCATCAGATATATATTTTATTTATATATATATATACACACACACACTTTTGAAAAGAGATATATGTTCTATGCATTATGAGTTACTTAAGCCATTGTGTTGGCAGTACATTATATTGCAAGCTATTCAAGTCTTAATTTTTATATTTATCAGCACATAAATTTGATCATGTGTGAACAATGGAATATACGTAGTTATATGCTAGTAGATATTTACAACTGTTTCTCTGAAAACCAAAAGTAGCCATTATTGTAACGTGTATTTTTGTGATATAAATATTCCCATTATGGCTGGTTTCAAACTGCCAACATGATGACAGTGAACACAGAGCTGGGAAGAGAAGCTCACAGTAGGTTCTGGTCAGCCAGTGAGAGTCAGCTGCAGCATGTCACTCACCCTTTTTCCTAAGTTGTTTGTTGTAATGCATGCCCATCTGTATGAATTCCTCAGTAATTCAGACTTATTCATATGCATTGGAAACTTGACTGATATAGAGCTCTTCCTCAAAGATTCTTGGTTGTGTTGCTATTGTCATCATGATGCCATCTGCAGCTCTATCCCTCTCCTTACAAGGCAGCATAATGTGGTTATGCTGTAAATGTAACTTCTGAGACTATCTCCATATGTGAAAACCAGAATAATAATACCCGCCTTTTCTACTTCATCATGTATTGAATGTAAAATGCTTTACAAATAATGATTAATTTTATCTTCCCTCTTGCTTTCTGTTTTCCTTTGGCACAATACTTTTAATCCATGGCCTTAGATCTTCAAACTCAGTGTAAGTTATATTCTGAGATACTTGAATTTAATGAGATTTACCTAATGAAGACAACTTACCTTTGATTAGCTGGTAAAATCTTTTGTCTAGCTCTAAAAACGGCAGGGTTGCTGTCAGCTAACCATGTCCTAACCCTCAGCTTTGTGGTTGAATGCTTCAGTTGCTTCTTTTTCCAAATCAATGGAGCCAATTAGTTCACTGATCTTTATGAAAATGAAAATAACAAGAAGAGTTGCATTTTCTGTCTTCCTCTTACCTATATGAACATTTATCAAAACTGACCCCAGTTTGTTTTTAGTGAAGTGTCAACAGGTATGTGTATGTTTGAATGTATGTATTTGGGATAAGGAAGGCATCTGAGAGAGGACTCTATGCTTAAAAAGTAAACTTTATGGAGAAAGATTCTAATATTTCTAGAAGCTAATTCTTACTTGTGTGCTACGGACAATAGAAATATTTGGTCTATTTCACTTACTTCCCTTACCATATGTTGTTTTCCTTGCAGCATTTGGTGCTACTGTTGACTAGCTCCTTGAAATATTTTTCTTGATGGTTTCCTTGACACTGTTCTCATAATTCTCCTCCTACCTTCTCAGTTTATCCTTATCAATTGCTTTATTGGACTCCTCTTTCTTTGCCTGTCCTTAAAATACCATAAATTTTTGAATGACATTCATTTGTTTTTTCCTTCCCAATTCTGCATACCTTTCTTAGCCACACATAATCTTACCATCTTTCTGCTCCTGGAACCCCACCCTGTTTTGCCTATGGTCCCCCCATTCACTTACCATTTCTAACTGGCTGTTGCTCATGGTATGTCATGATAAGTAGGAGGAGAAAAGTGAGCTTACTAATTCTCTACTGTAACTTTACTGTAATTTCCTTGGTTCATAAGTGGAAATCAGAAATAAAGTTACCTTTAACAAAGATTAAAACAAACTTCACTGAAAAAGAATGGTATTGCCAAATTATTGTATCAGTCTTTACCAGTGTTGAGCTTTAGGTTTATTTAATTGTTACATCACTTGTTTTTCTCTACTTTTAATGACTAGTACATATGGAATAAAACAACCATGTTCTTGATGGGTGATATGGTTTGGATTTGTGTCCCCACCCAAATCTCATGTTGAATTGTAATCTCCAGTGTGGGAGGAAGGGCCTGGTGGGAAGTGACTGGATCATGGGGGTGGTTTCTAAAGGTTTAGTACCATCTCCCTAATGCTGTCTTGTACAGTTCTCCCAAGAACTGCTTGTTTAAAAGTGAATAGTACCCTCTGTCCCCTCTCTCTCCTACTGGCCATGTGAAGATGTGCTTGCTTCCCCTTCACCTTCTGCCATGATTGTAAGTTTCCTGAGGCCTCCCCAGAAGCAGAATCCTGTAGAGCCAGCAGAACCACAAGCTGATTAAACCTCTTTTCTTTATAAATTATCCAGTTTTGGGTATTTATTTATAGTAGGGTGAGAATAGACTAATATAGTGGGTATGGAAGGAAAAGGATTTTGGTGAAAAGATTTTGAAGTGAGGAAAAACAAACTTGAAAGCACATTAGACTACATCTTCTTGTCTTTACTTGGTCTCTCCTTTCTATGTCCTCTTACGGAGAACTAGGTTGGAGTTTTAGTTTTCCTTTTCTCCCAAGTGTAACTTGGAAGTCATGAAACTTCAAAATCTATCTTGAGTTTTTAGGGAGGATGAAAGCAGTTCAGAAATGTTCTCTCCTTCCTAGTCAGCTGTACTAGTGTTAATTTTTTTCATAAAGTATAATGTAAAATTGTGTCTAAAAACATTTTTAAAATGTATATCATCAATTTACTGAAAGTTATGTCTGCTTACAAATTATATAGTATCCTAGTCCTTTTCCTGGAACTGTAGTTTTGGTGGGTTTTTTTGGTACCATTCATTTATATGCTAAATGTGGTAGAAAATGTATAAAATCATAGCAGGTAAACTTTCTTGTCTGTGTTTTGACCTTGCTTTTTAAATCTGCAGTCAATTAGAGGAAAATGTTCTTAATTTCTTAGTTTCTACCAGTTACCTGCCTCTCTCAAATGCATCCCCAGAACCTAGAAGTTTATTGTGCACTGTTCTAATTTGAAAGCTGTTGTCATCTAGTTTTATTTTCTAAGACTAACGTTTAGAATCCTCTTGATTCACCCCACAGGTTTTCATTCAATACACACATTGACTATCTTCCTTATGTTAGTCACTGTGGTAGGTGCTTAGAATACAAAGTTGTGTAAGTCATGGTCCCTGTCCTCAAAAGTACCTCATCATCCAGTAGGGAGACAGGCATAAAAACAGGAAATTACATTACAGAATGATAAGTGCCATTAGAAAGGAGAGCACAAGGGACAGTGATCCAAGGAAGAGAATTAATTTTGCCTGGAGAGTAGGGAGAGCTTCTGCCTTAAGGAAGGTCGTGCTTGAATTATTCCTTGAATGATGAGTGGATTTAGTACTCTCTGTTCAAGAGTCCCAATTAACAGGTTGATACCAAAGAGGCCAGGTCTTCCCTTCAATGGAGGACATTAAAATGATTCTCAGTTAGAACATAATGTGTGTTCTGATACAGTTCCTCTGTGGAGCTAGTCCTTAAAGTTATATAAATTTGTAACTCCTAGTTTAAGGTGACTCTTGAGTTACACTTTGGGTTTTTATTTCCCTACTCTCTGCATATGGATTTTCTTCTATCACTCAATCATCATTCTCTTAATGCTTTTAAAAGGGTTATTGTGGTAGGCAGAATAATGATCCCTCCTCCAAAGATGCACCCCCAGTCTCCAGATCCTGTGAATATATACTTTACATGCAAAAGGGGCATTAAAGTGGCAGGTAGAATTAATTATTGCTAGTTATCTGACCTTAAAATAACATTATCCTGGATTAATTTGGAGGGCCCAAGGTAACCAAGGGTTCTTAGGTGTAGAAAAAGAAGGCAGAGGGCTGTCAGAATGATATGATGTGGGAAAGACTCAACTGGCCATTGCTGACCTTGAAAATGGAAGAAAAGGCCACAGTTAAAGAGTGCTGATAGCCTCCAGAAGCTGGAAAAGTCAAGGGAATGAGCTCTACCCTGAAGCCTCCAGAAAGAATGCAGCCCAGCCAACACCTTGATTTTAGCCCAGTGGACTCATTTGGACCTTTTGACCTTGAAGACTGTAAGAGAATAAATTTTTGTTATTTTAAACCATCCAGTTGGTGGTAATTTGTTACAGCAGCAATTGGAAACTAATGCAGCTGCTAAAGTCTGTCCTCAATTATTACTTCTCATCTTACACATTGCTCACACTCCATTCTGCCTCATGGCTTTACAGAGCTCCCTTGCTTCTTTATACCTCCAACTGTCTACCAGGGCCCAGGTTCTCCAGGTTCATTTGTTAATTAAGAAATCCTTGCCTAATTTCTATTTATTACTGTCTCAGTACAAACCAATATCTAGCATCTCACATTTATATTTTCTCATATTTCCTTCTAAGTTTGCCATCAGGTCTCAAATTCAAATTATTGTATGCCTTGGCTCTTGCCAATATTTCCCTCTCACCCCCCAAGCAAACTAACCTTCCTTATTACCCATTCAATCTCATTCTTCTTAGAAAGATTCTATTAATTGAAAAATAACGTGGTGCATTGGGAGCATTTCCTGATGGAACTAGGTGACTAATCCAGGGTCCAAGATTACTCCTAGTCTACTGCAAAATGAAAAAGTTCCTTACAAAGTAGTGGTAGGGGTTGGGGGAGAATAGGCAAGGGCATACATTGGTCATGTATGAACATACTTCCAAACTGACTATCTGTTTTGGGGTACATGTCCAAGTTGCTGTTCTCCCAGGCAGTTTTCATCATTCCTAACCCATGCCCATCATGGTTTGGTATACCAAGGCATGGCAGTGGGGATGTGCCTATTAAGAGAAGTATGTCTGAAAAACACTGCTATGGGAGACAAGTGGGCAAAAGTTCAAATGAGAGGAAGCTGAAGGAGAAAAAAAGTTCTTTGGGGGCAGTTTTAAACCATAGACCTGGACATTCTGGGATCTAAAGAGTTTTACTGATGAGTCACTCATGAGTGAATCAAAGCAACTCATTGCTCTGCAAAGTTCTTAGAAATAATGTGCTCTCCCCAAATTGCATCTTCTCCATACTTTTCTCCCCAAAGGAACATGTTGCTTTAAGTTACAAATCAGGAGAAAATGCCTTCCAATAATGTGCTGGTGGGAGAAACAGAATCTGAGTCAGAGTGACCCTCAGAGGTAATGTTTATTGATACATTTTAAGTTGTTGTAGCCCATGTCACTTTTCTTTTGCTGTATCTTAGAGGGAATCTAAAATACAGTCCTCATCTTCCTGTCCTTATGTTGCAGTATGTGGTTTGGTTTCTTTATTTCAGTACTTAATTTGCCTAAATTTTATCTTTTTATTTCCAGTTTCAGAAACTATCTAATGTTCTAAAAAGTGATTTTAAATGTGGGAACAACCTGGAGTCCTTGATTAAAATATCAATGGATAGTACCGATTTTTTTTTAAGTATGGTAAGGGTGGTTTTTAAAAAGTCAGCTCTATATTTCAAAAGCATGAATAAAATATTATAAGGGGAAATGATAATTTCCTGGCTGTGGCAGGAGTTGAAAGCCGGTGGCTGGGGTAGGTTGGGCACATTGTAACTGAAAAAAGAAGCCAATGAAAAAAGAACTGAAGCAGAGAGGGTGAACTAGAAATAACACAGTAGGGGATGAAGGACAAAGCATCCGTAGTCCCAGATCCACAGAAGAATGCCATGGATATTCTTAACAACAGAAAGATAATATTAAGAAATAATTTCAATTTTAAGTAAAAGTAATCAATAGGGAAAGAAAATAACAAAGGCATTATCTAGAATGATGTATCTTATAAGCTGGGAAAGGAAGAGGGACAAGGAAGGAATTTACTCATCTTGGGAACTAAAGAGTGGTAACCAGATGCTCACTTGTTCTAGGAATATAATTTTGGCCAAGTTAATCTTACAGTAAAACTCCAACCTGAGAATAATATTGATAGATATGTGTCAGACACTGGCCTATAGGATATATATGTAATCCCTGTGTTAGTTCATTCTTGCACTGCTGTGAAGACATACCTGAGACTGGGTAATTATAAAGAAAAGAGGTTTAGCGGGCTCATGGTTCTATAGGCTGTACAGGAAGCACAGCAGCTTCTGCTTCTGGGGAGGCTTCAGGAAACTTACAATCATGACGGAAGGTGAAGAGGAAGCAGGCATGTCTTACATGGCTGGAGAAGGAGCAAGAAAGAGGAGGAGGGGAGATGCTACACACTTTTAAATGACTAGCTCTCATGAGAACTCACTCACTATACAGTACCAATGGGGTATGGTGCTACCTGTTCATGAGAACTCTGCCCCCATGATCCAGTCACCTCCCACCAGGCCCTTCCTCCAACACTGAAGATTACAATTTGACATGAGATTTGTGTGAGGACACAGATTCAAACCATATCAATCCTCAAAACAGCCTTATGGGGTAGATAGTGTTACTATCATCTACATTTTTAGCTGGGAATATTGAAGCATGACTACTGGCCAAAAATGCCAGTGCTTATACGTAGTGGATATGAGATTTGAACCCAGACCATCCAACTCCAAGGTTAGCAACTGTGCCACACTGCCTTGGGGAGAGCCTTTGGACAGTGAAATTGTGGGATGATGGTTTGTTCTAGGAATGGACTGATACATTAAAGACTGAGCTGTCCTATGTCATGACAGCAATGGGATGAGAGTTGAGGAGCAAACCTTGTTTCATTGAAGCAAGGTAACAACAACATAAAAGAACAAAGACAGCCCATCAGTATTTGCAGTGTAGAACTCCATCCTAATTTTCTGGGCGTTTTAACCATTTGCATAATGCAAGGTTAGTGAGTAGAACTTGGGGAGGAGAGGAGAGGGGAGCTTGGAGCAGGATTTCAGAACCAAAGGTTCTCAGGAATTGGTGCTATGATCAGAATGGAGAGGCAGAGTCCAAGACGTGTTACTGAAACAGCAGGGGTTTGGTCTAGGTCCTGCTCCTTGCTGCACAGAATGCCAATCACTGAGATGACAAGTATTGCCAAGGAAAAAGGCTTTAATCAGGTGCTGTAGCCAAGGAGGTGGTTGCTCAGTCTCAAATTCAGCTCCCTGACTGACTAAACTAGGGCTTTATATAGCAGGGAAGAAATGTAACAATATGTAAAAAAACAGGAACTGGGTGCGAGCGGTGCAGAAGGAGGCATCTGGTGTGGTGATCTGGTGAGTTTTAGTTCTGTGATACTTTTTTGGAGTGGCCTGAAGGTCGTTTCCTGAGGAAGTGTATTAGTCTGTTTTCACACTGCTATGAAGAACCACCCGAGACTGGGTAATTTATAAAGGAAAGAAATTTAATTGGCTCACAGTTCAGCATGGCTAGGGAGGCCTCAGGAAAATTCCAATCATGGCAGAAGGTGAAGGGGCAGCATGGCACCTTCTTCACAAGGCGACAGGAAGGAGAATGAACTACCAAACACTTATAAAACCATCAAATCTAGTGAGAACTCACTCACTATCATGAGAACCGCATGGGGGAAGCCACCCCCATGATTCAATTACCTTCACCTGGTCTCTCCCTTGACAAGTGGGGATTATGGGAATTATGGGGATTACAATTCAAGATGAGATTTTGGGTGGAGACACAGCCAAACCATATCAGGAAGGAACTCAGATAAACAAATACAAGTTTCAAGCTTTAACAACAGAAGGGTCAATTTCTATGTTTATCCCATAAACAGTTTGTTCTAGGAATGAACTGATACATTAAAGATAGAGCCGTCCTCTATCATGACAGCAATGGGATGAGAATCTATGGGACTGCCTATGGGACTATTGGGTCAATTTCAGAGGGAGATCCAGGACTATGTTGTGAACAATAGCAAAAATTACCATAAAGGATTTGGATCTTTTTGAAGCTTATTAATAATAAAAGTAGCCTTGTATTACCTCTGCTGTGAAGCTTCCCACCACAGGCAATTTGGGGGCTGCCAAGTTACAGGATCCAGGGGTTACCATTCCCATAGAATATTAATCTGTCTGGATTTATGCATAAATGGCCCTTTTGACTTGTATGTGTCAGTGGAGAGGAACTTGCAGAATTTGCAGCAACTGCCCTTCCCCTTCGTGACTTTGGAAGATGGGGATGCCTGGTGTCCTCATGCTCTCTATATCTCAGAACCCTCTTGAGTTGATAAGGACTTTCCAATCAGCCTTTTTCATTATCTCCTGCCTACTTTAACTTCAGACACATTCACATTCATCAGTCTTGTCTTATCTGAACAATGAGCAGGGACTAGTACCAGGCACAATGGAAGAGGTAATATTCAGAGGCTTTAATTATATTCACACTTGAGGAGTCTCCAGAAAGAACACTTTGCAAGTCATAAACTATCAGCACCAGCGCTGCCACACACTTGTTTTTAATTATTGATGAGCAGCTGGTTTGGTTGTGGGATGCCTTTCAGGGTATCCTTCAAGTGTTAACTTTGCAGCACCATAGTCCTGGCTCTCTGGACAGAGTTGCTCTAGCCGGGTTACTTTGGTCAGAGTTAGAAGGAATAAACACTGTCAGTGTGATGCCACAAACATTCACTGAGCACGTTCTATGTGCCAGGGTTTGTTTGTGGTTCAATATTCTGTTTGGGATGAGAGAAAAATGAGCTCTGCTTTCAGGAGCTCACAGTGAAGAAATGAGGAGGAATATAGAAGCAAATTAACACAAATCAGCATGAGACGTGCTGCGGAGGAGCTACTTTAAGGGGGCAGAGGAAGGTGCGGTCAACATTTGGGGAGCTCTGATGGTCACCCAGAGAAGCAGATGCTCGAGCCGGGTTCCTCTGGTCTTATCCTTGTAGGTCTCTCCATCTGCATGGGATCCCTCTATCAGAAAGTATTGACCTTGGCTTCAGAATCACCTGGAAAGCTCTGAAAGACCTCAGTGCCTAGACTGCAGCCCAGACCAACTAACACTCCCTGGGGGTGGTACCCAGGCATCTGTATTTTTAAAAATTCTGCATGTGATATTAATGGGCAGCCGAGTTTGAAAACCACTGTCATAAATCGAGAATTCAGTAATTCAAAAATAAGAGTTAGGAAGATGACTGTATTATGGTTTGGAGACTGTTACTATATTCTGAGAGGGCTGGTAGAGAAAAAAATATTGTTGTTCAGAGGAGATCAGTGGTTATATCTAGCCAGGTTCAAATACAGGAGCATCATAGAATTTTACTAACACAGTCGGCCCTCCATATCCATGGGTTTCACATTCACAGATTCAAACAACCGTGAACCAAAAATTTTTTTTTTAAAAACCCATAAAAATATAACAGTAAAAAATACCAATAAAAACAATGTGTAGTATAACAACTCTTTACATAGCATTTATACTGGACTAGGTATTATAAATAATCCAGAGATGACTTAAAGTATATGGGAAGATGTGTGTAGGCTAAATACAAATACTGCACCATTTCATATTAGGGACTTAAGCAGACATGGATTTTGGTATCCTCTGGGGTCCTGGAACCAATCTTTGGGATTACTAAGGGATGACTCTATAGTAAAATTGGGAAAATAACATGAGCTACTTATGTTATAAATAGGCATGGGAGCTAGGCATGGGATATGAGCTGTGAAGCAACCTGAAGTTAGTGATTTTTACATATGTTTTCTATCTCCCACTCCTAAAAAATCTTGGGAAAACCTGCATCTTAAAGTATATTTAAGAAGAAACCAGAGAAGTTCCACCTAAGAATGCAGAGAAATTGCATACATTTAAGTGTCAAACTTAAAATTATGGAAATTGTTTGCAGATTGTACTATTCTATAAATCCATTTTAGATTTTTAAATTAGTTTCTAAACCTACAAATTCTTTGAAAATAGGCCACCTGGGGCTCACATATACATGATTACTTCAATTAAACAATAATGATGATAATATTGGTCATATTATATTTATAGCATATCTCAATATATCAGTACTTACTATATTTTATTTAATTCCCAGAAAAGTCTTATAAAGTAGGTAACTATGATTTTTTCCCAGTACTTAGATGAGACTATGAGGCACAGAAATGTTAAAAAAAAATTGTCTGGCTATGGGGTCCCAAGTAGCCCGAGTTGGGATATAAACCTAGTCATTCTGATCTTCTCCACTCCTTGTTCTATCTCTCTTCATTGTGAAAAGGAGTGGCTTGATGTAGTTCAAAAGGAAACTGGTTTGAGAATAAGAAGATAGGATTCCATGTCTGATTGACCTACTCTGTGATCTTGAGTTAGTCACTCAGCCTCTCTGAACCTTACTGTCTTCTTTAAACACTAAAGATCAGACATAATATGACATTACAATTTTCCTTGTAGTAATGAGTTGCAGAGGGAATGCATGTTGAAAATCACTTTAGAATCTCACAGATATGTCATTCTTCTGAAGGGCATCATTAAGACATATATGTATACACACACACGCATATACTCTCTCTCTGCGTGTGTGTGTGTATATATATAGTGTATATATATGTGTGTGTATATCTATAGTGTATATATATGTGTGTATATATAGTGTATATATATGTGTGTATATATATAGTGTGTGTGTGTGTGTATATATATATATAAAATATATATATATATATCGTGTATATATTGACAGGTACATATATATTTTTTTCCTAAAACAAAGAGGATAGGGATTCATTTTGCATTTTTGTGTAAGTTTTATAGATAACTATTTTTCTTTTGTCAGAAAATACCACTCATCTTCCCCATCCTCCTCGTAGTTGTAGAGAACTTGCATGAAAGTCAGGTTCACCAGACAGGTTTAACTTTTTTTTTTTTTTTTAACACTAACCTGTGTCCTATAGAGGATGCCCCATCTGGCTCCTTGATCCTTTGTGATCTAGATGGGTCTTTTTAGCTCTTGATCGGAAGCAGAATGGTTCTGAGACAAGCAGCTTAGACCCTTTGGGAAATTAATCAGGCAGAGGAGGCAGTTCTGAGTCTCTAACAGGTACATTAAGGAGCATTCTGAAGCTTGTCTAGCTTGACAGGAAATTGCCTGGGGGAACTCTAAGAAATCCAGACAGGCTTGGCTAAGGCAGGCATTGAAGTTTGCAGTTGCTTAGATTATCCTATATTGTTAGAATATAGAAAAACTTCAGTCCTAGAAGATGCAATCCATTTGGTACATGATATTGATGGTACTGCAGATATTAATAACAAATTAGGTGGGTACTGGAAGGTCCTCAGTGTGGCCCTACCCTCTTATAGGGTCCTTCATGCTCTTTCCCAGCCTTCTCTCCAAGCTAAACAAGACTTGTTAGACAGATATGTGTATGAAGCTAGAATAGAACTGTGGCTCTTGAGGAGTAGTGGTATGTGATTATCTCTGGTAGGTGGTAGAACAGTAGTGAGTGAGTGCCATCCAGGAGGGGGCCAGAGGGGAGCAGTGTGGCTGCCTCCTCCCTCCCTGCAGCCCCAGGTCCCACGGTCTTCACAGTCGCGGCCACTGCCCTCCGTCAGCACCTCACCATCTCTCAGGGGGACAAGTGCCACAGAATCTTGACTGTTTTGGAGGCTGTCCTTGGGCCTTCCTGGTGTCAGTCCAACCTCTTCATCACGACCAGGGCTGTCTTACCAAACACCAAGTTGGTCACCATCAGCACCCATGGATAGCAGGATAAAATCTAAACTCCTCAGCCTAACATCAAAACCCCTTCACATCTGATTTCAATCTTCCTGGTCCCCCTGGAGGGGGCTGGATCTCACAATAGTCTTGTAATAGTCCACTCTCCCATCTTGACTGATTGCTGATCTGCCTGTAGGGAGCCAGAAAAGACAAAGATGAGGAAACTGGGCCAGATGGAGACCAGTCATGCTCTTCTCTGTTTCTCCATTTTACCTGCCCCTTAGCCACCCAGACACTGTTTGCAGTGGCTCCCACCTTCTAATCTTGAAGGAGTTTACTTCTTTAAAATCCACAACTCCTGTAGTGCTTTCTCACTCTGTAATCTGTATATCCCCACAAAGCAAGAAGATTTTTGTCAAATCTGACCTTCTGTAATTTGTGTTTAAAAAACATTGAATATGAGTTTTCAAACAACTATGTATAACTCCCACTTCCAAAGGACAATCTGAAACAACTCTTATCTCCTCCTTCCTTAAGAGTCACATCAGGAGGTTTTAATGATACATTAACTCATCAAAAATATTAATTAAGCTTCTAAGATAGAACTAGAATTAAACTCAGATTCCCCACTATCTACTTCGCACAGACAGTGTTTCATGCTTGCCTCTGGCTTTACTCTGTTGGCTGCCAACCGTTGGCCCCAACGAGAGGGGGATTTACAGTGAAAATAGTGGAGCTTACATTTTAGGGCCTATGCTTTGACTGTGTCCTTCCCAAGTCTCTGCAAATAGCTATAGCAATGTGATACATGGTTACAGGTTTGTAAAGCTGGTAAAAGTGAGACATTTTAACTGCATTAGGACCAGAGTCTCTTTCTCTTCTGATTTCCCTTCTGTGATACCTCCTTTGGTGACAGGAAGTGCTAGAATAGGTATTCGTAATTTCAATTGAGGATACATTCAGTGAGTTCAGTGGGATTCATTAATGCACTTTACAATCACTCCTGTGTACAGTTAAGTTACTGTGTATGGATCATGATATTCTTACGGAGCGTCTGGAACCAGAATCTCTTGGGACAGGGCCAGAGAGGGCAGGCTTCATGAGGTCTGGGAGTAAGGCTTTCAGTTGTGTGTGTGTTTGTTGGCTTATCATTGAGTCCCCCGAACTGCATTGGCTCAGAGTAGGTGTTTAATAAATGCTCATGAAATGAATTTTTATGCACAGGAAGCCTTGAGAATGACTGTTTCTGCTTATTTAGTATCTTACAGAGCAAGACTGCAGATCAAGATTTTCCAACGTGGTGCTGACTTTTTTGAGAACAGTTAATGAGAACTAGGAAAGTCCTTGCAGACCATCCAGTCCAGCGGCTTTCAAATGGAAAATGTGAAAGGACAACAGAATCACATGGATTCTTTTCTGAACTGCTTTTTTCCAGTGATGCCATATTCTATAAGACTTCATGTGAAGGTGTGGAGGACGGGTAATGTCTGAATCTTCCAGGCAATGAGAGGGATGGTGTGAGTCTGGAAATTCTTTGTGATGGTCTGAGACTCCCCTTACTCCAGTTAAGAACACTGACTTAATTCGATCTGGTTTTTTTTAACAAATGGCCTCTGAGACGTAGAGCAGTGAGGATAAGGACTCTTACCCGGTTACAGAGTGGAGTAAGGGCTAGAACTCAACTCTTAAAAATTTCAAATGCAATGTTCTTTCTACAATATTGTGCCTACTTCTTCACTTCTGCTTATAGGCAACTTCCTTTTCCTTTAATTCTCTAATATTTGGAGGGCACGTCACAACTTATACACTTGCTCTATATGTTTTACATTGCTTCTCATGGTTTCTCATGCATAAGTATAGTATTTTCTTATATTTTAAATTTTCTAAGAACAGGTAACCTATTTTAAACTCCCCTTGCAATTATGCAGGTAACTAACACATTGATGATAAGCTAATATTAAGAGAGCAAAATAGTTGATGATTAGTTTATTAGTATCTCAAAATAATCCATTTGATGTGCTAAGGTGCTATTAGTTACAACATTTCAAGTATACATGCAATTCTTGTTAGAAATATTATCCACCTTTTGAAATACATGTTGATTAAAGACTAACATGGGCTGTGGGCATAGGTACAGTAACAGCATACCATAGGCCGGAGAAAGAGTTGACTTTGGAGGTCCAAGATCAAGAAGCAGGATGTCTAACAGGGCTCTTGAGAATTCTAGGGCAGCCGGTACTCGAAAGGCAAGATTTGATTGTGAATGATTTCATGCAACTCCGTTGGTTAATAAGCAAATCCTGCCCACACTTGTGGATAACATGGAAGCTACCTGAGCAGGTAAAGGCTAAGACAGAAGATCCATGAACAGAACTGGAGTTTTGATAATTCACCAGGAACTTGGTTACTTTGTTGTACCTTTTATGCTTTTATATTTCTTCTTCCCTTTCATTTCCATGCAATGTATTTATAACTTGTAGCTAGATTTTTAGATTACTGCCAGACAAATTCAGTCAATTTAATTAATTAGGCAAATTAAAGTGAAAATTATGTTTTAGGGGCTGTTAAAATTTATAAGACATTAGCACATTCTTCTCATGTGCTTTTATTATTATTACAAATGTTGTTTCATAATTAGCCATGTGTTAATTGTTAGCTTGGGGAATGATTTACGTGTTTAAAATTGGGAGAAATCATTTTGGCTATGGCTACCTCTTTTAATTTACTTACATATTTTTTTCCCATCACACAGTGTTTGACTTTTACAACCACATACATTTTGATTAGAACCTGAAATAATTCAGTAAAACAAGATGATGGTTTTTTGTTCTGCTCAATCTTTGTATCATAACCTTCACTTCTCAATGCTCAAATGATGGAATGAAAAGTGGACAATTCTTGACTGCATCGTGCTGCCCTTGTGTTGCTGTACTGTTATTTCACACTTGATACATTCACATTTTTTCTATTCTTATGAATTTTCTCAAAAATTGTACTCTAAAGTGCATGAGGACAGAGACTATGTCTTATTTTATTTTATTTTATTTATTACTTCAAGTTCTTGGATACATGTGCAGAATGTGTAGGTTTGCTACATAGGAATACGTGTGCCATGGTGGTTTGCTGCGCACCTATCAACCCGTCATCTGGGTTTTAAGCCCCATATGCATTAGGTATTTGTCCTAATGCTCTCCCTCCCCTTCCTCCCAACCTCCCAACAGGCTGGTGTGTGATGTTCTCCTACCTATGTTCATGTGTTCTCATTGTTCAATTCCCACTTATGAGTGAGAACGTGTGGTGTTTGGTTTTCTGATCTTGTGTTAGTTTGCTGAGAATGATGGTTTCCAGCTTCATCCATGTCCCTGCAAAGGACATGAACTCATTCTTTTTTATGGCTGCCTAGTGTTCCATGGTGTATATGTGCCACATTTTCTTTATCCAGTCTATCGTTGATGGGCATTTGGGTTGGTTCCAAGAAGAGGAGAGAAAGAGACTATGTCTTATTAATTCTATTAGGTTGGTGTCTAATTCTATTAGGTTGGTGTCTTATTAATTCTATTAGGTTGGTGCAAAAGTAATTGTGGTTTTTGCCATTACTTTCAATTGCAAAAACTGCAATGACTTTTGCATCAATATAATACATGTCTTGTAGTAGTAGTTTCCAAACTAGCCACATCAGAATCACCCAAGGTGTCTTTTAAAAAACCTAGAATCTAAGATCTCAGCTTGGGAATTCTGAAAAGTTTTAAGAAGGGTCTCAAGATTCTGATTTTTTTAAAAGCTCATCCAGATAATTTTTCTGGACAGTTGATTTTGAAATTCACTGGTCTATAGCATGAAACACTGCCTTGCATTTAGTAATTGCTCAAAGTGTTCTTTTGTTTATTTTGAAACTTACATCACTCAAGAGAGCCATGTAAACCAGGTCTAGCGTGTTTACTTCATTATTTTCTCTTCTTTTTATTTTATTTTACTCTAAGTTCTGGGATACATGTGCTAATCATGCAGGTTTGTTACATAGGTATACATAGCTTCTGCACAGCAAAAGAAACTATCATCAGAGTGAACAGGCAACCTACAAAATAGGAGAAAATTTTTGCGATCTATCCATCTGACAAAATTCTAATAACCAGAATCTATAAGGAACTTAAACAAATTTGCAAGAAAAAAACAAACAACCCCATCAAAAAGTGGGTGAAGGATATGAACAGACACTTCTCAAAAGAAGACATTTATTTTCTCTTCTTGGTGCTTTGCCTTGCTTCACTGACTACCTGACAAAAACCAATTCAGATGCATTCTTTTTTTGTTTTATGGTGCATATTGACAAAATAACCAAGACTTTTTATTGCTTCTTCAAAACTACTTGAAAAATCTGATGGTGCTTTTTAAAATTTGCATTAGCGCTTTATGGTACAAGACCACCCTGTTGCCTATGTTTTCTGGCTGGAAGTGTTGGATATATCTTGGAAGACTGATGCAAGACAAATGTCTACCCACATTGACACTGTCCTTTGGATCCTGGTGGCTGCTGCTGTTTTCAGAGTCTTCTTCCACTTTAAACATACTCTAAATGATGTATTTGTTCCAGGAAGCTATCTTATCTCTGATTACTCTCTGCTGCCTGGCCTTCTGATTGCTTCTCTTTCCAACTGCCATTTTCCAGATCATCATATGGCAGTTATCCATTCTTGGTGCATGGCCAGTCCATTGAAATTATGACAGAAAACTCTGCAGTTGTCAACTGCGTGAATGATTTGCTTTAGCATTGAGTAGTTTAGTCTCATTCCCATATTTGTTATGGGTTACTCTGTCTTGCAATTTTAAATTCAAAAAGCATTGTTTCCAGCATTGAGGAAACTTTTCAAGAAGCTTAATGTTTTGGTTGCTTAGTGTACTTAGCTTCCTAGAGGTGTGTAGAAATGTGTTCCTGGCTTATACTTCATGGGTCACGAGTAGAGTCACTAAAGTTTAGGAACAAAAAATCAAAAGATGTGGGTTGGTAGAGGATGAGTGAAAAAATAACAAATAGGAGTGAGGAATACTTAAGAGAGAGTACCGAAGAGATGGAGAGGGAAAAAAAGTACTAACTACAAAGAACCTAGAGAGGTTATCTTAAGAGGTTTTGCAGTAAGGGGATAATTCATTAAGAATATTTCAAAGATTATATCTGACAGGTGAGCCCTTGGGCCAAGAGCCCTTTGCAGATTTGGGCTGTGTCTCTTCCCCCTTTCCCCACCCCCATTCTTATTTATATCCTTTGAAATGTCATGAGAAGATTATTTCCTTTACAACCATTTTTTCCCCAATTAGTCTAATGCAGAGATTTTTAATATATGACTGGTGGATTTACAAGTTAAGCACTGGTCCTTGAATCCTCTAGAATGGTTTGTAAAATTTGTATTTTATCTTCATGTTTCTCCTCCAGGGGGAAGTCCAAAAGTTAATCATATTCTGAAAGGGATCACTGACCAGAAAACATTTCTGTTTTTCTTTTTTTCTTTCTTTCCTTTTTTTTTTTTTTGACAGAGTTTCACTCTTGTTGCCCAGGCTGGAATGCAATGACATGATCTTGGATCACTGCAACCTCCACCTCCCAGGTTCAAGCGATTCTTCTGTCTCAGCCTCCTGAGTAGCTGGGATTACAGGCGCCCACCATCACACTCAGCTATGTTTTTTTTTTTTTTTTTTTGTATTTTTAGTAGAGGTGGGCTTTCACTATGTTGGTCAGGCTGGTCTCGATCTCCTGACCTCAAATGATCCACCCACCTCGGCCTCCCAAAGTGCTGGGATTACAGATGTGAGCTACCGCTCCCGGCCCTGTTTTTTTTTTTTTTTTTTAATTAAAATTTTAGAAGATCAACTAACAGTGGACCCCATCCATGGAAACCTGTCACTGAGTAACATATTCTCCAGATAACAGTCAGCAGAGTCCTGGGAATTAGGCTGATGACAGTAGCTGGTCGCTGGGCTGATGCTTCCATCCTTTACCATTTAGTCGTTTTGGAGCTTGATCAGTGTTACCTTTTGTCTCTCATCGTCTCAAAGGAGTCTTAAACCTTTGGATGTCATTTTCCAGTTTCTTGTGAACAAAACACCAGTGACTTGTTTTTTATTTTTTTCCCTCTTTTCTTCTTTTTCACATAGGCAATTGATATCTGAGATGCTTTTCAGACTTGAATTACAGGTGCAGACCATTTGTTGTATTTAGGGTTTCTCTCCTGCAAGCTGGAAAATAGATCGTGTTTGCATTTTTAGCATTTTAAAAATGCTAGTGCATTAGCTGATTTGCAAATTATTTTGTAACTACTTGAATGTAAACATTTTTCCAGGGTCAGTTTCAGGAACACAACTTTCAGTACATACCCACCCTTAGATGACTACAGTTATCTTTAGGACTTTTGATAATGTTTACAGTTTCCTGCCTGAAAGAATTTTACTGATGTCAGGAAGTATATTCTGATACAGCTTTTAGGTCCCCTGATAACTCCCTGAGCATAGCTACGTAATCTCTCTGACAAATGGTAATTTGTCAGTCTGTGGCAGAAGCAGGATTTTCATCAGTCTGGCAAAAACTTCTGAGCTAATAAGTTACTGGTTCTGAGTTTATTCTCAAATGGGTGATAGCTGCCCATTCCTCTATTCTCTGAGTTCCTGAAGAGAATCAGCAGAAACTAAAAGTAGGAAAAGAGAGGAGATGAGATTAGTGATGAAATGTAATAAATGGAAACTGTTAAACAGCCCTTGCCTATCGATAGTGGGGTTGGCTGATGTGTCTGAGAAGGAAAAACCACAGCTTAAAATGAGTACAGCCAGGCTGGGTGTGGTGGCTCATGCCTGTAATCCCAGCACTTTGGGTGGCCGAGGTGGGTGAATCATGAGGTCAGGAGTTCGAGACTAGCCTGACCAACATGGTGAAACCCTGTCTCTACTAAAAATACAAAAATTAGCTGGGTGTGGTGGCGTGCACCTGTAACCCCAGTTACTCAGGAGGCTGAGGCAGGAGAATCGCTTGAACCCAGGAGGCAAGGAGCCAAGATCATGCCACTGCACTCCAGCCTGGGCGACAGAGTGACACTCCATCTCAAAAAAAAAAAAAAAAAAGGAAAAAAAAAGACTACAGCCATAAGTAACCATTTCACCATGGGGGAAAATTCTGTGTGTCCTTTACATAGATTTTATTGTAGAAGTTATTGCTCCAGAGATTTATATCTTGCATTTACTTATTATTTACTTATTTCATTTATGGAAAGCAGTATGAAAACCTATCTACTGTATAGAATATGTAATTGTTTGGAGTAAAGTTTTAAAAAATTTACTTTCAGACCCTGCTTGATGCTCATTAATTCCTTGTTTTCAGATTGCTTAATACCCATTTCCTATTTCATATCTTAAATTACTTCAATTATTATTCAAATTTGCCTAATGGTAGTCATTTTATCCCCCAACATAGAATAGTCATATGGATTTATGTTTATATCTATCTCTACCTCTTAGCAAATAGCCATAAGCCCATAGTAATAAATGATCCCCTTGAAAACCATAAGTTCTTTTGTTTATGTTTATCAGTGCAGGGATTAGGGCTACCAGTGAGTAAGGCCAGAGAATTGTCCAGGTAAAAGAGGTTCTGAAGATAACAAGGTTGAGAGAAGTGAGGAAGTCTGTGGATAAGGGAAGCACACCAGGTTTAGGACCTTAACAAGGAGATGGAGGAACACAGAAGAAATAAAGAGCAAAGGAGCTCAGCCAGATTAGCATCTGGAGAGGCAGACAGAAAGAATTCTGAGGCCTGGAAAACACACATAGGTAAAGATGAGTAACAAGTGTCAGAAAAGTGGCCAAGAGGGCCAGGTAGAAAAAATCAGAACCAGACCCAGTGTCCGGACAGCAGATTCAATTAGAAAATGTGCAGAAAAAATAAAAGACCATGTTAACATGTATTGTGAGCCTGACTATGATACGCTGTTTGCACTGGACCAGGATGAAGTCAGCATGAGGCAGTACTGAGCCCACAGGCAGGGAAAATAGGAGAGGCAGATGGAGCAGGAGGCCAGGCAGTGCCTGGCTCCACCTTTGGCAGAATTTCATCTGGACCTCGTTGGATTGCTTATCTTTGCATTTTCTAGACATCCTTTATCTTTTTAACTTATTGGTCAATGGCATATATATATTGCACCATGCAGCTCAAGCAACCAACCCTTTTGTACTTTTTTATTTAGAAAAAAAGTAAGACTCTGTTGGGAGGCTTTTACTGTCTGCTCTTTTCTGATTCATTTCAACTTTATTTAATCTATACAAGACCAAATAAAATGCAGCATTCTTGTCCCAATTGTAATAGATCTTATGTTGACACATTGCTGCCATTGTCCTGTGAAACGAGTAAAAGGAATTGCCGTAAGAGGGTCTTTCTGTGCCAGTTTTTCCTTCTGAGTTTTTGTTGCTTTTGGAAACATCCTCATGTGACCTCCTTTACTGATAAGATTTTAACGGGCCAAGTGCAAATCTAGGCATTACTTTAGAATTTGCAGTTTAGACATTTACTGTTGAGTTGAGTATACATACTACAGGGTATAGAGGTAAGTAATGAGACTATGTTCACATTTTGAAATAAGTGCTCTTCTGCCAGGGTTACACGAGGACACCTTCGTTTACCAGTTTGATTGATCTTCTAAGAAGGTTCAAATGAGGAACAGCTAATGCTACTGATTCCTCTCTCACAGTGATTGAAAAGGGATTTCCAACAGTTCAAGTCAGAGTGAAGGAATAGGAAAATTTCAGGCATAGGCAAGGAGCTGGTCAATAGCATGTTGCAAGAGTCTCGAGGAGCAAAAGTCTCTTATTTACATTCTGGTTTCATCCACCAAAGAATCAGGTTTTCTATTAGAATGATACAAAAAAATGGATGATAATGATACTGATTGGATACTCAGACAGAAAGATGCTCCCTGGCATGAGTGACTGTGGGTGGAGGTAGGTATGAGAGGCTGGTGGTGGGCAGCCATGTTAGCAGAGAGAGGTAAAAACAGTTGATCAGGCGAGAAAGATGAAGTTCTAATGTTGTTGGATCTTGGCTGATTTTGAAACACTAAACAGTCCCTCCCAGCATCTCCCTGTCATCACTGCTTTGTTTTCCCCAGTCCCTTGCTTGTGGTTCTGGCTCTCTTGCCTCGAGTCAGCCTTTGGACCTGAGTTTTTTCCTTTGGCTTTTGGTTGGAGGACATGATGACCTCACAGATGGTCTTCATAAATCAGCCACTCACTGTGCTCCCAGGAATCTTTGATTCTACTCTCTAGTTCGTCTCCTTGACTGTGCCCTGAAACCTGGCTCACTCTATTAAGTCATGCTGGATATTGTGGGGTCATTTTCCACCCCTCATGCATGTCCCTGACCCACTTGTTTTCTCTGAAAGTCGATTTTCATTTTCTGTAACTCTATGTCTTTGCTCTTCTCCCTCTGCCCCATAGCTGTCAACCCAGCTGCATGCAGCCAACCCAAACCCTTTGTAATTTTTCTCTTCAGTGATTCACAATATATGTCCTCTCTGACTTGGGAGCAAATTAATGTTAAGGATTTTGCACTTAAAATTTAATATAGCATCATTGGCTCTGAGTCGAGGAGTGGGTATTATGCCAAAATACTTATTGTCCCCATGTTGTGTCTAGCAAGTTGGGAATTCTGATATATGGCTATTTTAAACAAAAGTCCAAATGAACTTTAGAATTGGCTTGAGAAGGAAGAGAGAAAGAATTTTAAATTAAAGCAAAAGAGTCTTTTGTTTTCTACCCCAGTTATACTGAGATGACATAGTTTGGATGTTTGTGCCCTCCAAATCTCATGTTGAAATGTAATCCCCTGTGTTGGAGATGGGACCTGGTGGGAGGTGTTTGGGTCATGGGGGTGGATTCCTCATGAATAGCTTGGTACTGTCCTTGCAATAATGAGTGAGTTCTCACTCTGAGTTCATGTGAGATCTGTCTCTTTAAAAGACCGTGACACCTCCCCCTACTCTCTCTCTTGCTCCCACTCTTACCACATGATGCACCTGCTTCCCCGTTTTCTTCTGCCGTGGGAGTTCCATATGCACCTAACCCTGGAGCTCCCAAATTTATAAAACAATTGCTAATAGACATAAGAAATGAGATAGACAGCAACACAATTTGAGTATTGAAGGGGGACTTCAATACTCCACCGACAGCTCTAGATAGGTCATCAAGACAGAAAGTCAAAAAAGAAACAATGGATTTAAACTATACCCTGGAACAAATTGACAATCTACCATGTTTGGAAGTTTCCTGAGGCTTCACCAGAAGCAGATGCCAACACCACACTTCCTGTACGGACTGCAAAAATGTGAGCCAAATTAAAACCACTTTTCTTTATAAATTATCCAGTCTCAGCTATTCCTTTACAGCAATGCAAGAATGGGTTAACACATAAGTCTTATGAGTTAACTGATTTGTGACCCTCCAAATACAATAAATAACAAATGAAATATCTAACCATTGGAAGCCCTCTTTGTGGCTCTGCAGTCAGTTGGATGGAGGCTCACAGGGGCTATAACTACCTCATGAGATCAGCAGGTTATAATCCCTCCTAGGATTATGTAACACACTATGCAGATATTTATAATTATATTGTGAAGGAGAAATTAGATGTGCAGGTATACATTTTGAAGTAGGAGGAAATGAAAAGGGACAGTAAGAGTAAAAGGTTTTGCTGTGATTCTGTTTGGTAAAACCTCTTTTGAACAAAGATTTCCTCAAAGAAATGAGAGCAAAATATAATCAGCTTGAGGGCTCTGAGTATAGCATTGTGTCATATGGATCAAAAGGAAGCCTAAGCTTTTGATCCCTTTTCTCAGGTGGGGAATGGGATTTAGAGGTATGTCAGTATCTACAAATTCAGTTCTAAGATGTTGAGAAGAAGCTTTGAAGCCAATAAAAAGCATAAGGCAGGATTTCATTAAAAATAGTTATTGGGGGAACATTGAGCAGTGGTGTGGAATATTGGGCTAGCGCTGGAATATGGGATTATGCACATACCCTGAGATGCTTCTGCACCCAGCCACACCACAAGCTCTGAAACAGCATGCCTGAAATTCCATTGCTGCGGACCTCAAGCAGTGACTTCATGACTTTGGGAGCACTGGCAAAATCCGGTGCCTTGATGAGCCATTGGGAATGATGGCTGCAATCTTAACAGTTAAGTCTTTAGTCAGAGATGAATGAACTCATTTAATACAAAGCTTTTTCAAAATCCACAGGGGTGATTATGTTGACAGTCATAACTAAAAATAGTAATCCCTAAAAGTCTCATCCCATATTTACATTGCATTTAAAGGACTATAAATTTGGCATGGTGATTACGTCCTATTGTGTCCAACACTTGGCATTTGAATTACTAAGGACCCATAACTTAACCCTCAATACTTTTGAGATAGAATTTATATAAATGATCAATGCTTTATTAAAGGTAATAATGATAGTGTCTTTACCATTTTCCAGTTGATGGAGCACTTTTTCATATATTACTTTTTGAAAGAAATAGTTTATTTATAAACTAAAAAAAAAAAAAGGATGGTGTTCAGCAGTTGTGGTATAAATTGTCTCCCCCAAAATTCAGATTTTGAAATCCTATCCTCTAGTACCTCAGAATGTGACATTATTTGGCAATAGGGTTGTTGCAGATGTAAATAACTTGAGATGCAGTCATTAGGGTGGGACCAATGCCAGTATGACTGAAGTCCTTATAAAAAGAGGAGATTTGGACACAGGCATGCACACAGGGAGAACGGCACATGAACATGAAGGCAGAGATCGGGTGATGTGACTACAAGCAGAGGACCGCCAAAGCTTGCCAGCCAACCATTAGAAGCAAGGAGAGAGGCATGAACAGATTCTTCTTCACAGCCTTCAGAAGGAAGCAACCTGGCTGACAACTTGATCTTGGACTTCTACCCTCCAGAGCTGTGAATCAATACATTTGTGTTTGTGGTATTTTGTTATGGGAGCCCAAGCTAACTAATACAGCAGTCATCAACACATCCATGTTATTTGTGATTGTTCTGCAGCCTTGAGTGTTACCTTTTTTTTCTCCCACTTTTCCCTGAAACCTTCTGAAATTGGATGTTGGTTTCCTTAGAGAAGGTGTGTATGATGGTAAGTTTGGGGGAGGCCTGGGTAAGGAGGGGCAGGATAAGGGGTGTTTTAGGGTGAATGCCTGAGCCAGCAGAGGATGGTGAATGGTGGCCTGGAGAGAAGAAGCCAGAGAGAAAAAGACAGTCCATGCAAATGGACCCCAAAAGTGAACAGGAGTAGCTATTTTTATATCAGACAAAACAAACTTTAAGGCAACAGTGGTTAAAAAAGACAAAGAGGGAAATTATGTAATGGTAAAAGGCCTTGTCCAACAGGAAAATATCACAATCCTAAACATATATGCACCTAACCCTGGAGTTCCCAAATTTATAAAACAATTACTAATAGACCTAAGAAATGAGATAGCAACACAATAATAGTGGGGGACTTCAACACTCCACTGACAGCACTAGACAGGTCATCAAGACAGAAAGTCAACAAAGAAACAGTGGATTTACACTATACCCTGGAACAAATGGACTTAACAGATATATACAGAACATTCTACCCAACAACCATGGAATATACATTCTATCAACAGCACAAGGAGCTTTCTCCAAGAAAGACCATTTGATAGGCCACAAAACAAGCCCCAATATATTTGAGAAAATTGAAATTATATCAAGCATTTTCTCAGACCACAGTGGAATAAAACCAGAAATCAACCCCATAAGGAATCTCCCTTGCACCAAGTCTCTTTTTTCCCTCACTGCTTCCAGAGCCATCGCTCTAAAATATGTATCATTTCACTTATTTGCTCAGGGCTTCAGTGGCTGCCCAGAACATGCAGGATTATGCTGAAATTCCTTGGCATGTCCCCCACTTCATTATTGGCCTACTTTTCGTTTTTTTCTTTTTTTTTTTTTGAGGTTTATTGAAGTATGACTGACAAATAAAAATATTATCTATTCAAGGTGTACAATGTGCTATTTGGAGATATATATATATATATATATATATATATATATATATATATACACACACAGTGGCCAGATACAGAAAAATAAATACTGCACGATCTCACTTACATGTGGAATCTAAAAAAGTCAAACTTACAGAAACAAAGAGAAGGCTGATTTTCCAATTTTATAACCTGCCTAGTGTTTTCTCTTGAGCTCTAGCCATGAGGAACTATCAACTAATTCGCTTCCTGAATGTGTTGTGCCCTTCTGCGTGGGTGTTCAATTCCACTTGCTTTTTCCGCTTTTTGCAATGCTATTTCTTCTTTGCTTTTTTGCTGAAGTTCTTTTTGCTTTTTTGCTTTTAAGGCACCCCAAATATGGCATTTCCCTTTTACTTCTCGCTGGGCATATAACAGTACGGAAGACAGCCGATAATTTAGTGGATGATATATGCATCAAACAAACCATCATAAATCATTACTTTATTTTCATTATTTTAAGGACTTTGGAGGGGGGAGTGTCCAACAGGTGGAACATACCTGAAATGATGAAAGTGAGGCTACTTCTCTGAAGAAGTGCTATTTAAGGCAAAATGTAAAGGCTATGTAGGAGTTCTCCATGCAGAGAGTGGGCAAAATGGCCTTCTGGCAAAGGAAATAGTGTATATGAAGACCCCAAGAGAGGAAGAAGCTTCCTTTCCTGGACTCATGTGGTATCTTGAACATGTACATAGGTGAAAGCCTTGTATCGCTATAATAATTTTCTGGCTGTGGGTCTTTTAAGTGCAGAATGTAGGTAAGTCCTATTCATACTCATATTCCCAGAATCCTGCACAGTACTCATGCACACACAAAATTGGCACTTACTTTAATGTTTGTGAATAATGGATTTAATGAAATAATGACTTGGATAGATGGATGAATAGATGGGTTCAATGTGTTTAAAAGATGCTGTAAATGGGTATCATGAAGTTAACAAACAAAACCAAGGTGATGAGTATCAGCAGAAGTAAATGACACAATCCACCAGATGAACCAGGGTCATATTCAGGGTCAAGAATGCAGGTAGAAATCTTGACATTGGCAAATCCATGCAAGGATTGAGTCAAGAATCAGGAAACTTTCTTGCAGGAAACTGAGTCTAGGAATAACACTGAAACTAAATCTTCTTTAGATTGTTGGTCTATACAATAGAACAATCAGAGAATATAATTAGACTGGAAGAGAGTTGGCAAATTATGATTCATAAGTCAAATCCAGCCTGCTGCTTAGTTTTGTAAATAAAGTTTTATTTTTTAATTTTGAGACAGAGTTTTGCTCTGTTGCCCAGGCTGGAGTGCAATGGCACGATCTTGGCTCACTGCAACCTCTGCCTTCCCGGTTCAAGCAATTCTCCTGCCTCTGCCTCCCAAGTAGCTGGGATTACAGGTGCCTGCCACCACACCCAGCTAACTTTTGTATTTTTAGTAGAGATAGGGTTTCACCATGTTGGCCAGGCTGGTCTCGAGCTCCTGATCTCAGGTGATCTGCCTGCCTCAGCCTCCCAAAGTGCTGGGATTATAGGCCTGAGTCACTGCGCCCAGCCATAAAGTTTTGTTAAAAGACAGCCAGACTCATTTGTTTGTCATTTGGCTGGGGCTGCTTTCATGCTATAATGCTAGAGTTGAGTGTTTGCTATAGAGACCGCATGGCTTGAAAAACATAAAATACTTACTGTCTGGACCTTTACAGAAAAGGTTTGCTGGCTGTTGGTCTGGAACATCAGCTGCTTGCTCAATGGTATTATTGAGTGCTACTAAGTATTAGGCACTGTTCTAAATTCTTCACATGTTAACTCATTTAGACCTTGTAACAATCCTGTGAAGTAGGGGTTATTATTATCTCCATTTGATGGAAGAGAAACTCCAGGCACAGAAAAGTTAAATTATTTCCCTAGGAACGTACTGCCAATGAGCTGTGGCCTTAGCCACTGTGCTATACTGCCTCTATATAGAAGCATCCTGTTTTTTGTTGTTGTTGTTGTTGAATGGGTATAACAGGTGGGAACCTCTTAGAGAGATGAAAGTCACACCATCACTCTCTTAAATATAAGCTGAAGACTGGATGGCTCATATATTCTTGCTGCTCTCCCAGAGGTTAATCTGAAAATTCTTGGGAAGACATAAATAGAATTTAATGACCATTTGTTTCTTTATCCAGGACTGATAGCCATGCATGTAAGATATCATTTACTTCTTGCTTAACACACTTTCACAAAGAGAATTGTGTTATTTTCCTAAATCAGTAAGGTATAAGCTATAGTCAGGCATAGTGGCTTTCCATCCAATTAAATATATGTTAAAGGAGTCGAAGCTGGGAATTTTTAACATTGAGTAAATCAGTGAAGACAGCATAGGTTGCAAGTCTTCAAGAATTTTACCAAATTTTCTCTTGTGATAATATGAACCTGTCTAGAGAAAATCTAAAGATTTGGACTGGGAGTTAATACTAGCAGTCATGATTATAATCATATTATACATTTTTGTAGATCTTAGGACTTGATAAAAAAGATTTAATAAGTGGTACATAATCTGGAGTATCCATTTTTTTTGGAGAGAAAATAAAGGAGAGATAGCTTACATCTCACAAATACTTCAAGGTCATCATTTCTCCCTGTCTTGCTAGAACAGGAAAATAAGGGACAAGACAAATAGCTGCCAGAGCTCTGATTGTCTCCTGCTCTATTGGAAACAGGACATGAAGGCTAAGCTGACATTGATAGAGACATGTTTTGACGTGTTGGCACAGTATAATAGTGATCATTGCCACAGCCGGGATGTGTTCTTGTACAATCTTTCTTGTAACAGGAA